>NC_000016.10:80130682-80755682 GCF_000001405.40 Homo sapiens
TGAGATAACCATATCAGCTCAACTATTCAAGTTACTAATCTAATTTTTGCCACTTGACAATTGGACTAACTAATGTGATTAAAATAAGGTCGAGTTAGTGGCAGCATAGAGATATCATTTATGATTGATTGATCAAAGAGGGGAATATACAGAATGCGGAAATGTAAGACAAGACAAAAGACTGACTATGACTGAGACTTGACCCTAAGTCCAAGAATTGCTTTTACATTAGCAGATGATCTGTCCGTGGGGCAATTCATTGACCAATAGGGAAGTCCCCAAAGGTGTACCAAACAGAGGTGCCATTACCCGTTCAATCTGGAATGACCGCACACTAACACAGAAGAGACTGTCAGAACCAGAGAAACAGAACTAAAATTTAAAACTAGAAATATGGGAACTCAGTGCATTTAGTTGGAAACTTAAGGCAAAAGATGGAGTGGGGAATATTCAAGACACAAAAGCCGAGAGAAAGTGTAAGCGACTAGCAAATCAAAAGAAAGTGATTTGTTTCTGTTGTAATTTTGCATCTGTTGCATGTCTGTTCTTAACATCTGCCCTGAGATTGATTTTGTGATAGTCCATGATTGATGGAGTAGAGTTCAGATGGGAAGGCTTTAAAGGAATAAAATAAGTCATATAAAACAAATAGTATAACAACACTCAAAGAACTGGGGAATGTGTGAATGGGGTAGACAATCATAGAAAATAATAACAATAAAAAGTAAGTTCAATGAAAGTAGACACGTTTTTGTGTTATAACAATGACATTATCATTCACTTTGTATTAGTTTCTTCAACATATTTGAATGCTTGAAGTACTTGCTTAATTTCATTTATTTTATAATTAAAGAATTGAGCATTTGAGATAAAATGCCAGACTTTAGAAATCATTGCCACTTTATAAGAACATATATGAGTTGATAAGAGGGATTACCCTTGGCAAAGAGTGAGATTGACAGTTTTAATCTAGGTGGCACAGTGGCTTTATCTGCATTTTTATTATTCTCATGAGAATTTATTTGGGAAACACATTTGTCATTAAAAATAAAAGTTTAAAAAGAAGTGATTGCTAAACATAATTTTTTCAATTATTTTTAGATTCACACACAGTAAAATCGGCTTTGTGTGTGTAGTTCTGTAAATTTTATCACATGCATAGATTCTCGTAACTACTGTCACAATCAAGATATAGAACAGCTCTGTCACCATCCCGAAAAAACCCTTGTGATATCTCTTTGTAGCACCCTCTCCTCCAGTTCCTAATATTTGATAACCATTCATTTGTTCTCTGTCACTATAGTTTGGTCTTTTCAAGAATGTCATATAAACAGAATATAATATAACCTTTTGAAGCTGGCATATTTTACCCAGTGTAATGTCTTCTAGATCCATCCAAGTTGTGTGTATCAACCATTTATTCCATTTTCTTCCTGAGAGTACTCCATTGGATAGATGCACCACGTTTTGTTTACCGTTCATCCAGTGAAGGACATTTGGTTTGTTTCCCATTTTTAGCAATTATGAGTAGAGCTGGGATAAATATTCATGTGCAGGTTTTTATGTGAACATAAGTTTTCATTTCTCTAGGGTAAATACCCAGAAGTGAGATTGCTAGATCATATGATGTGTGCATTTAACTTTATGAAAAACTACCAAATTTTTTTTCAGAGTGGTTGTACCATTTGAGATTCCCACCAACAACATATTAGAGTTCCAGCTGCTCCACATTCTCGTCATCACTTGATAGCATCAGTATTTTTTTGCCACTATAATAAGCATGTACTGGTATCTCATCATGGTTTTAATTTGCATTTCCCCAATTGCTGATGATGAAACATCTTTTCATGTGCTAATTTGCCTTCTGTATATTCTTTTCAGTGAAGTATCTATTCAAGATTTTTGCTCATTTTTCAAAGTTAGGTTTTTGCTTTGTTAATGTTGAGCTTTGAGATTTCTTTACATATTCTGTATATGAGTCCTTTGTTGTACATGTGACCTCCAAATATTTTCTCCTGGTATGGAACTTATCTTTTCATTTTTTATTCTTTTTAGTCTTCATATACATTTATGAAGTACAAGTGCAATTTTGTTATATGGATATAATGCATACTGGTGAAGATGGGCTCTTACTCTATCACCCACATAACATACATTGTACTCATTAAGTAATTTCTCATCATTCTCCCCCCTTCCACCTCCACCTCACCCTTCAGGGTCTCTAATGTCTATCATTCCACACTCTATGCCCATGTGTACACATCACTTAGCTCCCACTTACGAGTGAGAACATGCAGCATTTGTCTTTCTGTTTCTGAGTTATTTCACTTAAGAAACATCCATCCATGTTGCTGTAAAAGACATGATTTAATATTTGTCCAAAGGAAAAAAAATACCAAAAAAAGATACATGCATACATGCACTCATATATTTACTTAATTTATTTGTTTGTTTGTGTATTTATTTATTGAGACAGGGTCTTGCTCTATCACCCAGGCTGGAGTGCAGTGGCACAGTCACGGCTCACTGCAGCCTCAACCTTCTTGGGCTCAAGTGATTCTCCCACCTCAGCCTCCTGCATAGCTGGGACTGCAGGTATATGCCACCATGCCCAGCTAATTTTTTTTTTTTTTTTTTTGGTAGTGACAGGGTCTCACTACATTGCCCAAGCTGGTCCCAGACTCCTGGGCTCAAGCAATCCTCCCACCTTGGCATTCCATGTGCTGGGATTACAGACATGAGCCACCGTGCTTCAATCTTTTCATTTTTATAGCCATGTCTTCCACAGAGAAAACAGTTTTAACTGTGATGGAGCTCAATTATAAATGTTCTTTCTTTAATAAATTGTGCTTTTGATATCTTGTCTAAGAACTCTTTTCCTGTCTCCAGGTGACAAGTATTTTCTAAAATTATAAAAGTTTTTTTCTAAAAGTTTTAATATTCCCATTCTACTTTTAGACCTGTAATACAATTTGAGCTAATTTTGTGTAGGGTGTGAAGTTTAGGATGAGGTTCTTCAATTAATATACCCAGTTTTATAATAACATTTATTATAAACAATATCCTTTCTTCATTGAAGTGTCTTTATAACTTTTCAAATATCAACTGGCCATATTTGTGTGGGTCTATTTCTGAACTATCTCTTTTGTTCCATTTCATTTATGTGTCTCTCCTGTAACTAATACAACACTATCTCTATTACTGTAGATTTATATAGTAAGTCTTACAATTAGGTAGAGTGATTTTTCCAACTTTATTTTTCTGTTACAAATTGTTTTAGTTGTTTCAGTTCCTTTGCCCTCCTCTATGGATTTCAGAATCAGTTTGTTTTTATCTACAAAAAAAATCTGCTGAGATGTTAATTGGTAGTGCATTAAACCTATAAATCAATTTGGAGAGAACAGATAGTTTACTATGTTGAGTCTTCCTATCCATATAATGGTATACTTTTCCAGTCATTTAGGTCTTCTTTTATGGCCACTTTGTAGTTTTCAGAATACAGATCTTGTATATGACTTTCAGATTTATATCTAACTATTACATCCTTTTGAGCTGTTGTAGATGGTATTATTTTTGTTTTTAAATTTTGATTTCAGTTTGTCACTGCTAGTATATAGAAATACAGTGAGTTGTGCAGTAACTTTGCATTCTGTGATTTTTCTAAAAAAACTTGTTAGCACTAAGAGTTTATATTTTTGTTGGCATTATTCATAGAGCCCCTGAAATTTTCCACAAATCCAGTAGTGTATTCTGTGGGATTTTCTACAAATCCAATAGTGTATTCTGTAAACAGGAATTCTTTCTTTCTAATCCGTATATATTTTATTTCTTCAGCTTGCCTTGCAGTACTGGCTAGGACTTCCATAAAAAATGTTTAATAGGAGCGCTAAGATTAGAACTGCCACCTTTGTTCCAAATCTTAGGGGGAATGATTTTGGTCTTTGATCAGTAAGTATAATGCTATGTGCATGTATGCATTGACAACTTCATCAGACAATGTTATATTTTTGCTTGCAACCATCAAGCATATTTTAAACTCAGAGAAGAATTCACCATTTTATTCAACCAGATATTTGCCATTTCCATTCCTCAGCTTGGATTTCTGATATTCCACATTTCGATCTGGTATCACTTCCCTCCAGCCGAAGCACTTCCCTTAGAAATATTTTACAGCTGGTCTGGTGACAACAAATTCTCGCAGTGTTTTTTCATCTGAGAATGTTAGGGTGACTAACTGTTCTGGTTTGCCTAGTTTTAGCACCAAAAGTCATGCATCCTGGGAAACCTCTCAGTCCTGGGTAAAACAGGATGATTGGTCCTACAAGGTATCTTTATTTTACCTTTATTCCTAACGGATATTTTCACTGGTTGTCAATTTCTGGGATAACAATTCTATTCTTGCAGGCTTTCAAAAATGTTCCTCTCTCTCTGGTCTCCATGGTTTCTGAGGAGAAACATAGAGAAACATTGTACAGTCATTCCAATTGTTATTCTCGTACAAGTAACATGATGTTTTTCCCTGGCTGTTTTCAAGATTTTCTTTCTTTATCTTTAGATTTCAATTCTTTGATTACACTGTATCTGGAAGCTATTTCATTGTGTTTGTGCTGTTTGAAATTCAGTGAACTTTGTGAACCTGTAGATTTATGTCTTCTACCAAGTTTGAGACATTTTAAGTTACTCTTTAAATATCTTTTTCTGTATCACACACTTTCTCCTTTTCTTCTGAGACTCCCATAATACAAAATTAAACCCTTTGGCATTCTTAAGGCTTTTTTTCAGTTTTTTCTATCATCGTTTTGGGTTGAGTTTCTATTGATCTGTCTTTGAGTTTATACACTGACTTTCCTCTTTAATCTCCATTCTGATAAAGAACACAGTCAGTATTTTCTTTGTTATTTACTTATATTTCCAAAATTCCTATTTTGTATATATCTTCTATTTGTTTGGTGAAAAGTACTATCATTCCATTATTTTCCAAAATTGTACAATCATGGTGTCTGTGAGTGTATTTCTGGATGAGATTAACTTGAGAATTGGTACAATGAGTAAGCAGATTTTGTATCCCATGTATCCCACGTGTATCCCCAGAACTAAAAATAAAAATTAGAGGAAAAAAAAATCATTCCCTTTATCTATATATATCATTTGTCCTGTTTCTCTGGAGAATCCGGACAAATACAGAGAGTAAAGACCATCATTAAAGACACTTTAAGCATTTAAAAAAGAATACATCTTTACTTCTTGGATATTTTAATAATAGCTGTTTTAAAGTTTTTATCAGATACCTGTGCCATCTTGTCATTGGCTTTTATCTCTTCCCATTCAAGGGGATATTTTCTTGGTTCTTCGTATGCCACGTAGTGTTGGATTATATCCTGGATTTTTTTAATATTAAGCTAGGGAACATAGGATCTTGTTAAAATCGTATAGTAAACATTGACATTTTTGTTTTACTATGCAATCAACCCTATTGGGTCGGGCTGCAAATTTTCCCCAAAGGTTTGTAGGTTATAGTTGCAAGTTCCATCCCATTTTCAAACACCATAGTGCTATTTGGATTTCTCCTGCCTGTGCCCCACCCAGTGAGCTATCTGAGACTTGGGTGGTGGTCTCTCCCTTAGTTCAATTCTATTTTTTTTATTATTAATATACTTTAAGTTTTGGGGTACATGTGCTCAACGTGCAGGTTTGTTACATATGCATACATGTGCCATGTTGGTGTGCTGCACCCATTAACTCATCATTTAACATTAGGTATATCTCCTAATGCTATCCCTCCCCACTACCCCTACCCCACAATAGGCCCCGGTGTGTGATGTTCCCCTTCCTGTGTCCATGTGTTCTCATTGTTCAATTCCCATCTATGAGTGAGAACATGCGGTGTTTCGTTTTTTACCCTTGCGATACTTTGCTGAGAATGATGGTTTCCAGCTTCATCCATGTCCTTACAAAGGACATGAACTCATCCTTTTTTATGGCTGCATAGTATTCCGTGGTGTATATGTACCACATTTTCTTAATCCAGTCTATCGTTGTTGGACATTTAGGTTGGTTCCAAGTCTTTGCTATTGTGAATAGTGCCACTATAAACATACATGTGCATGTGTCTTTATAGCAGCATGATTTATAATCCTTTGGGTACATACCCAGTAATGGGATGGCCGGGTCAAATGGTATTTCTAGTTCTAGATCCCTGAGGAATCGCCACACTGACTTCCACAATGGTTGAACTAGTTTACAGTCCCACCAACAGTGTAAAAGTGTTCCTATTTCTCCACATCCTCTCCAGCACCTGTTGTTTCCTGACTTTTTAATGATCGCCATTCAAACTGGTGTGAGATGGTATCTCATTGTGGTTTTGATTTGCATTTCTCTGATGGCCAGTGATGATGAGCATTTTTTCATGTGTCTTTTGGCTGCATAAATGTCTTCTTTTGAGAAGTGTCTGTTCATATCCTTCACCCACTTGTTGATGGGGTTGTTTTTTTCTTGTAAATCTGTTTGAGTTCATTGTAGATTCTGGATATTAGCCCTTTGTCAGATGAGTAGGTTGCAAAAATTTTCTCCCATTCTGTAGGTTGCCTGTTCACTCTGATGGTAGTTTCTTTTACTGTGCAGAAGCTCTTTTTAATTAGATCCCATTTGTCAATTTTGGCTTTTGTTGCCATTGCTTTTGGTGTTTTAGACATGAAGTCCTTGCCCATGCCTATGTACTGAATGGTATTGCCTAGATTTTCTTCAAGGGTTTTTATGGTTTTAGGTCTAACATGTAAGTCTTTAATTCATCTTGAATTAATTTTTGTATAAGGTGTAAGGAAGGGATCCAGTTTCAGCTTTCTACATATGACTAGCCAGTTTTCCCAGCACCTATTCATCCCACCCTATTTATTAAATAGGGAATCCTTTCCCCATTTCTTGTTTTTGTCAGGTTTCTCAAAGACCAGATAGTTGTAGATATGTGACATTATTTCTGAGGGCTCTGTTCTGTTCCATTGGTCTATATCTCTGTTTTGGTACCAGTACCATGCTGTTTTGGTTACTGTAGCCTTGTAGTATATTTTGAAGTCAGGTAGCATGATGCCTCCAGCTTTTGGCTTAGGCTTGACTTGACAATGCGGGCTCTTTATTGTTTCCATATGAACTTTAAAGTAGTTTTTTCCAACTCTGTGAAGAAAGTCATTGATAGCTTGATGGGGACAGCACTGAATCTATAAATTACCTTGGGCAGTATGGCCATTTTCACAATATTGATTCTTCCTACCCATGAGCATGGAATGTTCTTCCATTTGTTTGTATCTTCTTTTATTTCATTGAGCAGTGGTTTATAGTTCTCCTTGAAGAGGTCCTTCACGTCCCTTGTAAGTTGGATTCCTAGGTATTTTATTCTCTTTGAAGCAATTGTGAATGGGAGTTCAATCATGATTTGGCTCTCTGTTTGTCTGTTATTGGTGTATAAGAATGCTTGTGATTTTTGCACATGGATTTTGTATGCTGAGACTTTGCTGAATTTGCCTTTCAGCTTAAGGAGATTTTGGGCTGAGACGATGGGGTTTTCTAGATATACAATCATGTCATCTGCAAACAGGGACAATTTGACTTCCTCTTTTCCCAATTGAATACCCTTTATTTCCTTCTCCTGCCTGATTGCCCTGGCCAGAACTTCCAACACTACGTTGAATAGGAGTGGTGAGAGAGGGCATCCCTGTCTTGTGCCAGTTTTCAAAGGGAATGCTTCCAGTTTTTGCCCATTCAGTATGATATTGGCTGTGGGTTTGTCATAGATAGCTCTTATTATTTTGAGACATGTCCCATCGATACCTAATTTATTGAGAGTTTTTAGCATGAAGGGTTGTTGAATTTTGTCAGAGGCCTTTTCTGCATCTATTGAGATAATCATGTGGTTTTGTGATTGGTTCTGTTTATATGCTGGATTACGTTTACTGGTTTTTGTATGTTGAACCAGCCTTGCATCTCAGGGATGAAGCCTACTTGATCATGGTGGATAAGCTTTTTGATGTGCTGCTGGATTCAGTTTGCCAGTATTTTATTGAGTATTTTTGCATTGATGTTCATCAAGGATATTGGTCTAAAATTCTTTTTTTATTGTGTCTCTGCCAGGCTTCGGTATCAGGATGATGCTGGCCTCATAAAATGAGTTAGGGAGGATTCCCTCTTTTTCTAGTATTGGAATGGTTTCAGAAGGCATGGTACAAGCTCCTCCTTGTACCTCTGGTAGAATTTGGCTGTGAATCCATCTGGTCCTGGACTTTTTTTGGTTGGTAAGCTATTAATTATTGCCTCAATTTCAGATCCTGTTATTGGTCTATTCAGAGATTCAACTTCTTCCTGGTTTAGTGTTGGGAGAGTGTATGTGTCGAGGAATTTATCCATTTCTTCTAGATTTTCTAGTTTATTTGCATAGAGGTGTTTATAGTATTCTCTGATGGTAGTTTGTATTTCTGTGGGATCGGTGGTGATATCCCCTTTATCATTTTTTATTGCATCTATTTGATTCTTCTCTCTTTTCTTCTTTATTAGTCTTGCTAGCAGTCTATCAATTTTGTTGATCTGTTCAAAAAAACCAGCTCCTGGATTCATTGATTTTTTGAAGGGTTTTTTGTGTCTCTATTTCCTTCAGTTCTGTTCTGATCTTACTTATTTCTTGCCTTCTGCTAGCTTTTGAATGTGTTTGCTCTTGCTTCTCTAGTTCTTTTAATTGTGATGTTAGGGTGTCAATTTTAGATCTTTCCTGCTTTCCCTTGTGGGCATTTAGTGCTATAAATTTCCCTCTACACACTGCTTTGAATGTGTCCCAGAGATTCTGGTATGTTGTGTCTTTGTTCTCATTGGTTTCAAGGAACATCTTTATTTCTGCCTTCATTTCGTTAGGTACCCAGCAGTCATTCAGGAGCAGGTTGTTCAGTTTCCATGTAGTTGAGCGGTTTTGAGTGAGATTCTTAATCCTGAGTTCTAGTTTGATTGCACTGTGGTCTGACAGACAGTTTGTTATAATTTCTCTTCTTTTACATTTGCTGAGGAGTGCTTTACTTCCAACTATGTGGTCAATTTTGGAATAGGTGTGATGTGGTGCTGAAAAGAAAGTATATTCTGTTGATTTGGGGTGGAGAGTTCTGTAGATGTCTATTAGGTCCGCTAGGTGCAGAGACGAGTTCAATTTCTGGATATCCTTCTTAACTTTCTGCCTCGTTGATCTGTCTAATGTTGACAATGGGGTGTTAAAATCTCCCATTATTATTGTGTGGGAGTCTAAGTCTCTTTCTAGGTCTCTAAGGACTTGCTTTATGAATCTGGGTGCTCCTGTATTGGGTGCATATATATTTAGGATAGTTAGCTCTTCTTGTTGAATTGATCCCTTTACCATTATGTAATGGCCTTCTTTGTCTCTTTTGATCTTTGTTCATTTAAGGTCTGTTTTATCAGAAACTAAGATTGCAACCCCTGCCTTTTTTTGTTTTCCATTTGCTTGATAGATCTTCGTCCATCCCTTTATTTTGAGCCTGTGTGTGTCTCTGCACATGAGATGGGTTTCCTGAATACAGCACACTGATGGGTCTTGACTCTTTATCCAATTTGCCAGTCTGTGTCTTTTAGTCGGAGCATTTAGCCCATTTACATTTAAGGTTAATATTGTTATGTGTGAATTTGATCCTGTCATTATGATGTTAGCTGGTTATTTTGCACATTAGTTGATGCAGTTTCTTCCTAGCCTTGACGGTCTTTACAATTTGGCATGTTTTTGCAGTGGCTGGTACCAGTTGTTCCTTTCCATGTTTACTGCTTCCTTCAGGAGCTCTTTTAGGGCAGGTCTGGTGGTGACAGAATCTCTCAGCATTTGCTTGTCTGTAAAGTATTTTATTTCTCCTTCACTTATGAAGCTTAGTTTGGCTGGATATGAAATTCTGGGTTGAAAATTCTTTAAGAATGTTGAATATTGGCCCCCACTCTCTTCTGGCTTGTAGAGTTTCCACTGAGAGATCAGCTGTTAGTCTGATGGGCTTCCCTTTGTGGGTAACCCGACCTTTCTCTCTGGCTGCCCTTGACGTTTTTTCCTTCATTTCAACTTTGGTGAATCTACAATTATGTCTCTTGGAGTTGCTCTTCTCGAGGAGTATCTTTGTGGCATTCTCTGTATTTCCTGAATTTGAATGTTGGCCTGCCTTGCTAGATTGGGGAAGTTCTCCTGGATAATATCCTGCAGAGTGTTTTCCAACTTGGTTCCATTCTCCCCATCACTTTCAGGTACGCCAATCAGACGTAGATTTGGTCTTTTCACATAGTCCCATATTTCTTGGAGGTTTTGTTCATTTCTTTTTGTTCTTTTTTCTCTAAACTTCTCTTCTTGCTTCATTTCATTCATTTCGTCTTCCATCACTGATACCCTTTCTTCCAGTTGATCACACTGGCTACTGAGGCTTATGCATTTGTCACGTAGTTCTCATGCTGTGGTTTTCAGCTCCATCAGGTCCTTTAAGGACTTCTCTGCATTGATTATTCTAGTTAGCCATTTGTCTAATTTTTTTTCAAGGTTTTTAACTTCTTTGCCATTGGTTCAAACTTCCTCCTTTAGCTCGGAGTGGTTTGATCTTCTGAAGACTTCTTCTCTCAGCTCGTCAGTCATTCTCCGTCCAGCTTTGTTCCGTTGCTGGTGAGGAGCTGCATGCCTTTGGAGGAGGAAAGGCGCTCTGATTTTTAGAGTTTCCAGTTTTTCTGCTCTGTTTTTTCCCCATCTTTGTGGTTTTATCTACCTTTGGTCTTTGATGATGGTGACGTACAGATGGGGTTTTGGTGTGGATGTCCTTTCTGTTTGTTAGTTTTCCTTCTAACAGTCAGGACCCTCAGCTGCAGGTGTGTTGGAGTTTGCTGGAGGTCCACTCCAGACCCTGTTTGCCTGGGTATCAGCAGCGGAGGCTGCAGAACAGCGGATATTGGTGAACAGCAAATGTTGCTACCTGATCGTTCCTCTGGAAGTTTTGTCTCAGAGGAATAGCCAGCCATGTGAGGTGTCAGTCTGCCTCTACTGGGGGGTGGCTCCCAGTTAGGATGCTTGGGGGTCAGGGACCCACTTGAGGAGGCAGTCTGTCCATTCTCAGATCTCCAGCTGCGTGCTGGGAGAACCATTACTCTCTTCAAAGCTGTCAGACAGGGACATTTAAGTCTGCAGAGGTTTCTGCTGCCTTTCATTTGGCTATACCCTGCCCCCAGAGGTGGAGTCTACAGAGGCATGCAGGCCTCCTTGAGCTGCTGTGGGCTCCACCCAGTTCGAGCTTCCCGGCCACTTTGTTTACCTACTCAAGCCTCGGTAATGGCGGGCGCCGCTCCCCCAGCCTTGCTGCCACCTTGCAGTTTGATCTCAGACTGCTGTGCTAGCAAAGCGAGGCTCCATGGGCATAGGACCCTCCAAGCCAGGTGCGGGATATAATCTCCTGGTGTGCTGTTTGCTAAGACCATTGGAAAAGCACAGTATTAGGGTGGGAGTGACCTGATTTTCCAGGTGCCATCTGTCACCCCTTTCTTTGACTAGGAAAGGGAATTCCCTGACCCCTTGCACTTCCTAGGTGAGGCAATGCCTCGCCCTGCTTCGGCTCACACTCACTGTGCTGCATCCACTGTCCTGCACCCACTGTCTGACACTCCCCAGTGAAACGAACCCAGTACCTCAGTTGGAAATGCAGAAATCACCCATCTTCTGCGTCACTCACACTGGGAGCTGTAGACTAAAGCTGTTCATATTTGGCCATCTTGGCTCCACCCCTCCCTTTGTTCAATTCTTCAAGTCTTTGGTATGCTCTTTGTGATTAGAAACAGACATGCTTAGTGGAACAGTCAGCCCAGAAGTTCATATATAACATAAGGGGTTTTCTGTATTTTCTTAAGTTCCTCCCTTCCTGGTACTTCCTGCCATTCCGAGGCTCGTTTTTTTGGTTCCCCACCACACAGCTGGGGCTTTAATTTCGTTGCTCTGCTGCAGGATTCCTACAACTGTACCTACATCCACAAACAACTGGCAGGAAGACAGGGGAGGGAAAAAGCAACGAGGACTTGCCATATCCTCAGAACCAATGAGAAAGGAAGGTTCATCTCCACCAGAGTTTTAGTAGCTTGTGCATTCCCATCGCCATCACTGATGCTGCACTCTCACCAGCATGTAATGATCAGCTGGGCGCTGGGGCTCAAGAGAGCAAAAATTTTCCAAAGTGAGGGATTTCCCCCACTGTTTTTGAGCATTGGAAGTCCCCTTTCCTTTGCTTAAGGCAGAGCTAGATGGTTGTGAGTTCTTTCTGCATTCATGGATGCCCACTTTTGTGTTTTGAGCTGCCTTGAGTCCAGGCTGTAGGACAGAGGAAGAAAGAAGATAGTAAACTCACCACAGGATCAATGGTACTTTGAATTTTGGTCTGTTTCCCAATCTACTATGCTACTGTTTACCTTCAGAGCCTTCAAACAGCTTCTGTAAGCATTATATTGAGCTTCAATAGCTTCATTCAATAGAAGAGACAGGATGGAATGTGCCTACATCACTTTACCTGGAGTTGAAACCTGCTGCACCTATGTTTTCAGGTTTATCCTTGGGAATGTATATTTATTTCCATGGACAGAACCTAGGCACTGAAGTCAGAATTGAAATGGAGTTTTTTCTTTGACACTTATTAACTGTGTAAACATTAATACATGCTGTTTGGCTTCTATAAACTTCACACTCCTTGTTAATCTGGGAGACTACTACATATCATTTAGTGTGTTGTCTCATTCAAACAGGTAAAGTGTAAAGTGCCCGACACAGAGCAGGTGCTTAATTACTGTCCAATTATTGGTTTTGCATCCCCCTTTTTCTCCCTGATATCACTGTCCTACAACAAGGATGGTGGTGACATTGTTTAAGCTGAATTTGCAACATCTTATGACTGGGAAGTGGTGGAAAAGGAAGAAAAAAGGATCGTGGCTAGATGAACTTTAGGCAGCTTTAAACATGAGGACCTAAGATTCTATACAAACAAGGTACAAAGAATGCATAAAGCCACTTAAAACCATCAAGGGAGCAAGGCTGAGCTGCTACTATCCTGTTTGATATATCATTAGGAAGATTCCTATTAATAGGCCACAGCAGCTATTGACATTTCATTATACATGCTTAAGATACGACAGCAAGAAATTACAATATACATATTGAAAAGCCCAGCCTTAGATTTCCAACACTGGAAATAAAATGGAATATAGTAGAAACTGATCATTTAGCCAACTTTATAAAGGCAACCGTTCCTTTTGGGAAGCAAAAGTATGGTTTTATAAAAAATTTATAAAAATTATTATATGTTTATGTATAGTAATATATAAAGGAAAATGCTTTACAAATATTAAGTTTGAGTGTCCAGAACGTGAAAGCAGATACTTAAGCATTAAAATCGAGCCTCCACATGGGCAAGACCTCCTTTGTTAATGGCCATTCAGGAAGCTGTACTACGGACTCTGCTGTTTTCAACCTGGAGAGCAACTTTCAGCATTTTGCAAGGGGCCCTCACTTTCAGAACCTCAGCAGGGATTTGCTTTCTGGTATCTGTAACAGTGAGGGCTGGACATCCCTTGAGTGACAATTCTGTTTTTCTTTATGCCCTTCTTTGTGTAAGCTGCCAAACCACTAAGATGCAAATCTGTGGCCCACCTCCATCTAGGGAACTAAAAGGCATGATGTGTTTGTGTACTTTGCATACTGACCTCAGCACTGGTTTTGTCTGTGGTAAACATGTATGTTACTCACACTGTGTAAGAAGGAAAGGCCTCAGCAGAAACCAGTCTCTTGATCTCTAGGTCTCTGTAGTCTTTCCTCCTCACAGTTGCCCTGAAGATTATGCTGCAAAGTCAGTCTGAGGCTGTCATGCTTCTGCTTAGGAACGTTTCAATAACCCCCTATATTTCAAGACTAAAGGAAACAGTAGGGTGTAGCAGCTTCAGGTTGTGGGTTGTGGGAGTTGCCTGAGCCATGCTTCAAATTCCAGACCAACCATGGCATGCCTTGAGCAAGTGACACAGCTGCTCTGTGCCTCAGTTTCCCTGTGCCTCTTCCACCTACCCTTTTAGCTCAGATCTCCTTGTGATATTTCATATGTCCAACACTCCAGTCAAATTTGATTGTCCCTTTTTCTTTGCACATACTTAACAGAATCTTCTCCAAATTTGCTCAAGCCATTTCTCCTGCCAAAATAGCCTCATTCCACTCAACAAAATTCAAACCATTCTTCAAGTGTCAACTCTGAAATTATCTTTCTCCTCATCATTCTTGTAGTATTTTGTCCTTGCTATGTCTCTACAAATGCATTTATTTTATTTAATCTACATCGTAATCATTATGTAATACCTTTACTATTACATTATAAGGCATTGGGTGAATCTTGGAGAGAACATATAAAAATGAAAACAAAAAATTAGGATCTTGCTCCTGATAGAGCTTTAACCAAGAAGGGAAAACACAAAAGTGTTTAAGGTTAGGAGACCATGAGAGAATCTAAATGCCACAGAATTTTAGCATCCCTTTGTCATTATTCTTACATATGTGTTGACCCTCTTAATTTTCTTCCTAATTGTATGTTTCTTATCTGCTTGTGGAACAATAAAGATGATAATGATGATGATGTATTTGTTACACATTGCTTGTGCCAGACACTGTGCTAAATGTGTTCTATCAGGAGTTCTCAAACTTGGCTACACATTACAAATACCTGGGGAGAACTTAAACTTCCAAATCTATATCCCGACCTATTGAAACAGAAGTTTTTTAGTGTAACTCAGGCTTCTGTATCTTTAAAGGGCTTCTGTATCTTTAAAACTTCAATGTGCAGCCAAGGTTGAGAATCATTGCTTTCCATGCATTGTATTAGTGTTTTCCAGATTATCCTGGTGAAAACTATCATCTGGAATATTGGTTTAAAAAAAGCAAAAACAAAAACAAATCACAAGGTCGTGGACCCCAAAGCCACGGCATCAGAATTTCCAAGGGAGTGTCCCAGGAAGCTGCATTCTTAACAAGGGACCTGGGTGATCCTTATCCTCAAAGAACTACAGAAACACTGCATCATATCATTTTATTTGCATGACAATTCTTTTATTTATGTACTATTATGTACTATTAATCTCACAGTTTTATAGATGCAGCAACTGGAGGGCAGAAAACTTAAAGCACTAGTACAAGGTCACACTGAGCCAGGATTTGAACCCAGGCAGTGTTATGTCAGAAACCACATCTTTAACCACCACTGGATTGGGTTGGGACACACTGAAATTGAAAGAGGGCAGAGGTCCAAGTAGAAACAGTAGACAGCTTGGCCAGGCATGGTGGCTCACCCCTGTAATCCCAGCACTTTGGGAGGCTGAGGTGGGTGGATCACCTGAAGTCAGGAGTTCGAGAACAGCCTGGCCAACATAATGAAACCCTGTCTCTATTAAAAATAAAAAAAAACTAGGCTGGGCACAGTGGCTCAAGCTTGGGAGACTGAGGTGGGCAGATCACGAGGTCAAGAGATCGAGACCATCCTGGCCAACATGGTGCAACCCCATCTCTACTAAAAATACAAAAATTAGCTGGGCATAGTGGCACACACCTGTAGTCCCAGCGACTTAGGAGGCTAAGGGAGGAGAATCACTTGAACCTGGGAGGCAGAGGTTGCAGTGAGCTGAGATCGCGCCACTGCACTCCAGCCTGGCAACAGAGCGAGACTCCACCTCAAAAAAAGAAAAGAAAAAAAATGAAACAGTAGACAGCTAGACAGCTTTTCAATGGCTAGGACCTTGTCTGATGCATCCCTGTGCTCCCTCATGTAATAGAGTGTCTGAGACCTAGGAGGCATTTAATGTTTGTTGAATAAATGAAAGAAGTGATTGATGAAGCATGACCCAGCAAACCTATCCTGGAAATACTGACCGCAGGTGAAAGTCAAGTCACTTGACATTTGGATGGATGGCATGGGATATGACTTCTCCATTTGGGCCTCTGAAGTTTCCATCATCTTTCTGTGTGACTTGAGGCCAACATTTAGCTTGTCTCAGCCCCGAATCTATAAAATTGGAGGAATGCCATTCATCCACTTCCTCGGGTAGCATTTTGGAAATCTCAAGTTGTATACAGACACCAAACAATGATACAAATGTGTGCCGAAGGCAGACTGTGCTTCAGCCCCCAACACATGTGCACCGCTCATCGCTAAATTGCTCATTAGGATCATTGTTGGAAAACCAGCACAGTTCTCCCACCCTATGATTTCCGCAAGTTCTAGAGAACATCTTGTAACTTAGC
The DNA here is from genome assembly GCF_000001405.40 of Homo sapiens. Classification (NCBI taxonomy): domain Eukaryota; kingdom Metazoa; phylum Chordata; class Mammalia; order Primates; family Hominidae; genus Homo; species Homo sapiens. The sequence continues at coordinate 80,146,989 of NC_000016.10, forward strand.
ACCGAGTTTCTTTCCCTTTCTATCTGTGCTGTCTGGGGAGGTGTCTGGGGAGGTTTCTTGGGAGGAGGTGCAGATGAGAAGAATTTTGAAATGTCCTGGAGAGATAAGGTCCAGGGATTCAATTCAAATCCCCCCTGTTGGTGAGCCTTGGGCTGGCACATCACCTTGCAGAGTCTCAGTGTGCTCATCTGTAAAAGGAAGATATCAATAGCACCGATGTCTTGGGATTCTATGAAAATCAACCACAACAATGTTTATAAAGCTCTAAAAATGCCTGGCACAGAGTCAGACTGAAATAAGTGGCTGTTGTTGTCATGATGTATCATCATTTCATTCTTCGTGCAGAACGAATCTGGACAATCTGGATTTTGCTCTGGGAGATCAATATATTTCCAACGTTGATAGAAAAGGATCCTCTCCAACAACCTTCACCATCACCATCACTACATCCTCTCACTCACACATACCTCCAAAGAACAGGATTTCCCAGCGTCCATGGATGTGGCACGACAGCTGTGTTGGAGGTCCATCTGTCAGCAATAAAACAATCCAAGGATGAAATCCAAACAAGGGAAGCTATTTTCAACTGTCGTGTTTAAATCCCTTCCGCTGTATTCCATTGCACTCAGAGTAAAATTTCAGTTAAAGGGGCCACACCATTTAGCCCCTGCCTATCTCCCCTGTCTTTTGTTCGTCACGATCCAGGCACTCAGGGCTTCTTCATATTTTTCGAACCCACTACATTTATTTCCACCACAAGCCATTGTTCTTGCTCCTCTCTCTTTCTGGAACACTCTATCCACAGAGCTGTCAGTGATTGACATTTTCTCTTCTTTAGATCTCTGCTGAAATTCCAACTTTTCAGGAGCTGATTTGCCAACCCAAGCTGCACTCCATCCCACTCCTGGTTCCACCAGGCACTTTATCATATAACTATTTCCTTCATAACACATATTTTACCATCAAACATTATCTTCTGTGCTTCAGTTTACTTTTTTTCCTCCTCTCACTAGAATATAAGGACCATAAGAACGGGGACTATGCATAGCTTATTTACTTGTTATCTCCAGAACCCAATAGACTGCCAAGCTCATAATAAATGATCGGTAAATATTTGCTCAATGAATGAATGGGTAAGTGCTCATGCCAATGGCACATAAAACATATGCTGTACCATTTTGATATTTTTATAAATAAATCTCTGGCTTCATCAAATAAATAATTTCATAATTAAAGATCAAGATATCCTGGTTCATCATTCATTCATTTATTGCATACTTGCTCAGTACCTGCAATAATCTAGTCTTTTCCCCAGGGTACAAAGATGAAGACATCAGTCTCACCCTTGGAAGCTTTCAGGGTAGAGATGAGGGCAGTATGACTCGAGGTTATTGAGCCCCAATTCTATGGAGGCACTACCCTCAGTGGTTTAACATGGATTAACTCCGTAAAATACTTCTCATAGCCTATGAGGAGGGCACTGATGCTGTCTCTATTCGACTGGTGCTAACACTGAAGCCTAAAGACATTAAGCATCTTGACCAAGATATGACAGTAATAAAGTGGGAGAGTGAGATGTAGAATCTCTGAAACTCTCTCCTCGGCACTACTGCTCCATGTGGCGGATGCATAGGTTCCTGGGAAAGCAAGGTGACTCTTTGAGGTAATTGATGGTCTTCAGAGATAATGCTGGGTGTAGAAGTTGTCTGCACAGATGGCCACCAACCATCCCTGCCATCTCTGTGAGGGCACGGCACAGTTTGCATAGAGTTGGAGTACGTTTCCCCATCTCTGAAATCTAGGTGGGCCTGTGCTTGCTGTGAGCAGTGCGATGTGGCAGAGTGATGTGTGAATTCTGAAATATAGTTCTTTAGAGTCCTGGAAGGTTCCACAGTCATTCTCTGGGGATCTAGCTGTCATGTAAAGAAGCTCAGACTAGACACCTGAGTGGGAGACCATGTGGAGAGAGAGAGAAAACCAGCCATCCCCAGACATTCCCCGCAGCAGAGCACTCAGACAAATGAGTCACATCACAGCAACATCACCTGGAATAGAGACAACCCGCCTCCACCCAACCTTGCTGAAATTGCAGAACTGCAGGCCAATGCATGGGTGTTGTCTTAAGTCACTAAATTCTAGGGTGGTTTATTGCACAGAAATATAATAGATAAAACTTTGAGAGAGTTTCTACCTCAACCAAATTCTATTAAACAGAGGCCCCGAGCTTTGGATGAAGTGTTGGTGATCTGAGTATGGGACCCAAAATTTGCTTCCAGAGAAATATAATGCACATTAGGGTTTTCAACTGGAAGTAGAGCCCCTTGTGCTTAGAAGGCTCTAAAAAGCAGGCTTAACAGCTGCCTCACCTAGTCTCTCCATAAAAACCAAATGGCTCAGAAATTACTGTAAATTATCCAAATTGATTAAACTAATTCAGATTCATAAACCAGGACTTGGATATCTTCAGTGGGTGCATCTGTCCATTTCCCATCAAGTTCAGTGAGATTTCTATTATGTATAAAGTACCAATTTGGCAAATTCACACTTACATTTAATTCATGCATAATATTCGTTTCTGAACTTCTTTGCTTTAACAAAGATATAACTGATAGGTATAATTTTGAGCCAAAAGAAAGAAATGTTGATATAACAATGCAGATAGCTAGGCATAATGAAAAGAACACCAGCTTTGAAAGCTAAGTCTACAAGTCCCTGTTCTTCTTTTAAAAGATACAAACTTGTGCAAGTATTTAAAGATTTCTGAGTGTGTTAGGTGCTATAGGTTGGCTGACCTGACCCCTTCCTAAGTCCCTTCTCTGTGGCCACTCCTCAGTTACAGTTGGCCAAGCAGCAACCTCTGATCAATGAAACGAATGTGGAAAAGTCTGCAGGATGGGCTTCTGGGGAGGCTTTGGTTTTGGTGACATAAAGGGACGATCTCTGCAGTGTGGCTATTCGTCCTCTTGTCCTTCATCCTTTTTCGTCCTGAAAAGTCTACAGGGTGGTGGTGCGGAAAGAGAAAAAGGGTGTAGTTATTTATTGGCATCGTGTATTCAGAAAGTTCTGGAAGGCTTACCACTAGACTTCCTTGTTATATAGGACAAGTAAACCCCCATGTGCTTTATCACTTTAAGTTCAGGTGTCTGTTTCTTGCAGCTGAAGGCGTTTTGGTTTTTGCTGTTTCTTTGTTTCCCTCTTAATGATACATGAGTTTCCTCTATGCCCTAATATGTAAAGTGGCTACAGTGATTCCTGCTCTGCAGAAATATTCATAAGAAGTAAATGAGATGATAGCAAGGAAGAAATAAACAGCCATATAAAGGCAGGCAGTTGGTGCTATGCTCCCAGACAGGATATTGAGGGACACTTTTGTCTTTGTTTTATTTCAGCACTCTGTTACTATGATTACCTTTCCAAATACTTGGCAATTTTTGCATCTTAACTAGGAAAAAGAGTATGGAGAATGAGTTTCATTGAGGAGAGGGAAGTAGAGATTTTTTTGCTGTTAATGTTATAGAATCTTGAGCTGGATGCTGTGGCAAGAGCTATTTGGGACGCTGAGGTGGGAGGATCACTTGAGGAGCAGAGTTTGAGGCTGTAGTACGCATCGATCATGCCTGTGAATAGTCACTGCACCCCAGCCTGGGCAACATAGTGAGATCTCATCTCTAAAACATATAAACATGTAGAATCTTATGTATTTCTATTTTCCAATCTTTTGTTAATGCCTAGTTTTTCTAGTGGATTCTTACATATGCATATGCATGTACACATGTGTGGGTATGTATACACACACACCATCTATGAATACAGTGAAGATGACACAGCTGAATTTGCCAGTAACAACTCCATGTGTTGGAGCTTTTTGCCAATTTAAATTCTCTGGTTACTTCACTGCAGGTCAGTAATAATCTGTATCTCTAAAATGTCATAATTGACCCATTAAGTCATACAATTTTGCTATTTCCAAAGCATAGTTTTACAGTATATGGACTGAGTGGCAAGTTGACCAAAGAGGACATTTGTTATTCTTATTTTTAACCACAAATGGGAAATCAGCTTATTCCATAAACCTGGCTTTAGGGAGATTATTTCATTAGATTGCAGGGTAATGTTATTAGCAGGCAGAAAATTCCTTTTGGCTTCCGAACACTCTTAATCCAACTCTGGGACTATAATACATTCCTAAGGTATTTTTCATTGTTCTCAATACACTAAAAACATTGACTTCAACTTGTAAAGCCATAAAATATTTGCAGTTCTTTTCAAGTAACAATACCAGAAAGCCTACATCATGCTGGGTTAATTCTTGTTTTGTTTTATTTGGTTCCATTTTATTTTTCCCAGAAAGTGGAGTCTGAGATAAACTCAAGCTCCCAGCTTTAGAAGATAATACACAAAGTACCCTTCTATTCATTTAGCAGTGTGTGCGGAAGATTCAAGGAGGTCTTCTGAGAAAATAAGTCGCACATCCTTCTGGGACCCAGTCATATATCTCACAGTGCATTCTGAGACCCAGTTGCCTCACTGGGAATCAACAACCTCAACCATTTCCAAGGGAAACCAAGAGCCCAGTGTCACTTGGACAAGTTCCCTGTCCTTGAATTACTTCCCTATCTAACCAGGAAGCCAATTATTGGTCAAATTTTGTATTTCCAGAGCTCAAGAGTTTTTGGTAATTCTCCAAGGAAAAATCAAAACAAAACTTTTTCAAAATTATAAATGTCCTCTGTGGAATTTCTTGCAAGCAAGGGTATTTAGGGTCACAATGTCAAAATGCCCTTAGGACCCAGTGTTATCGTTTTCTTTTGGTTTCCTGTTCCTGGAAAACTGCTCTCTAGATTGTTTTGATTAAGCCCAGTTTGAGAAGCCAGATTCTTAGCACATTCTCCACCATATTTTATGATAAATCTCATTCAGTTTCCCGTGTAGGGTGGCAAGCTTTATTGCTTAACAAACATTGCATCTACCCTGCCATAATTTATATCTGAATGGGTTTATTATAGGCGTTGTGTTTCATTCATTGTGCAGCTAATTCCATAACATGCTTCCTGCTTTCTGTGTGGCTGTTTGGCCATTATCAGCTTCCAAGACAATTGAATCTTTCCCTTGCAGTTTCACAAAATGGTTTATGAATATGTAATACAAACTGTGTTAACAAGGCAAATATACTTCATTTCTTTTATGGCTATTTCCAGGCTGTGACTGGGAAGAAGAGGCATAACAGTGTGTCTCACTTAGGGTATGTTGTGCCCTTAATATAGTAATGCGCTCCCCTTAGCAGGTCTCTTTGAAGGCCTGCATTGTCTTGGAATGAGCCATGCACTTTTGTGCGGCTCCCTGTGAAATGAGCCCCAGTCGGCCTCCCATGGATTCAATTATCTTCTCTACACGGATGGCACGTTCTCCTCCTTGCCTCCCCCAAGCTCGCTCTCCTAGTGTGGTCCTACGTGGCAGTCTGACTACAAAATAACTCCATTTGGGCGCCCTGCTGTCATGTTGGGAAGAGAATTGCTTATTTTCTGCATATGGCTCCTTCCCTCTGCACTTTTCCCCAGGACCTTCACACCAAAGTCAAGGGCTTGTCCAGCTGAGTGAGAGACATTCTGATCAATGTCTGCTTTGGAAAGCAAGGGCCCACCTGGTCAGCAGCTGTTTATTATTCCACAGTGACTTACTATTTAAGGCCAGGCGCGATGACTCACGCCTGTAATCCCAGCACTTTGGGAGGCCGAGGCAGGCAGATCACAAGGTTAGGAGATTGAGACCATCCTGGCTAACACAGTGAAACCCCGTCTCTACTAAAAATACAAAAAATAAAAAATAAAAAAAAAATCAGCTGGGCGTGGTAGCGGGTGCCTGTAGTCCCAGCTACTCTGGAGGTTGAGGCAGGAGAACGGCGTGAACCCGGAAGGCAGAGCTTGAAATGAGCTGAGATTGCTCCACTGCACTCCAGCCTGGGCAACAAAGCGAGACTCTGTCTCAAAAAAAAAAAAAAAAAAAAAAAAAAAAAAGGAAATAGCTATCCAAATGCATTTTCAAGCTCCCTTGCACCCACCACTGGGGTGCGGGGACTGGTTCCCACCTGGGTCACCTCCCTCTTAACAGCATCCAGGAGACCACTTTAAGTTAGAAATGTGTAAAAGATATGAGATGTGCCCTTTATTCAACACCCATTATTCCAGGGATTTTATATCACCATATTGTTTTTGAAATACGGATTATTTCCATTCACAGGTGAAAAAATTGAGGCTCTGAGAACTTGAGAAGCTCCTTTTAGATAACACTTCTAATCTAATGAAGGACCAAAGCAGGGCAGCAACTTGCCAATATCTGAAAACAGAATCCATGACCACCTGCTAAACTGACTTCAAATCTGTCCACTGATGTTCATACCCACTACCGCCATCTTTGGTTGAACCAGTATCAACCCACCTGGAATATTGGGAAGCTCCTTCCCAGATGCTGTCCCACATCCATTCTTACCGCTATCTGGTCCACACTCCGCCCTGCGGTCAGGTGTTTCTTCTGAAGCAGCACCGTCTACTCCACTTTCTGCAGTGCAAGGAGTTTTCTAGACCCTACTATCCTGTGTGGCAGCCATGAGCCACGTGTGCTTATTGAGTGTTTGAAATGCAGCTAGTGGGACTGAATAGCTAACATTTTAAATTAGCACGTTTTTAGCCATTTAAAGGGACAGAGCCACACATAGCAAATGGCTACTAAACTGGACACACAGTTCCAAAGTATAAATCTGACAAAGTCTCACTACAGTGCAACACGATTCAAAATATTCCCATTTCTCTTTGGTTAAGAACCCAAGTCTCTACGCCAGCTTGCAAAGGCTGTGATTAATCTCCCACGGACATGTTCTAGGATGAGTATGCACCATCTCCACCTCAGCATCTGTGGACCAAGCCCTCTGCCCTCCCTCTACTTTCGAAACCATGCCATGTTCCTTTCCTGCTTGGGGCCGTCACTCAGAATATACTCTCTGTGGAATTTTCTCCTGCATGTGCCTCAGCCCACACATCAGTATCCTTCTCCTTCAGGGAAGCCTTCTCCAACCAATGATTTTCATCATCTCTCCTGGACCTGCTCATACCATCCTCTTCTCCTTCCTATCACTCCAGGGCCACATTGTGAAATTATGTATTTAGTCTTTTAGTTTTCTGATTAAAGCCATTCTGCCTCTATTTGTTTCTGATTGCTACGTAACAAGGTATCACAAACTTAGTGGCTTAAAATAACACAAGTTTATTTTCCTACAGTTGTGGAAGTGAAGAGTCTGAAATGGACCCATAGGACTGTATTTCTTCTGGAGGCTCTAGGGGAGAATCTGTTTGCTTACATTTCCCAGCTTCTGGAGGCCACCTGAATTATTTGGCTTGCAGCCCCTTCCCCATAGCCAAAGCCTCCTGACCTTTCTGCCCACCTCTTTTGTCAAAGACCCTTGTGATTGATTGTATCCACCTGCATAATCCAGGTTAAGCTCCTCATCTCAAAGTTCTTCATATCTGAAAATTTTTTTTTGTCATGTAAGAAAATACAAGTTCTGGGGATTAGGATTTGGACACTTTGAGGGATCAAACCACACTTCCCAACTTCATTATAAATTTTGCAAGAGCAAGGTCTAACTACCATTGCCAAGTACGGTATCTGGAACATTGTGTGTGTGTGTGTGTGTGTGTGTAAGTGTAAATATGTTCAATAAATGAACAAACAAACAACGTAATCTCTTTATCAGAAAGAAAGCACCTTGCAGAAGAAACCACATACCCACAGCTTACTAAGCAACTATGTAGCCCATATATTTTTGGACACTACGATTACCACTCCTCTTATACCAACTATAAAGAGAGGGAGAACTACAGCCCCTAATTAGCCTGTCCTCTTTGTAAGGTTTGTGAATGCGTCTGTCTGGGCTCTGGCCTGCCTTCTCTTTCCTTCCACCAGGCTTGTTCAGCATCACTGTTGCCAGTCCTTGATTGATAACTCACACATTGAATTGATCATATCCTTGAATTAGAAGGCAGATGTCACATGAACAGGAATCCAGGCAAATCAAGGCAAACCCCTTGGAAGTGGCCACAGTATTTGGTCTGACCCCATGGCAGCACTTTCAAAAAGTTGTTTATTTTTTTCTCTGAGGATGTTGGGTGGAACAGCAGAGATTAATAGGTTTCCACAAGCCACAGTGGCCATTTTTCAGATCATGGGTTCATATACATCGAAACATACATACACACACACACGCATATTTATGTATAATCTTTTTTAAGGCATACAACAAAAATCTCATGTTGAGAGCTGTTCACCCATCAGTAAATTTCAATATATATATTCATAAATCGTGCATCATTCAAGAATGCTTTGGAGCTGAGTGGGTATTAAAGTCACCAAATCCAATTCCCTGATGTCTCTAGCCCCTTCTATTCTCACTGAGGAATCTGGGGTCCAGAGCATGGAATTTGTCACAGGCCTACCCATGTGCTGGTGGCAGGGAAAATAATTTGATTCCCTAGGTCTGTGCTTTTTCAATAGCCACAGTTTCTAGAAATGATTCCTAGAATTTTGTTCCTTAGGTTTCTCATATTCTGATCTTGTTGTGAATTTGGATTTAGAGTCTAACAAACAAATCTAGATGAAAAGCTTGGTCCTACTCACTTCCAGTGCTTTTGGCACTGACCAAGTTAACTTCTCTGACCACTTTTTCTTCATGTGTAAAAGAAAAGAGAGGCGGCCGGGCATGGTGGCTCCTAGCACTGTAATCCTAGTACTTTGAGAGGCCAACGCTGGTGGATCACTTGAGGTTAGCAGTTCAAGAGCAGCCTGGCCAACATGGTGAAACCCCATGTCTATTAAAAATACGAAAATTAGCTGGGCGTGGTGGCGCGTGCCTGTAGTCCCAGCTACTCAGGAGGCTGAGGCAGGAGAATCGCTTGAACCCGGGAGGCGGAGGTTGTAGTGAGCTCAGATGATGCCACTGCACTCCAGGCTGGGCGACAGAGAGTGAGACCTGGAGAGGGGAGGGGAAGGGGAGGGAAGGAAGAAAAAAAAAGGGAAAACAGAGGGAGAGAATATTAGCTTTCTCATGTGCTTGTTGCAAGGATTAAATGAGACAATGCTTGCAGAATCACATTTTACTGTATTTATTGACAGAGCATTCTGTCTCCCTCCTCTCCTTCCTTCCCCTTTGTGTCTGCCTCTTTGGAGACCTGTTCTTCTCTCTGCAGTATGTCAGTTCATCGCCACGCAATATATATCAAGGACTACCATGAGTCAGAGACTCTGCCAGCACTGGGCAAAGAAGGAAGAAGGCCTTGTCTGGGACATCATGGTGCTTAAAGTCTAGAGAAGTGTCCAGAGAAGTCAACAAGTGGGAAGGTATGGTGGGTCAGGGTGATTCAGGAGGCACAGCTGGGCCATAGGAGAGAGAACCCGGCCTAACTTAGGCACCAGAAAGCATCTAGTAATAAAAGTGATATCTGTGCTGACACCTATGGAACATGCAAGTATTAGCATAGGAGACCAGGACAGTGTTCCCAGCAATGGGACAGGTATGAGTGAAAACCAAGAGGTGAATGGCACAGACCACGGAAGGGTGGAGAGAGAGGTTTAATTGTGACTGGATCTTGAGTTATGGTGTGGGGCTAAAAGGCAAGACTCAGAGTGGGCAGGGGAGAATGCAGCAGGATTGAGAGACCAGGCCTAGGGTAGGGAAGGAAAAGAGATCCATATCCCCTGAGGTCGGTCCATTCCTGCACCTGACACTGAGCTGGGCCTTGAGGATGTAGCAGGGGAGGAAACAGAGCAGCTCCCTGATTCCATGGCCTTCCAGTCTCTCAGGGAGCAAAGCAAGAGGCATGGCTAGCATATATGAGGAACTCCAAGCATAGGAGTTACCAGGGAATCAAGTGTGGGGCTCTGGATCACAGACCACAGGAGAGACAGAGATTTCCAGTAGAGCCCAGCTCCTCAGGCTGCCCTGGAACTTTACAGTGGTCCATGGTATATGGCCTCCCTGGGCTCTTACATCAGGGCTCACAGAGTCAGGAATGTGGGCTTTTCAATAAAAGTGCAGGCAAAGGGCCCACAGGGAGCCCTGGCTCAAATGAGCTTTTATATTTTTATGTGGAACATAATCACGTTTAGCCATGATCGAGGCTGCCCGTTACTGCTATTAGAGCGTTTATGGTTCTAAGGGGGATATGAGACTTTGACAGTACGTGCTTGCAACTAAAAGCAACGGGGTGTGCTGAGGCTAGAAGCCACCTTGAAATGCCAGGAACACAGAACTTAGGCTGATGTGCATTGCCTTTGAAAGCTGGACTGACAGGGCTCGGTGTTCACAGGTTCCAGAGAGGGTCCTCTCAGGAGGGACAGTGGGGTCATAAAAGTAATAACCACCCAATATATGTAGGTTCTTTGCATGCTTTATTTATCATCTTCAGGATCCCTAAAGGTCTTTCCCATTCATTAGGCCTGTTTTCCATGTGTTGAAACCCAGGCTCAGAGAGCTTAGTGGTTTCTCCCAGAGGACATAGTCAGCAAGTGTGTTAGTTTCTTGTGCCTGCCATAACAAATCACCACAAACCGGGTGGCTTAAAGCAATAGAAACTTACTCTTTCTCATTTCTCAGAGGCCAGAAGTCTCAAATTAAGGTGTGGGCAGCGTTGGTTCCTTCTGGGACCCTAAAGAAGAAATTGTCCCTTAGCTCCTATGGCTGCTGGCACTCCTCCGCGTTCCCTTGGCTTGCAGGTGCGTCACCCTATCTGCTCCTCCCTCCTCACGTGGCTTCTCTCTGCGTCCCTGTATCTTCTGTATCTTCTCTTCTTCTTTTAAGGATGCCAGCCATAGAATTTGGGCCCACCTTCATGTGGGATAATTTCATCTTGAGATTCTTAGCTGAGATTCTTAACTGACTGCCTACAAAGGCCCTCTTTCCAAACAAGCTTACCTTCTGGGATTCTAGGTAAACATGAATTTGGGGAGGACACTATTCAACCATGACAGTAAGTAATGGAGACAGGGACTGAGCCAGGCCTGTCTTGGTGCAGCCACCCACACACAGCACACATGGTTGGATGATGCTTCATTTGCTCACAGCCCCTCTGCTTCCCTGTGCTCCAGAGCCCCCCCACAGCTTTGTCTTACTTCCTCACTGCAAGCTGGCTCCAAACCACTTCTCTCTAGCACAGACCAGGTCTCTGCAGAACTCTCCTTAGCCAGGGACATAGCCCTGAAAGAGTCACAAAGCCACCAGAAACCCTATAGGGAAACACCATGGTACAGAAAAGAAGCGAACCCTACTGCTCTTGGAATGTGACTCAACACTGAGTCTTAGCTCTGCTTCTCATAAGCTAGTGACTTTGGGTAAGTTCCCTCACCTCTCTGAGCCTCATTTTCCCTATCTGTAAATTGGGTACAACATCCATTAGGTGTGCTTTTTGGAAATAAGTAGGTTAAAGAGCACACAGCTTCTGAAGGTTCCTGGCAAAGAGTAGGTGCTCATCAGATGTTTGCTGCATTTGAATCTATTTGCTTCTCTCAGTGACAGAGGGGGAAAGTGTGACCCCTAAAAAGAGAAAGGTTATTTGGGCTCCGTCAAGTACAAGATAATATATGGGAGTAGCTGTAGATATAAATGTACATGTATCAGGCACAAGCATACATATATACACATGCATATACCCCAAATGTGTTGAATCATTGTTCTGTGGAAATATCTATGCCCCATTTATCGACCCATCCATCCATCTCTTCAGTTGAGAGCCTATGCTATGTATCAGATCCCGTGTAAATGCTGCACTTACTTATAGTAAGTAAGTGCATTTAATCTTCACACCTAACCTTGAGGTCTCTAGTTTCATATCCTATTGTACTGACAAATAAACATAACTTCCCCAAGTTGACTCACCCAGAAAGTGTCTGGGGAGCAGACAGCATGTGCAGTTACCTCTTCCTGGCTGGGTCAGGAAAAAGTTGAGGGAAAAGGTGGCATCTGAGTGGTGCCTTGGAAAGGCAGCAGCCACACAGCTCATGAATCATCTGTGGCTCACTATGCGGTGGAGGGAACATGGGAAACAGAGCCAGATAAATTCAAGTTTGTGCTCTGGCTCTGCTGCCGGCTGGCTCTGTGACGTTGAGGTACTGACTATATCTTTCTGTGCCTTTATTTATTTTGCATATGTTAAAAGTGGATGAGGCAGGATATGGTGGTTCACACCTATATTCCCAGGGTTGGAGGATTGCTTGAGGCCAGGCTGGGCAATGTGGCAAGACCCCATCTCTACAAATTTTTTTTAAGTTAGCGGTTGGGGGGTGGGCGTGCATGGTGGTACATACCTGTAGTCCTTGCTACCGGGGGAGGCTGAGGCTGGAAGATCACTGGAGTCCAGCAGTTTGAGGCTGCAGTGAGCTATGATCACACCACTGCAGTCCAGCCTGGATGACCAAATAAGATCCTGTCTCAACAAAAAGTGGGGTGATAAGAGAACTCATGAGATAAATGTAGGTAAAAGGTATAAGGATAGAAAACTGTTTGGCAGGACCAGTTAAAGCAGAACGTGATGCACGGGTGTATAACAGAAATGCACATGCGTGTGCATGTGCATGCACATGTGTGTATGAAGAGACATGCAAAGAATGTCCATTGCAGCACTATCCATAACAACTCCAGATGGAACTAACCCAAATGTTTACCTATAGTGAATATGATACGCTATGCTATATTCACATGATGGAATACTTTAGAGCAAAAACAATGAACAAAGTACAACTACCAGCAACAATATAAGTGGATCTCGCCTATATAATGTTCATCAAAAGAAGCCAGTATGTACTGTATGATTCCAATTACATAAAATTAAAACACAGGCAAAAACTAATATATGGGGTTAGAATTGGGGTTAGTGGGCTGGACACAGTGGCTCACGCCTATAATCCCAGCACCTTGGGAGGCTGAGATGGGTGGATCCCTGGAGGTCGGGAGTTTGAGACCAGCCTGGCCAACATGGTGAAAAAATACAAAAATTAGCTGGGCATGGTGGCACGTGCCTGTAATCCTAGCTACTCAGGAGGCTGAGGCAGGAGAATCACTTGAACCCAGGAAGTGGAGGTGGCAGTGAGCTGAGTTCATCCAGCCTGGGTGACAGAGTAAGACTCTGTCTAAAAAGAACTGGGGTCAGTGGTTTCCTTGGTAGGGGTGAGAGTGAGGGTGGAAGATGGTGAGAGGATGTACCTGGGGCATTGGCCACATTTTCTTTCTTGACCTGGGCACTGCTCCCAAGGAGTTATGTCTGCGAAACTCCTCGACCTGTAGAATTATGTCCTGTGAAATTTATATACATATATACATGTAAAATATTTTAATAAAAGTTTTTTACTCCTATGGCACAGCAGCTGGCTTCTAGAACATTTTCAGCAAGTGCAAGTTTTCTTTTCTTGAATGATTGAATCATCTTGAATGACTGAATCACAATCTCTCCAAGAAAAGAACCCTCCATCTGCATATGATGTTCTCAGTGACATCAAGCCACTGGGGCACTCACAATATGGGGAAAGGAGCCATGCAAAGGGCCAGGAAGGCACAGGAGAAAGGTCAGAACGTTGGAAAAGAAGAAGGGAGGCAGGCAGGGGGTCTTTCTCCTATCAGTTTAAGTATCTGTGAGTTCCCGGAGCAGAGATTCCCTGATGAATATAAAAGTAGGCATCTATTTATTAATGGTGCCATCTATTTTTTTTTTCCCAAAGTTTTGAAAATCAACCTGGACTCTCAGCAGTATCATCCAAATCTCTGCAGATCAAGCCATTGCCCACCTGGCCAGCTTCCCCTCTGCAGCCTTTTTTTCTCACCCCCAGATAACCAGTCACACTGACCTTTGCCTGGCTTCCATATCTCCAGTTCTCAGCTTAAATAACAACCCTGCCTAAAATCCCAGCCCTTTGGGAGGGCAAAGAAGGTGGATCACCTGAGGTCATGAGTTTGAGACCAGCCTGGCCAACATGGTGAAACCCCATCTCTACTAAAAATACCAAAATTAGCTGGGTGTGGTGGCACGTGCCTGTAATCCCAGCTACTTGGGAGGCTGAGGCAGGAGAATCACTGGAACCTGGGAGGTGGAGGTTGCAGTGAGCCCAGATCGCACCATTGCACTCCAGCCTGGGAGACAAGAGCAAAACTCCCTCTCAAAACAAACAAAACCCTCAGGCCACATTAACTTCCTCCTCCTAAAGGACTCTTTTTCATACATCTGTGTTCTTTTGTCACTTTGGAATTGTCTCAGATTTTAATTCATTAACACTCATTTGTCTCTTTGCTTGTTTATTTTCTGTTTCCTCTTCTCCCATGTTCATGTCCACCATTAAGTGCATCATTGCCCCTCTCCAGTGAAAGCCAGCAAGCAACCTTCACACAGCAGCCTCATAAAAGACAGTCCTTGAATACATGGAATCAAAGGCATCTTAAGTTTGTTCATAGAAACAATAGATTTTCTCCTCCCTTAAATGTTTAAACAGCAAGAGTATTTTCACACAGGTAATTCCAGATTATACAGATCCTCAAAATCCTAAGTTATTGTAGAAGGGTGTTTGCAATACAGGGGTTAGAAACTATAACGCAGGAACCAGAAAAGATGTGAATGAATGACAGAGGGCCAGATATCACAATAGGGAGTGGTGGGGACAGCAGCAAACTGAAAGCCAGTACATGACCAAGCAAAATTCAGCAACTGCCTGTCAGTTCTGTCCAGCTGCTCCCATTTTGGAGTGCAGATGTCTTGTTGCCAGATCCCTCAGTTTTCTAAGAGAGGACATCAAAACCCCACATTTTTAATGTCAACTCTACCAGTGTTTGAATACTGGTAATGCATTTAGCATTTCTTAACAGGTGTCTACCCAGTGTACAGCAAACTATTTCTGTAGGCTGCCCGCAGTTGACATCCTCCATTCTGACCCTCGCCAAGCATTTCAGAAAAGGTAGACAGGCCTGCAGAGAAAGCAGATGGCTCATCGCACATCACACAGTGAGTATGTGGCAAGGTGCGGTCTGGAACGCAGGCTCGGAGCTCAATGCAGTTTCCACTTCACCCACAATGAGAAACACCTCTGTGCACACATTTGACTTAATTGAGATAAATCAGCCATCATAAAATTAAATTATGTCTCAAATTAAACATACTATATGGAAAAGGTCCTATGTGCATCTCTTTATTGGCATTACATGAAAGCCCATAGCTCACTTGTAAGAGCCCATCACAACAATCTTAGGGAAGAGGAAGAAGGCTGTTTCCACATTTGACATTAATTTCCAGCCAACCTGGAGTCAGGGTGTCCCTACAAGGTGCCGTGTTGGAAAATGCTCCATTGTGAGACCTGAGCCCTCGCTGCTTGCAGCAGCCCCTTTTTAATTCTGTCTCAGCAGCTCGGGCCTAACCCTGTTATAGAAAAAGTAATCGTAAATCTGCATGAAGTTTCTGATGATTAGTTTTGCTTGGAATTGGGCCAAAGAGTCAGACTTTTGCCAATTGCATATGTACATGTAAGTTCTTTCAAGAAAGAATTTGTTAATCCTTCCCACTAGGCTGAGGGTAAGGAGTTGAGGGGCCTCAAGGAGGAGACACTCTCCCTGACTTTACTTTATGCTGAAAGGTTGTGCAGCCACCTTAGTAAATGCTCTAATGACAATATTGTCTCACTTTATCCTCACTGTGGCGCAGACGGACACAGATTATAAATTTTTTAGACAGACGAGGAAGCTGAGACTAATTTTTGGTAACTCGCCTAAGTGTACACAACTAGAAAGATGTTACACTTGAGTCTGGCCCTCTCCTCTCTGATTGCAAAGCCCCTGTTGCACAGACACGCAGCTAACATGTACACATTATTCTATATCAAATGATGCCAACTACTACATTTTACCAATTAGGCAGCAGTGAATGATCCATGCTGCTGATTATCATCTACCTGGCTTCCTTCCCCCTTCTTCTTAAAACTCTGATAATGTGCAGGGCATGATAGCAGTTGACTTAAAGAGGAGAATGAAAGAAATTAGAAAAGAGAAAAACCAGCCAATGGTAAAGTGGTTCCTATGCTATTTAAAATAATATTAAATAAAGAATAAAAGAATGTAAAAAGAAAAAAAAGCAGTGCAAGAGCTCCGAATTACAGGTATAAGGATTATTTTAAATTTCATTTAATTAACCAGTGCTCCATTTTGACAATGAACAGTGGGTTTTTGATGGGTTACAATGACTTTAGAAGTTAGAAGATAATAAGAAAGCAGTATGCTGAGGTCGACAGTCAAGGGCTTGGGTTTCAGGCAATCAGGGCTTATACCTATTCTCACCCCTCTCTACATTCCTGTCATTTGACACATTACCTCATCTCAACCTGTGTACGCAGAATAACGACGGCATTCCCTGGTAATAGATTAAATTTCCAATCTAGTCAGAAGCAGGAAAACAGAGGCCTCCAGAAGGGAATTCCCACAGGCTTTAAATTGACCTCCTATTTACACCCACACCCATGTACCCCACCTTCTTCTTGTTAGTAGGACTTGGAACCATAGCTACCTGATTCTGAAGTCCCCTAGGGTATGGGAATTGGAATTTTAAGATGTTACTGTATTCGCATTGTGGATTTTGTTATTGCAAATGTGAAAGAACTTGCCATTCCAAAGTTGAGATAGCTTGATTTTCAGGCATTTTTTTCAGGCATTTGAGTTCTCTCCTGATGGCTGTGGGACCACTAGGCAGGAATCACTTACAAGTTGTGGACATCTGTGAGAACACACACACACACACACACACATACACACACACGTGTGCTGGAAATTCTAGCAGGGAAGATGCAACAATTCCACCCTTGTTGCAAGGCATCTCTGGCCTAAGTTCATTTGGGTAACAATGTGGAATTGAGAATCAGGCAGACTTGGTTCCAAGTCACTCACCAGAGGAAGCCAGAGTGTGTGGGTGCAGATGCAGGAGGGAAGGTAGAGTGAAAGCACATGGACGTCCTCTTCTGATGGTTTCTATTTTACCACTCAGTGCTACAATAGGAAACTGATTTCTTACCAGGGGAGAGGATGGGGGCAAAGAGAGGAGACTGAGTTTAAAGAACAGAATGATTCATCTTTTTAAGCTATTGTATTCCCACCAGATGAAGGACAGAAAAGCAACTGTCATTGAGCAGGTTTAGGTCATCACATATTTGGAGAGTTTTAAGAATCCTTTAGAGACCATCTTTCTTCATTTTACAAACAGAAAACCAAGTTCTGAAGAGAGATTAAATGCTCCCTCTCTTCTTGGAACAGATTAAGGCAGTGGTTCTCAACTGGGGGCTATTTTGCCCCCTATCACAACCCCTGCTCATCTCTACAGGATACTTGACAATATTTGGAAATGTTTGTTGTCACAATTGGGGAAGGGGAGAGGGAGAGGTATTGCAACCAGTATGTGTTGACTGGAACCAAGGATGCTGCTAAACATTGTATAATGCATGAGATAGCCCCCACCACAAAGAACAATCTAGCCCAAAGTGTGTCAAGAGTGCATAGGTTAGAATACCCTGAATCAAACTGACATTTAACTTGTACAAAGCCATATTACACTCTCTAAACAGCCTGGGCATTTGGTCAACCAAAAATCTTTGAATACTCCCTCTCTCCAATTGTTTGTGACCCCATAGTCCTTAAATAATTGTCTTCTCTGGAGCTTACCACGTGTCCTTAGAGTTCTTGATTCCTATCTTCTAGAGTTAACAACCAATGTTTGGAAACATTTAGGTGTAATAACTGTCAGATAGAGGTGCATGGCTGAATCAGGAAATAATAAAAGTTACATTTTCAACTAAGAGAGACCCTGAAATAAAAGCTAATAGAAAAACTGAATCTTCAAGGGTGTGTTATGAGTTTAAATGAACTACGAGCTAAAATAAACTAGCTTGATCTCCCAACACAAATGGCAATTGTGGGTTGAATTTAGTTTAGGTATGCTGCAGTTGTAGGTAAACACACTGAATGCTAATGGTTTTATAATAGTCTTATTAATTCACCCTTCGTAGTTAATGTTTAAGATAAACTCTGTGTCTTTAGAGTAATTTATGCATTCCACTTTTAGAGAATTCCAATTGAATGAATATGAACCTAATCATTTTACACAAATGTTCTCCAAGGAGGGAGAGGAAAGTATGAACCGGGCAAAGACTCCCCACTGCTTTATTCATAATGGATCAGCCAATTCATTCCTTATTAATTTAATGGAGTACAAGTAAGCAGCGTAACAGCTTGAGTTTAGGAGTGTTTCACAAATGGGGCTTTTTGTCTGTAATCACTTAATCCTGCAGGCTAGGCCTCATAAATTGAATAAAAGAGGGAACTGGGTTTTAATTAAGTCCAAAGAATGAGGCTGCATCAAAAACACAAGCACCACTGACAAACACAGGGGTGAAGTGTGTTTGGTTAATATCCCATGCTAAGAGCATCCTGGCCCTGGGAGCCCTGACGGGAACCTTTTGATGTCGGGCTGGAGGGGAAATCCTTTCCTCATCATGGGCTTGCATCCTGAAGGGCAGTGAGAAGAAAGCCCATGTCTCTGAGCTCTTGCCAGCCCAGGCCTCCCCACAAAGCTGATGCTCAAGCAAAAAAGGCATTCCTGCCCCTGGTTTTGCATCTGTCCACATCTGGCTGGGAAACAGACTTTTTGACCAGGAGCCCAGTCCAGAGAAAAGGTGAATAATCCTTTCCCAGGATCTTGTGTGCCCTATTGGAAAGAATCTGGACTTCTAAGCCAGACAGACTCAGATTCAAATCTCAACTGCACAATATAATAGCTACAGGTCCATGAATAGGATGGAGATAATGCTTTGCTGGGTTACTACTAAGATAAAGTGAGTTTATGTGGTCAGGCACTGTGCAAAATGAGTGACTCATTGAGGATGTTCAATGAAACGCAGTTAGCATCATGGTGATCATCTCCTACCTAAAGTAGAAATGTCCTTTTATAAAAACTGCAATAATAAGCCAAAATGGAAAACATTTCTCCAACCTTTCCTATAAAATTTCCCAGAAACCTCCACTTACTGAAGCCTTTGGTGGATCACTCTACTTCTGAAAAACTCCACTCAAGGTCCCTCATGGGAGATCTTGTCTGCCCCATGGGAGGGGAGGCAGAATAATGGCCCCCAAAAGTGCATACATCCTAATTCCTGGAACCTGTGAGTGTGTTACCTCCCCTAGCAAAGACGAAGACTTTGTGGATGTGATTGAACTAAGGATCTTAACCTGGATTAGCTGAGTCATCCCAAGACAATCACAAGTGATGATAAAGAAAGAATGAAAGAGACAGGAGAGTCAGTGTCAGAGGGATAGAGCGTGGGAAAGGCACCAATGCTGGCTTTGAAGATGGAGGGAAGAGCCATGAGCCAAGGAATGCAGGTAGCCTCTAGATGATGGACAAGGCAAGGAAGCGGATTCTCCTCTAGAGCCTCCAGAAGGAACACTGACCTGCAGACACCTTTAATTTCAGCCCAGTGAGACCCAGTTTGGGCTTCTGACTTCTAGAACTGAAAGATAAATTTGTGTCATTTTAAGCCACAAAGTTCGTGGTAATTTGTTACAGCAGTCATGGGAAACTAAATCTCTATTTCTACTAAGTCTATTAAATGAACTCTGTTTCATTTCTACTTTAAGTATGAGTGCCCAGCCAAACCACCCAAATCCCAGGGGAACTGTACTGTTTCTTTGGAAATAAGAATCTGTCGTATGAGTTCAGCCTTGTTCTTTAGTCGACATACCGATTATGATTTCTAGTTGTCTAATTTAAGATTATGAACTCCTCCATGACAAGCACAGAGACTACTATCAGGCTCTGTTCATACCAGAGTCCCGCACATGTTTAAGAAATTTTACTGATTCAAGAGAAGTGCTAAACTGCAAATTTTCTGGGACTATGAATTCCTCAAAGAACAGCTATCATTGTAATAGATGGAGCTCCCCTCTTAATAAAAACAGCAGAAACAACATCAGCCAGGAGGTCTACCACAATGAGGATGACGTGGACATCTTATTGAACAACGTACGTGGATCATACCATTCCCATCATTTATTTGTCATTCTCACAACAGCCTCACATCATGTTCTGAATGCCTATTTTACTAATGAACACACTGAGAGGTTAATAATTTGCTGAATCAATATTCATACTCAGTGTCCTTTGGTCCCAAAGCCCTGGATTTTTCCACTACCCAGAAAACTTGAGAATAGATGCTAGTTTTGCATAAAGTCATTTTAACTATTTTTGTATGATTATGATATTCATCTCATTAAAATTTTAGGAAAATTTTTAAGAAAAAAGATAAGGAACATTGTTTTAAATTCTGCCAAAAAAGATAACACTCTCCCATCCTTTTTGATAGGAACCAGACAGAGGACGAGAGTCCGCATGCTGAACCACTTAAATTCACATGGCGGCTAAGAAGACAAGAGTTTCGGCAGGCATAGAGGCTAAGAGAGTTAAGAGCATCCTCCGTGCCTAGTACAGTCCCCAGCTGCATCATAAACAGATGAAATGAAAAAGTTTTTTCTCCCAATCAAGCCAGCAGGAGAGCAAGGGTCTGTGGTACCTGGGGACAATGCACCATGCTTACACCCTCTCTAGCCACATGTATGCTACTGCGGAATTGGCAAAGACAGGTATGTTCCCATAGATGAGGCATGCATACAGACAGGTGCCTGGAAACCACAAGCCCTCCAAGGCTTTCCTGTGCTAAGCCTGATTTACGAGCTAGTCACCCATGCCTGACTCAAGTCCAAGATCTGGGCTGAACAGCCTCTTCTGCATTTTCTGATGTGTGACGCCTATTGTGTGCCCCTTCTGGGATCCTCATGACTCCTGCCAGTCCTTTCATGGGTGGAGGCTTTGAGTGATCCTCGAGAACCAGGAGAGTAAGGAGTGACTTATATAGGATCAGAATAACCATGCAACTACATCCCAGGAGCTGTGTGCTCAGTGGGTGATTAAATGTGCTGTTTACTTTGTATCCTCGGTTGTCTACTCAGAGCTCTTTTATTAAAGTTTGTGTAATGCTTCCTAGCCATTAAAACAGCATTTCGTAAATGGGCTTACTTTGGGAGGCTGAGATGCCCAGAAGCATGGAGGCACCTGTCTCGGGTGGAGACACCTGAGGTATTATTTACAGATTTATGTATTAAACAAACAAACCTGACACTCCTTTTCTATTCCAGAGTGCAACCCTTTTTAGTCATCAACCTGGGGGAGAGATCTCTTCTGCACATAAAAGTATCCCCACAGCATTGTGATCACACTGGAGAAAGTGGACGGGATAAAGAGAAGGAAGGACGTTTTGTTGAGTGCCTTCTATGTGCTGTTCGCTCTGCTGAGCTTCAAGTTTCTCAAATATAAATGGGGGAGAGGCTGGGCGCGGTGGCTTACGCCTGTAATTCCAGAACTTTTGGAGGCCAAGGCGAGCAGATCACAAGGTCAGGAGTTGCAGACCAGCTTGGCCAACATAGTGAAACTCTGTCTCTACTAATAATACAAAAATTAGTTGGGCATGGTGGCACGTGCCTATAATGCCAGCTACTTGGGAGGCTGAGGCAGGAAAACTGCTTGAACAGGGACCTGGGAAGCAGAGGTTGCAGTGAGCCGAGACCACGCCACTGCACTCCAGCCTGGGCTACAGAGCGAGACTCTGTCTCAAAAAATAAATATAAATAAATAAATGAGGGAGAACCATGATTCATAGGGTTCTTAATAATGAAGATAACAATACCAATGCCAATAACAACTGTCACATATTCTGCATGCTGGACATTGTGCTAATTCTTTCCATGCATTTTCTCACCTAAGCCTTACAACAACCCGGAGGGATAGGTACGATTTTACAGATGACAAGACTAAGGAACAGAGTTTAAGCCAATTTCCCAAGATTGCAGAGCTACTGAAGGTCACAGACACTATTTTGTCCTTCAGTGGTTAGTCTTCTAGAGCCCATAAGCTTCACCTCTGTGGTATCTGTTTCCCATTTTGCAGGCACCACATGTCCCACTATTTGGGATAATATAGTAAAATGCATAGTACAGTCTTCCCACTTCCAAGCAGCACTATAAATGGAGACTAACAGTTCATCTAACTGGAGACGGCAAAGAAGGCTTCCTAGAGGAGGTGGCCCCTCTAGTATCTTGCTTTTCCTACAAGCACCCCTGTAGGCCCATCTTTGGGAAGTTGGGGTGGGGGGCACATAGGTGCCAGGTTGAAAAAGTGTTTCTGTTCCTTCCAACGAAGAGAACAGAAAGAGGTCCAGAGAGAGAGAAACATACAGATGTCCTCCAGCTTTCAGAACCTGAAGGCTGATTTCAAATAAGTTGTGCCCATTTGGGGCTGTGCCTAGAGGAAGAGAATGTTGGAATCATTCTCTTCTCTTCTTGTGCAACCACTTTTAGAGGCAGCTTGAGAAGAAAGTTTAATCAAAGTGGTTTTTAGACAATGAGGAACCTGAGTCAGGCCCCTACACCTGTGAAGGCCACTCTGTTCAGCTTCCTATAACATCTCTTATGTAGATATTCTGTAGAATATAGATAGGTAGATACGTATATATTGAAAAATATCAACTCAGGAATTATTTTTTCTCTGATAACTGTTGAAAGAGCCCTTTCATTAATAGCAAATCCTTTTGTTTCTGCCTTGCCCCTTCAACAACAACAAAAAAATTTGAAAAGAATACGAATGCCGATTGACCTTCACTCAAATGCACTTTTTTAAACCTAGGACTGCCTTCCTTATCCAAGTAATGGCTTTCAGACAGATTATAAGATCTTGTACCAAATTAAGCAAAAGATTAGAAGAATAAGGACACACTGAGAAAACACGTGCTGCCTCTTTAATGTCTCAGGTTTTCTTTAAACATAAAATTATAGCACAATGCACAAAAGGACGGCGGCATTATCCTTTATCACAATACCCAGCCAACTTTAACTTGTCTCAAGTGTTATTATAAGAAATAGAATTTACTGCTATGGACTTCTCTTCAATACCACTCCTTCCCTGTTTAATGAAATGTCATTATTCCAATACAAACCCTTTCTTTTTGCAGCCTGTTCCCCCCCCGACCCAACCACTATATTTCATTTCCTGCAGTTACGTGATATTATTGCCTTTTTTCCACAGCTATTGATTTAGGTGTATATGGTTATTACAATGCAAAATAAAACAGCTCCCCCATCCATTCTACCTTGTACCATTGAACATTAACTTAATTTGTTTCAAATCTGCATTTGATTTGGCAAGGAAACCATTTATCTTTATGAAGAAAGCCCTCATAAAGTAGAGAGTTTAGAAGATCACTGCTTTAAAAATTTAATAGCCTTGTGTCTTATAAACTAGAAAAATGAATTAAACCTTCAAATAGTGTATGTCTCAGTGTAACCTTTTTGCATTTCATACTATGTTTAATTTATTATATTCTGGAGGAGGAAAAAAGTTACAGGACAGATCGCAGCATGTGGCTTGCTTCAGCATCGCATGAATAAAGTCAAGGTTTACCACTCATAAGCAGTGTGATTCGCAGGAATTCTCGTTCATCTCACGCTGAAGTTGACGTTGCAATTTCAGGTGCTGCAAGAATGGGTTTTGTCCAGAGTTTTTCCATGGTAAAAGAAGGGGCTCTCTCCCTGGAACACTTGAAGTGCAGCCTGAGGGTAGAGGGAAGTAAGGGGGAAAGTAGAGCTAATAAAGGTATAATGACGCTTTTAAAAGATTCAGAAATAAGAAAATGCTCCACTCAGAAGTAACAGGGTGTCTCCAAGAGGATGAGAAACAGTGTCTGAGCTTAGGTCTCAGAAATGGCCAGAAGATACTGGTATCAATGCCAAAAATAGCATCACCTGGGCTCTTAAATATATACTGCTAATAGATACTCACAGTTAAAAATAAATTTAAAAAGAAATAAAAAGGAAGGACTGAGGCTGCAGCCCTTGCTATCTCTCTTTATTGCAGACCTTCTTTTCTTTCTTGCTGCCTCCATCTGTGATATGTGTGGGTAACACAGGTTAGTGGGAGATGAAGTTTAAAGAATAGAAAATTATCAACTTGACAACTTTCAGTTGAATGAAGATAATAGTTCAGTTCATACTTTAAAGTGTAGGGTAAGTCCACCATCATCACTACCATCACAGTCATCTCCCCCAGGTCTATGACTACTACCATCACCACCACCAGGGCTACCACCACTATGACCATCACCACCACAGCACCACCATAATCACCAGTACCACCATTATCATCACTACTGCCAATGCCATCACCATCACTACATCCGTGCTACCACCACCTTCACCATTACCATCTCATAACTACCAACATCACCACCACCACCATCACTACCACCAACCATACAATCACCATCATCATCATCATTACCACCAGAGATACCACCACTACCATCACCATCACTGTCCCGCCACTACCACTATCATCATCACCACCACCAATACCAACACCAAGACCATCATCACCACCAGGGCTACCATCATCATCGCCGTCACAAATACCATACTTTTATATATCCAATATGCTAAACTCTCTCCTTCAAAAATTCAACAGTATTGAATTGCAGGTATCCATCCCTTTTTGCCAGAGAATTCGGGAAGTTGCAGGAATGGAAAGTGAGTTGCTCGATGTCACAAAGGAAGAGCCAAGATAAGAATTCAAGTGTTTCTCAGTCCCAAACCATGTTGCATTTTTTTGTATGCTTTCACTAAACCACTTCAGTCCAAAATAATCTTATTATTTAGGACATTTTTCCTTTTCCAAAGACTCGGATGCTTGATTATTATGATAAAGTTTGAAACATAATCTGTTGAATTGGTCATGCTTGTAGAAAGGTTGAACACTCCCAGTGACTTGGCTAGAGAATGGTTCAGAGGAATGGCTCTCTGTCTCTTTCAATCACTGAGGACGTCCAATGCTGTTCTGGGAGCCTGCAGTGCCTCCTCTGTTTGTATTGGCTTCCCTGTTCTCTACGTGTCTCTTCTTAAGCCCTTCTTTCTCCAGCTGGGCACTCCTGACTATGCCGTCTCTAGCAAATCTCTTTTTTTCTGCAGTAAGTATTTGTAATAAACAGCCAGCATTTATCTTATTCTTACTATGTGGCAGGCTTTGTGCTAAGTTCTTTCCATGGATTACCTCATTTAATGTTTACATTTCTGTAAATTATCATTATGCTAATTTTAATGATGCTAAAACAGAGGCTGAGATTAAACAACTTGCCTGAGGTCACCCGTGTAGACTTGTGAACTGAACCCTAAATTCTGTCCCCCTGCATATTCTCCTGTGCTCTGAGCACTCTGTTCCTTGCAGTTTGTCACCAGATTGCATTCTGTGCCTTTTTCACAATAGGACCGCACCGAACCTGGAAGAGCTCCCAACAACACAGAGAAGAATATTAGGGATGTGGGTGCTGTTACATGCATTAGTGTTTCTTGATTGACAATACCCGCCAGATGGACACCCAGAAACACACCTGTAAAACAAAGTTAAGTTTATTGGCTTGTTGGAATTTGAGAAAACCACACCAAAGGGAGCCATGTATTGTCTCAGTAACAAGGTGCTAGAAAGAACTTACAGGAATTGGGCTTGTGTGAGGTGATTTTGAAGTAGATTCAAAAAAGTGGAAGTTTGCTCTCAATTGGGCACTGTGAGTAAATGGACGCAATTCTATGATTGTGTATCTTAGCATATCTGATCTATGGGGGGACAGACAACTGTGAGGTTTCAGCTGTGATTGGCAAGGAAGCTGCAGTCACCATATTATCTGGGAAAGAGGGACGGTTGGTATTTTGAGGATTGGTACTTTATGTTGTATTTTTGAACAACACTCATGTTTTGTCTGTACTGAGACATGATTACAGAGTGGTCTTGTTTTTGCCTGGCTCTGTCATGGTCACACAGACATTGTGACATTGGTGTTCCATAAAAGTTTTCATGTGCAACAGAAGAACACCAGGCCTGCTCTGAGTGTCAAGCCAGTTCCCAGAATTACAAACGGCCAGTTTTTCATGTTAGATCAGCACTTAGCTGTTAGCAGCTACTTTTCTCTTTCTCAATTCATTGTTGTTTCTCAGGAAAATGTCCCTGCCTGGAGCTCGAAACCAGTAAGAAAGTTTTCAAAGCACACTGAAGACCAAAGCCAAGGTAGGAACCAGGCTCACCAATAACCATGGACCACCCCCTCTAAGTTTCCACTGAGATCTACTTCCAAGCACATTCATTACAGGTATGGGGAGCAGAAGAGTATTGTGGTCAAGAATAAACACCCATAGAGTGTTTGGATTCATATTCTACCTTCATAAGATATTAGTTCTGTGATCTTAAAGACATATCTTAGCTTCTGAGCTACCATTTTCTCATCGGGTAGAAGGAAGAGAATAATACTGCCTTTGTCATAGGGTTGCCATGAGAATCTATGAAATAATATATAAAAAGTGCTTACCAAGTGACAGACACATAGTAATTCCTCAGTAAATGGTAACCAACATGACTTCTTTTGCCACCCTCTTTGCTTACAAGGCTACTGAAACGTTGGTCTTTCTTTCTTTTAAACGTGCCAAGAGCCCTTGCTCTTCCTGGTGTCTTTACCTGGTGAGCTCTGCCCCATATATCCTTATAACTGTGTGGTGCACAAAATAATGGTCCCCAAAGATGTCCATGTCCTGATTCCCAGAACCTTGGAAGATACTACTTCACGAAGAAAAAGAGACTTTGCAAATATGAATGAGATAAAGACCTGAAGATAAGGAGATTAGCTTCATTTGTTCAAGCGGGTTTAATGTAGTTATAAGACCCCTTAAAAGTGGACATGAGAGGAAGAAGAGTCAGGAAGATAGATAGCCCACCATTGCTGGGTTTAAGCATGGAGGAAGGGGCCACAAACCAAGGACGGTGGGTGGCCACCAGAAGTTCAAATAGGCAAGGAAATGAATTCTCCCCTAGAGCCTCCATAAAAAATCATGGCCCTGATAACATCTTGATTTGGACCTAGTGAGACCTGTGTCTGACCAACAGCACCATAAGAAAATAAATTTGTGTTGTTTTAAGCCATCATGTTTTAAGCCATCAAAATAACAACGTTATTTGTTACAGCAGCCAATACAAAACTGAATCCTTCCCACTCAAATCTCAGCTCAAATGTCACTACTCAAGAAGTCCTTCCAAACTGTTCAATCTAAATTACACATCCCATCCCTGCTCCCCAGGTGCTGTCCAAGTCTCTCATTCTGTTTTTCACTTGGTACTTACCAGTCTTTACAATTAGCTTCCAATGTATTTCTTTAGTTAATTCCCTCTTGCCCCACATGAACTTGTTCTCCTCTGTATGAACAATACCAAAAAGAGCACTGTAGCAACAACATCTAAAAGAGTGCCTGGCATTTAACAGGAGGAAGGAGCCACAAGTCAGGGAACTTCTTACCTCTCATGTTTTTCAAACTGACCTTTAGGAAATTTAGCGTGGCATACAGGCTGCCATAGGCAATTAAAAAAAAAAAAAGCCAGTTTACTCAGAATTGCAAACAAATGAGATCAGCATATTTGGGACATGAGTGTTACTGTTTCTCTATCATTGCAAAATACCAGTAGTCTATTTTCACATTCTTTCCTGTTAAACCCACACAGAACCTCAGAATCCTTCCCAACCCAAAGCGCAAGGCAGCCATTGGACATCAAATGTGGTTGAAGTATTTACAAGATAAAAAAAATTATTTACTATTCTTAAAGAGTAATGACTG
This sequence comes from Homo sapiens, assembly GCF_000001405.40. Classification (NCBI taxonomy): domain Eukaryota; kingdom Metazoa; phylum Chordata; class Mammalia; order Primates; family Hominidae; genus Homo; species Homo sapiens. The sequence continues at coordinate 80,174,791 of NC_000016.10, forward strand.
AAAACAAAGGTTCATAGAATTGTAGAAGAAACTAGGTACATCAAGGCTGAGGGAAAAGCATAATAATAATAATTGATTGCCTACTATGTGCTAGGCACTGTCCTAAGCTTTGACATGCAATATCTTATCCAGTCCTCACACTGACTTGTTGAAATAGGCCTTATTTTTATTTCACTTTTGACAGATGGGGAAACTGAGGCATGAAGAAGTTAAGTACCTTTCCCAAGGTCACAGAGCTAATATGTGGCACAGTAGATATTTGAAACTCAGAACTTTAATTCTGGACACCTCACAGTTAGTTATTATATATATATATTGTCAGCTTGGGATATGGAGTGTGAGATCTCTTCCCTTGAATATTTGAAGGGCTGCCAAATAGAAAAGGATTAGATCTATTCTATGTGGCTTCAAGGACACTGAGACAACCCTTCCCATTTGCATAATACATTCCCATAATTCACGCATTTAATCCTCAAAACAACCCTGTGTGGTTGCCATAAAATCAGAGGAATCTGTGATTGGGAGAGGAGAACTGCCTTGCCCAATTCACACAGTTCAGAAGTAGCATGATCAAACCTCAAACCCAATTCTCTTTACTAAATGTCTTGGGCTTGTTCCATTATGCTTAATTACCTGTAGCATTCATTCAACCAAAGTGGACTCTGCCTGTGCTATAGATCTTGCACTCTGCTCGGCTCTGAGAATTCAAAGACAAAACAAATCTGCTTTTAGGAAATTTATAGTCTAGTGGTAGAGATGCAAAAATAGCCCCTTGAAATCTGACATTATAGAAGCTATAGGAGAGATGTGAGATATACCAGAGTACAAAGAAAAGGGAGCCAGTCTCAAGGGGAGTGACATGTGAGACAGAGAAGACCAGACCTGGGTGCACAGATGGTATAGAGAGATCATTTTGGTTCAGTGCAATAAAGAACTTCCCACCAAATTTGCCAAATATAGAAACCTCATTTATTCTAGTGTCATCATAGAAGAAATTTAATAGATTATTTTTAAACTGCATAGCCAGAAAAACTCTAGCTACTAGCTGAAAGACTGAATTTAGTGGACCTTTAAGTTTTTGCCAGCCTAAAGCTTCTACGAGATCTTGGCTTTTCCATGAATTATTTGATGATTTACATAACTCACTTGTATTTCACAAGTATTTGGTGGGCACCAACAAGCTTCAGGCACTAAGGACTCAACCACTGTGTTTGAAAATGTTTCAGCCCAAGGGAAGAAAGGCATATGAGCCACCACATTTTTTTAAATAAGTGAGTCCCTGGCAGTATATGCTTACTGAAATATGTTGCTCTTTTGTCAATTACAAATAATTTTCTACAAGACATTTCTTGTCTTCAAAAATGACCCTCGAAAGTAGGCTGTTACCTTCTGAATATTCATTTACTTATTTAATCCACAAATATTGATGGAGTCCCATGCCTCTGTTGGTTGCTGAAAACTTCTTCAACCCAACAAAAGGCCCTCCTGAGTCCAAATGCAAGTGAGATGAATCACTGTCAATTAAGCCCTGAAAGGTCATGGTTGGTGTCTGGCATCCTTGGACCATTGCCATGGAAATGAAAAGGGAATCTGGAAGTTTGGCCCATTGCTTCTTAGGAAAGTCTTCAATAGGAGCTTTCAACAGGCAATAAAATGAAATGGTGATAATAAATAGGCAGGTTTTACTCCACAGTAGATACTTGGGGGTAGACATAATGATGCTCCAAGGATGCCCACATTCTAATTCCAAGAACCTGTGAATATGCTACCTTGTGTGGCAAAAGGGGGAGCTTTGCAGATGTGATTACATTAAGGATCTTGTGATTGGGAGATTCCCCCAGATTACTCAGTGTATTCAATATAATCACAAGGATCCTTACAAGAGGGAGACAGGAGAATACGATTTAGAGGGAGGCTTGAAGATGCTCTGCTGCTGGCTTTGAAGATGAAAGAGGGGGCCATGAGTCAAGGAGTGCAGATGGCTTCTAGAAGCTGGAAAAGCCAAAAAAAAAAAAAATGATTCTCTCCTAGATCCTCTGGAAGATTGCAACCCTGACAATACCTTAATTTTAGGATTTGTGACCTCCAGAAAGAAGCGATTTGTGTTTTTACATAACGAAGTTTGTGCTCATTTATTACAGCAGCAATAGGAAAATAATACAGTGCAATGGTCTGAGTCGTGTGCATATCAAGTAATTTACATTCATTTACTTAAAAAGAAATCCTCACTGAGTATGATGTTCCAGGAATTACTCCAGGTTCTGAGGATACCGCAGCAGCCCAGTTTCAGTGGCTGCTTGTGAGGAGTTTGTATAATCTCATGAGTAATAAATTTAAAAACGGCCCAGTAAGCTTGGCATTGCTACCTCCATTCTAGTAATAACAAAATGAAGGCACAGGCCAGGCACAGTTGTTCACGTCTGTAATCCCAGCACTTTGGGAGGCCAAGGCGGGCAGATCACCTGAGGTCGGGAGTTTGAGACCAGCCTGACTAACATGGTGAGACCCCACCTCTACTAAAAATACAAAATTAGCCGGGTGTGGTGGCATGTGCCTGTAATCCCAGATACACGGCAGGCTGAGGCAGGAGAACTGCTTGAACCCAGGAGGCAGAGGTTGCAGTGAGCTGAGATGGTGCCACTGCACTCCAACCTGGGTGACAAAAGCAAATCTCCATCTCAAAAAAAAGAAAGAAAAATAAAATGAAGGTACAGAGGAGTAAAGTAACTTCTCCAAACTCCTTTGAGTTATAAATGGCCCAGCCAGGATCCAAACCCATCCACCTCACAAAAAGCCAGTGCTATTTCCATCACTGTCCCATTTCCTTAGGGACAGTTCAAAAATGCAGATCTAAAATTCTTTCTCATGCCTAACCCTCCTATTTTCCTCTACATTCCCTGGGAAGCAGCATACATCCTTTCCTTGGATGGGACAACTGCCATTTCTAAAGCTGCTTTGAACCATGGTATTTCTTAACTCTTTTCTCTTTGGGATCACAGACATGTATCTTGTTATATGCACCTCCTAATATTTTGATTATTTTGATGCAAATCCATCACTCATAATAAATCACCCTGCTTTCCAAATGCAATCGATTTTAGAAGCAAGGAAGCAAAAACTAAGTAAGCTCTGACAGTCTTTGGGAGTGTCCGTGATAGGAGAAACCTAAGAGGCTAAAAGCTATTTTCCTCACTGTCAACCCACTGGATGATTTTCCTTGCACAAACACATACCCATACAGTCTGACTAATGCTTGCTTTTTTGGACATATGTGAGCAAATAAATGTAATTACAAGCAAGATGTAATCACAATTGCTTTGCTATTAAAGCTGCTGTACACTCTTACAGCTTGGTTAACAATATATGCAGAAGGGTGGAATTGCTTGCTGCTCTCCCAGGAAGAAAAATACGCAGAAGTATGGCCTCTTTTATATTATATCTGTGAAAATACAACATTTAAATGCAGAATTTGACTTTTCAGGAATTGCACCAGAAAACCTTTTAACAGAAACAGCAGGGAGAGAAAGCTTTTTAAATCATGATACTCCATGAAGGATTATGAAAATGGAGGTCATCACACAAGACGAAATTGCAAGTACAATGAGGAAAATCTTCTCCTCTGTGTAAATACACGAGGACAATATGTTATTCTCTGTTAAGCTATCAGGGGATATTTTCAGCTTCTAGAAAAAAGAAAAGGAAAGCAGCCACCTTGTCCAAATGGATCTATTCAAAGTGATGTGCTTGGCTGGTACCTGGTAGTAATGGTCAGTTTCTTTTATATTGAACCAGAGTGTCTGAGAAGAGCTACCCTAAGACTCTTTCTCATAGCTTGTTAGGCAACTGGGGATACAGAGGCTCACTGGAGACTTTCACCTGCATCCAGTCCTTGAGAGCAAGGAAGGACAAATCTACTCATGTCAGAATGTCCGAATGCCATCACAGCAGGCCAGTGATGCGGTCAATACAATCGGGTTTTTATTAAGTTTATATTCAACTAACTTGTCAGAAACTTCTGACCCTACCAATTGGGTTACATGACCAGCACTGTGTACTGGACTCTTTGGTGAGACTGTCCAGAGAAAAGAGGTTATTGAACAATGTATCTGACTGATAAGTCATAGTGAAAGATCTGTAAAAGTAGAACCTTCATGCTACCATCTGTGTGTGTAATGTTATACCCAAACATGAATATGCCTTGGTTAGGGGTCATGATTGATTGATTGATAGACAGACAGATAGATGAGATAGATAAGTAAATACATTGATTTTTTAATTATTTTTATTTTACTTGACATTTCTTGATCACTTACAGTGAGCTGGGCAACTATCTCAACACTGAGAATATAAAGAAAAATAAGATATGGAGGAATTCTGCCCTCAAGCATGCTAGTGTCTATTTGGGAAAAACAGACAAATAAATAATACATCAAGAAAAAGCAGCAAGCCCCATGCGATAGTAGGTGAAAGGGAGGCTGTTTTTTAATTTGTCCATATAAGGTCCCAAAATCTTGACTTACATTATGAATTGGGCTTATTAAGCTCACATACTTTTGTTAAACTCTAAAAACTGTATTGTTGTTGATTTTTTAAAATTTTGGACTTGTAATGAGAGCTAGGCATTTTATGTGAATGACCAATGCATAAAATAAACTATACAGCATTTTCTATATAATGAGCTTAAGTTATGCTGTATTTCTTCAATTCCGAAGTTCAGGTTTTTCACATTTTTAGCATAGCTGAAAGTATGATGTTACCTCTTTCCATGGAATCTCAAAATTATAATTGGCATCACTTTCTTCTTTCTTAGGTATACAATTATGTTATTATATATAAAATTATGTTCTGGCTTACTCTTAGAGGCTATAGACTGTGATCTATATGAAAATATTAATATATATTAATAATTATATAGAGAGTACTGATTATGTACTGCTGCGCTGATAAATGTTGTTATAGAGTGGTGTGCTAATAAGTGTTTAACAATGAGATTTCTGTGGGATAAAAGCCCCATTTGTAAAATTTGCCGTTTTTGTGGTGTAGATACTCCCACTATGGTTGATGTCAAGTTATGAGGGTGACATCATTGAATGTGAGTTAAGAAAAGATGCCCACAGCTGGCTCTGGAGAGCCCACCCAGGCCAGCCCTAGTACATTACTGCACACACCTAAATCTAGGGCTATGTTCAAGCTCCTTCCAGGTGGCAGACCAGTGTCTGCTGGAACAACCTGTAAAGCTCTGTGAGAATGCTTTATTCATGATTACCCTGAGAATATTGTTATAAATAATCTATAGCATGGTTCTTATATTAATTTGCAGTCCCTTCTTATTAGGCTCTTATTCTTTGTTTGTGAGGGGAGTATTTCTATCTTTAAATCCTTTATCCGGCTTAAATCCTTTTGGTCTTTATCTATTTTGACATGTGGAATGTTCTTCTCTCAAAACTTGGGGTAACTGGTTCTTTCTCATCATTTAGGTCTCAGCTCAAATGTCAGCTCTTCATAGAGGACTCCTCAGATGACTGTTCTAAAGTATTTCCTTTTCCCAGTCATTGTCTCTAAAACAAAGCTAGATTCAAAATGGTCTTCACTATCTGAAATTATCTTACCTATGTGTTTGCTTGTGTAATAATCTACTCTGTCCTGCACCAGAGTGAAAGCTCCACTCTAGCAGAAACCTACCTTCTTTGTCTATAGACAAATCTCCAGGGCCTGGAAGTCTACCTGGCACTGTTATGTAGTAGGCATATAACAAATAGTTATTGAATGACCCAATCAATCATTCAGTCCAAGATTATAATATCAACCAGATATGTGCCTTCATGTTATTTTGTCATGAGGAACAAAACTTTCTCTACATAGTAAAATAAACTAATCAATCATGTGGATGCTATAAGAGTTTAAAGTCTTCTATTTTTACTTAAAAAATATTTAGAGTAGACCTTGGAACTTCCATTTCCAGGCAAGGTGGAGTAAAAAATTACCTGATTTATCCTCCTTCCAAAAACAACCGAAGAACAGACATATGAAACAATGGTTTGCAAGACACTGGATATCAGTCAATGAAGGACAGTGATCCAAAAGAGATGGGAAACAAATTGCCCCAGCTTTCTCAACCTGCTTAAGAGTATGCATGAGTAGTCTATAGTATCACACTTAATGGTAAAAGACCACATTTTTTCTCCCTTTGATAAGAAAAGATATCTACTCTGACCACTTAAATTCAGCATTGTACTGGATACTGTAGCCAATGCAATAAGGAAAGCAAAAGACAAAAACGTCATCCAGTTGAAAAACAAACAGTGAAAAATAGGTTTATTAATATGGGACATGATCTTCTACATAGAAAATCTGGTGAAATTCACAAAAAAAGTGCTACAACTAAAAATGAGGTTAATAAAGTTGCAGGACATAATGTACAAAACTCAATTGTATTTCTATATACCATCAATAAAAAGCTGAATTCTTAGAAACATACAACCTACTAAAATTGTAAGAAATTAAAAATCTAATCTTGCCAATAATGAGCAAAGAGATTGAGTCAGTAATTAAAAACTCCCAACACAGAAAATCCCATGGCCTGATGACTTCACTGGTGATTTTTACCAAACATTTACAGAAGATTAATGCCAAGCCTTCTCAAACTCTTCCAAAAATTAGATAGCAAGAACACTTTCACACTTATTTTACAAAGGCAGCAAAAATCCTCAACAAAATACTAGTAAACAAAATTCAACAACACCTTAAGAGATCATACACCATGATCAAGTGGAATTTATTCCTAGGATGCAAGAATGGTTCAACATATACAAATCAAGAAATGTGATATGTCACATTAAAAGACTGAAGTATAAAAACCATATGATCATATCAGTATATGCAGGAAAATCATTTGACAAGTATTATTTCATGATAAAAAATTCTCAACAGATTAGTTACAGTTTATTCAACACAATAAAGGCCATATACAATAAGCCCACAGCTGATATTATACTCATTGGAGAAAAAGCTGAGAGTTTTTCTTTTAAGATCAGGAACAAACATGCCTACTTTCCCAAAGTCTATTTAATATAGTACTGGAAGTCTTAGCCCGAGCAATCAGGCAAGAAAAAGAAATAAAAGCGCATCCAAATTGGAAAGGAAGAAGTGAAATCGCTATTATTTGCAGAGGACATGATTATAAAGACTCCACCAAAAAATGCTGGAACTAATAAACAAATTTGGTAAAGTTGCAGAATATAAATTTAACCTACAAAAATTCTCATTTCTTTATACTAACAATGAATTATCTGAAAAACTAATCAAGAAAATACCATTTATGATAGAATCAAATATAGAATACTTAGAGATAAATTTAATCAAGACAGTGAAAGATCTGTATGCTAAAACTTATAAAACACTGATGAAAGAAACTGAAGACAGCACAAGTAAATGGCAGTATATCTATGTTCATGGATTTGAAGAATTAGTATTTTTAAAGTGCCCCAAAGCAATCCACGGATTCAGTGCAATCCCTCATTTCAAAATATACTGAAAAGGTATATTAATCAAAACAGTATGATATTGGTATAAAAACAGACATGTAGCCCAATGGAACAAAACAGAAAGCCTAGAAATAAATTCACCTATTTACAGTTAATTGATCTTTGGCCAAGTTCCCAAGAACATATAATGGGGAAAGGACAGTCTCTTTAATAAGTAGTGTTGGGAAAACTGTATATCCATATGCAGAAGAATGAAATTTCACCCTTATTTCACACCATATATAAAATCTAATTCAAATAAAAACACCTAAGACATAAGCTGTAAAACTTTCAGCAGAAAACATAGGGGAAAGGCTTCTTGATACTGGTTTTGGCAACTTTTTTGGGGGGAGGAGGGATTTGAACCCAAAAGCACAGGCAACATAAATAAAAATAGACACATAAGATTATATCAACTACACAGCTTCTGCAAAGCAAAGGCAACAACCAACTGAGTGGACAGAAAACCAACAGAATGGGAGAAAATATCTGCAAACAATGTATCTGATAAGGGGCTAATATTCCATATTTATAAGGAAGTGAAACAGCTCAATAGTAAGAAATCAACTGAATTTTAAAAAGACGCAAAGCACCTGAATAGATATTCCCCAGAAGATGAGATGCAAATGTTCAACAGTATATTAAAATATGCTCTTTATGGCTTATCATCAGGGAAATTCAAATCAAAGCCACAATGAGCTATCACCTCACACCTGTTAGAATAGCTAGTATCAAAAAGACAAAAAAGTAACTGTTGGTGAAGATGTGGAGAAAATGAAGCCCCTGTATGCTATTGGTGAAAATGTACATTAGTGCAGCCATTATGAGAAACAGCATGGGGATTCTTCACACATTACATACTACTAATCCAAATTAAATACAGAACTACCACATGATCCAGCAATTCCATATTCCGCTATGGGTATACATCCAAAAGAAACGAAATCAATATCTCAAAGAGATGTCTATACTCCCATATTCGTAGCAGCATTATTCACAATAGTCATGATATACAATTAACATAAATATCCATCAACTGATGAATGAAGAAAATGTGGTATATATGTACAATGGAATAGTGTCCAGCCTTAAAAAAAAAAAGAAAATCCTGTAATTTGCAACAACATGAATGAACCTGGAGGATATTATGCTTAGTGAAATACACCAGGCACAAAAGACAAATGCTGCGTGATCTCACTTATAGGTGGTATCTTAAGAAGTCAAATTCACAGAAGCAGAGAACAATAGAATGATGGTTGCCTGGGACTGGGGGCAAAAGGGGGGAGGATGAGGAGATGTTGGTTAAAGTCTACAAGATATCAGCTCAACAGTAGGAATAAGCACTGAACATCTATTGTACAACATGACTACTATAGTTAATAATAACATACTGTATACTTAAAATCACTAAGAAAGTCAATCTTAAATATTCTCACTACCAAAAATAATAAGGATGTGAGCTGATGGACATGTGAAGTAGCTTGATTTAATCAGTTTGCAATCCATACATATATCCAAACATTACTATAAATATACACTATTTTATTTGTCAATTAGACCTTAATAAAGCTGGGGGAAATAATGCTGGAAATTGAAATTTTAAAATTTAATTTCAAAATAGGAAATACATAGGAACAAATCTGACAAAGATATAAAAGATGTGTACCCTAACATGTGTAAAACATTGCTGCACAACTTAAAGACCTAAATGAATGGGAAGATATACTATACTGTGTTCATGGGTCAGAAGCTTCAATATGATTAAGCTGTCAGTTCTCCCATATCAAAATCCTAGTGTGGTTTCTTTAATAGAAATTGAACAATCTCATTTTAAAAGCTATAAGGAAATGCAAAGGACCTAAATTAGCTAATACAACTTTTAAAAAGAATAAGGCTGGAGAGCTAACACTCCCAGATTTCAAGACTTATAATAAAATTCCAATAATCAAGATACAAGCAATTGATTTTTTACAAGGTGCAAAGGCAATTAGCTGGGCAAAGGATGTCTCTATTTTAAATGGTACTGGAACAACTGGATATCTACATCCAAAAATATTAACTTTAATGTATACCTTGAACAGTATAGCCCTGGATTTATTAATTTTTTATATTTCATTGATTTTATTTATCTTATCACATTGGCTGTGACTTCCAGGAAGTCTTGGGCTCAGAGATGGTGAAACATATAGTTCTAAATTAAAACCTAGAACTCTAAAACTTCTAGAAGAAAACATAAGAGAAAACCTTTTTGACATTGGGGTATGCAAAGATTTCCTACTCCTCTAAAAGTATGCAGCAATAAACAAATTGATAAACAGGACTTCATAAAAATTTTAAATGTCTACTCATCAAAAGACACTGTTAGGAAAATGAAACGATAAGCCACAATCTGAGAAAATATTTACAAACCATATGCCAGATAAAGAACTTGTATCCAAAATATATAAGGAGCTCTTGAAAGTCAATAATAAGAAAACCCAATAAATAAAAAGATACATGGGTGGGAAATAAGCACAAAGAAGGTGCCCAACATCATTAGTCATTAAGGAAATGATGATTACAACTACAAGAAGATACTTCTACATACATGTTTGCTTGACTAAAACTAAGATGACTGATCACACCAAGTGTTGGAAAAGATGTGAAAAAGCTAGGAGTCCCATACAACTGCTGGTGGAAATCTACAATGGTATGACTACTTTAGAAAGCAGCTTAGTGGTTTCTTAAAAAGTTAAACATCAGGCTGGGTGTGGTGGCTCACGCCTGTAATCCCAGCACTTTGGGAGGCCAAGGCGGAAGGATCACCTGAGGTCAGGAGTTCAAGACCAGCCTGACTAACATGGAGAAACCCCGTCTCTACTAAAAATACAAAATTAGCCTGGGCATCGTGGCACATGCCTGTAATCCCAGCTATTTGGGAGGCTAAGGCAGGAGAATTGCTTAAACCCGGGAGGCGTAGGTTGCGGTGAGCCGATATCGCGCCATTGCACTCCAGCCTGGGCAACAAGAATGAAACTCCATCTCAAAAAACAAAAAATAGAAAAGTTAAACATCTAACTACCATATGGTCCAACCATTCTTTTCCTCGATATTTGCCCAAGAGAAAGGAAAATATTTGTCCATACCAAGTCTTTTACATGAACGTTTGTAGAAGCCTTATTGGTAATAGCCCCAAACTGGAGACTACCCAAATATCCATCAACAGGTAAATGGTTAAACAAACAGCTATATTCATACAATGGGATATTTCTCAACAGAACAAGAATGAACTCTTGATACACACTACAACATGGATTCATCTCAAAATAATGAGGGTGAAAGAAGCCAAACAAATATGAGTACATACTGTATAATCCCACTTACATAAAATTCTAGGAAAGACAAACTAATAAATAGTGACAGAAAGCAGATCAGTGGTGGTCTAGAGGGAAGGATTGGCTGCAAAGGACACAAGGCAACATGTAGAGTAATGGAGATGTTCATTATCTTGATTATGTGATGGTTTCCCCACAGTATACACATATCAAAATGTATCAAATTGTACATTTCAAATCTGTGCAGTTTATTTTATGTCAATTATACTTCAATATTGCTGTGGTTTTTTAAAAAGAAAAACAGATACAGCAATTATTTTAGTGCCAGAATTCTTAAAATATCACCATACAAACAAAGTGGATTGATGAATCAGAATAAAGACGTAGATAGACTAATATTGATGATTCAGAATAAAGAGGTGGATGGACTACTTATTGACTGATTGACTGATTGAGACATTGGTCTCATTATGTTGACCAGACTGGTCTTGAACTCCTGGGCTCAAGGAATCCTCCTGTCTCAGCCTCCTTAATAGCTGGGCCTCAGGCAGGCACCACCATACCTACTTTTTTTTTTTCTTTTTTTTTTTCCTTTTTTACAAACAGGGTATGTCTGTGTTGCCCAGGCTGGTCTTGAACTCCTGGGCTCAAGGGATCCTCTCTCCTTAGCCTCCTGAGTAGCTAGGAACACAGGCACCAGCCAAGGCACCCTGCTGCATGGATTAATTTAAACGACCAGTTTTAGCAGAATTTATTTATTCTGGGTAGTGGAGTCTAAGTGCCTAAGTATTAAGTAATCAGTCTGATCACCTTCTGCCTTTTTACATCGGTTCTTCTTGTTAATGTGCATTCATTCACTAACTACTGAGCACCAACTGATAACCAGCAGTCTTCTAATAAAGTATTTTAAAAACATGAAGTCTCTATTTCATGGGACTTGCATTCTAGTGAGTGAGACAGATGATTAAAACGCAAAATGAATCGATAATTACCCTTAAGTGGATAATCATTTTGTGTACCTACTATGTATTAGACAATGGAAAGGAGAGGTGAACAAGCTAGGGTTCCTGTCGCCTTGGGAATGTAATGCCCAAGCTAAGAGATGGACATCAAAGAAGTGATTATAATAAAGTGTATGCCATGGGACTGCATACTGGGGAAGCAATTTTCAAAGGGGTCATCTTAGACAGCCAGAGAAAATGAGGTGGAAGCTGACATTTTTGCTCTCCTGAGTAGCTATTTTGCAGCTATGTTTCCTAAAGTTTGAGGGTTATATTTAGGATAGGCCTCCAGATGGTCCTATGTGATCAAATTACAATCTGACTTCTCTGAAGTACCAAAAAATAAAGTATAGATAATGTATAAAACACCAGACACCCAGCCCCAGCAATACAGAAGATAATAGGTCACTGTGGCCAAGAAATATTTAAATTGTGATCAGAGTATATTTTAGTCATTCCTAAATAGATGAAATATCTAGTCCCCAAAACTTTCTATTTTCATATCTTTAGAACATGTGTCTATTTTTAGCTTCATTATCATAGTACATAAAGGTCAATTAGCAGAAGCATTAAATTCTGAGTAATGCCAATGTCTACCTACTAAGAGAGAATGAATTCTTTAAACACAGCAAGGAAAGAATGCGCACACATCAAAGGCGCTATACAGAGGGCATAACTCTCAGAGGTGCTTAAATTCTAAATCAAATCACCTTTCATATGTCAGCAAACATCTGAAACACGCACTCCATCAGTCAATATCAGATTTTCTGTGGTCAGAATCGTCTCCTTTTGAGTCCTTACTCAGGAAGAAACACAGAGTTTTTAGCATGAACATCAATAGTACTTCATGAGATAACATAAAAGGATAAATCAATTATTTTTTTCTACAGGGCAAAGTGGTCTTACAGGAAATTTGCTGTCAGTTTCATCCTATGAGACCAAGTCTTCACTAGAAAGTCAAATAAAGTCAACGACAGAAGCAAATAAGCATTCTTCTAATCACCTGGCTTTGGGAATAAGAGCAATTTCAGTGGTGCCAGAAGAGTAACTAGGGTTTTTTCTATCAGAAATATTTTTTATATCTTGTCCTTGAACTTTATCAGGTACCAAACCAAATTTTCATATATTTGGCATCCCAAATAGGCCATCAAGAAACCAGAATATTTGAGCTGGAAAGAGTTTGAAAGCGTCTAACCCAACCTCTTCAATTTACAGATGAGAAGACCGAAGCCTAGAAAGGGAGTCCAAGGTTTCTCTAATATCTCATTTTTATTCGTTCAATAAATATCTACAATATCCTATGCATGTGTCATTTAATTTCCATAACATCATTGGGACAGGAGTTATGCTAATATTTAGATGGGGGGAAAAGATGAGACTATGAAGTCTTGAAAGTTGTCGGAGTTATTAAGTGACAGAACTGGACTTCAAACCTACATCTTAAGAGACTCCCAGGCCAGTCATCTCTCTAATTTGACTCTGGCTGATGTCAGAAATGTTACAACCCATAGCTCTAGTGTTTAAACTTTTTCTCTCAGTAAAGCAAAAGGACTTGACAAAACTGCAACTATTTAGATTATTTTTTGCCACAACAAATTCTAAAATTTCCTTTGCTTACCAGTAGCCTCTGGCTAGGGTCTAGGGCTGTGGGTAATAATGCCGTTGTTGTGCCTTCAAACTCTTGGCTATGACCTTCTTTAGATGGGTTCTTACTGTGACCCCATTCCAGTACTTGCAGAATTGGAATAAATAAAGCATGGACAGTGTTCTTGGAGGAAAAGTTTAAACTTAAAGGATGCAGCTGGTTAGAGGTTGTTCCTGGGAAAAGGGTTATTGTATCTGAGGTCCCATCAGCCTCGCAAATACATCAGATCCTCAGAGGACCAGTCACCCACTATGAGTAAGATGTCCACAGCGACCTTTCTAAAATGCATATCTGATCATCTCTCTCCTCTCTTCTCTTTAGCCCTCTGGATAAAGTCCTCACTCATTAATAGGGCTCGCAAAGCTTTTGAGATATGGGCCATCTTTCTCCATCTCCATTCTTCCAGGACAATCTGACCACCACTCTGCTTTCTTCATACACGCATACCCACTTTCCATTTTCAGCCTCCCTAAACTTCCCTCTCACCTCCAGATCCGTGCACAAGCTCTTCAGCCCGTGAAACTCCCCTCAACCTTCAGGCCTCTGCTCAGATGTAAAACTCTCTGAGAAGACTTTCCTGTGGCCTCAAAACTGTAGGCAATGTCCCTAGACTGGACCTCCTGCTCTCTCCACTTCATAGCCTTATCACAACAAAAGGGAATCACCTGTTTAATTTTGTCTATTCACCACTATATTGTAAGCTCCCAATGCACCATTGTACTCAATGCCAGGCTTACTGACTGGCACACAGGAGACATATAATAATTATGTAACAAGAATAAATGCATGAATGAATGAATAAATGGATAAGTAATGTTATGACTTGGTCTATAAGAGTTATTATACTAAAGTTGCTTCAATTGAAAACAGCAAAAGATAATTAGAAGTTTAGATTTTTTTTCAAGTGATTTTTTGGAGAGGTCATGGGGTCAGCCTAATTCCGTGATCTGTAAACAAGACACCGCACAGAGGATGCACTGAATGCATATTCACCGTCTACATGTGAGAGGCTCCAGGACAATCCAGCTCTAAAGGATCATCCACCAACAAAGAGGTGACTCTAAAAGCAAACATACAACGTCTGCTACAGAATGTATTCCTCATTGATACTTAAATGGAACCTGAGAGAGACAGAGGTTTAATGAACAAAGACTCCAGAGGAGGGAGCCTGTCCCTGGGTAAAATGAAATCACTCCCGATTACCTGCGATCTACAGCAGTCATGAGCTCCTGTACACAATTTAAAGGTTATCTTGTAATTTAGAAAGAAAAAAAAATTGCCAATTGAACCTAATGGCAAGTGACACTTGGGCTCAGCCACGATTAGAATCAGGCAGCTTTCCTCGGGTGGTTTAGTAGCAGCAGCTTCCCTGTGTTCACAGAGGGTTAATTCTGTGATCCTTGGGGACACCTTAATGGCCCTGGTTATCCAAACCTTGATTCAGAGCAGAGGCCACAGATTATGTTTTCTCTGCACATCAACAGACATATTAGGACATGAAGTGAAGATGACAGGTGGAGAATATTTCCTTTCTCCTCGGAAATGCCCCAGGAGAGTTTTCTATGGCGACCTCCTCAGACCCTGGCTTTGCATTAGAGTTATTGTCCTGAGAGAAGATTCAGTTAGAGCCTCTGATTCATTTCTTATAGTGCTCTCTTGTTTATTCTTGGTGGCAGCTAACTTGTAAAATTTTATTATGTTTTTTTTTTCTTGGTTTGTGTCATGGAAGAGCTAAAAAACAAACAAACGATGATTCTATCATCAGTTCTAAATGCAGCTGTATAAATCCACACCAAGGCTGGATGTCTACAGGGGAAATGCAAGATAACAGCTTGTTCTCTTCCAAGTGGTCGTTCTCTGGGTTTAGATTTTGTGTTTCTAACAGCCCAGAAGACAAAGGGAGTGAGGGAGGAAAGCATAAGGCTTGTGGGTACTATTGGTATAGTGGTCATTGGTATATTGGATATATTGGTATATTGGTATATTGGATTTCAAATTCTATCCTCTGTCTACACTGGTATTAGGGTGATCCTTATCAAGCACAGTATGATCCAATCACCACCACTAATCAGTGATTCACCAAAATGACCATGGCTTGCTGTAATTGCCACATTGAGGGCTTTCCAGATTCTGCTGCCCGGAGCTTCAAACTATGTATGCCAACTATACTAAATACACAGTATCCATCATAGATTCACTTTTTCAAGACTCTATGCCCTGCTTGTACTTTTCTGTTAGAACACTGTTTATTTTCTCCCTCCATCCTTTTTTCCCTAACTGCTACTTATTTGTCCAGATTTAACTCAGATGTCATCTCTACCAAGCTGGTTCAACAACACCCTACTGAAATTAATCAATCTACTGAAATAACCCATTATATTTACTGTTTGTCAAAACTACTGTCTGCTGTTCGTGGTAGCTCACGCCTGTAATCCCAGCACTTTGCGAGGCAGAGGCACGCAGCTCACTTTTGCTCAGGAGTTCAAGACCAGCCTGGGTAACATGGTGAAACCCTGTCTCTACAAAAATATATTAAAAAATTAGCCAGGCGTAGTGGTGCATGCCTGTCGTCCCAGCTACTCAGGAGGCTGAGGTGGGAGAACTGCTTGAGCCCAGGAGGTGGAGGCTGCAGTGAGCTGGGATTGCACCACTGCACTATAGCTTGGGTGACAGAGTGAAACCTTGTCTCAAAAAAAGAAAACAAAACAAAACAGAAAACCTACCCTCTACATGAGCATTCAGACCATGATATATTCATCTTTATATTTCCAAAGCCTAGCACAGTGCTTGGTACATGATGGATATTCAAAACACCTTCACTGAACTGTTCATGCTTTAACCTAGAGGCCATTATCTCCAAGACAGGATACTCTTCAAAGCTTGGTGGGTATTCCCTTATTTGCTCATGTAGCAGACTATTTAATCTCACTTGTAACATTAATTAGCATTTCTTTAAATTTGTCTATCTTTCCCTCTGGATCAGAAGCTTCTCAAGGGCAGAAAGTACATCCTCTTTGTTCACCAGGGCATGCCTGGAGCCACGTACAGTGCCTAGAACAAGATACGTGTTTAGTAGAAACCTGCTGAATAAATAAATGAATGAACAAGGTATACAGACAAAAGGCCCCCTTCACAACGACCCTCTGGAGTTCAACAGTTTGAAGTGCCTTGATTGTCCCTTAAAAGGTGAAAAGAAGGAGGAAGAGGAAAAAGATTAAAGTTAATGAACATAAATAAGAGGAAAGAAAGGAAACCGTTATCTTTAACTGACTATGCACAGACCCTGTGCTGGCCATTTGGTGTGTGTGACTTCACTTAACCTCTGCAAGTCTCTGTGGTAGAAAATGGATTCTGCTTCTGTTTAGAAGTGATGAGAAAGGCCCAGGAAAGCAGAGCATGGGGTCGGCATGGGAAGGAAACGCTGAAAAAGGATTTAGTGAGTGCAGACAAGTCTTTTGTCCTGGAGATGTTTTCACCAGCCCTTGGTATTTTATTGCCCTCCCCCTCTTCCCTGCCTCTCTCAGATGCTGAGGACAACTAATAACCACCAAGAAAGTCAGATGGTTCCCCATTATATCCATACAAGTTCAAATTTCCATTAACTCCACAAGGTTTTGCTGTTTCTACTGACTATTTCATCTTGCCCCCCATTTCCCAGCATTCTCGGATCTAAAATATGCATCAGGAACTCTAGCGTCTCAGTAACGGTAAGCTGTAGTCATGCATTTCATCAACAAGAAGCCACAATTTTATATTCACTGGCTAATGATGCTGTCAATCAGTTTTCCTCCTATCCTGCCAAAATCCTGACTGCCTGTTTGCATGACCTTCTCAGTGTGTTTATACACTTTGGGAATACTCCCATTGAGATTTCTTCATGGCTTCAACACATCTTCAATTCCCTTAGAATTGGGCAGCCAAGTCCCTCCCTTCTGGGATCAGTAATCTGGATTTCCATTAGCTGGGTTGGTGTTCCTTAATCTGAAATTCCTGACTAAAACACCAGGTCTTGGACAATTTCCCAAATGTAGTAGAAGATGAATTCCCTTCTCCTTCTATGCATCTATTCATCTTCTATGCAACCAGGACCTTTCGTATCTCTTCTTGTTAAAGAACGGCTCTCTGTTCCCTTTGAGTGCTCCCTTTCCTACCTTTTGTACCACATTCCTGAATCATTGTAAACTCCCACCAGGTCAACAGTGGGACTAAGAAATGATGAAGATCATAGTCCCTGGATGACAATGTGGACTTGGATTTCACTGCAGACACTGTACGGGTAGCTGGAGCAGTTGGTATGTCTGTCAAATGTGCAAGAAACTCATAATGGTAAATTACGCTGTTCCTAGGCTCACACATCCGAGGGCTGCAGAGAAAATGAGAGGTTCCCAGAAAGCTTCTACTCTCTGCCTTAGGGATCATATAAATCTCACATTTGAGAGTGGGCTTGAGAAGTCAAGGGCATCATTACTATGTCATCTTATTCTGCAGTTTTGAGGCCAATGAAATAATGTAAATAGCAGATTGTGTCCATGATGCAAAAGATGTTCACAGAATCAAGTAAGACACATTTCACTCTCTAGATAAGTGATATAGCACAGACCAGCATGTGAGAGATTTTCAGTTTAAATACAGCTCAGACTCCATTATTTATCATTATTAATAATTTGAATTATTTTTAATGAAGATAATCATCTTATGTTCATCACAAATTAATTTGAATAATCTACAACCCACTCACCCCAAATCTCCTCCTCAGCCTAAATCTCAATTAATGCCCCCAGAACTCTAAACCAGAACCTTAGAATTATCTCTGACATCTGAATCTTCTTCTTGCCTCTCTTTCTCTTTCTCTCACCTCTATTAAAAAGTCTCTCCAGTCCACTTTTTATTTATCTCCACTGGCATTTCCTTTGTCCAGTGATTCTCAACATTTTTAACATTATCATCTTCCTAAAACGCCTTTTAACACATTTTTTCTCATCTCTTCCAATGAAATTTTAATGTCACAGATAAACACTGTGTATCTGGTAATGCACTGTGTGTATAACTGTGCTTTACACATTTAAAAGCTAAACTTGTTATCAACCCTCAAGAACCAAATTTTGCTACCCCTGGGGTGATACCACTCTGTTGAGAAGATATGCCTTTATCAAGTTCACTGTCATCTTACTCTTGCTCAGCCCCATGCCATCAACCCAACCCTAGCAACGTCGGGCTCCAAAGTGCTCAGCAACTTCTCTGCACATTCCCGTAGCTTACTGTGTCCTGCTGTCCTTATGGCCTGCTTTGCTGTGGTCTGCCACACCATGAAAAAAAACTTCTGTATACTCCCTGAACCACAGGATACCTGTAGGCTTTTGAAGATTTGAGGTTCTTGCCCGAAGAAAAAAATATTTTACATAGGTAACCTCCACTCCCTGCCCCCTTCTTCATTACTCTCTCTTCCCCATCTTGTTCCAGTACAAGTAAAACATTTCTCTCCTCACCTAGCTCATATAGATCCTCTCATAATCTAAGCCACATCTCAATAGGACTTATCAAGGAATGGTGACTGAACATATAGAAGGCACCCCAGGAAGGAGTTCTGACAAATGCAACGGCCTCCAATTTCTTTCTTCTTTTTTTTTTTTTTTTTTTTTTTTTTTGACAGAGTCTCACTCTGTAGCACAGGCTGAAGTGCAGTGGCACAATCTCAGCTCACTCCAACCTCCGCCTCTTGGATTCAAGCAATTCTCATGCATCAGCCTCCCAAGTAGCTGGGATCACAAGGACATGTCACCACGCCCAGCTAATTTTTATATTTTTAGTAGAGACAGGGTTATGCCATGTTGGCCAGGCTGGTCTTGAACTCCTGGCCTCAAGTAATCCACTCACCTCAGCCTCCCAAAGTGTTGGGATTACAGACATGAACCACACTGCACCTGGCCCTGCCTCCAATGTCTTACACCTGTGCTTCTGCAATAATCTCCTTGTAGCTCTCCTTATATTTCTGACATCCCCTTTCTAAAATATGCATATCATTATTATACTCTAGTAGCCAAGATGCTCTTTCTAAAATAAAATCTTATCATTTTCCTCTTCTTTCAAAAATTATTGAATGGCCACTCTTTGCCAATAGGAGAAGAAAGTTTAATGATAATAATGATGATGATGATAATAGCATCATATACAAAAACTATCAGGATATGGCTGCTATTGTCTTCTTATCCCCATTGCTCATCATACTCTGTTCTTTTTCCAGTTTTCTGTACACCCATATTTTTTAGGTTCCATCTGTATTTTCAGGAAATCTCTTCTTCATCCTTCAAAACCCAGCTTATTTGGAACCATAAACTGGGCAAAGGTCCCAAACTCTGTGCTTATATGGCCTTCCAAGTAAACTTTTATATTAACAGTCATTATGATACATAATAATTGATACTATCTATAGTTTCTTCTGCCAGGCAGAGTTTATCTAAATACCTAGTGCTTGGCATACAGTGGCCACTCATTAATTATTTGTTGAATTGAATTGCACTGTTTTACAAGGATGCATGATCTAAAAAGAGTGCAATTGATTAAGAATCCGACAGATCTTTAAAGACAAAGATGAAGGTCTTTGAGAACCATGATCTCACAAGCATGGCTTCCAGATACATGCAGGTGGGAGAGAAGCTCTTTCCATTAGGAGTAGAAGCCCTTCTCCTGCCCTGTGGCTGCTGTAAAGCCCAGAACACCAAACTGCCATAGCATAATGACAGATGAAAGCTGCAAAATTAAATTCAAGCTCATCTTGCAATTTTGTGTTTAGCCTTCTGTTGCCAACTAGGAGGTGCTTACACAACAGCTTAAGGGTTTACCACTAATGCCTTCCTTAAGACAGTATTGTTTGCTGGCAGTCAAATCTCCACACTAAATTGCTGGTTGTGGTGGTGGCTGTGTTAGATAGGGAAAAGTCACAAAAAAAAAAAACCAATGGGATTAATCTTTCAGCTGTAATCCATTGTTGCTGGGTGGGAACAATGACTTTTGAGTTTCATTATGGCTCCAAATGAAATGGATGGAAACATCCCCCTCCATAGTCTATATTATGAGCCTTCATTTGGGGTTTCTTATAATGTAGGCTTATTCTCTCTCCTCTGAACTTGACCATGTTCATTCCTCAAGGTCAGGAGAAAGGGGATTTCTTATCTTTCCCTGGTTCATCTCCAGATCTCAAGTTTACATTTGATTTCACGAAAGAGAACTATCTCACCAAAATCAGTATTAGTGTGAATTGTAGTTGACTTTGACACTTTCCTCAAATTTTGCTGACAATTTCTACCTAAACTGTGATTCTAAAAAAAAAAAAATCTTAATAGATGGATTGTGTTAATGAAGTGGGAACAAATTGGACTGGTTAAGGCTAGGGAGGAATTTTGCTTTAATCTGTCTGGGAAAGAGATGAATGCCATGTGGTCAAAAAGAGGGCCCTGGAATCAGTTTGATCTGAGTCTATAATTCATGCTTTTGCAAGTTCATTTTTTCAAGTAGACTTTTTACTGAAGTCTAACATATATAAAGTAATATCCCAAATTATAAGTGTGCAGCTAGATGAGTCTTCACAAACTGAACACAGCCATATAACTATTACGTTGGTGCAAAATTAATTGCAGTTTTTGTAATTGCCATTACTTTCAATGGCAAAAATGCAGTTACTTTTGCGCCAATTGCACCCAGATAAATGAACATTACAATAAACACAGGAGCTCTGTTCATGTAACCTTGGTCACTACCAAGCCTCAATGTAACAATTATCCTGACTTCTATCACCCTGCATTAATTTTGCTTGCTTTGTTGTACAATCATACAACATGAACTATTTTGTGGCTGCTTTCCTTTACTCAAATATTTGTGAGATTCATCCATGTTTGTATACAGCTATAATTCATTCATTCTCAGTAATGTATAGTATTCCATTGGGTTAACATACCACAATCATTTTATCTATTCAATTGTTGATAGATATTGAATTGTTTTCACATTAGGGCTATTACAAAGAGGTCTTCTATGAGCATTCCATGAACATGCCTTTAGGTGAACACGTTATGTGTTTCTGAAAAAGTACCTAAGAGTGAAACTGCTAAGTCACAGAGTAACTTATGTTCACCTTTTCCCGACCTCAATTTCAAATTTACCCTTCCTACTCTTCTTGGGTGACATTAAATAAGTCACTTACGATTCTCAAGCCTATTTCTCCATCAGTGAATGGACAGAGTTCGTGTTAAAAAGTTGTTTTAAATATAAAATCAAGTGGCCAGGCACAGGGGCTCACGCTTGTAATCGCAGTACTTTGGGAGGCCAAGGCATGCGGATCACAAGGTCAAGAGATTGAGACCATCCTGGCTAACATGGTGAAAGTCCGTCTCTCCTAAAAATACAAAAAATTAGCTAGTTGTGGTGGCACGTGCCTGTAGTCCCAGCTACTCGAGAGGCTGAGGCAGGAGAATAGCCTGAACCAAGGAGGCGGAAGTTGCAGTGAGCCAAGATTGTGCCACCGCACTCCAGCCTGGCAACAACAACAACAACAACAACAACAACAACAACAAATATATATATACACACACACACACACATATATATATACACACATATATATACACACACATATATATACACACACACATATATATATACACACACATATATATACACACACACATATATATACACACACACACACATATATATACACACACACACATATATATATACACACATATATATACACACACACATATATATACACACACACACATATATATATACACACATATATATACACACACACATATATATACACACACACACACATATATATATACACACATATATATACACACACACACATATATATATACACACATATATATACACACACACATATATATACACACACACACATATATATATACACACACACATATATATATACACACATATATATACACACACATATATATACACACACACATATATATACACACACACATATATATATACACACATATATATACACACACATATATATATACACACACACACATATATATACACACATATATATACACACACATATATATACACACACACACACATATATATACACACATATATATACACACACATATATATACACACACACACACATATATATACACACACACACATATATATACACACACACACATATATATATACACACACACATATATATACACACACATATATATATATACACACACACACACATATATATATATATTTTTTCAAGTAACTTAAAGCATCTGGCACAGTTCTGATGTATAAGTAATATTTGTCCCAAAGATGTTTAGTGCTCACTGAATAATCTACATGCTCCCCTATCTTTCCTGTCCTTTGTGAAGATCGACTGGGACATATGCCATGAGTTTTGGTCGATGGGATGTGAATGGAAACGAGCTGTGCTGCTTCTGGGCCATGAAGCCACCCATTCAGTTCTCTCTTCTCTGCTTCAGAGCCCTGGCAAGCAAGTGTTGAAGCAGTGGCATCACAAGAGGATGGGATTCTCCAGGGTCCCCGAGGAACTGTATGGAGCAGAAACTTTGCCAACTGGCATCGACATGTTATATAAACAAGACAGAAATTTTTGCAGTGTTGAGTCACTGGAATTTCTAGGTTACATTATTACTGCAGCATACCATAGACTATCTGGAAAAATACAATAATCAAAGGATGAGATATGGCTCCACCCCAATGAAACCACTAGAATTTCCCTTCAAAGAGTGGTATGACTCAGGTTCAACACAGACATCACATATTACTTCATTTCTGAATGACAACGAAATCTTTTCTTACACTAAAGAGGAAAATTTGAAAGTGATCTTTTGCTGGAACGTGTTAATTGAAGAATCTCTCTTCTCTGTTAAGAAACCAGATTGTAATTCCAAAACTGTGTCTGATGTGCCCCAAACATAGCATTGCCGTCTAAAGAGAAGGCCCTTGGTGATTATTAGTTTAAAAAAATAAAATTCTCTCCCACCAGGTTCAAAGCCAGCCTCATTCTTTTGTTCCTGTAAAGACTTTCTTTCTTTATGTTCCCTGGTGTCTATATGGCCTATGAGCTTTCTCCTAATGATTAAACTCCTAAAAATACTACGAAGCATGCTTAATAAGGCTTTTGTGTTTTTCTGGTTGCTATAGAGACTATTTAGCATAGGACTTTAAGTACGTGTAAATATGTATTTTGGGTAGTGTTCAAAGACACGTATAATTTACTCAGCCATAACAGCTACTTCAGAGTGTTGCAGTTCAGTATGATAAGGCATATGTAAAGCATTTTATAGTGTGTTATTTATAATTATTTGCTTAACAGCCTACAACAGCTTCTTCCATTGTGTAAAGGAAACAGGCATTTACCCTGTTTTAACAATGAATATCATTTACTCCATTGTAGCAATTGATAGACTTGGGCACCATGCAGGCTGGTAAATATGCAATTGGTATAATGTTGACGCAGGACAGAAACCATGTTGACAGAGAGTTACTAGGAAAACAAAGGGTCCTGCTGCTGAAGACTTGAGCTCATTAGAGAAGTTGTTAACTGAGCTACTCTGGCAGGAGAGGAAACCCCTGGAAAGAGGCCACTATCTGCTTTGAAGTCCCCCCCAGGGACGTACCCATGAGTGAAACAACAGAGATAATGGCAACAACAACTAATAGTTATTAAGTACACTTGACTATGGACCGCAGGCATGGTGCTAAGTGCTTCACATTCATGATCTCATTTAATCCTCTCAACACCATAACCCTATGAAATGAGTACTGCCATTATCTTCACTTGTTGCATAAGGAAATTGAGTCAGTGAGGTTACACAACTTGCTCAAGATCATCACAGGAAGATGGTGGATCCAGGAGTCAAATCCCGTACATATTCCTCCAAAGCTTGTGCTTTAAATTAAGTGTTGCTCCACATCACTGATGTTCCATCAGGGATTTCTTGAGCTACATCAAGCTTTCTCAGCAATATATCCACTAGACCTGCAGCACACACATTTTCCAAGCACAATGAGTTTTGGGCAATGTTCACTTCTACTATCTAAAGAAAAAGACGAGATCTCCACTGTTCAGATACCTTACACATGTCATCTTTTAAGCCTCACGCATCTTCAGCTCATAGACTTCATCACCCATTTTGTTCAGACGAGGAACTAACTCTCAGGACAGTCCTGTCTAACATGACACAGTATGCATGTAAAAGAGCCAGTACTCAATACCAGATCAGGTATAATTCAAAAACCCTTCTCATTATTAAAAAGCACAGATACACATGTTTCTCAACTATGGGACAAGCTGTTCCCCAGGGGATGTTTGATAATACCTGGAGACATTTTTGGTAGTCACAGTGGGTGGGGGAAATACTATTGACGTCTAGTACGTAGAAGCAAGGATGCTGCTAAACATCCTACAATGCATAGGACAGCCTCCCACAACAAAGAATTATCCATCTGCAAATGTCAATAGTGCTGAAGTTGAGAAACGCTGACTTCATGTAATTAAATACAGGCCAAGATGGAACAGGCAACATTATGTCTGTTGAAGTTAAGTTTAAATTATGCTGGTTGTTCATTTATCTGCTAAGCTGGAAAAATGGATTTTATGATTTAGGATTTTAAAACTTTGAAGAGTCAAATCTTCATTTGTATATCCAGTTGTTTCAGAAAGGCATATAAAAGGTACTCATACCCCAAAATATGTTCAAGGAAACTTGTGATCAGTATGGACCCTTCTAGCATCTTAAATGAGATGGTAAGAGGCTCTGAGCTCATTCAGATACAGAGAAAGCCAACAAAGAATGTTTATCTGGATATTAAGCTTGATGAAGGCAAGAAATTGTCTGGTTAACTACAGTTTTTGTCTTTCCAATTATAGTAGGTAGCGCATGGTCAATGCATGCTCATCACATGCTCTAGTGAGTAACTGGTTCCCAGTAAGAACCATGTAATGGCTCCAGATGAATCCACCTTATCTCTCCTCCCCGATCTTTTCCTCATATCTCTCACAACTATATACTCACTGAGTCAGTCAGTTAATAAGTATCTACGGCATATGCATTTCCTCTGGGATCTCTACTAGACTGGAACTTGTTCTCATCACTATTTTGATTTCTGAGAAAATGAAAAATCTAGTATCATTTTTGCAAAATACATTAAGCTCTGTAAGGACAGATGACTCTTCTCTGATTTATTCAGAGCTGCATCCTTGAATGTATCCTCTTCTAGGATAGTATCTGGCATATAGGAGTTGTCCATTAAATATTTGTTGGCTAACGAAATAAATGAAATTACCATATTCTATGATGATGGGAAAACCCAGAAAACAGGAATAAAGTTCAAGAAGAACCAGATTACTTACAAAATAGAAACACCAGGGTAAAACCAGTTCTAGACAAGTGTTGGATGGGTATACACAGGTACGAGCTATACCTGCAGGATGGAGAATGGAAAGGCATTCTAGAAGAGAAAGAAGTCCAGGGAAGTCTGAGGAGTAGAGACAGCTGACAGCTACCCTTTCGGTAAGATTCATTGTCCACTTACTCTCATCACTGGGGCTCCCTTGAGGGGAGCAAGCCTTATGTTTTAGGTATTTATACTTTGTTACCTAATGGATCCAACCTTCTGATAGTTGTTAGAGATATGGCCCTGGATTAATAGAAGTCCTTCCCTGGACTTTAGGATTCACCCTTAGAAGTAAGAATAAACACAATTATCCTTTATGGAGCATTTTTCCATGTGTCAGATGCTAAGCCAGATAGTTTATTTCTATTCTATTTACAACTTAATCTTAACTGAAACACCGCAAGGAAGGTACAACCATTCCCATTTTGCAGTTGAGGAAGCTGAGAATAAACTCTGCATAATGGCTAATTGCTTTTGGCTTTACAAAATAATGCATTCTAAGGAGAGAGTGTGAAGTTTCTGGGAGGGAACTCCAGCTAAGAGAGTGGTGATGATCTTATAATGCAGTGTTGGTCCTTCATGTCATCATGGGCCTAGCTCAGCTCAAATCATGCAGCTTTGCTGGGATTCCCAAGCAGGAAGTATCTAAGCAGGAAGCTGGAAGTGGTTAAGAGGTTTTGAAAAAATTAGCCAACCTAGAAGAGCCATAATAAAAGGAGATCAGCAGTGTCAATCATTGAGTCCAAAAGGATGTAAGGAACTCTAGGATCAATATCCAGCTGGTCTGGACCATGGGCATGAGTTAGAGAGCAGTCCAGTTGTCAATGGAAGGAGGACCTCACATCAGACAGGTGCACAAGCATTAGGATGAGGTTTATACAATTCTAGGAGAGGGCTGCAAGACATGTGGTCCAGCCCTGGACATCTGGGCTGTCTTGAATTAGATGAGGGGTCCATACTACAGCCCATGGGATAGACACAGGTCCAAGATGCACTTGGAGCATCAGGCTGAAAGAACATTAGGATTAGGAAAATCTCTGATGGAAAGGAGGGGGTAGGAAGAATCTATTTGGCAAATATTTGTTGAGATTTTTTTATGTGCCTGCCATTGGGAATATAGTCGTAGGCAAGAAACAAATGCTGTCTCCACCGAGTTTACAGTCCAGCAAGGCAGACAAATGAGATATAGGTAACCTTCTGGTCAGCCCTGCTACAACATTCACCAATGGAGAAGGTGTAGCTGATCTTCTATGATTTTGCTACTCAAAATGTGGTTCACAGACCAGCAGCATCAGCAACACCTGGGAGTTTATTAGAAAAAAAAAAAAATCTCAGGCCTCATCTCAGAGCTCCAGAATCAGATTCTGCACTTTGGCAAGATCCCAGGGGACTCCTATTTTCATTAAACTTTGAAAAGCGGTGGTCTGCAAGCCCTCCTTCCAGAGCACAGTCTTTGGTGTACGCCACCAGCACATGGGGGTCTGTCATCTCCTGACACAGACGTCCTCAGAGATATGAAGGTTATATCAGATTCAGCAGAGAACAGGCAAAGGGGAAGCAAAGTGTATTCTCAGGAGCTCCTGGAAATAATTACCGTTCTCTTAATAATAAATGAATAGGCTGCAGTCCCAGAACACATTGAGAACAAAGCAAAACATGTCAATATAAAATCCAGCAAATAAAAGAATCAATTTAAAATAGATTTCTCTAAATGGTTTGCCTGCTTGGGCTAAGTGCCCCGCCTCTGGGCTCACATAGCATATTGTGCTTATTCCTGCCTCAGTTCTTACTTTTTGATCTTGAACTTTCCTGACTATAATTTCTTTGAGGACCCTTTTCCCTCAAAAGACAAGAAAAGGATCCTGGCCCCAAAAAGGATTAGAGACAGCTATAAAAGGCTAAAAGAATAGTTCTCTATATGACATACTTTCAAAAGAAGAATAATATAGGCAGTTCCAAATTCCTTCACAAATATGGACTGAAAGGTTCACTCCCCATCCCCATTACCCAATACCTCCCACCCCCTTGGAACATTCTAGACTCTCAGTGTCATGTGTCAGCAATTAGTATTTGCCATCACAGTGAGTGGAGTCTGTTCTTTTCCGAGACTTTATGTACATTCACCAAAGACAACAGAAGACACTCACATATCTATGCCCTTCGATGGTGCCTTCCCATGAGAACTCTGGCTTGGCCACATAAGTTGCTTCAACATATAGGACAGAAGCAAACTCAATACAAGCAGAAACTTAAAGAAACATTTCTATTTTCTCTCTCTTGTTCAGTAGGAGCCTGAACAAGCCTGGATTTGCCCACTGGAGGATGAGAAGACGCTTGAAGCAGAGTCCAGAACACAGAGAAGAGTCCAATTAAGATCAGCAAAGCTGCCTAACCAACCCACACCTACCTACCCATAGAGAAATGGATGAGCTCTACCAAGCCCAGTTCACCCCAGTGGAAATGACTACCCATCTGCATATGCAAAGCTGAATAAATGCTTATCACTTGAAACCATTGGGTGTGGGGTTTTTATGCAGCAATAGCTAACTGCTACAAGCCACCAAGTAGAAGATGCTTTCCTTCAGAGAACACCTAATTTCTTTTTACATACAAACCCGCTTTGCATTTGAATTTCTTGCTAAGGCTGAGCAGGCTTTAGGTATGAAAAAAAATAAAGAAAAAAAGTCATAGGAACAGACCTTGCCTTCAAGTATGCTCATATTTTGATGACACTTAGAAGGTCACTTAGAAACTGCTTTGAGTCAAGAAATTATCCCCAGAGGCTATTAAGAACATTTTTAGGTTCTATTTTGCTTCTTATTGTCTATGAAGGAAAACTCTGTAAATTAAATCTTGTGTGAATATGAGTAGTAGAGAACAAATTGAACTAATTTAAACAATTAAAGGGAATAAGTAATTAAGGGTGCATGTGTCAGGATTTTTTTAGTTGTAAAGGACAAAAACCAAACTTACACCAACATAAGCCAAAAATAAGGCACACATTAACTCATGTGACTGAGGAGTCATCCAAGGATGTTCTGATTTGAGTCACAATTGAATCCTGGAACTTATTACGTTCTGTTGTTTCCATCTTTGCCACTGGCCCATGTGTCCTTCAATCCTCTGGGAAAGATATCCATTCAGCACATCTCCCCAAATTCCAAATTCTCCCCTGTTCCAAATTCCAGGCTCTAGAGCTCTGACTCCAAATTTCAAATAATCAGTGAAAGGAAACCTGATTGTCCGGCTGCACGTCAGGTGTGTACCTCTGATCTCATCTTCTGTCATATGGCATGCAGACAGCTTGGTAGACCTGGCCACTCTCAAATAGAACCATTGCGCAAACACCCCCAAAGCTAATGTCACCTGAGACATTTTTCTACTCTCCCCTCCTGTCTCACTTCTTTCTCTGCCCTCACTGTTCTCCAGCATTCATTTTCCATATGTAGGATGGTGTTGAAAATGTTTACAAACTGAATATTTGTTTTTAAAAGGATAGGTGACATAAAACCTGTGTCATTTTATTTTCCTCTTATGTCTGTTTTGCTTTTAAATAAATACATTCATCTCATGGAATGAAGGGGAAAGAAAGACAGGTAGAATGTTAATACCCAAAGTTAGATTGTTAATAATCTCAGAGGCTCTGTTCCTGACAAGATGTGTGACTTTCTAAAAGTGGCTTCACTTCTCAGAGCATCATTTTCTGAGCTATTAAATTCTCAGCAGAGGTTATAAAGTCTACCTTGGATGTTGGCTTCAGAGAGTCTGTAAAGCTCTAGATAAAAGCAAGTTCTAATTCAATGACAATAACGACGACTGCTATCACCACTGTTACTGCAAATAATGACAATAACAAAT
The DNA here is from genome assembly GCF_000001405.40 of Homo sapiens. Lineage (NCBI taxonomy): Eukaryota > Metazoa > Chordata > Mammalia > Primates > Hominidae > Homo > Homo sapiens. Next base: position 80,204,588 of record NC_000016.10, read on the forward strand.
GATGTGGGGCTCAGGATTCAACAAGGTTTGGGCACTCATGAAACAAACCATGACAGCTGAGTGTCTCTTCCAACGCCTTTGAACCTCACTCGGTGGCCTTCAGTCTGATGAGCTGGCTGTGCTCTCCCAACTTCTGCCTTAGTGTTTGTTTATATCTTTGCATGTATGTGTGTATCTCTGATTTCCGACTTTATTTCTCTACCTCCTTCCCTCTGACTCTATCTTTGTCTCTCACTCCCTCTCCCCTTTCTCTCTTTCTGTCATTGTTTGTCTGTCTTCTGTCCTCCCTTAGTTTCTTACTTTGTCTCGCCTCCCCACATTCCTCTGTCTACCTTCCTTTCTCTCTCTTTCACTCACCCTCTCTAGTGGCCTTGGCACTAGATGGATTTCCCCACCTTGCTTCTGCCACCCAATCTGGCATGACATGTGCTTCCTTTTCCCTGTCACAAGCAACTGTGTCCTGTCTTGACAGCTTAAACAACAACAACAAAATAGTTTGTGCCAACCTCCGGATGCTTAAGCCAACATGGTCTAGCTGACCCCCTGCCAGGGGAAGGGTTCACCCAGTTTGCCAAACATGAGGCCCATGTGAGCACCAAGGCACCAAGGAGTCACCTGGCTGCTGTCACCCAGACAGAGGTCCCACCCATTCCCTGGAAACCCCTAGGAGCAGGGGTTCTCTCCCCTATGATGTACCAAGAGCACTTCAGATTCAACATGCCTAAGACTAAACTAAAGTTCTCCCCACCCAAGCCTAGTCCCTGCTGTCTCTCAGGAAATGGCCCCACCTGTCTGTTGTTCATATACTTTATATAACTTTTTTTTTTTTTTTTTCTGAGATGGAGTCTCACTCTGTCGCCCAGGCTGGAGTGCAAGTGGCGCAATCTTGGCTCATTGGAAGCTCCGCCTCCTGGGTTCACACCATTCTCCTGCCTCAGCTTCCTCAGTAGCTGGGACTACAGATGCCCGCCACCGCGCCTGGCTTTTTGTATTTTTAGTAGAGACAGGGTTTCACCATGTTAGCCAGGATGGTCTCGATCTCCTGACCTCGTGATCTGCCCGCCTCGGCCTCCCAAAGTGCTGGGATTACCACACCCAGCCACTTTATATAGCTTTTAAAGCATAATCAAGAACATATAAAAATAAGATAAAATATAAGATCACATATAAGATAAAATAAGATAAAAATAAGATATTACATATGTATATTATGTATATACATATATCGTATACATATTCTATATGTATATTATACATATAGAATACCTTATACATATTATAGACGTATATTATACATATATAATACCTTATACATTTTATAGTTGTATATTATACATATCTCATACATTTTATGTATGTATATGTATAATACATATATAATACCTTATACATATTATATATTATACTTATATACCTTATACATATTACTTATATTATATATATATATTATGCATCTTATATATGTATATATTTTATATCTTAAGTATAACATATTAAGTATAATATGTATAAGATATTATATATGTATATAGATAAGATATAAAATATATTATCTTCTTCCTGGTTTTACACAAAAAGTAGCACAACACACACACAAAGTTCTGCCTTGCTTTCTTTTACTTAAGAATATACCTTAGAGATTGTTCCATTTCAGTACACAAACTGATGCCTCATTTTTACAGCTGCGTAGTGTTCCATTCTATGAGTCTTCGGTAATTTAGGTAAATCAGTCTCTGGTCAAAGTTCTCACCATCTCCATTTCCTTCAACTCTTTAGCCAAACCCTCCCTAAGTCCAATCAATTTACCATCCAACCATTTCTCTGAAACATCTTATCACTTCATCTTCATGTCCACTTCAGCCCAGATGTAACAGCCTCATGGTCGAGCTCTCACCTGGACAAAGGCAAAAGTTTCTGACTGATCTCTCTGCAATCAGCCCCCCACAGCCAGAGAGAACCTTCCAAACTCTGACCAAGGAACCCCTTGCCTGCTCGGAACACTTCAATTACTCTCAACATAATGATCCAGAAATCATCAAAAAGCCCTAGAAGGCATGCTCTGGATACCTTCTTCTCTCTGCTTCAGTGCTGAATGTTTCCATGTTCCCTGAAAATATCACACTCCTTTTTGCACACATTACCTCTTTAATCTGGAAGACTTTCCACACTCTCTGAAATTCCATCCTCTGGCTATCATTTATTTTTCATTTAATTTCTGCATAGGTAATATATTCACAGGATTCATAAATCCAAGTCTAAACATCCACAGAGAAAAAATTATCCATCTCACCCTGCTCACATCCACCCAATTCTCCCCAAACCCTAGCCCCACATCTCCATATCCTTCAAGAGATTTTTAAAGCATATTCAAGCACCTATTCATATCCATATTCTCTCCTTCCTGGCTTTACAGAAAGGGTAGCATACTATGCATGCAGATCTGCACCTTGTTCCCTCTTGTTATTTAGCAATATAGCTTAGAGATCATTTTACTTCAGTACATAAACTGATGCATCCTTTTTAGAGGTGTATCATATTCCATTCTATAGATATCCCATAATTTATGTAAACTGTTCCCAAAGCGATAGGTACTAATTTTTTTTTCTATTTTAAATAATACTGAAGACAGTAATATTACACATTTCATTGCAAGCAGGCATAGCTAGAAGAAAAATCCAAGAAAATAAAAATTTGTTTCAAAGTTGATGTATTTGCAATTGTGATAAATGTTGCTAAAGTGCCCTTTATGAGGGTTTCAAATGACATTCTCACTCACTAGAGCCTGATAGCCACACTCTTGCCAACAGATTGTTTTTCTTTTCTATCTGGTAGGTACAAATAGATTCTACCAGATATTTTTTAAAGGCATACAGATTTGATAATTAACCAGTGTGATGCTTGCATGTAATGAGATTTGAGTAGCACACCAGGGTATAAAAATTGAGTTGGACTAAGGATGCCAAGACCTGGACAGCCCATGGCCAAGGGCATCAATGTGCCAGGAAACCTCTCTGTCATACCAGCTAGAAAAATGCAATTTCAAGGAAAACATGTGTGTTTGTTTTTGGTTTTTGTGTTTTTGTTTTGTAAAAGAGTTTTGCTCTTGTCGCCCAGGCTGGAGTGCAGTGGTGTGATCTCAGCTTACTGCAACCTCTACCTCCCTGGTTCAAGTGATTCTCCTGCCTCAGCCTCCCGAGTAGCTGGGATTATAGGTGCTCACAACCACGCCTGGATAATTTTTGTATGTTTAGTAGAGACTGGGTTTCGCCATGTTGGCCAAGCTGGTCTTGAATTCCTGATGTTAGGTGATCCACCCGCCTTGTCCTCCCAAAATGCTGGGATTACAGGTATGATCCACTGCGCCCAACTGGAAAACATGATTTTTATTCCAATTTTATAATTTTAAAAATGGCTTCTTAATCCAATTAACATAGGGGCATATTTGAAGACAGTGGAATTAGCTGGAGTGACCAAAGAACACAAGAATAAAAAGAGACTGGGAAGGACACATAGGCCTTGGTTATAAAGGGAAAAAAAAAAAAAAAAAAAGCTTTGCCCACGCTGTGCTTGCACAGGTGCAAATAATACTTGGCCACTTGACAACATAAGGAACGGCTGCCTGACAAGACAGGCTCAGGCAAGAGGCTTTGGGGTGAGAATGAGACAGAGCATAGACTGGAGACTCAGTCCTCCAACAAATCCCAAATCTAGCCTCAGCTGTGCAGCCTCATTTGAGGTGACTTGACCTCTCTACATGACTCAATTCCTTTATTTGTAATATACAGGAGAATAATTTCTTAGAATTGTTAGGAGAGCTAAATTAGAAAAACTCTTGTAGAGTGCACAGCATTATCCCTGGCACAATGGAAACACTAAGATGGTATCTATTATTTCGTAACAATTCTATTATAATTGGAATTATTATTATTGTATGGCATTAGAATGTGAGCCACAGCTCACTCATCAGTATAAGGTACGTGGCCCTTGGGTCAGACATAATTGGGTCTCTTCCCAAGATTTAGCTTCTCTAGTTGTTCTATTGGTGTGATTTTAATACTGTTCTCTTGCCTATCAAATGGGGGGAATAACTTTTATAAGGATGGTATGAGGTCAGAAAAACAGAATGCTTAGCACACAAGTTACTCCTCAGTAACTCATGGCTATCATTCGAAACCTCAGCACCTAGCAGGAGGAGCTAGAAAACTGGAGTGTTTTATTTATTTTTTTTTTTTATTTTTTTTTTTTCCAGAGAACTTCATCTAGTTTTCCTCTGAAGTTTGGACACAGACACACCCTCCCAAAGAACAAGATCTGCAGCTTTTCCTTTACTGCTCAAGTGGATTCTCCAGGCCAAGTGGAATCCGCAACTGTGGCCCCGAGCCCTCCCCAGCCAGCTCCACAAGTCAAAGCTCTAATTCACTCTGAAAGGGCTTCAGCACCACCCCTGTGAGGTCCTTAAATGTTTTATGAGCTCCCTGAAATGCTCAGATAATTAAAAACACTTTCTTAACTTAATAGCTTGACTTAGTGAAACCAGGACTTTATGTTTTATTTGGAAAGGGGTGAACATCCCAGTCATACTTATTAATATTTTTAAGAGTATGCCCAATTGTGTCCAGGGATGGAGGGAAATCATTGCTTCAAGGAGGGAAATGGGCTTTCCTGAGTTTCTGACAAGTCTTGGGCTTATTAGAGCTCATTACATCCAGGAAGCCTGAAAACCTAAATTAGCAATCACCACATATGACGTGGCAGGCTATTATTAAGAAGGCCACTTATTGTAGAAACATGGAATTCTCAATTAAAAAGTAGTCCACCTAGGCCCCAAAGGTTCAAGAGGATTACCTGTGTCATCTAGGCAGTCACTTCAAAAGCTAGCTGAGAAGCAGACTCCTACGAGAGCAACTTTTTCTGTCAAGTCCAATAAACATGATCCTCTTAGGAAAAAAATGCTATAATCCAAACAGGTTGAACGTAAACCCAATTGGTTTGTAAGGATAGAGGTACCAGTGAGACACAAGGATTCCAAATTGTAGTGGCCACCTGGTCCCTAGAAAGACCAGACTGTTTAGAGTCCAGTTCTTTCCAGCAGTGACCACATGGTACCCTGGGATGGGCTTGGACTTCAAGGTCACATGCAGTGGTGTGCCAGAGCCAGTCTGTACCAGCCAATGAGAGGAGACTGTGTGCATCTCTTCCCAACTCTAAGGTCAGTTGTGTCACACTGACAGCTTCAAATCAGCCATGGTGGAGGTATTTACACCATGTAAACAGGCAGACACTACAAACCAGTGCTTTATTTTAATCTTCAGGGAGCCAGGAGTTAAATATTACCCAGTACATCACTGGATGCAGGTTCAAATCCTGGCTGGACAATTGTGAATATGGGCAGGGATAGTTTATTTAACTTTCCCGAGCATTCATTTCTCCGACTATTAAAAATGGAGATAAAACTCTTTCCATACACAGCTTTTTTGTTTTTTCTCCATGGCACTTACCCCCACCTAATATTATAATAAATCTGTATCTGTTGATGTTGTTATTCTGCTTGTGGTTATGTCTTTCCCCATAAAGCTCCCTCATTTATTCAAAAATGTGTACTGAGCACCTACTATGTCTCAGACCCTATTCTAGGTACTTGGATACAGTAGTGAGCAAAACAGACTAAAATTTCTATTTTCATGGAATATACAAACCATAAATATAGTAAAGGGTATGTATATCAGATGGTGATAAGCACTATGCAAAAAAAAAAGTAGGCTGGGGAATAGAGCATGTTAAGATCAGAAACGGGCATTGCAACTTTAACAAGGGTAACCATGAGGACATCCTTTAGAATGTTACATTGGAGAAAACTGCAAGAGATGAGGAAGTGAGCCCAGTGGCCATATGGGAAGGAGCATCCCAGAGAGAGGGAAAAGGGACCGATGGGTGGGACCGTGACTAGAGTGTTTGAGGAATCCACAGAGACCACTGTGTTTGGAGCAGAGGGATAAAGGGCATCAGCCACAGAGGATGAGATAATAGCAGCAATGGGGTAGGATTTTATAGGGCATTCTGTAACCAACAGAACTTTCTGCAAGGATGAAAATGATCTATGTGGGTGTACACACGATGGTAGCTACTAACCACAGGTGACTGTGGGGCATTTGAAATGTGGCTAGAGCAATTAAGGAAATAAATTTTTCATTTTATTTAATTTTAAATAATTTTAATTGAAAAAGCCACACTTGGCTAGTGGCTGCAGTTTGGGACAGTGCAGTTACAGACCACTGTAAATATTTTTGTTGTTTGCCCTGTATGAGATGAAGAGCCACCGGGGAAACCCAACAAAGCAGCTCTATGATTTGCCTGACCTTATCAAGTCTGGCTCTGGCTGCTCTGTGAAGGAGAAATTGCATGGCAAGGCCAGTGAGAAAGCTGTGGCGGCCATCCAGCAGGACACGCCAATGGCTCCATGACAGAAAGGATTGTATTTTGCTCTCTTCTCTATTTCCAGCACCTAAAACATAGAAGGTATTTTAGGATATTTGGGGAGTTAAACTGAATTAACTAAATAAGATTTTTATTTGCTCATTCAGTGCAATTTTTTCTGTTTTGCCTAAAATTTATGGGTTGGCAATGACATGTGAATGACATATTTGTCAGGTATGTAGGCAAGAGATTGGCTGAGTCTGAATATTATTTGACACAGTAAGTATATCCCAAAGTTTATTCCATAGACATGGGTTTCATGGAATGTTAATGAGTATTAAACAGTAAAAGATATACAAATAAATTATATGATTAAAGAAGTTTGGGAAATGCCAATTTAAGCACAATAAAAATTTCTTTACTGCAGTAAATATCAATGCCTTTCATATATTAATATAAATTGTGTCACTCCAACAGGACACAAACATGTAGGAAATATCTTCCAACTGTGTTTCCAATAGGGCCCCTCATTTTTCCTTAGTTGGGCATCTAGTCCAGTGGATGTTCAACAGAGCACTCCTTAGGAAATATTGCATTTGCTGAATCATGGAAAGAGAGACTGAATACAGGCTGCCACCGCAGACATTCTCTAACACATCACTCTGCTGTATTTTCTCTATAGCACTTAACACTATCTCAAACTATCACCTTCATTTATGTGTTGACCTGCATATTCAACTATAACTTACGCAAGCAGGAAACCTAAGGGAGTTGAGGGGTCTTGTCTACCTGCTGACATATGTACTCAGTCCCTAGCACAGCAGAAGGTGACAGAAAAAACATTAACTGAAAGAATAGCTAGTTAATGAGCCCAGATAAATGGTATAGGAATTCTGTTCCTGGAATCCTTTGTTCTGGATGGCCTAGGGGACCCTGGAGAAGCTGCAACTCAGCCCAACCTCTGCAGTGAGGAACAAAATGCTTCAGAGAGGCTAGGGCAGACCTGCCAGGCACAGCAAATGTTGTTTGCCCAGCACAGAGCTGTGAACACGCACAGTGGACAAAGACCATTCTCCTTGGGATGGTGAACTGTAATCTCTTAGTCACATCAGATGGTGTTCAACTCTCTGTACAGAGTAGGGGGTCAGAAGGGATCTGGGATGGTTGAATGAACAACAGTTCTAATAGCTAACATCAGTCAAGTGCTTGTACTAAGGATTTGACCAGCATCATTTAACTCTCTATCCATCTCATTTAACTCTCCCAGCAATCCAAGGGACGGATATTATCCCTTTCTACTGATGAGTAAGCTGAGTCTGAATTAAGAATCAAACGGTCTTAACCACCATGCAGGATTCCCTCCTCAAATAATTACATTGTCCTGAGTGGACACGTTCATGTTTCAATAAGAACACAGTGCAAAAGACAGATACTGAAACAAACACCAAGTTAGGACCTTAGAGGTAGAACGACCACTCTATACTTGTCAGGAGTGTGGGAGCATTCAGGAAAATGTTCACAGAGAAGTTAATATTTGAGCAGCATATTAAGACGGGATGGCTCTTCCCTTGGCAAATGGGATGAAAGCGAGGGCATCATGAGAAGAAGGCACAGCCATGGGCAAAGCAGGAAGACTGGAGGTGGCTTACATGTTCAGAATCGCAGGCAAAGTCCAATCTCCTTCAACTCACATTTAAGTGAATGTTTGAATATTCAAATAGATGTTTGAAAAAGCAATGACTGCCAGACCTCTCAGGGGTCATATAAAATTATTTCTTCAGGGTGTCCTGGCAACAAAAAGCCAATTAAAGCCCCAGGAGTCAGTGACTGAGCACACAAAAAAAACAAATCCTCTGAGTCCACAACTCCCCTCCTCTGGTTCTTTCTCTTCCTTGATCGTATTTAACTGGAAGAAGTGGCCATGAGTAAAGCAACCATGAGGGTTGAGTATCTCACTTATGATGGAACCCATAATAATTATTGACTGTACCTTCTATAATAAGCCTTAAAACTTATTACTCCAGCTTTGCTTCCTGGGCTTCATGTCAATACCTCTCATGTGCAGTGGTGGTAGGGGAATAAGTGTAAAGTACTGAGCACAGATTTATTTAAAACTTTGTCCCTGAAATTTACTTTCACTGCAGTATATTGGCCGTAATCAGGAGCCCAAATAGCCCCTGGCTAGGATAAAAGATAGCACAGGATTGAAGAGAGAGACACAGCCCTGGTGTGAGGCTGACCTGTCTGGATGCTGGTCCTTCCACTTTTACCACTCCCTGACTTTTTTCCCGTATCTAAAATATAAGTCCTATCTTTCAGCGTTTTAGAGGAAATAAAAGTTAATAATGCATGTAAAGAACCTGACCCAAATCCTAGCATATACTAAGAAGTCAATATATACTTATTTCCTTTGAATATGTACACTTTTAAGTCATTGTGCATGGGGCTGGATCTCCATTGGCTCCTGTTGAGGGCCTGTCCCATGTTCTGCTCTGGGGTGGAAAAGATGAAGGGTACACAAGTTGGAGAAGACACACCTTTGCCTATGGGGGGCTTATGGTTTAGTTGGGAATGCAGTTGTATAGACATGTTGAAACCAGATAATGAGGATGGTTCTCATTCAAAAGTGGCTTCATAGGTTGTTTCAGTGCTAAAGGAGCTCAAAAGATGCATGATGGAAGGCTTCCAGAAGATGAGACTTAAAGAATCACTAGGATTTGGGATGGTAGAAAGTAGGGAAATAAACACGATGAGCCAAAATCCTGGGTTGAGATGGTCTTCAGATGATTACAAAAAAAATAACTATTAGACCTGTTAATATTCAAGCACTGTTCCTCAATTTAGTAACAAAGTAGGCTCTAGAAAATTCTAGGAAAGCACAAATTTGAAATGTAAGCTTACAATTCCTCAGACATCAAGGTGGTGTTTTGTTACTGGTCGAAATTCTCTTGATTGTAGATGCATGGGCATGGTTCTCTGAGATGGTGCAATTAACCCTTGCATCTTCACATAAAGATCAGTCATTTTAATGAGGCAAAAACCTTAGTATGCTCTCTGGCTTCACTTCAAAATGATGCTCCAGCTCTCATTGGGGAAAGGTACTAATCATTTCAATGTTTATTAATGCCCCTAAAGCCTGTCTATATTTAGAAAAGTTGTGCCTGGGATTTTGTGACAGTATATGCAGAATTTGCTCATGTCATAATTTTATCTTCATTCATGACTTCACATGACTCTAAGAAGAATGCATGTTGAAGCGGAAAAGCCATCAGGCACTTCTGTGGTTTGGGTTTTGCTGAATGCAATGCTTAGTGAGAAACCACCCTGAGAAGAAAAGGTTGAAGAGAGTGATTAAATGAAATGTGAACAGTGAAATATCATTAAGTCATAATCAGTTTATGCAGAATTGATGCCAAGTCAAAACAAAAACTGTTTTCTGTCATTCTACCTGAGCTCTTTGCACAGACCCATGCCAGCTAAATCCAGGTCTATTTATCCTGTTCTTGAGAATCTCATTTAACAGGACACTACTCCACAACTCACTCTTGTGTCTGCTCTTTAACTAACCAACCTCTAGCCTAACCAACCTCTAGCCTGAACATTCATTCTTGTTTAGTTGAGGCATAACAACTAAATAACAGGTGGTGACATAAACACCTATCACCACTGCCTACCCATGCCCATTTTCCACAAACATAATCAGTTCTGTTACGTCACTCTCTTCTAACTTTTGAATTATCAATACATTTCAAAAAGTTCTAGTTCCAATCATTATACTATATATTCTGGACAGAAGGGACCACCAAGAGTTCAAAAATTATTTACTGAGCAGCTACTATACGCAAGTGACTCTCCTGGAGTTGCAAAAATAAGGCAAGGTTTTTGGTTGCAAGAAGTTCAGTGTATTAAACCACAAGACATATCGTCCGTGTCCTTCAATGACCCTATTAGAGTATACTTATTTATTGATAAACAATTTGAAAACAGAGCTGAATTCACTGAATGCCTATATTCAGTGTGATGTCTTGGGACAAGACCTAATTCCTCTTTCTTTCCTTTCCCACCTGACAAACTCCCAGTCACTGATCCTTCAAGAAGGAGCTCAAAGGATTTACGCAACTTTGATAGATAAGAAAATGTTACTCCATCTTGTATGTCACATCTTGTGGAGTAGCCTTAGTTTCTCCAAATCAACTATTTTATTGATGCATCTGCCTTCTTTATTAGACTTAAGCTCCTTAAATACTGGAACTTGACTTTTTCATTTCTACACCCTGGCATCTAGTTTAGTACCTAATCCAGTACATACTTGCTGCCTGAGTATGATGAATAGCTGAGTATGATGATTGTCGTTGTAATATGTATATGCTCCTCTGAATGGAAATACGTATTTGCTCCATTCTTTCAATGCAATTCCTATTCTTTACTGAGGTCCAGCCTAAAACCCATGGTCTTCAGATGATTACAAAAAAATAATAACTATTAGATCTGTTAATATTCAAGCATTGTTCCTCAATATAGTAACAAAGTAAAAGGCTTTGTTACTCAATCCTACTCACTTCATCTGGGTATTTATCCAGAATTCTGGGGAGATACAAAAAAAAGGCAGCATGTAGGCCAAATCATTCATATAGATATGTTTGCATGTGTCTCTGGAATATGTCCTTTGTTTTTATGCATATACCTATCCTATCTCTTTGAAGCAATGTTCTCCTCACTATAAAACCTGTTATTATTTTACTCAATGAACCCATATTCTATCATTTCTGATGTAAGCATGGCTACTACTGCTCTCTTTCATTTTCCCTTTACATAGAATATATTTTTCCATCCCTTCTCTTTCAGTCTGTGTGTGTCCCTAGAGGTGAAGTGAGTCTCTTGTAGGCAGCATATAGTTAGGTCCTTTTTTAAAAAAAACATCCATTTGGCCACTCTGTCTTTTGACTAGAGAGTTTAACCCATTTACATTAAAGGTAATTACTGATAGGTAAAGACTTACTAGTGACATTTGTTGTTTTCTTGTTATTTTGTAGATCATTTGAATAAATTCAAGTTCTAAACTTCTGTTTGTTTGCTTGCTTGTTTGAAGATCAAACTGCATTTATGAAGTAAAGACTTCCTTTTTCTGACTGGTACTCTGATCAGCATTAATAACCAAGACTACCGCTCTGAGTTAATAAAACTCCCATCCAAACAAAAAAAATTAGCATGTTATGTTTTGTTGGACTGTGCTGCTTTTTTGTAGGTAAGTTCTTAAGTGATTTGTGTTTGAAATACTAAGTAGGATTTTAGAAACCCCAGTAATACTTCTGCAGACCCCTAGAAGTATCCAGACTTCATGAGTAACAGTGATCATGAGTAACATGATTATCCGTCAATTACATGCCAGATACCTTTCTTGTCCTAGCTTTGCCACCACTATGTGACCTTAGAAGTTATGTTCCTCTATGTCTCGGTACCAAATGTACAAAGTATAGAGAGTATTCTCCTAAGAGTTATATACATTTAATGAGATAATGAACAAACTCCTTACCTAAAGTGCCCAGTGCATACTTAGGTCTGTGGTCCTGCCCAATCATCAGTAGGTAGCTATTACTATTTTTCAGACTTTCTATGACCTGCTCTTTTTTCTAACTGTCTTGCTGCATAACTACCCGTGGCATTTCAGAGTATGAAGCACTAGATTTTAAGAAAGAAATTTAATAGGATTCTGTCACAGGACAGGGAAGAATTAAGGCAGATAAGCTTGGGGGTTTTCATAAATCATGTAGATTTTAATTGGAAGCAGTGGTGTTTGCTATGGCTGGAAGACAAGAGAAGGAGTAGTTCATTACCTGAGTATGTCAGCCTTCATCCAGTGGGATTGAGAACTTGGAGAGAGGGCCAGCAGAGAGTTACCATAGATTACTTAGACTTAAGTAAACCAATTACTTGTTGATGAAGGCTCATGAGCAATTTATACCATGCTATGTCCATAAGCAGTATGACTGGTTGAGGCAGAACTGCTAAAGTAATATTGGAGTGATTTTCCCAGTGAAATGTGATATTCCAGTTCTCTCTTTGGATCACACTGAAAGAGAGGATAAAATTTTAAAATCCAACAAATTAATACTTCACCAATCCAGGTTTGTGGAAGGTTTGTGGCGAAGAAGTCAGATCCTCCTAAGTTTATTTTATTCCAGGTCTCCTGGATCCATCATAAATGGAATTTATAGTTGGCTCTAAGAAGTGATAAAACCACATGCATTCTTATCTTTGCCCTCACAATATGTAGCTTCTCATGAGCCTCCTTCAACTTTGCCCCTTGTTCACTCATCTTCTCCCTCCAGGGGGTTGGCAGCCACCAGGTCACTGTTTTAGTAGTCCGTTTTGGATTGTTTTCAATCATTTCATGGCCTGTGAATTGTCTGGGTTAGAAGCTACAGGCAGTACTAGTGAACAGTTCATGTTAGGAGCAAAGACATGAAGAAAATACTTCCTCACACACTGTTTCTTGGAATTCTAGTCCATGAACTTCATGTGATTCTAAAATGAGAGAATGGTATAATGACATGTCAATATGTACATAACACTGGTTACCACTGACTATGAATCTCCTGGGGGGACCCATTCCATTGAGAATAAAGATTTATTTTCCCAATTTGCTTTGCCATTGTATTTCCAAGCTGTGTAACTGCAAATTTTAAGAACTGGCTTTAATTTCATTTTGTAGGAATCTAGTCACGATCTCTAGTACATTAAATCTCTTTAAAGTCTTATTAATCTATTAAAAAAATCTTTACCAATGGATAACCAGTTTTAACTTGGAACAATTTTCACCCACATCTGTGTCCTTAGAAATCATTATTTACAAGTTATCCAACAGGCCTGGGAAAAGAGAAGCTTTCTTTAAACAGTACATCTTCAGAGCAGACATGTATTATATTTATATAATGAAGCGGTTGTCTGACTAGCTATATAACAACTCAGGTGTTTTTAAATAAGTAGAAAAAATGTAGCATGGAAACTTAATTCTGCTCCTGGAGCAGGTTGATAAATCTAGCCAAACATCTTTATTTTTTACAGTACATTAAGGGAACATTTTTATTTAGTACAGTCATAGATCTTCACATTATTGGGAAGTGTGTTCTTATGTTGCTTTTTTGTCTTCAGAATTGCCTTAGGAAGACGTTCTTTCACTGGGAGTTCTATTGATGTTATTCTGGGGGAGAAAACTGTGCCCAAATTGATTTGAATTAATTGAGGACTACAGAATGGTGTCTTCATGCCCCTCACTGCCAAAGGCTTTGTCTGCAGAAGAGGAGTTTTGCCTTTAAAAGGATAGCCAAGATTTTCAAAAATGGATGATGAATACATGGTTCATCAAACTATTCTCACAACTTTTGTGTACTTTGAAATTTTCCATAATAAGTAGTTCTTTCAAAGGAACTGGCAATAAAAGGGGAAAAGCATATCTATGGGAAACCTATTAAAATTCATTTCCCATAGATACATTAGCATTCACTGTGTCCCAGACTCTGAGCTAAGAAGTATAGAGTGGAAACAAGAAACTGTCCTCAAGAAACTCATTCTCTAGTTGAAATAATTTTCATGGACTGAATGTTTCCGTATCCTCAAAACTCACATGTTAAAGCCTATAACACCAAAGTGAAGGAGTGGGAGCTTTGGGAATTAGAGAGATGATCTCACCCCCTTCTCTCTCTCTCTCTCTCTCTCTCTCTCTCTCTCTCTCGCTTTCTCTGCCATCAAAGATATAGCAAAAAGGAAAGCCAGCCAGCCATCTACAAGCCATGAAGAAGGCCCTCACCAGACACTGAATCTGCTGATCTGCTTGTGCCTTGATGTTGAATTTCCAGCCCCCAGAACTGTGAGAGAGAAAAAAAAAATCTTGTTTAAGGCATCAGTCTGTGGTATTTTGTTATAGCAGCCTGAACTGACTAAGATAATACTGTATATAGATGTGGAAACTACTCAGGCTATAAGAAACTAAATGGTGTTTAGTTTATCAGCCCTGAAATTTAAAGGGGTGATTTAACTGCGGTGCTCTGGGAAAATCTTCTAAAGGAGGTGATTGAGTGGGCATTAAAACATGATCATGGCTTCAAAATTCCAAGGAGTGTATGTGATATGGTTTGGCTCTGTCCCCACCCAAATCTCATCTTGAACTGTAGGTCCCATAACCCACACATGTCATGAGAGGGACTCTGTGGGAGGTAATTAAATCATGGGGGCCAGTCTTTCCAGTGCTGTTCTCAGGATAGTGAATAAGTCTCATGAGATCTGATGGTTTTACACAAGGGCAGTTCCCCTGCACATGCTCTCGTGCCTGCCACCAGTTAAGATGTGTCTTTGCTCCTCCTTTGCCTTCCACCAAGATTATGAGGCCTCCCCAGCCATGTGGAAGTGTAAGTCTATTAAACCTCTTTTTCTTTATAAATTACCCAGTCTTGGGTATTTCTTCATAACAGTATGAAAATGGACTAATACAGTATGCTAGTCCACAGAATAGTATAAACAGAGGTAAAGAAAGATGGAGAAATAAGGAGTGTTCTATGTTCCCTGACTCACAAAAGAACGGTCTGGAGTGACTCTATTAGTAGGATTCAAAGGGAAAGGTGAGCTAAAGGCACATTATATCCAGAGAATTAAATTTCAAAATGAGGCATAAAAAATTTAACCTGAAGAATTAGAAACTCATTCAAGGGAAGATGGCCGAATAGAAACAGCTCCAGTCTATAGTTCCCAGCATAAGCAACCAGAAGACAGGTGATTTCTGCATTTCCAACTGAGGTACCGGGTTCATCTCACTGGGGAGTGTCAGACAGTAGGTGCAGGACAGTGGGGGCAGCACACCGTGCACAAGCCAAAGCAGGGCGAGGCATCGCCTCGCCTGGGAAGTGCAAGGGATCAGGGAATTCCCTTTCCTAGTCAAAGAAAGGGGTGACAGATGGCACCTGGAAAATCGGGTCACTCCCACCCTAATACTGCACTTTTCCAACCAGCTTAAAAAACGGCACACCAGGAGATTATATACCACACATGGCTTGGAGGGACCTAGACCCAAGGAGTCTTGCTCATTGCTAGCACAGCAGTCTAAGATCAAACTGCAAGGAGGCAGTGAGGCTGGGGGAGGGGCACCCACCAATGCCGAGTTAGTTGTTTGATTAGGGAAACAAAGCAGCCAGGAAGCGCAAACTGGGTGGAGCCCACCACAGCTCAAGGAGGCCTGCCTGCCTCTGTAGGCTCCACCTCTGGGGGCAGGGCACAGACAAACAAAAAGACAGCAGTAACCTCTGCAGACTTAAATGTCCCTCTCTGACAGCTTTGAAGAGAGTAGTGGTTTTCCCAGCACACAGCTGGAGATCTGAGAACGGGCAGACAGCCTCCTCAAGTGGGTCCCTGACCCCCGAGTAGCCTAACTGGGAGGCACCCCCCAGTAGGGGCGGACTGACACCTCACACGGCCGGGTACTCCTCTGAGACAAAACTTTCAGAGGAACAATCAGGCAGCAGCATTTGCAGTTCACCAATATCCACTGTTCTGCAGCCACCGCTGCTGGTACCCAGGCAAACAGGGTCTGGAGTGGACCTCTAGCAAACTCCAACAGACTTGCAGCTGAGGGTTCTGTCTGTTAGAAGGAAAACTAACAAACAGAAAGGACATCCATGCCAAAAATGCATCTGTACGTCACCATCATCAAAGACCAAAGGTAGATAAAACCACAAAGATGGGGAAAAAACAGAGCAGAAAAACTGGAAACTAAAAATCAGAGCATCTCTCCTCCTCCAAAGGAACGCAGCTCCTCACCAGCAATGGAACAATGCTGGACGGAGAATGACTTTGATGAGCTGAGAGAAGAAGCCTTCAGACAATCAAACTGCTCCGAGCTACAGCAGGAAATTCGAACCAATGGCAAAGAAGTTAAAAGCTTTGAAAAAAAATTAGAAAAATGGATAACTAGAATACCCAATGGAGAGAAGTCCTTAAAGGACCTGATGGAGCTGAAAACCAATGCACGAGAACTACGTGACAAATTCAGAAGCCTCAGTAGCCGATGCGATCAACTGGAAGAAAGGGTATAAGTGATGGAAGACAAAATGAATGAAATGAAATGAGAAGAGAAGTTTACAGAAAAAAAGAATAAAAAGAAATGAACAAAGCCTCCAAGAAATATGGTACAATGTGAAAAGACCAAATCTACGTCTGATTGGCGTACCTGAAAGTGACGAGGAGAATGGAACCAAGTTGGAAAACACTCAGCAGGATATTATCCAGGAGAACTTCCCCAATCTAGCAAGGCAGGCCAACATTCAAATTCAGGAAATACAGAGAATGCCACAAAGATACTCCTCGAGAAGAGCAACGCCAAGACACATAATTCTCAGATTCACCAAAGTTGAAATGAAGGAAAAAATGTTAAGGGCAGCCAGAGAGAAAGGTCGGGTTATCCACAAAGGGAAGCCCATCAGACTAACAGCTGATCTCTCGGCAGAAACTCTACAAGCCAGAAGAGAGTGGGCGCCAATACTCAACATTCTTAAAGAAAAGAATTTTCAACCCAGAATTTCATATCTAGCCAAACTAAGCTTCATAAGTGAAGGAGAAATAAAATCCTTTACAGACAAGCAAATGCTGAGAGATTTTGTCACCACCAGGCCTGCCCTAAAAGAGCTCCTGAAGGAAGCACTAAACATGGAAAGGAACAACTGGTACCAGCCACTGCAAAAACATGCCAAAATGTAAGGACCATCAAGGCTAGGAAGAAACTGCATCAACTAATGAGCAAAATAACCAGCTAACATCATAATGACAGGATCAAATTCACACATAACAATATTAACTTTAAATGTAAATGGGCTAAATGCTCCTATTAAAAGACACACACTGGCAAATTGGATAAAGAGTCAAGACCCATCAGTGTGCTGTATCCAGGAAACCCATCTCACGTGCAGAGACACACATAGGCTCAAAATAAAGGGATGGAGGAAGATCTACCAAGCAAATGGAAAACAAAAAAAGGCAGGGGTTGCAATCCTAGTCTCTGATAAAACAGACTTTAAACGAACAAAGATCAAAAGAGACAAAGAAGGCCATTACAGAATGGTAAAGGGATCAATTCAACAAGAAGAGCTAACTATCCTAAATATATATGCACCCAATACAGGAGCACCCAGATTCATAAAGCAAGTCCTGAGTGACCTACAAAGAGACTTAGCCTCCCACACAATAATAATGGGAGACTTTAACACCCCATTGTCAACATTAGACAGATCAATGAGACAGAAAGTTAACAAGGATATCCAGGAATTGAACTCAGCTCTGCACAAAGTGGACCTAATAGACATCTACAGAACTCTCCACCCCTAATCAACAGAATATACATTCTTTTCAGCACCTCACCACACCTACTCCAAAATTGACCACATAGTTGGAAGTAAAGCACTGCTCAGCAAATGTAAAACAACAGAAATTATAACAAACTGTCTCTCAGACGACAGTGCAATCAAACTAGAACTCAGGATTAAGAAACTCACTCAAAACCGCACAACTACATGGAAACTGAACAACCCGCTCCTGAATGACTACTGGGTATCTAACGAAATGAAGGCAGAAATAAAAATGTTCTTTGAAACCAACAAGAACAAACACAACATACCAGAATCTCTGGGACACATTCAAAGCAGTGTGTAGAGGGAAATTTATAGCACTAAATGCCCACAAGAGAAAGCAGGAAAGATCTAAAATTGACACCCTAACATCACAATTAAAAGAACTAGAGAAGCAAGAGCAAACACATTCAAAACCTAGCAGAAGGTAAGAAATGACTAAGATCAGAGCAGAACTGAAGAAGATAGAGACACAAAAAACCCTTCAAAAAATTAATGAATCCAAGAGCTGGTTTTTTGAAAAGATCAACAAAATTGATAGACCACTAGCAAGACTAATAAAGAAGAAAAGAGAGAAGAATCAAACAGACACAATAAAAAATGATAAAGGGGATATCACCACCGATCCCACAGAAATACAAACTACCATCTAGAATACTATAAACACCTCTATGCAAATAAACTAGAAAATGTAGAAGAAATGGATGAATTCCTCGACACATACATCCTCCCAAGACTAAACCAGGAAGAAGTTAAATCTCTGAATAGACCCATAACAGGCTCTGAAATTGAGGCAATAATCAACAGCTTACTAACCAAAAAAAGTCCAGGACCAGATGGATTCACAGCCGAGTTCTACCAGAGGTGCAAAGAGGAGGTGGTACCATTCCTTCTGAAACTATTCCAATCAATAGAAAAAGAGGGAATCCTGCCTAACTCATTTTATGAGGTCATCATCCTGATACCAAAGCCTGGCAGAGACACAACCAAAAAGGAGAATTTTAGACCAATATCCTTGATGAACATTGATGCAAAAATCCTCAATAAAATACTGGCAAACCAAATCCAGCAGCATATCAAAAAGCTTTTCCACCATGATCAAGTGGGCTTCATCCCTGGGAAGCAAGGCTGGTTCAACATATGCAAATCAATAAATGTAATCCAGCATATAAACACAGCCAAAGACAAAAACCACATGATTATCTCAATAGATGCAGAAAAGGCCTTTGACAAAATTCAACAACCCTTCATGCTAAAAACTCTCAATAAATTAGTTATTGATGGGACGTATCTCAAAATAATAAGAGCTACCTATGACAAACCCACAGCCAATATCATACTGAATGGGCAAAAACTGGAAGCACTCCCTTTGAAAACGGGCACAAGACAGGGATGCCCTCTCTCACCACTCCTATTCAACATAGTGTTGGAAGTTCTGGCCAGGCCAATCAGGCAGGAGAAGGAAATAAAGGGTATTCAATTAGGAAAAGAGGAAGTCAAATTGTCCCTGTTTGCAGATGACATGATTGTATATCTAGAAAACCCCATCATCTCAGCCCAAAGTCTCCTCAAGCTGATAAGCAACTACAGCAAAGTCTCAGGATAAAAAATCCATGTGCAAAAATCACAAGCATTCTTATACACCAATAACAGACAAACAGAGAGCCAAATCATGAGTGAATTCCCATTCACAATTGCTTCAAAGAGAATAAAATACCTAGGAATCCAACTTACAAGGGATGTGAAGGACCTCTTCAAGGAGAACTACAAACCACTGCTCAATGAAATAAAAGAAGATACAAACAAATGGAAGAACATTCCATGCTCATGGGTAGGAAGAATCAATATCGTGAAAATGGCCATACTGCCCAAGGTAATTTATAGATTCAATGCCATCCCCATCAAGCTTCCAATGATTTTCTTCACAGAATTGGAAAAAACTACTTTAAAGTACATATGGAACCAAAAAAGAGCCCTCATCGCCAAGTCAATCCTAAGCTGAAAGAACAAAGCTGGAGGCATCACGCTACCTGACTTCAAACTATACTACAAGGTTACAGTAACCAAAACAGCATGGTACTGGTACCAAAACAGAGATATAGACAAATGGAACAGAACAGAGCCCTCAGAAATAATGCCGCATATCTACAACTATCTGATCTTTGACAAACCTGAGAAAAACAAGCAATGGGGAAAGGATTCCCTATTTAATAAATGGTGCTGGGAAAACTGGCTAGTCATATGTAGAAAGCTGAAACTGGATCCCTTCCTTACACCTTATACAAAAATTAATTCAAGATGGATTAAAGACTTAAATTTTAGACCTAAAACCATAAAAACCCTAGAAGAAAACCTAGGCAATACCATTCAGGACATAGGCATGGGCAAGGACTTCATGTCTAAAACACCAAAAGCAATGGCAACAAAAGACAAAATTGACAAATGGGATATAATTAAACTAAAGAGCTTCTGCACAGCAAAAGAAACTACCATCAGAGTGAACAGGCAACCTACGGAATAGGAGAAAATTTTTGCAACCTACTCACCTGACAAAGGGCTAATATCCAGAATCTACAATTAACACCAACAAATTTACAAGAAAAAAACAAACAACCCCATCACAAAGTGGGTGAAGGATATCAACAGACACTTCTCAAAAGAAGACATTTATGCAGCCAAAAGACACATGAAAAAATGCTCATCATCACTGGCCATCAGAGAAAAGCAAATCAAAACCACAATGAGATACCATCTCACACCAGTTTGAATGGCGATCATTTAAAAGTCAGGAAACAACAGGTGCTGAAGAGGATGTGGAGAAATAGGAACACTTTTACACTGTTGGTGGGACTGTAAACTAGTTCAACCATTGTGGAAGTCAGTGTGGCGATTCCTTAGGGATCTAGAACTAGAAATACCATTTGACCCAGCCATCCCATTACTGGGTATATATCCCAAGGATTATAAATCATGCTGCTATAAAGACACATGCACATGTATGTTTATAGTGGCACTATTCACAATAGCAAAGACTTGGAACCAACCTAAATGTCCAACAATGATAGACTGGATTAAGAAAATGTGGCACATATACACCACAGAATACTATACAGCCATAAAAAATGATGAGTTCGTGTCCTTTGTAGGGACATGGATGAAGCTGGAAACCATCATTCTCAACAAACTATTGCAAAGACAAAAAACCAAACACCACATGTTCTTGCTCATAGGTGGGAATTGAACAATGAGAACACATGGACACAGGAAGGGGAACATCACACACCGGGGCCTGTTGTGGGGTGGGGGGAGGAGGGAGGGACAGCATTAGGAGATATACCTAATGCTAAATGACAAGTTAATGGGTGCAGCACACCAACATGGCACATGTATACATATGTAACAAACCTGCACGTTGTGCACATGTACACTAAAACTTAAAGTATAATAAAATAAAATTTTAAAACAGAGTCAGGGACATTTCCAGGATTAGTACAAGTATTTCTACAACACCTTCATGCCTGTGATAATGTGTAAGATGTAGCAGATTGAATTATCTTCTTATTCTCAAAAATATTAAATTTTTTTAACCTACAAAAAAAAAAAAAGAAACTCATTCAAGGTTTCTTGACAGGGTTAAAGACATATCATGCTCCCAGTTTGATTTTAACAGAATAATGTTGCTAGTTATGGGAAATAAGAATTGAAGAAGATAGACATTGAAGATATTTAGATATAAATACTTTTAATCTATCCATTTCTTTATCTAGGCTCAAGCATGAATATCTCCTGCATCAAAAATAAGCGATGTACTCTCCGGTTTCTTTGCTTCTACTCTGACATTATAATCTGTTCCTCCCATTTAAGCTAGTGTGGTGAAGTATACTAAGAGCTCTCAATGAATCACATCTCCTTTTGTCCATAATCCTTTGCAATGTGACTTTGTTGCCCCTTCCATCAAGAATTAGAGACTATTTTCCTACCCCTGAATCTGGACTGGCTTTGTGAACATGCTTTGAGTGTGGCATAAGTAACACTGTGTGGCTTTTAATGATAGGCCATTGGTAAAGCAATCTGGGAAAATAAAGGCCTTGCAGTTTCTGGTTTTGCTCTCATCAAATGCTCCAGCCACAATATATGAAAGCCAGAGATAGCCAACTGAACAATAAGAAACAGCATGAAGAGAAAAACCCAGCCAACAGTTTGACAGTCACCTCCAATGACTCAGACTTGTGATTAGAACCATCTGAGACCCTCCAGCCCCTGACATGCTGCTGGGTGACTGCACCCACATAACTAATCCCAGATCACAGCAGCAGAAGAACCACCCAGCTGAGCCAAGCCAACACAGAGACTCTTAAAAAATACACTAACTTATTGTTTTCAACCATAAAGTTTTGTGTCATTTGCTATGCAGATATAAGTAACTGAAACAGAAATTGGTACCAGAAGTGAAATGTACCCACAACAAAATTTAAAACATGTGGCATTGGCTTTGGAACCCCTTAGTAAGCAGAGGCTTGGGGAAAAGTGAAGGGACTGTCGGAGGCTAAGAGAAGGGTAACTATGTTATATTGTGATAGAAATATTAGCGAAAGTGTCATGTGCAGTAACTTGAAAGATAGAAATTATACCTAATGAACTCATAGATCTGGCTAAAGGAATCACAAAACAGAAATTTGAAACGACCAATTGATTTTGCTAGCAGTGTCTGACAAGGTAAAAGAAAAAAAAGGGGAAGAAAGGAACTATTTAGTTTTCAAGCAGAATTAGAAGAAAATACAGAAGACCAAGGACTTACTGCATTAAACAAATAAAGATGCCATTCATTCCCAGTCTCCACAACTGGTGAAAACATCTCTATATTTCAGGAAATAAGCCCTGGATCCAAGATCAAGTCAAACTTGTGACTGTAAGATTCTGAGTTAAGACCTTTGAAAGATTAAGTTTGTAAATTTTGATCTGCTCTACTACAAAAAAAAAAAAAAGTATTTTAAGAATTTAAGGTTCTATCACACAGTAGGCCCATATTTAGCCCAAAACAGATACAGTTTATATCAAAAAGAATTAGGGATGTGATTTTTGATGTTTGGAGTAAACCAAATCAAGTTTTAGGAAATTTTAAACACATTAGATTAGTGACAACATTGGCAGCTTGGACTAAAAAAGATTAAGATAGTAGAGGATATAAAGAGGATTTTGGTTCCTCCTACAGAACAAAGGTATGCTGAGAAAGCTACTAAGCTGCAGTAGGATATTTATTAAGACAAAAATAAAAACTTTTCAGAGGATATAGGTAAGAGCCCAGAATTAAAGGGGAACAATGGACCATGAACCACTCCTAGAATGTATAAAGAGCTGGCATGGTGGCTTGCATCTACAGACCCAGCTACTCAGGAGGCTGAGGCAAGATGATCCCTTGAGACCAGGAGTTCAAGACCAACTTGGGCAACATAACAAGATTCTGTCTCTAAAATATATAATTAAAAAAAAAGAAATGAAAGTATAAAGAGATCCTACTCAAAAATAATTATCCAACCCTAGAGTAGGAAAAGCTGGGAGCAGGTGCCTGGCTGGATTTCAGAATCACTACCTAACGGTGCCTGCTATGTGCTTCCATTATCCTCCCCATTTTGAACAGTGATATCTGTTTCTCTTATCAGATGTGCCGGCCTCATCATTACATATTAGGTGTGAGGTAAGCACACAGCTAGTCATTTCAGTCACATTTCTCTGGTTCAGGAAAACCCTCAGTCAGGGAGCCATGCCCCAAATGCCTCATCTGTCACTGGACAAGATGCAGAACATAAGATGCTTGACTTTGAGTCCAATGTTGTAATTGCATGACGTTTGATAAGTTTTTAAAGGAGTTGGGTGTAATTTGCTTATGGGATAAATGGAAATCACTTTGGCCAGAGGGTAGACTGCTGTAGATTAATAATGGTATAAATATTCACAATTACTTCCAACAAAAATGAGATATATTCATTTTTTTGTAAATGTAACTATAACCGTGTTACACATTGGTTTAAATACTTTCCTTCATTAATCCAGTTTACAAATATATGTAAAGTCTCTACTATTGCTTAGCAAATCTCCTGATCTCTGGGGATAAAATCAAATTAAACGAAATATCTGCCTTCATGGGACTTGCAATCAAGCAGAGTTAAACAAATAACATAAATAAATAAATAACATCGCCTTAGGTAGGATGCTAGAATTGGGAGTAAGGGGATGTAACTTTTAGAGGATGTCAAGGAAGATCACTCTGAAGATCAACTACTTGAGATCTGAAAGTATCATCAGAGAGAATCATACACAGATCAGAAAAAAAAGGATGTTACAAGAAGGAACAGTGAGGTGGAAATAAACTGGACTTTCCTTAAGAAAAGCAAAAATGCTCGTGATCTGGGTTAGAAGAAACAAGGGGGAGAGTATGAGGCAGGTAGATGTGGAAACAGGCTCAGATCATGCAGTAATACCATTGTTGTCCAATGTGGTAGAGTAGAACCTGGTTCAGTATACCACTGGCTTTCCCTGGGGTGCCATCTTTTCAAATGTAGGTATGGATGCTTGACTCCATGGTGCTATTAAACAGTGGGTAGATGCTGTCTATCTAATCTATCTATCTATGCAAATGAAACCACTACTCACATAAAAATATAGAAAATTTCCAGTATCTCAGATCCTCATTCCTCTTCCCAGCTTATACCTGTCCTAAATGAAGCCACTATATTGACCTCTATCGCTATAGAGCAGTTTTGGCTGTTTTTGAACTTCATATTAATAGTATCATACAGTAAGCATTCTTTCACGTTTGGCTTCCTTCACTCAATGTTATGTCTGTGGGATTCATCTATTTGTATATATCAGTAGTTATAAATAGCTGGTTTTACCCTCTCCTTTTCCTCTATCACATTTGCCATCACCTATAATGCCAAGTGTCTGTGTATTTGCCCACATATTTATTTCACACCTGCCTCCTATGCTAGAATGCAAGCTCCCCCAAGCAGGTTCCTTGTCAGATTTATTAACTTCTGTATACCCAACACCTGATATGAGAAGTCATCAACAAATATCCACTGAAGGAAGAAGTAGGAACCTGCCCACAGCCTCGACACTCTGAGAGCCACATCTACCTGGAAATGAAAGCGGATCCAGCAGTCAGGGCGAACGGAGAGATTCTGAAGTTAGAATGAACAAAATAAAATGTGTAGGTGATGAGCCAGCGACTTGAAAGTGACTCAATGAATCTAACTTGGGTCACCAAGAGCATCTTAATGCTATGAAAAAATGGAGAATATGAGGTTCTGGATTACATGTATTCTTTTCAACCCTCTTTCTCCTTATTCCAATAAGAGGACTGTACATTTCCTTTGGGGAACCAATTTTTCCTCAACTTCTGCTCCATCTTCATGAAACATCAATGTGGAGCTCAATTATAGTAGCTCACTTTCCTGCCCTAGACAAGTCAATAGGAGAATTCTACTTTTCTGGTCACTGTGCTTTCATTCGGGAGTAGACATGTGACCCAAAGAGGGCTGGACACAGAGTGCCCTGGGGTTCAAACTATGGACATTGGGAGAGGAGCACCCTACTCCTGTGGAACTCTGAACTGTAAGAAAAACACAGGCTGAAGCTGAAGCTGTCTATGGCTATCTTCCTGGATTTCCTGAAAGAAGCTCTAATTATGTATGAAAAAGCAGAGCTATCACATAAAAATAGAAGACAGGAGAAAGGAGAAAATCCTATTGACAGAGACTGGGCCCCTTTATCCAACACCTTGATTTCTCACTTATGAGATACAATAAGTTCCTTTATTTTCTTTAAGTTAGTTTGAGTTGTATTTCTATCATGGAATATGGATTGCATTTCCTTCACTCTCATTTTTGAAGAGGAAAAAGCAAGTCTGCAAGTGAGAAAGTGCA
Source organism: Homo sapiens (assembly GCF_000001405.40). NCBI lineage: Eukaryota > Metazoa > Chordata > Mammalia > Primates > Hominidae > Homo > Homo sapiens. Next base: position 80,230,314 of record NC_000016.10, read on the forward strand.
GATGACTCTTCAGTCCAAGCCACATAGAAAACTCTTAACACAGAATAGTTTTACTCCTCTGAAAGCCATGCACAAGTGAAGTGCTGAAAACAGAGACTTAGGTGGTCAGTAGAGGTGGGTAAGCTCTGTTCTTCCCTCCAGCCTGATGCTGATTCTCATTTCCCAAAATTCAGTGATATCACTTAGTCATGATGCAATGATGGAATGCCATCGTTTTCATCCCAAGCATTCTACTTCTGGCACTCATCTAGGAATAATTTAAATAATAAGAAAAAAAAAGTTGAGCTTGTGGTTGGATAGAATTCCATTTGGAAAGACCAGGACTTCTCAGTTGATTGGTGGCTCTGGGCCCTGGTGAGCAGAGGCAGAGTGGCCCCCCTGCCTAACCCGCCTTCTCTTCACATCCTGACAGTAGGGGCTCCACCGTCAACCCAGTGGGTGCTGGTGGGGGAGTTAAGTGAAGGCTAGAGATGCATTTTTCTGATTCACAGTGGGATCTAAGACAAGGCATTTTCCCTTCTGAGCCTTACTTCATTCATAAGTATAATAAAGGAACTGAACGAGAGGATTTTAATGGACTTTGATATTCTAAGAGTCTATACCAAGGGACAAAACTTCCTTAAACCACAAGGTATTTGCATATGCTGTTCCCTCTGCCTGGGTGCCACTCTCTATCTAGTAAATTCCTACTCATTCTTTAGATCACAGCTAATGTACCACTTTCATAGGGATACCTTCTGTGAGTCCAATGAAACTACATGCTTCCATTTGAGAAACCTTAGCTGAAATCATTCTGGGGGCTAAATAGTTATTATGTGTTTCTTCTGGTAGATTTTTAGTACCTGGAGAACAGAGATCAAGTCTACTTTTGAATACTTTAGACTTATGTACCTTGAGTGCATGTGTGGGCATGTACATGTGTGTGAAAGACACAGACAGGGAAGAGCTTTCTCTGCTCTCTAAAGCTGATATTTGGCCTGAGGAGTCCAAGTAAGTCAGCCTGTTCTCTCTGACAAAACTTGGCCAGTGGGTAGAGTGAGAAGGCATTTTTTTCACATCTGCCTCTTTAAACAAATCAAATGTTTGGGTTACAGAAATGCCAAAATAAAGAACAGAATGACTGTAACTCAAACTGATTTCAGAGCTTAAGCTGAATTTTAGCCAGAAGTCAGCTCATTAGCTAGAGCACCTTCAGGGATTTCAGAGCAAGACAGAGAGCAGGCCCATGGAGGGCTGGAGGCACTTCGGTGAAGGTGCACTACGTGCAGCACATGGAGAAAGGTGTAGACAAAATTCAGCATGCTGAAGGGGTGGGAAGACGTAGACCCTGCTGCTACATCAACCGTTGTCAGACTCCCATGTTCCTCGCCATCCCCTTTCAAGGAATTTTCCTGGTTTTTCCAATCCCACCTGGAAAGTGGGACCCTGGTTCGACCAGAGGAAAAAAGGAAGGGCAGAAAAGGTGAGAGAGAGAGAGAATATGAATGAGCCACATAGCACCAGATGAGGAGGGACCCAAGAAAGAGAGATGGTTAGAACAAGGAAAGTCCACTGAAGACCTCCATCAGAGGAATGAGCAGAACTGAAGGGGCCAGAGACATGCCTTGTTGCCTTAAAAACACAACTGCTTCTTTCCAGCCAACTCTCTCATTTATGTAGCACAGACCACACAATCTGTGAGTCACCCAGGCATAGAGCCTCTTCCTGAGCCTCACTCGGGCCCACATCACAGAGAAGCTAAGGGCCATTCCCCAACACCCAAGGGCTGTATTGGAGCTGCACTTTGAATCAGGCCTGACTCAGACGTGTGGTCTATGCAGCACTGTGACGTTCCTCCACACACACAAGCCTTGACCCCAAAGCCCTTGGCCCCAAATGCCTTTCATACAATCAGTTGGTAAACATATATTGAGTGCCATCTAAGTGCCAAGCACTGTGCCAGACATTAAGGGAAACCATGTATACATACAGACACAACTTCTGCTCTCACAGAACTTACAGTTTGGTGGGGGGATGGGGGGAGATATAGTTCTCAAATAATAACAATACCAGAGGCAGAAATTTCTCAAATAATAAATACCAAAGACAGAAAGAAAAAAAAAAAAAAGAGACCAGCACTCAAGGGAAAGAAACAGTGTCCCATTAGACTTTGTAATAAAGAAACGTGACCTAGAGATATGAGTAAGCACCTACTCGACACCAATCTCTCTACTGAACTCCGAAGGTAGAGAGAAAATGTGATGATATGTCCCCCCGGAACTTGCTGCCTGGAATAAGAAAGAGCCAAGTAAACACAGCAATACTGGGTGATGTGTGCTAACATCCTGAGGGCCCTGGGCAGAGCAACTGGGTATTTGGAAACACAGACCTAAGATCAGAGAAAGGTTTCCAGAGACTGTTACCTCTAACACCGCCTACAGAGAGGGAGTAGAAGCAGCTCAGACACGTATAGAAATATGCCTTCAATACAAGGCCTCAAGAGCCAGAGCATTAGAATGGTGGATCTAAAAAATAAAGAGGATCTCTGAGTTTGCAGTCCTATTGCAGCAGGCTAGTGGAAGCTTGGGGTTATTTTTTTTTTTAATTATGGCTTAAGGTTCACCTTCATTGCTGTAGACCATTTATGTATTTCTAAATCACTGTGTATTAACATCTCTTTGCATTAAAAAAAAAAAAAATTTAAACCTTGTGGTTAAAAGAAAAAGACTCTCCATTTAGGCCAGGCAGGAATATTCAGATTAGAAAGCTGAATTTTTGTCTTAATGTATTTTAAGGGGAGAAATTCAGCTCCCTGTCTCTCACTGTCTCCTGAACACCAACAGGAAGTACTAAGTCTGGTTGTGCATGACAGAGGTCCTCAGATTTGCAGCTGGGGCGCCCAGTCACATTGTGTGGTGAGAGTCAAGTTCAAGAACTCCTCCTTGGCTGGAAAGAGTTCATTTTAACCAAAGAAGCGAGGGGTCGATGGCCTCTCAAATGAAACAGATAAGGCAAACAGAGGGTTCTTGTCAGAAACAAATGTTATGTCTCTCCCTCCTGAAAAGCTTACAGATGTTATCAGTAGGAGTCCAGTTGGGCCTAAAACGAGCCCCTGAGAAGTAATATTAACCAGACGCTTGGCAGATCGTTTATTTATCTCCCACTAAATTCAATAAAGAGACCCATATATAAATAAGAGAAAATAATGCAACTGTTAGTAATTTATCACTGGATAGAAAAGCTATTGTTGCCCTTATCTCTTCAATGATGTTCTATTTCCAACTGGTAATGAATTACGAGGTTGCCACATCCCTCCCCAGTGGCAGGTCACTGGGGCCAAGTTGTGGGCTACAGCTCAAAACCCCTTTCAGAAACCTGGTGGCAGTTGTCTCAGGCTCATGCCCTCTGCCTTTGGAATCCTGTGTGGACAGCCCAAGGCCAAGGCCTGGAATGTCCCTTCTCCTCTGCGGGGGGTGGGGGAAGACATTATTTCTAAGAAGACCATAGTCTTATCTTTTAGGTGCCTCTGCAGGAGGTGTGGTTAAGAGCTCATTACTAAAGCAGCATTTTACCCCTTATTTTGAAGTTCCCATCTTCCTTTTGGCCATTTATTCAAACAGTGTGTTCCACTTGGCTTCAGAGAAGTGCGTGAGATGGAAAAATCAATAATTTAAGGCAGTTTGCATTCTAGAAATCAAAATGGTGGCTTGTTTTATCATAATATTAATCTTATTGATGGTGATGGTGATGATGGTGATGAAGATATTGGTGATGATAGGTAATATTTACTGCACACTTACTGCATTCCAGATATCATTTTAAGCACTTTATATAAATTATCTCATTTTTATTCTTCATGTAAACTTATGTGTGGGTTTTATGTTTAGTTTTCAGGAGGAAACTAAAGCCTGAAACTGTCAGTGCCTTGCCCACTCGCACAGAGCTGGTTAGTGGTGGAGCGGAGACTTAAACACAAGGATAGGATATGACTCCATTGTCTTTCCCACTAGCTGAGTTGAACAAATAAAGGACATACCTTCTAGGTGATGTTCATGATGAGGAAGAGCTTCACAGGAAGTGAGGTCAAAACCATTGGTTGGCATCTTGAATAACAGAATGGAGCCTATGGACTTCTTAGGGCTACTGGAGACATTAACATTTTTCAAGAAGGAAGGCAGCTTGGCCAGGTTTGAATTTTAGGACTGTAATGACAGCATTACAGGAAATGGTCTATAGTGGCAACAAGGAGTCCATAAGGTAGGGAGACCAAATAGTTTGGCCATCGAGTAGCTGAGGTAGGAGCAGATAAGAACTTTAAAGGAGGTGATGGCCATGGGGGTGAAGAGGAGGGCACAGTTTATGGAACTAATTGACAGGATGTTCTGACACCATGCATGAATTGTCCTGGCAACAAGGCCAAGCCCTAAGTCCCTTAACTTAATTGCATCTTTAATTAGTCTCTTATGAAAGTGTATTCTTGAGGCTTTTTTGCAATATTTGGGTCCTTTTTCAACCCTTTATGGTATTCCCAAATAAGGGGAGGACCATCTGAACCACCAGTATTGTTGATGGAATAGCCATCAATTGGGCTACATAATCTTCTGGGGCCTATCCTTTTTCATACCCTCTATCCATCTGGCAATGACATTGGGCCCCTGGCTGAGATGGATTAGAACACAGGCGGCATGTGACCCAGAGAAGGCTAAGATTTCTTTCCTGGGACTATAGAATAGACACTAAGAGACCCCAGCTTCAGGCTGCCCAGTTATCACAGTAAACAAATGGATGGCCATTTTCAGTTGTCATTTGGTAAAGACAGTCAGACTACAGCAAGAAAGAGGGAAAGACTAAATCCAAAGACAGGAGCAAAGAAAAGAGATGGAGAACATCCTGATGACATGTCAGGTTCAAGTTTGAGCCTGATGGTAGCTCTTTCCTGACCCTTGAGAACCATTAAATATTCCCTAGGCTTAAAATACAATGCCCCCTTCCAAGTTCTTGTAGTTCAAACTGATTTCAGTTGCTTATAACCAAAAGACTCCTAACTAAGAAGACCTAGTGTCTAACTTGTTTTATAGGACCACTGACACCCTCATGATATTTATGCCAGCTTCTTCCTCAAGGCCTTACCAGTTAATTATCTTCCTGGTAACAGAATGGTAAGAATCATAGAAAGTGTATTCTCTGGGGAAATATTATGTCCTGCAGACAAAGTTAAAAAGAAAGCTCAATTGTTGAGTATCTACTATACTCAGGCATGTTACCAGATCCAAACATTAGGTCTGAATCGCATATATTATGGGTTTTAAGAGGGATAATTAGATAGCATAAGTGGGTTACTTATGCTTTTGTGGACTGATCTATGAATGTTCAGCCCCTCTCCATAAAATCTATGACTACAAAGTCCATGCCATCAAAGAAAGAATCTTCACACCCTCTCTCTGAGTCATGCCATCATGGCTGTGTCTACTGGATATTACTGGCTGAACGGATGACCCTCTGCAGAACAGACAAGGAGAACCTATCAATTCTAAGAGACCCAGAGGCTGCCAGAATACAACACACCCACCTTCACTGGAAATGTCTTCATTCTTCTGCCTAGAGTGCTGAGAATTGTAACTTATTACTGAGCTAGAAGTCCTTTCTTATTCTCTCTGGGGTATAAATAAATTTTGCTTTGATTTTTGGATATCCAATGAGTCTCTTTTTGTTTATACAAAGCCCCACTCAGAGACAAGGTATCTGTTCACATTTATATCTTTAAAGCTAGCAAATGCATCATCAGATAGATGTAGACAAGGAATATTCTACAAATGGTCTTCCTTCCCAGCATGGTCAAGGAGGAAGACTGAGACTGAGAATGCCCAGCCTCTGGTTTGATAGTGGATATTCCTCACAGCTGTTACTTGTCTTAATGTTTCAATACCATGTGACTTTAAGAGGCTATGTCACAGACTGACCCCATGAAGATAACAAGGAAGAATAAAGTGTAATTTATCCTGAACCGAGGGGAGGACATGAGAAATGATCATAATTCATCTGTCACATGGACTAAGTAAAATGACCTTGTTGTTCTGGGTTCTACGAGGCATGTGCTCCAGGTTCCTATTGGCATTGGGAACACAGAAAGTGTGGTTTTGAATAGGTGAGGCATCTCCATGACCCAAACTGCTCTCTGAGGTCCAAAGAACATATTTTCTCTATCCCACAATCAGGGTGGGGTGCTATTTAACATCTGAAGATGTTCACGTCATATAATTGTAGCTAACATCTTCTCAGCACTGACCATATGCTCTGCCACTGTGCTGAACACATTATACGGATTGTCCAATTTCTCATAAAAACCTTGTGAGTTAATTCAATATTTTACACATAAGGAAACTGAAGCACAGAAAAATTAAATAAAACTTGTCCCACATAGGACATCAACCCAAAGAGCTTAATTCCAGAAACTGTGCCCTTAAGTGCCTAATTTATTCATGCTGATATCTGTATATCAGCCTGGAGATGCAAACATTTGGGACCAGGTAAAGAAGGTGAGGAAAGGAAGTAATATTTGAGTAATTATTATCTGTTTCTTATGTGAGAGCCACTTTATGTGCATTATTTTGCTTACATGTCAAAAATAATCCTGTGAAGCTCTGAGATTAAGTGACTTGCTCATTATTAAGTGGCTAAAACCGGAGTCTGTATTTGAACTCACATATTCCTGGCTGCAAAGCAGGAATTCTTTCTACTTTTTAAATGTTTCCTTGTGTGTTTTTTTTTAAAGCACTACACAAATCACATAAATGACAAAATCAAAATCCCAGGAACTTATTTGAAAGTTTAGCTAAACCAATTGAAATAACTTGAGACAGATATATTTAACTTGGTGCTAGTCTTCATAACACCTCCTTCTCCCTCAAAAAAAGTCATTTTCCTACCTCATAGTTAAGAGGATATACTCCTATTTTTTACTCTAGAAAGTTTCAGGTTTTACATTTAAGTCTATAATACATCTCAAATTAATTTTTGTCAATGGTGTGAGGTAGGGCTGTCAAGTTCTTCTATAGGCTTATTCAGATGCTGCACAAAATCTAACCAACCAAATATATGTAAATCCATTTCTGCACATTATTTTGTTCCATTTGTCCAGTTGTCTATCTTTATACAAATACCATGCTGTCTTTATTATTGTAACTTTATAGTATGACTTGAAATAAGATGGTTGAAAACCTCTACCTTTTTTGTTTTTGAGATTGTTTTAGCTATTAATAGTCGTTTACATTCCCAGATAGATTTTAAAATTGATTTGTCAATTTCTATTAAAAAGCCTGTTGAGATTTTCATTTGAGATTATGTTAAATCTGGAGATCAATTTGGGGAGAATGGACATCTTGACTACACTAAGTTTACTGACCTAAGAACATAGTATGTCTCTTTATATCTCTGTATTTATTTAGGGCTTTATCAATTTCTCTCAGAAATATTTTATATACCATATTTAGTATACAAAAGTTATAATATTTTTTTTTCTTTTTTTTTTTTTGAGACGGAGTCTCGCTGTGTGGCCCAGGCGGGAGTGCAGTGGCGCAATCTCGGCTCACTGCAAGCTCCGCCTCCAGGGTTCACGCCATTCTCCTGCCTCAGCCTCCCGAGTAGCTGGGAGTACAGGCGCCCACCATCACGCCCGGCTAATTTTTTTTGTATTTTTAGTAGAGACGGGGTTTCACCGTGTTAGCCAGGATGGTCTCGATCTCCTGACCTCGTGATCCGCCCGCCTCGGCCTCCCAAAGTGCTGGGATTACAAGCGTGAGCCACCGCGCCCGGCCAAGTTATAATATTTTTGTTAAAGATATTTCTAAATGTTTTTGATGTCATTGCAAATTTTATTTTTTTAGTTTTATTTTTCTATTGATAGTTGCCAGTACATAGAAATTTTATTGAGTTTTGTATATTGACATTGTATCCTCCAACTTTAATAAATTTGCTTATTAACTGTATTAATTGTCTTAGAGATTCATTAGGATTTTTGTGTAAACAATTATACTGTCTGAAAATAAAGATAGTTTTACTTTTTCCTTTCCAATCTTTTAATATTTCTTTTATTTATTTTCTTACCTGATTGCATAAGCTAGGACTTCTAGCACAATATTGAATTGTTGAGAGTGGTCATCCTTGCCTTATGCTTGATCTTAGAGGGGAAGCATTAATTCTGTAGGTTTTTCGCAAACACTGTTAACCAAATTGAGGAAGTTTTTTCTTTATTACAGTTTGTTATGTTTTTATTGTGAATTATTACAAAATCATTGCTGTATTTTGCCAAATGCTTTCTTTTTAAACCTGTTGAGTTGATCATATGCTTTCTTTCCTTTATGTTATCAGTGTGGTTACATACATTGATAGATATATTAATAAAATTTAAACGAATCTTACATTCCTGAAATCAACCCCACTTGGTCATTACACATCATCCTTTTTATATATTATTGAACTTGATTTGCTCATGTTTTAGAAGATATTTTTCTCTATTCATGAGTAATATTACTTTATAATTTTTTTAAAATAACTTTATCAGATTTTTCTCTCTGAGATATGCTGGCCTTAAAAAACGAATTGTAAATGCTCCCTCTTTTATTATTTTCTGAAAGATATTGTATAAGATTGAAATACTTCTTCCTTAAACATCACATAAAATGCACCAGTGAGTCCATTCATACCTTAAGTATTCTTCATGGGGTAGTTATCCAGCTAGTCTATTTCTTTATGAAAGTTGTATGAAATTTATAGTAATAATGTTCATATTCCTTTTGTTATCCTTTTTCATTCTCAGTATTTTTGACTTATGGTTTCTATTTTTCTTAATCATCCTAGAGGTGACTTTTGACTTTGTAAATTTTCTCCATTTTTGTCTTTTTCGCATTAATTTCTGCTCTTGTCTTCAATATTTCCTTTCTTTCATTTAATTTGGGTTTAATTTTATCTTCTCTTTCTACCTTTTTAAGGTGGGAAATGAGACCATTGAGTTTTACATCTTTTTTTTTGTTCCTTTTCCAATATAAACACATAAAGCTATAAACGTCCATCTAGCATGCTCTGGGAACATCTCACAAATTTAGATATGTTTTATTTTTATCATTCAGGTAAAAACATTTTCTAACTTTTTTTTATCCTTAATCAAATTTGTTACATAAAAATATGATGCTCAATTTTTGAATTTTTAATTTTTTTTATTTTTATTTTTTATTATACTTTAAGTTCTGGGATACATGTGCAGAACATGCAGGTTTGTTACATAGGTATACACGTGCCATGGCAGTTTGCTGTACCCATCAACCCATCATCTACATTAGGCATTTCTCCTAATGCTATCCCTCCCCTAGCCCACCACCCCCCGACAGGCCCCAGTGTGTGAGGTTCCCCTCTCTGTGTCCATGTGTTTTCATTGTTCAACTCCCACTTATGAGTGAGAACATGGGGTGTTTGGTTTTCTGTTCCTGTGTTACTCTGCTGACAATGATGGTTTCCAGCTTCATCCATGTCCCTGAAAAGGACATAAACTCATCCTATTTTATGGCTGCATAATATTCCATGCTGTGTATGTGCCACATTTTCTTTATCCCGTCTATCATTGATGGGCATTCGGGTTGGTTCCAAGTCTTAGCTATTGTGAACAGTGCTGCAATAAACATACATGTGCATGTGCCTTTATAGTAGAATGATTTATATTTTGTGTATATACCCAGTAATAGGATTGCTGGGTCAAATGGTATTTCTGGTTCTAGATCCTTGAGGAATAGCCATACTGTCTGCCACAATGGCTGAACTAATTTACACTCCCACCAACAGTGTAAAAGCATTCCTATTTCTCCACATTCTCTTCAGCATCAGCTGTTTCCTGACTTTTTAATGATCGCCATTCAAACTGGTGTGAGATGGTATCTCATTGTGGTTTTGACAATTGCTACAAGGGAATAAAATACCTAGGACTACAACTTACAAGGGATGTGAAGGACCTCTTCAAAGAGAACTGCAAACCACTGCTCAAGGAAAATAAGAAAGGACACAAACAAATGGAAAAACATTCCATGCTCATGGATAGGAAAAATCAGTAGTGTGAAAATGGCCATACTGCCCAAAGTAATTTGTAGATTCAATGCTATCCCCATCAACCTACCACTAACTTTCTTCACAGAATTAGGAAAAAAAAAAAATCTACCTTAAACTTCATATGGAAAAAAAAAAGAGCCCATATAGCCAAGACAATCCTAAGCAAAAGAACAAAGCTGCAGGCATCACACTACCTGACTTCAAACTATACTTCAAGGCTACAGTAATCAAAACAGCATGGTACTGGTACCAAAACAGATACATAGACCAGTGGAACAGAACAGAGGCCTCAAAAATAAAATCACACATCTACAACCATCTGATCTTTGACAAACCTGACAAAAACCAGCAATGGGGAAAGGATGCCCTATTTAATAAATGGTGTTGGGAAAACTGGCTAGCCATATGCAGAAAACTGAAACTGGACCCCTTCCTTACACCTCATACAAAAAACGAACTCAAGATGGATTAAAGACTTAAATGTAAGACCTAAAACCATAAAAACCCTAGAAGAAAACCTAGGTGATATCATTCAGGACATAGGCATGGGCAAAGACTTCATGATGAAAACACCAAAAGCAATGGCAACAAAAGCAAAAATTGACAAATGAGATCTAACTAAATGAAAGAGCTTCTGCACAGCAAAAGAAACTATCATCAGAGTGAACAGGCAACCTACAGAATGGGAGAAAATTTTTGCAATCTATCCATCTGACAAAGGGTTAATATCCAGAATCTACAAAGAACTTAAACAAATTTACAAGAAAAAAACAACCCCATCAAAAAGTGGGCAAAGGATATGAACAGACACTTCTCAAAAGAAGATATTTATGCTGCCAACAAAGATATGAAAAAAAGATCATCACTCGTCATTAGGATTTTTCATTTTTAAATAGCTTATTATTATTTCTAATTTAATTCCTTTGTTAGCAGAGCACATGCTACAAAAAAATTAAGTCTCTTGTGTTTTACTGAGATGTAGTTTATTTGAGACCACTATATGGTCTATTTTGGTGAACTTCCATGTGTACTTTACAAGGATGTGTATTTTGTTGTTATAGTAGTCTATTAATGGCAAGTTAAATTAGGTTTATAATAATCTTGTTCTAATCTTCTATATCGTTACTGATTTACAAATCATCTATTTGTCCTGTGAATTACACCACGAAATATGCTAACTTCTCAATTAGGATTGTGGGTTTTTCTGTTCCTCGTTTTTGTTTTGTCACTTCTTTTCTATGTGTATTTTGAAGCACCGTTATTGGTTGCATACAATTTTAGAATTGTTATTTCTTTCTGGGAGGCTGAGGTGGGCAGATCACAAAGTCAAAAGTTCGAGACCAGCCTGGCCAACATGGTGAAACCCCATCTCTACTAAAAATAAAAAAATTAGCCAGGCATGGTGGTGGGCGCCTGTAATCCCAGCTACTTGGGAGGCTGAGGCAGGAGAATTGCTTGAACCCAGGAGGCAAAGGTTGCAGTAAGCCGAGATCGCACCACTGCACTCCAGCCTGGGCAACAGAGTGAGACTCTGTCTCAAAGAGGAAAAAAAAAAAGAGTTGTTATTTCTAACGAGCTGACACTCTTATTATGAAGTGTCTATGTTTCTGATAGCATTCCTAAGACTGATGCCTATTTAATCCGACAGTAGTATAGCAACAAGAATTTCCTTGAGCTTAATGTCTTTATGGTATATCTTTTTCTACACTATTATTTTCAACTTACTTCTTTCTTCGTATTTATAGGGAATCTCTCATAGACATATGTTGATTCTTGTTGCCACTTGCTAAAAAATAAGTTTAACAATCACTGTCTTTTATTTGGACTCTTTAGACCATTTACATTCAACTTATTTGTTTATGTTGTTAGATTTAAGGATACATCTTGTTATTTGGCCCATCTATTTTTATCCTTCCCTTAGTCTGCTTGCCTCCTTTTGGGATAAGTCTTTATTTTATTTTTTATTACTTTAAATATTCCCTTTCATTAGCTTCACTAGATTTTGTGTTATACTTCTCTGTATTATTCTGGAGGTTCTTCTAGAGATTGTGAGTCTTTAAATAATACTATATTTAGAGTTTTGACTTTATATAGCATGTACAAAGTTTGCAAAAATATAATTCTATTCCCTCTCCCTCTCCCTCCTCTCCCTCCTCTCCCTCCTCTCCCTCCTCTCCCTCTCCCTCTCCCTCTCCCCACGGTCTCCCTCTCATGCTGAGCCGAAGCTGGACTGTACTGCTGCCATCTCGGCTCACTGCAACCTCCCTGCCTGACTCTCCTGACTCAGCCTGCCGAGTGCCTGCGATTGCAGACTCACGCCGCCTCGCCTGACTGGTTTTGGTGGAGACGGGGTTTCGCTGTGTTGGCCAGGCCGGTCTCCAGCCCCTAACCGCACGTGATCCACCAGCCTCGGCCTCCTGGGGATTGCAGATGGAGTCTCGTTCACTCAGTGCTCAATGGTGCCCCGGCTGGAATGCAGTAGCGTGATCTCGGCTCGCTACAACCTCCACCTCCCAGCCGCCTGCCTTGGCCTCCCAAAGTGCCGAGATTGCAGCCTCTGCCCGGCCGCCACCCCGTCTGGGAAGTGAGGAGCATCTCTGCCTGGCCGCCCATCATCTGGGATGTGAGGAGCCCCTCTGCCTGGCTGCCCAGTCTGGAAAGTGAGGAGCGTCTCCGCCCGGCCGCCATCCCACCTAGGAAGTGAGGAGCACCTCTGCCCGGCCGCCATCACATCTAGGAAGTGAGGAGCGTCTCTGCCCGGCTGCCCATCGTCTGAGATGTGGGGAGCGCCTCTGCCCCGCCGCCCCGTCTGGGATGTGAGGAGCACCTCTGCCCGGCCGCAACCCCGTCTGGGAGGTGAGGAGCATCTCTGCCCGGCCACCCCGTCTGAGAAGTGAGGAGCCCCTCCGCCTGGCAGCCGCCCCGTCTGGGAAGTGAGGAGCCCCTCCGCCCGGCAGCCGCCCCGTCTGGGAAGTGAGGAGCGTCTCCGCCCGGCAGCCACCCCATCCGGGAGGGAGGTGGGGGGGTCAGCCCCCTGCCCGGCCAGCCGCCCATCCGGGAGGGAGGTAGGGGGGTCAGCCCCCCGCCAGGCCAGCCGCCCCGTCTGGGAGGGAGGTGGGGGCATCAGTCAGCCCCCCGCCCGGCCAGCCACCCCATCCAGGAGTGACGTGGGGGGGTCAGCCCCCCGCCCGGCCAGCTGCCCCGTCCAGGAGGTGAGGGGCGCCTCTGCCCGGCCACCCCTACTGGGAAGTGAGGAGCCCCTCTGCCCGGCCAGCCGCCCCGTCCGGGAGGGAAGTGGGGGGGTCAGCCCCCCGCCCGGCCAGCCGCCCCATCTTGGAGGGAGGTGGGGGGATCAGCCCCCCGCCCGGCCAGCCGCCCCGTCCGGGAGGGAGGTGGGGGGGTCAGCCCCTCGCCCGGCCAGCCGCCCCATCCGGAAGGGAGGTGGGGGGGTCAGCCCCCCGCCAGGCCAGCCGCCCCGTCCGGGAGGGAGACGGGTGGGGGGGTCAGCCCCCCACCCGGCCAGCCGCCCCGTCCGGGAGGTGAGGGGTGCCTCTGCCCGGCCGCCCCTACTGGGAAGTGAGGAGCCCCTCTGCCCGGCCAGCCGCCCCATCCGGGATGGAGGTGGGGGGGTCAGCCCCCCGCCTGGCCAGCCGCCCCATCCGGGAGGTGAGGGGCGCCTCTGCCCGGCCGCCCCTACTGGGAAGTGAGGAGCCCCTCTGCCCGGCCAGCCGCCCCATCTGGGAGAGAGGTGGGGGGGGTCAGCCCCCCGCCCGGCCAGCCGCCCCGTCCGGGAGGGAGGTGGGGGGGTCAGCCCCCCGCCCGGCCAGCCCCCCCATCCGGGAAGTGAGGGGCGCCTCTGCCCGGCCGCCCCTGCTGGGAAGTGAGGAGCCCCTCTGCCCGGCCACCACCCCGTCTGGGAGGTGTGCCCAACAGCTCATTGAGGGCAGGCCAGGATGACAATGGCGGCTTTGTGGAATGGAGAGGCGGGAAATGTGGGGAAAAGATTGAGAAATCGGATGGTTGCTGTGTCTGTGTAGAGAGAGGTAGACATGGGAGACTTTTCATTTTGTTCTGTACTGGGAAAGGTTCTTCTGCCTTGGGATCCTGTTGATCTGTGACCTTACCCCCAACCCTGTGCTCTCTGAAACATGTGCTGTGTCCACTCAGGGTTGAATGGATTAAGGGCGGTGCAAGATGTGCTTTGTTAAACAGATGCTTGAAGGCAGCATGCTCGTTAAGAGTCATCACCACTCCCTAATCTCAAGTACCCAGGGACACAAACACTGAGGAAGGCCGCAGGGTCCTCTGCCTAGGAAAACCAGAGACCTTTGTTCACTTGTTTAGCTGCTGACCTTCCCTCCACTATTGTCCTAAGACCCTGCCAAATCCCCCTCTGTGAGAAACACCCAAGAATTATCAATAAAAAATAAATAAATAAATAAATAAATTAAAAAATATATATATATAATTCTATTTATCTCCTTCCTTTCTTTGAGGTATAGGTATATGTGTACTATACACAAACACACACACACACTAATATATACACACATATATATACTCTTTATACATACTAATATATACTTACATAGTTCCCCCAATACAAGTTTTTATTTTGGCTTTAAATAATCAGTTGTCTTCTTTTAAAAAAAGAACAGTTTAAAAATAGACTTTTCACTTATTCATTTAAATTTTTTAATGTTTATCCATAAACTTATAATTTTTATTGATCTTTTTTCCTGAAGATCTAAGTTTTCATTTGGTATGATTTTTCATCGGCCCAAAGAACTTTCTTCAGCATTTGTCATAGTGTAGATCTTTTGGTGAAGAATTACCTTAGCTATCATTTAACTAAAAATGTTATGTCACTCTCAATTTAAAAAAATATTTTTGCTGAATATAAAATTCTAGGTTGACTTTTTTTCTTTACACACTTTAAAAATGCCATTTTACTGTCTTCTAGATGCTATTGTTTCGAATTACGAATCAGAGACCATTCATATCCTTTTCCCTGTGTGTAATATGTTATTTTTCTCTGTATGCTTCTAAGATTTTCTGTTTATCTTTCGTTCTCAACAGTTTCATTATGATGCGTGTAAGTGCCTTTTTTTGTATGTATCTGGCTTTGTGTTCACTAAGCTTCTTGGGTCCATAGGCTAACAATTTTTATCAAATTTGGAAATTTTCAGCCATTAGTTATTAAAATAATTTTTCTGTCTCATCTGGTTTTTCTTTTTCTATGATTTCAAAGTGTGAGGATCACTCGAGGCCATGAGATTGAGACCGGTCTGGGCACCATAGCAAGATCCCTTCTCTACATTTTTTTAAATTATTATTAGTCAGGCCTGATGGTATACACCTATAGTCTTGTCTACTCATGAGGCTGAAATGAGAGGATTCAAGGCTGTAGGGAGCTATGATAGTGACAGAGTGAGACCTCATCTCTAAAGAAAAAAAAAGAGTATTCCTTTCCAAAAGGATCACGGCCCTGTGCCAAATGCTCCCCAACAGCTAGAAACAGTTATCTTACATATTTCATTGCTTTTTATAGTTACTGATGATAGGAAGGTGAGTTCAGTGTGAGTTACTCCACCATGCCCAAAAGTAGCCTTCTGTACTTTTCAATAGAAACAAGTAAAAGTTTTATATGTAGAACTTACTAAATGTAACTTACTAAATGTAAAGTTTACATTGTAGAAACTTTTGAAAATATAAGGGAAGGATGAACAATAAAATCACAAGTCTAGAAGAGAATAAAGGGATCCAGCACCTCATAGTAACAGGACTTTCTACTCTTCAGAGCTAATGTCATCAACCTAGTGATCTAGTCTCTTCTGGACATACACACATTTTAACAATATTCTAATGATTCCTTACATACAAATGTTTATCTTCCTATTTTTCACTTAACATAAGAATAAATTTTTCCATGACATTCAGTATCTTTTGAAAACATTGTTTTTTTATGTCTACAGATGTTCTGTCATTTGTACTGGACATAATTTAACCACTTTTGGCATGCATTCCATTCCCACATTTTTAATATTTATAAATAAAGTTGTATTGAACATATTTGTATATAAATAGTCATATGCATTTCTGACTTTTCCCCCAAGAAGAAAAATTACTGTGTCAAAGAGTATGAACTTTACTTAGGCTCTCTACATTATTCTTCCAAATTACTTTCCATAATGATTCTTTATGGGATAGATACAAATATAACTTAAACTCCTCTTCAGTGCTACATTAATGTTTATTTTTCTGCATTCTTGCCAAATCTAAACATACTATTTTTAAATCTTTGTGAATTTTACAGCTAACATGCCTCTTTATTCGCATGGCAATTTACCTTAATTTACGTACCAGTGAGGCTGCATATTTTTGTCTATGGTTATTCACATTTCTTTTGCATCCTGCCTTTTTTGTATCTTTAGCTCAAGATGAATAAGAACGTAGTGATTTTCTTCCCTTAGTGATTGATATGTGTAAGGTCTCTTAATTTTTAAAAATCCTTTGCCAGAAAAAGTTCTGATATTTGACAAGTTCAATACATTTGTTTATATAATTTATACTTACAAATGTTATAAATTTCATATATTTATAATTGTATATAATTTATATATATTATATACATTTATAATTATATATAATTTACATATACATTATATAAATTTGTAAATGTAATAATTATCAATTTATTTGTATACTTATAAATTATATTTGTACATATAATTTATTAATAACATATATAAATTTGTAAGTATACATACATATATATATATATATATAGAGAGAGAGAGAGAGAGAGAGAGAGCTTCTCTTCTTAGGGAGCTTACGGTGAAACAGTCAATACTGCCTGCAAATAACTGCAGTGCCACAATACTCTAAGGGAACTCAAATGAACTGCTATGGCAATTCGGTTAAGAAAGAGAATGTTTCCAGCTAAAAGAAGCAGGAAATGCTTCAAAAGAGATGTTGCTTTGTAGCTATGCCTGTATGTATGAATGACAACAGTGGATCACAACCTTTTTTTTTTTTTTCACTTTTATTTTAGGTTCACGGGTACACGTACAGGTATGTTATATAGGTAAACTCATGTCACAGGAGTTTGTTGTACAGAGTATTTCATCACCTAGGTGCTAAAACTAGTTATTTTTTCTGCTTGTCTCCTTCCTTCCCCGATCTCTCACCCTCGGTAGGCCCCAGTGTCTATCATTCTCTTTGTGTCTATGTGTTCTCATCATTCAGTTCCCACTTATAAGAGAGAACAGGTGGCATTTGTTTTTCTGTTCTTGCATTAGTTTGCTAAGGATAATGGTCTTCAGCTCCATCCATGTTGCCACAAAGGACATAATCTTGTTCTTTTTATGACTTCATAGTATTCCATGGTGTATAAGTACCACGTTTTCTTTATCCAATCTGTCATTGATCACAAACTTTAAGGTACATCAGTGTCACATGAAGGCCTTGTCTAAACAGACATTGCTGGTCTGAGGTGGGGCCTGAGAATTTTCATTTCTAACATGCTCCCAGCACCACTCAGAGCCCTGACTTTGAGAACAATTAAACAAAGAAAACTTGGGAAGAATGCATTAAGTATTCCTAAGAGAGAAAGCACAAGTGTTAGAGAGAAATCAGAACTATTACATAAGCGAAAAACAATTCATAGAGAAAAACAGTCTGAACAAAAATTGGAGGGTTTGTTTGCTTGTTTTGAGAAAAGGCCTCACTCTGTTGCCCACACTGACATGCAGTGGCATGACCATAGCTCACTGCAGTCTCGAACTTTTGGGCTCACACTTGAGCCTCAGCCTCCTGAGTAGCTGGGACTATGGACACATGTAACCATGCCAGCTGAAAACGTGATTGGGTCCTGAGACAAACGAAACCAACACAGCTCTTTAGGGTTCTTCTCCCTCCCTAAATTATAAAAATCTATAGGGAATCAAAGGCACTCTTCAAATCTCCAAGGACTATATTTTACCCCAGGTTTATATACAAGGTAAGTCTATTCGCAGCAAAGGGAAAGAAGTATGTCCCATCATCAGTAATTTTTAGCCACACTGAAGTTCATCCTATACTAACACTTTTTTTAATCCGTTCACTTTTTAGTGTTTAACTTATTTTAAAATTAACTTTATTTTTAAATGCACTACACTAAGTAAATAACGGGGGAAATTTTCTCTGAATTAAAAGGTACCTGTAAAAATCAACAGCATGAAAATAAAACTTTATTATTAAATTTTAATTTGATATCATTGCTGGCAATAGCTTCTAAGCCTGATGTCTGCCCAATATTTGCTTAAAAGGAGACATTAAGAGAAATCAGAAAGAAGTGTTGCCTGATAAAATACAAAATGCCTAGTTAAATTTGAACTTCACATAAACAGCAGGTACTTTTTATGTACAAGTATGCCCTGTGCACTATTTGGGACACACTTATACTAGAAGTATATTTATTATTTATCTGAAATTCAAATTTTACTAGATGTCCTGCATTTTTATTTGCTAAATTTGGCAACCCTGGAAAGAGATTAACACTATGTACTGGCATCACATGGATCATTTCTCCTAGACATATTCAGAAATGTAGAAAGAGAATTGGAAAGAAAATCATTGTCTTATGATGTGTCAGTATTATCTAATGCCTTGTGTAGGTGCCAACTAAAGTGGAGAGGGTACCTCCAGGGATAAGGAAGGGTCCTTCACTTCGTAAAATGCTGTCCTGAAACGTGGATGGAAAACAGAGAATAGATTTTCAGACCATCTTGGACTCTCCATAGGCAAGATTGGCATCTCTGCTTTGAAAATATCAATTAATCTAACTTTTGCTTACCGGAGGAAAATCTAAATCCCTCTGGGGACCCTAAAGGGGGTTTCAGGAAAGAACAAAATGGGAGATTAGTAGCTAAATTCTCAAGCAATTAGTTTGACTAATGGGGAAACTGTATATACAAACGGCTGGGCTTTTAAACCAACTTTCTTTAAGATAACCATCAAATTCCTAGATATCAATTGAGGTTAACAAAAATAAAAAAAATAAAAACTGTTTGTTTGCCTGCAAAGTTTTTTCCTTTCTAATATTAATTCCTTATCATCAAAATGCCTACTAATGAATACTTTCTCATAAACAATATGCAACCTAAGAAACGCATAAGGTTATGTTCCAATTTGTGTTATATATTCTTGTGTCTGAGTGGAGTGCCCCTCCAATTAGTGTCTCAGATTTGTGTACTTTTTCTCCCACAAAAGGAGACTCAAGGAAAGCATGGTGCCTGCTAAAATGGATGGCAAGAGTAAAGATTACAATGTATATCCATTCTCTAAGTACCCAGAATGTTGACTCTTCCAGAGCCATCAGATCTCTTCACCTCCTTGCCTGGATCATCTCAAGCTCTGGAAAGTCTGAGCAGGTTGTATGATTGAGAGTTAAATAAGGGGAACATGGGCAGATTGTCAACAAGCACTAAAGGTACTTCAACTAAAAATTAAGTAAGGGTTATTTGCAAGGGAATGAACGAAAGGCCCCTGATCTAAGCAGGGTACACTTGGAGTAAACTAGTAGATTACATAGCCATCACATAAACACACCAAAATGTAAAAAAATAAAGGAAATATTCTTGCTAACATCATGGCAGATGGTTTACATTAGCCAGCAAATGTAAATGATAGATCACTCCCACTTTACAGGGGCTGAAACTGAGGCAAGGAAAAGCAGTGACTTACCCCATTTCTATTGCCTGCAAATCCTGCCCCACAGTAAACAGAAAAGATGGGAAAGACAACCGGACATGGTGACTCACGCCTGTAATCCCAGCAGTTTGGGAGGCCGATGTGGGCAGATCACCGACATCAGGAGTTAAAGACCAGCCTGACCAACATGGACAAATCCCGTCTCTACTGAAAATACAAAATTAGCCGGGCGTGGTGGTGCATGCCTGTAATCCCAGCTACTTGGGAGGCTGAGGCAGGAGAATCGCTTCAACTCGGGAGGCAGAGGTTGCAGTGAGCCAAGATCACACCACTGCACTCCAGCCTGGACAACACGAGTGAAAGCTCGTCTCAAAGAAAAAAAAAAAAAAAAAAAAAAAAAAAAGGGAAAGACAGTGTCTTCTAGCCCCAGGCTGTCTTCAACAGCCAGACTTCTTGGCCACTCCCTCCTCATAGTGGAGACAGGAGGCTAAGCTTGGCGACACCAGCTGCTTCAATGACTCAACCTGCTTTGTTCTTGTGGCACACTCAACAAACAATCTTCTGATGGCAATTTGGCTTTCCCTGCAACCATTCAAATGCCAGAAATTGGGGAGTGGTGCCACCAGGAGCTTCTTAGTCTGTAAAGCAGTGATAAGCTTGCAACGTTCTGAGCTTGCAACAATGAAAACTAGATCTTGGATCATGTTGATCAAAGGCTGGTTTTGTCAGAGGCGTTTGAACCAGAGCAACTCCATCTTGAATAGGTGCTGGGTCAAATAAGGCTGAGACCTACTGGGCTGCACTCCCAAAGGTTAGGCATTCTAAGTCACAGGATGAGATAGGAGGTCAGCACAAAATACAGGTCACAAAGACCTTACTGATAAAACAGTATGTGGTAAAGGAGCTGGCCAAATCCCACCAAAACCAAGAAGGCAATGAAAGTGACATCTGATCATCCTCACTGCTCATTACATGCTAATCATAATTCATTAGCATGCTAAGAGACACTCCCACCAGCATCATGATTGGTCACAGATGCCATGGCAATGTCTGAAAGTTACCCTATATGTTCTAAAAAAGGGAGGACCCCTCAGTTCTTTGAACTGCCCACCCCTTTCCCAGAAAACTCATTAATGATCGCTTGTTTAGCACATAATCAAGAGACAACAATAAAAATAGTCAACCAGCAGCCCTCAGGGCTGCTCTGCCTATAGAGTAGCCATTGTTTTGTTTCTTTACTTCTCTAAAAACTTGCTTTCACTTTATGGATTTGCCTCCAATTCTTTCTTGTGTGAGATCCAAGAACCTCTCTTGGGGTCTGGATAGGGATCCCTTTCCGGTAACAGTTTCTCCTCTTCCTGGCCTGCCCTATAAACAACATATGGGGGCTTTCTTGCTCATGCATTCTCTCTTTTCTTCCTCTCTCTTTGCAGATCAGGAAGCCTGAGGAATAGATTTGTGAGTGGGAAAAGCCTTGTTTTGCGCCCAGCCCATCCAAATACACCTTTGCCCTCATGGTTGTTAATTTCCAGGAAGAAACTCAATTTGGAAAAGGCTTTTAAATGCTCCTCATACCCTTTCTTTCAGATTCTAGATTACAACACCCCCATGGGTACCAGCGGAGGACAAGGACCATGAATATTCCACGTCTGTCTGAAACCTTTATCAAGCAGAGGTCAAGAACAGCTCTTTCCTTTTCAAAATTCAAGGCAAATGTCCAAAATTTTCAACCATGCGGATTTTTAAAGCAACAAAATTGAGACTGTCTTACCACCTAGAATTTCATGATTGCTCATTTATTCCATCACTGTATAAGCAGTTGTTCTATTATTTTATAAAAAGAAATGGAGTTGAATTAAGACTATCAAGCTATACCTTATATTAATGGAAGACAAGATTCACAGTTTAAATATTTTTTTCTTAGTTTAGCTTATTAGTCTTTTCTAAATTATCCTAATCACCAAGTATTATACTTACATATTCTGAAGTATTTAAAAGCATAAATAAGAATGAAAAGCAGCCCCAGGCAGCTTCTTGCATTACATCTGGGCAACTGCTGACATTCTAGGATCAAAAACTGAAACTAATATATCTACTTAGTCTGGTAGTAGACAAGGCAGCCTTCATTCTGACTTCTGCCCAACAGACAGGAGAGAGGAGTTTACTTTTGGTCTGAGGGGACTGCCCTGAGATCAAGTTTTTCCCCAATAGGCACCACGTTGCAATTTTCACTGTGTGAAGGGCTAGCGGGTCAACCCCAAGGTCCGACCAGGTGGTGACAGATAAGTGAGTTCCTCTAGGGACCCAACATGTACCTCCCACCAACCCAGAAGACCTGGCCTGACTGTTGCTGGGATCCAGCCAGCCATTCCAGAGGGCCAGGCCATCCCTACTTTGTGTCAATCAACCCTTCTCTCAAGTTAATGTCTGTCTGCGGGATGCCAGCCAGAAAGGTATCTCTGATTGGTTTTAGGGCTTATCTCAGGACTAACCTTGGGGACAGGCAGTCTCCAGGCTTTGAGGGATTTTCCTGTAAATTGCCTGGATAACAAACCCACAAAAACATCCAGCTTTGAGTTAAAACAATAACAACAACCAAAAATTGCTTTTCCTGCTCGCTTAGGCATTTTGCTGGTGGGGAAGGAGTTGCACATGCTAGTTTATTAAATGTTCACAACAATCAGTACCTTAAGCTATACTATAAGGGCTATTTTAGGGGTGATGGTGGGGGCGGAGGTGGATGTAAGTCTTAGATTGAATGAATTGCCAGAGACTCAAAGCTAGAAACTGACCAAGGAGAGAGTTTCTTTAACCACCATCAGCTTCAAGCTGACTCTCCTGGTATAAAGCTTTGAGATTCTAAAGACTCTGTGCCCAGCAGATGTGAGCAGCCATTGGCATACAAAATGGTCCCATCCTTATGTTGCTATTTCTGCTTCAGCCCTTTATTTTCTTCTAGCTCTTTCTTTCATTTCCCGTGTGATCTTGGGCAAGTCTCCTAATTCCTTTGACTCTCACTTTCCTCAGCAGTACAACCACAGTTCTTTCCCAGATCACAAGAATTTAAAAACGAAATGACTATGACCAGATGTGAGAGGCAGTTAAACCTGCTGTAGTGAAGAGTTTTGAGCCTGGGAGTAGATTGGCAGCACTGGAATCCCATCTCTTTGACCTTGGGCAAGTGACCTAAAGATCTGTTCCTCAGTGGAGAAAAAGGAATTTGTACCTCATAGGACTGTTGTACCTTTTAAGTAAATTACTGTATTAAAGGGGCTTGAAATAATTCCTTGCACGCTCTATGTTAAGTTGCTATTATTTTGTTCTAAATAAAATCGCCTTAGCGCAATCAACAACACATGTTAGATGCTAAGTAATGGGCAGTGATGCACCCTAGTCTTTTGTTGGCAAAAAGATGAGAATGAGAGCACCATTTCATGGGCCATGGGCTGATGTCAATTTCATACCAAACATGATATAACATAACTTTGAGAAGCCAACAGGACAGCAACCCCAGACCTCCAGACCACTATTTCAGTGTCTTGCAGTGATTCCTCCCATCCTTCCAGAGCCTCCACAGAGGCTCAGCTGCCCTGAAGGCAGAGGCAGGGCTAGCCTGAAGCCGAGGAAATGCCTGTGTAACTCAAGGGAGGAACAGCCAGGGATTCAACTGTGTAGGTCTGGGCTTCTGGAAGAGTTACTCCTCACCTCACTCCCCAGGGTCAAACTCAAAAAAAAACTTCATGCAAAAAAGCAATTTACTTAGCCAGTCACTTTCTAGATTTGCTCAGCAATTATTTCAGCTATTTGTGTTTAAATGAGAGTTTTCTCCGTTCCTGCCCAGTGTCTTTCTGCTTCATTGGGTGCGGAAGCCTTGGCAGCATTTTCCCTCCTGATAGCTGAACTTTCGCCATCACGGAGGCTGGGGGAAGTGGGAGAGCAGCTAAGGAAAAGCAAAAGTTGCAGGTTCTGAGAGTTTCTGAGACCATAAGGGCAGTGGTTAAAGAATGGAGAATGGGCCGCAGAGTCACCTGCCTGGAAGTTTAATAACAGTAGATATTTGTGGCACTTTTCCTAGAGTTTCTGACTCAGTAGGTTTGGGGCAGGGGCAGTGATGTGGTGATAAATACTTAGCAACCAGCTCTCTGGAAAAATATGTAAATAGCCCTGATTGGTGAATTTTCAGATTCCCTAGTACCAGTACTCCCATCATGACCAGTTTCAAGCTACTAATTTGATGTCACTGAACAAAGTAGGGAAGAGATGTGCGCAGTAAGCTCTTCTGCGCTGCTAAGAGCTGGTTCCTGGACACCACTGAGTCAAGGCCAGTAATCTCATGTTTATTAACTTCTCCTGGGTGATTCTGACACAGTGAGTACTGTAACAGGCTTTTTAGGAGTAGGAGAAATAGAGATAGAAAAGCACTATAAGTTTGAGCCTAGAGCTGAGATTAATTTGTTTGGGGCAGTTGATACATATTCATGTGCCACCATCACTATTTTTTGTCATATTCATGTGTATGCTGTACTATCTGTTGCTTATTGCTTACTTTTAATCTACTCATTATTTTATCCTTTCTTTTAATTACATGGTATAAGAAACTATAATCACCACCTTAAGTGTAAAACTATTACTAGTTGCTATAAATAAAAAGTAAATGTAAAGAGCTTATAATAAAAGCCATATTGTTAAATTCTAGTTATATACCATTTTCTATCTAACGTTCTGAGCCTGAGGTCTGTTTTCCCTTTGTGAACAAATGTTGGAGTGGCATTAAAGTTCTATTACCACCAAATGGTGACATTCTCCTTCAGATAATTAGATTGGAAAGTAGTTGAAAAGGGAGTAAAGTTTTCTCTAGAAAAACAAGTTACATAAAGCAGGATACTAGCACAGCTGAAAACATTTCCCATTCCAGGGCAAGCCAAATAACTGAGCCTCAACTCACTGAGCCTTCTTGAAAATGGGAAGGATTAAGGTTTAGGGTGGTGGTGATGAGGAGGAAGAGGATGACAGTAATGCTGATGAAGTTGATGATGATGATGGCGATAGTAATGGTGATGAAGCTGATGGTGATGGTGATAGTGATGGTGACGAAGTTGATGATGGTGATAGTCATGGCGATGAAGTTGATAATGTTGAATAGTGATGGTAATGAAGTTGACCGTGATAATGGTGATAGTGATGGTGATGAAGTTAATGGTGATGATGGCAAGGAAGATTAGTTTTTCATTACTGATAAGAAAATTTGGGACAAGCCCTCCATTTACATCACCCCTAATTGCAGGTGAAGAAACTGACACTCCCATCATGACCAGTTTAAAGCTACTAATTTGATGTCACTGAACAAAGTGGGGAAGAGATGTGCGCAGTAAGTTGTCCTGAGCTGGTAAGAGCTAGTGAGAGAACTTAGTTTACTTGGCCTCAATCACATGTTGATCATGGAGCCATAATCAGCCCCTAAATCAGGCTGACTCCAGAGCCAATATTAAGAATACATATGTCAACTTCTGCAATGGTTTAGTTTCCTTTCCTCATTGTTTTGTGGGTAGACTAACGATTATTATGTATGCAAAGCACCTGACCCATGTCCAGTCCACCACAGCTTCACCTGAGATGTTGGCATTCATATTTTATGTGATGATGAGCTTGTGACATGTTCCACATCCCCCAGTTAGTGATCTATAACTGATTCTTCCCCTAAAATTATTCTCAAAGCAGAGACATATTTAGCCCTCAAACAAAGGAAGGGCTCTTCTCTGACATGTCAAGTACTGTGTACTAGACACTCACGGTGACTCTTGCAGTCTTTTAGCTAGCTGATCCTCCATCTAAGGGTGAAAATAAATGGAGAAACATTGACTTGGCTCCCAGCTGATGAGAAATTGTTTTCCTTCTCATTGACCTTCTCAAGACAAGAGGTTTGAACTTTTGATAAGGTCTTTCTTCATAGTCAGAGGCATTTCTGCAAGAGGGTTTCATGAGAAGTCATCAGATCAAATTCTGAAACTAGAAGGCAGGGCAAACACCTAAAGACATTTTGGATTTTTTACACCATTCATTTTACAGTGAGAAAGCAAGATGAAAAAAGCATGCCAAACCTCATAAGCTCTCGGCTTTCAACTAAAAGTTGATGATTTATTTCCATGTCTACCCTGCTCAGCCTTCCCAGATCTAGAGCTGAGGGTAAATGGCAGAGTGTGCCTAAAGTCATGAATACAGTTGCCAGGGATGAGACACTTGGCATCAATGGGCCTGTCTGCCTCTCTAAAATAAGGGAGAAAACAAACACATATTTTTCTATTTGTCAAATTAGTGTGATGATGGCACTAATAATTATGAAGTCATCACGAAATTTTTAAAATTATTAAATGAGTTGTATCTGCAAAAAATCACTATAATATCTAAATAACTCTACAAATGTTGGTTATTAATGTCACCCAACCTGGAAGGAGCTATTATCCAGAGGTGAAAATGAGGGGTAGTTATTTGTTCATGCCTGATGCATATAGAGCATTTTTATACGCATGGTGGTTTTACATCATCTCACTGCCCTGCCCCACACCCATCAACCCTATCAGCTAAGTATGGTTTTTAACTCTGCTTTTGCAAAAAAGAAAACTGAGGCTTGGTAAAGTTAAACAACTTATGTGTGGTCATATGAGCAGTAAGTAGAAAAGTCAGAATTCAGACCCAGGTGTTATAAGCTGAATTACGTTCCCCCTAACATTTATATGTTGAAGTCTTAATCTTCAGTACCTCAGAATGTGACTATATTTGGAGATAGGCCCTTGAAGAGGTAATTAAGTTATATGAGACCATATAAATGGACCCTAAACCAATATTACTGATGTCCTTATAAAAAAGAGGAGATTAGGATACCAACACACACCAAGAGAAGACCACGTGAAGACATGAGAGATGACCATCTACAAACCAAAGAGAGAGGTGTCAGAAGAAATGAACCCTGCTGGCACCTTGATCTTCAACTTCCACCCTCCAGAACTGTGAGAAATAAATTTCTGTTCTCTAAGCCAGTACCAGTTTGTGACATTTTGTTATGTCACCCCTAGAAAATTAATACATCAGGTCTCTCATTTCATATCCCATATATATTCTACTATGCTACTCTATTGTGTGTGTGTGTCTGTGTGTGTGTGTGTTTGGTTACACTGTAGTATAAAATGCCGTTATGAGTATCATAGTTAATAGTTTTTCTCATTGAAAGAGTGCATATACCCCCAGTCTCATTGATTTAGATTGCAAAATATATTTATGTGGATAAATCAAATACTCTCTGGGCTTTGCTCCCAAGACTCACAGCTATAATTTACTGAAATTTTCTCAGAAGCTTTCCAAGGGTGATGATCCTCTTTGTGAGGTCAGCAGTTCAACAGGCCTCTAAGGTTTGCAAAAGAGTCAATGATCATTGGGATGTCCTGGTCTCAAGACCTACAGGCCTCAAGCTGGAGCACTGACTACTACTAACTATGGCAGTCATCACTAATTACTGATAATATTATTTCCCACAGAGCCCAGTATTAGCTTCAGAATTCTTCTCAACACTAGATTACAGGAAACTGCTGTAAGATGATTGTACTGGATACATGAGAATGAACCCATATTCCCTTTCAGAACAGTCTGGAACTCTTCAAGGCTAGAACCACTTCATTCATCTCACTGTCCTAGTGATAACATGGATTTGTCTAGTAATACCCAACAAGGATTCCTCTCCAGTGGTAACTCCCCAAGACCTAAAGTATCTCTGCTTCTGCATTTTATAAAGCCATTTTGAAGCTGGAAAACAATACTCAGGTAAAACACTAAATTAAGAAATTAGTTCACTGAACTGCCTAGATAGTAAGAAATGAGAAGTATGTGAAGACCACGTGACACAGAAATAGTGAACCCAAGATGTAAGACTAGAGTCCCTTACATCTTTCCTCCTGCGATGAAATATGTTCACTCTTAGAGTCTTGGATCCCAAGAACTAACATTTGTCTTTACCAAGTATTCTAGTTTCATATCGTACCAAACTACATCCAAACTCAATGGCTTTAAATAAAAGGTCATTTTATTTTGTTCACAACTTTGTAGATGAAGAATTCAGGATGCGTTTAGTTGAGTGATTCATCTCTAATGGAGAGTGATGCCTCATGGACAGCAGACACTGGAGGGTCACTTCCAAGGTGGCATTTCTTCTCACAAGCCTGGGCTGGGAAGGCTGACTGCGGATGCTGCATCCTGACTTTGGAGCCATTAAACAGACCATCTACAAGTGGTTTCTCCTTGGCACTCGGCCACCTGGTTCAAAGAAGGAACATCCCTAGGGTGAGCTTTCTAAGAGGTCTAGGCTGAGGCTGCAAGACTTTTTATGACGTAACCACAGGTACCCCTGAACAACATTTCTCTTGCCTCCTATTGGTTAAGCAAGTCACTAAGGCCACTCATGTCCAAGAACTAGGGACTAAAACTCCACCCCTCCACAGGAAGAACAGCGAAACATTTTACTCATTTCTTATCTACCATGCCAAACACACCCAGGTGTGGTTAGAAAAAAGGCCATCAAGTAAGAAGAGGACATGACCCTAATGCCCTGGGAAACAGATCCTGTGTGATTTTTGAAGTTTCTAACGAGCATATAAATACTGTTAGTTGCTTTAGCAAATGCCCAACAGCAGCAGATTTTTTTCAGAAAGTTTCCCAGGAGCTAAAACCCAAGAGTTAGAAAGGCCTCAGATACCCTGAGTTATTTGGAGAAAGAATTTCACCCCAGACAACAAGAGGGTTTTCTTTGTTTTGCCCCAGCTTCTCAATTAGAGGAATAAGAAATGGTTCTGATGATAACCTGCCCAGAATCTACCCACCTAGCAAGAAACAGAGGTGGGTTTTGCAGAAGCCAAGCAGGAAACAACATGAGCCTTGAATACGGGGGCATGTTTCCATGCTGCTCTGCAATCCTTAAGAAGAACTCAGGATTAAGAGCACACCGTCAAAATCTCAGATGACATTGTCATGTGGCTAAACATTACAAAACTCTAAGAGACATTTTTAAAACGTAGTCTGAGAAAATGAACCATAATACCATTATGTTCAAATCCCCCGTCCATACTGAGCATGGGAAATTGAGATACCTGGGTCTTCCAGGCTCTCTGACAACACTGGGTAAATGCGGCATCAGTGACTAAGAGACCTGCTCATCATAACGGGCTACTTTCTTTTGATTGTTTTAAAATCCTAAAATTATTGACTGTTGGGTAAATAAACACCTCTGAAAATATCCCACACCCAGGGCCTTGCCTTCTTTCAGCAGTGCAGGGAGGAGGGGTGCTCTATATGACTGTCAATCTGCCCCATTTGTGGACTCAGCACAGGGCCCTCTATGCCGTGTGGCCACAGAGGCCAGGAGGTCTGCCCTTATCCCGCCATTCCGGCAGTGAAAGGGATGGATGCTGATGACTCAGTAACCTGTGTAGAAGCAAGAGAATAGGGGGAGGGGGCCAATAAGCCATCCCTCAGAAACATAAAGTCAAATTAGAGGTGACATGTGGGCCACTGGGAAAGCTCCAGGCCTTGGCAGAAGCCGTGGCACTTAGCTGACAGGTTGCAATTGAACAAAGCTGACACTCGACAAGTCTCCTCTCCCCTTGACCTCCTTGACCTGCATACCGTGCCTGCCTCCCCTCCTCCCCAAAGCCACTTCCCTCTCTAAACCCATTCCCTGGAATTCCAAAAGTTTGAAATAAAATTAACCACATCAACAAAACACAAGACAGCTGTTGGTGACCCCAACTCACTATCCAATGGCATCAAATCACAGGACGAGAACATGATACTCCTTCTCTTATTGAATTACCCTGAATCTTAATTGTCCCAAGTATTTTCTACCATTGATCACTGAAGGAAAAGATGAATCCAATAATTCAGTGATAAACTCAGGAAGGTTTCTTCTCACTATCTTTCCCTGCCTCCCTCCCTCCTTCCTTTCCTTCCTTCCTTCCCTTTTCTTTGTTTCTAAGAGAGTTCTCATTTGAATCTTCTGACTTGCATACCTTGATTTATCAATAGCTCTTCTCAGCCAACTCAGCCCTTGTATCAAAGAATAAGACCCTACAGGCAGCAGAAATACTTTGATGCTGGAATAAAACCTGGACCTGAGCCAGCTGCATCACAAAACCCACCCTTAATTCTGCTTTCCCTTCCCCCTCCTGCAGCAAGAACCTCCCCAGGTATGTGGAGAAGAGGGTATCTCAGGAAAGATAAGAACCTAAACACAGGTACAAGGAGAAAACCCCAATCCCCCTGAAAAGCCCAGAATTCCAAAAAAAAAAAAAAAAAAGGAAGTTTAAGTATCTCTATGTAAGTTTGGGGCATAGAGACACTTATGCCCCGAAGTATTGCTTGCCTTAACTGATATGACAGAAAGGTGTAGTTTCTGGAGTCATACAGGTCTGTGTTCAAATGTTGTATTTGTCACTTAAAAGTATGAACCTACAGCCATTTACTTAACTTGTAAAATGAAGACCAGTTATTACATTGTGAGGTTGAACAGCAATTAAATGAATAGCATTAAATGAAACAAGATGATTGGCACATCATTGGGCACAATCAACACTGGCTTCCATGACAAGTAATTTACACATAAAGAGGCACCATCACACATCGATAGCTACCTCCCACTCCAAACATATGACAGCCAGGCGGCAAGCTCCCAGTTCTACTATCCCTGCAACCTCGTTTATTCAATCATTTTGCCTCCTTTTTATTTCTTCCTCCTTTCCTTCATTTGTTAGCATTTATTGTCATTTCTATACTAAGTCTTGCTAAGAGAAGGCAACAGAGTTATCAGTAAGAACCAATGCTTGTTCTTCTAAGGGAATATGGATCTTTTGCAACTAGTAGCTGAAATGTGAGTAAGTTTTCCTATGACCTCATTCTTCCTTTATTACAATTGGCAGCGTTTGTTACATTTCAATCATTACCTAACGGAGTTCTACAGTGGTTCACAGCCCATAATCTACTTTCACATGTTATAAAAGCACAATGGGCCAGAGATTAAAGGTCCAACAAAGGGTATATCACAAGCTCATCTCGCTTTGTTTCTGATCAGTGACCTGCGCCCAGGGCAGGACAATAGGGCAACATGGGGTGTGTAGAAGCATTCTCACTGCTAAGAGCAGGGCAGAGCTCCATGCTTTCCAGAGAGTGCCTCTGGGGCCTGTGCTTTGGGACAATTTTGAACAGCAGGGTTCAGACTCAGTAGCTTTTCCCAGCTGGGCCTATTGATTCAGCCACGCAGGTTGTGCCATGCACAAGCTCCATTACATGCACAACAATGTAAATGGTGACCCTTGATGTTGTGTGGTGCACAGCCTGTACAGCTGTACATAACGGTCACTCCATCCCTTACACTTGCTGGAAATGAACACAGTTTGTTCAACTCTAAAACCTTAGAAATAAACTGCTAAGCCATAGTTCCTCTCACCGAACAGAATCGACGTCAGACCCTGCTTGGCTTGGTTTTTCTTCCATCATTTAACCTCTCCATGACTTCAAGTTCTCATCTGTAGAAGAGCTAGATACACTCAGAGGGCTTCCGGGGGAATCACCGACATAGTGCCTGCAAGGTGCTGCACACCATACCTGGAGTGTAGCAGGCACACATACATGTTCTCTGAACGCCTCAGCTCAGCAAGGGGAGTCTGGAAAGAGAAAAACCTGCCTTTGGATTGAAACCTGCCTTTGAAATCTGGCTCTGCCCTTTTTGAATTGGGCAGGCTGTGTGTCCTTGGTTTCTTCTCGTCTGTAAAATGGCTCTAATTACGCTTCCTCAAGAGATTTTTGTGAAGGCTCAGTATACACATATATGCAAATAACACAGGATGCTGCATTAAATCCTCATTTCTTTTCACTCTTCTTCTCCCCAACAGCAGAAGCTAGGGGTGAGAGAAGGCTTTGTGGTGATGTTCAAAGCTCATGTCAGGGTAACCAGGACTTACTGAGGTTTTGCAGTGTTTTAAGTATTTTTCATGGGCTCTGTGAATACCAAAATAAAGGAGACAAAGTATCTGCTAGGACTTGTGCTTCTCAAATGATCTGATAAAACACCGAATTTTCTTTTTCTTTTTTTCCCAGCTCATTGTATTTCCAATGAATACTAATTATGAGAATGTGATATGACAAAAAGAATAAAATGCAAGATGCAAGCCCAGCCTTTTTTTTTTTTTTTTTTTTTTTTTTTTTTTTTTTTTGAGGCAGAGTTTCACTCTGTCGCCCAGGCTGGGGTACAGTGGTGTGATCTCAACTCACTGCAACCTCTGCCTCCTGGGTTTAAGCACTTCTCATGCCTCAGCCTCCCAAGTAATTGGGACTACACCCATTAGCCCGCCACCATGCCTGGCTAATTTTTGTTTTCTGTTGTTGTTGTTGTTGTTATTGTTTGTTTTGCTTTTTTTTTTTTTTTTTTTTTTTTTAGTAGAGACAGGGTTTCACCATGTTGGCTACGCTGGTCTCGAACTCCTGACCTCAGGTGATCTGCCCACCTCAGTCTCCCAAAGTGCTGGGATTACAGGCGTGAGCCACCACACCTAGCCCTAGCTTTTTATTACTATTAGATTACACGGATATAAGATGTCAATGTCAAATTGCTCTAGAAGTTTCTAAATGTTTGCTCTCAATTTCTGTGCTTTTCTTACCATGGATGGGTAGCCAGTAGTTTGCAGACAGGCACTGGACAAAGGACCACACTGTTAGCAGCTCTGATTGAAATCCAGCAATCGGCAAGTGTGCATTCGTCTATGTGAATGAGGAGACCATATTATCTCTATCTGAATCCTTTGAGCACTTTAATTTTTAGCTCATTTGTTGCTTTCTCTTCCAGGCACTATGTTTCTTGGCAGAGACTGTATATGCCATCCCTAGTCTAGAATAAATTCTTAATAAGCAGCCTCCAGTAAAGACAACTAATGGCTGGGTGTAACGTTGGACTTTTGAGAAAATAACTCACCCCTAAACTTTGCCCCCTCATCCTGCAATGCTTAGTCTCGATAGTTGGTATGGACTGAATCCTTTAAATTGATCAGAGACCCACCCCCACCCACATCTGTATACCCTCAACCCCACACACCCATTCAACGCAGAATATGACTTTGCTATTCCTAAAAGTTCAGGTTTGCCATAAGGGCAGAGCTAGCAGATATAGGAGTTTAGAACAAAGGCTGTCTCATGAAAGCCAGCCCTGGGAGTCACCAGACCCTCCGTGCCAGTCGAGAGTGTTTCTTTTAAAAAGAAATAATTGTGCTCTTCTGACTAGGATGATAAAAAAAAAAAAAAAGTCTACCTCTTTCTGAAAGGAAGCCAGTCACTGCTTTTAATAAACTCTTTGGCTACAAAGATGAAACAGGCAGACAACAGCAACAAAGAAGATATTATTAACATAATTTCATGTAATTGGATAGAAGGGTAATATTTATTTTAATATTACAGAGGAAATATCCCACAATGCAGACCCTGGATTAATTCTTTATATCTTTAGACTGCACTTATCAAATAAAATTGTACTTATGGAAAAAGCAAACACATAAATCTTGCCTCATTGTTGGCGGGCAACCCTAGCAAGGGCTAATTGTATTATATATCTTCTGCAGCTCTGCCTAGTGTTTGCCAGGTCCAAATGTATTATTATTTATTACATGAACAAATGCAATTTTCTTCTTGGAATCTGAGCTTGGAATTCCATGAAAGCCTAAATGTGTCCCTTTTCTATTCAGGAGGAAAAAGAAAGACCCCCAATGAGTGTGACCTACAAGAGTCTTCCATGAAGATCAACATCTAAGTTTCCCTTGAGAGACACCAAATCAAATCTCAAGGAGTGGCCTCCGGAACACCATTAGGATGAAGGTAAAGTTCTTCTAACTCTGCTCTTTGAAATGTCCCTTTCCTCCAGGGAAAAGCTTTGCTATGGATTTGCCAGAATCTGAACCAATATTTGACTTAGCTCTGTTTGTTTGTTTGCAAGGTCACTATGCACTTGAGTGTTCCATATATGTACTATGTCCCCTCCCATTTTAAAAAATAAAATTTTTTTATTTTTTTTTCAAAAAGAGATGGGGTCTCCCTATGTTGCCCAGGCTGCTCTCAATCTCCTGGACTCAAGCGATCCTGCCACCTCTACCTCCATAAGTGTTGAGATTGTAGGCATGAGCCCCCATGCCCGGCCTTTCCTCCTCTTCTAACTCTGCCTCTCCCTCTCTCTCTCTGTCTTCTGTCCTTCACATATGGCAAGGCTAAGTCCCATACTGAAGGCTGGCTGGTGGTATCTTGCCCTGTCTATTTGTCAACTAGTCTTAAAAGTGCTACTCCGCTGCAGGCTGGGGCAAGCAGATTTTTTTCTTGCTCTCTGTTGACGTTCTTCTAGGATTGGTGAGTGTGTTATATTGTTCTAGAACATGTTTTAGCCTAACCACATTAGTAAAATGGATTTCTGCATGTTCCATCTCACCACATTTCCTTGCATTGAGGTTTAGGTGCAAATACTAATTACGTTAGTTTGTGGTTTCTTTCTCACAATTATTTTCACCTATATCTCTTTTACAAAATTCACAGGGAGGATGACTAGGCAAATGGAGATTAATCTGATCAAATTTAGTTTCCTACTAAAAGGACATTTAATAACAACCAGAACACCAACACAGAGTTATACCTCTGCTCTGGTTCAACTCAGCACAATTTGAACAGCTCTTGTGTGCTAGACACTAGGTTAGGGAGTTTTCACAGACTATCCTATAGTCATCACAGCCACTACGGGATTCGTAAACTTCACCCCAGCTCTTCTTGAGGATGGTGAAAATGAGATGCAGAAAGGTTGGCAGCTACTTGCAGAGTTGGGACTTGAATCCTGACTTCCCAACTTCATCCCCAAGGTTCTTTCCACAATACCATCCTTGGAAAGGGAAAATCATTGCTAGGACAGACAGTGCATCTAGACCAGTGTAGCATGTTTTAAAAGGAATTTCTCTTCCACCAATTCAAGAACTGAACAAAAGCAAAAAGTGTAAACAAACACACACAATCCTGCCCAGAGTGAAACCCACTAAATAGAAATACTACAGTGGTGCATTCTGCTGGAGGGAGATCATTTACCCTCTTTCCTTCATCAGCCCAATTAAAATCTCATCACACACAAAACAAAATCAAAGACATAGAGAGAGAGACTGTGGATTATGCCTCTAAGATGAAAAGCTAGCTTATTCTTTCTCTCCACTAACCTCTCTGCTCATGCTTAAATGTAAGTCCAACTGGCCATATTTCCAAGTTGACCACATTTCCCAGAGAATGTATAACTTATATTCTTCAGTTCTGGCAAAGTGTTCTCCCTGGTCCCTGAAGTTAGCGACTTCCATAGAAAAACAAATTTTGTTTTGAATGCCTAGCTGAGGAAGGGGTTGCTGCATATTTCTTTCCTATAGGCAATGGAGATCCAACTAAAGTTCAGGACAGAGATAGATAAAGGGAAAACAAAAGAAAAATATTCTTCCGTTGGCTTACCATAGTCTTGTTTCTGTACATAGCATGTCCCTTGAGTAGCAATGATACATTCTTTGGATCAAATTCACAGGTCATTTCTGCAAAGTTTTGCATGACACTGAGAGAAGGAGCAACCAAAGGACTGCAAACAGTTGCATAAGTAAAAGTGAGACATAAAACTTCATAGCAACCTCAAATGATGTCACTCTCAAGGACCTCAAGGCCATAAAATTCAGAGAGCTTCCCAAACAAGCCATTACTGATTTTCACGGAACTGAAAAGTACCTTGGACCTTGCTCCTTTCCATTCATAAAAACATTGTTATCAGTGAATGAGCTCACCACCCATTGCAACTGTAAGCTCTTTGGCACGTTAAGTTAAATCATTGTTGAACTCAACTCTTCCCTTTGAACCCTGGGGAATATTAACATGTCCTCCCAAGGGCCAGGGAGGAACATATGTGTCTTTGACCCTCTCAAAATGAGGAGGATGGAAACTCCCATGTATTAGCCAAGTACATTTGCTAGGTTGATGATGTGCAAAGAGGATTGGTCAGAATCCTATCCCAAAAATCAGGACCAGCTCCATTATTTGTGGGACCCAGGGCAAAACAAAATAAAAAACATGAGACTTCTTGGTCAAAGATTATTAAGGAGTTTTAAGACAGTGATAACAGAACATTAAACTCAGTGTGGGACCCTCCTAAGCATGGGGCCCTGTGCAACTGGTCAAGCCACATACCCATGTAGCTGGCCCTGCTCACAATCACCAAGAAGCCGTTGTCATAGATTTCTAATAATGAACTGAACAGAGAACATGTCAAGAAAAGATAAGAGGTTTATTTTATGATCAGCTGGCTTTTCAGAATCCTTCATGGTATGGAAGAGCCGTCAGGATGAACTGTGTCTCTCTCACCTAAGGAGCAAACTAAAACAGGTCTCCATAGATACAACATCTTGGTCCTGGAGGTCTTTCCTTTCTTAGGTTAAAAGAAAGGGGTGATGTGTACAAGGCAACTGATGCAACAGAAGGAAGAGGGAATAAATGGCTGTGGCTTAGAAAAAATTCAGCTAACCTCCTCCATCCAGCAGGGAGAGCAGGCAGTGAGTGAGGCAGACAGAACTTGATCACAGCACTGTATCACAGAAATGCAAGAGAGAGCAGTTGTACGAAGAAAATTATTTTCTTAAAAGAGGACAAGACATGGAATTAAAAATGCCTAGGACATCCACACCTAAGCTCTACCAGGTGCATGGATAAAACACAGTTTAACCAGCCCAGAGCTGTAGCAGAGATTCAACTCTTAAGGAGAAAAGTAAGACTATTGATGAAATTCTAAGATGGAGATTCCTAAATCTACTTTTACCCTATGAATTTGGAAAAGACAATCATTTTTCAGTTTAGTAGCAGATATATGTCAAGACTGAAGAATCAAGTGCTTTAGCTTCTTTATATTTTTACCACGGTGTATATTTACTATGTATATGTTACATTAAGTGTATATTTTACGTTAAATACATAAACTTTATGTAATAAAAAAGGTCATTATAAAGAGGATACAGTAATAATCTCTGAACCTTTAGCACCTAAAAAACAGAACCAGAATATATAGATATGGACACAACCAAGATCAGAAAAAAATAAAAAAGCAAAAATCCCAGAGTACACATGATGCATAAAGGAGAACTATCAAAATATTAGAAAAAAAAGATGCAGACTCAAACAAGGGGTACAATAGTTGAGTCAAAGTTCTTCTTTCTTCTTCAGGGGCCAGGTAGTAAAGGCAATTTCACTGTCCCCTTAATTTTGACTCTAAACTCAGATGTGCTGACATATTATTGTCTCTTCTCCCAAGAGGGACATCAAACTAAGGTATCTTCCATTCAGTTTCAGGCAGACTCTGAATATGATGGCCTCTGCATTTGTTTGAGAATAACATCTTGCTCTTCGATATTTAAAGGGGCTGGGGGTGAAGGTTGTATTGCAGGAACTTTTTTTTTCCCCAAAAAAAATGTATACTTTGACATTTAACAAAATTAACAAACATTAATTGCATGTAAAACCCACTTTGCTGAATTGCAGTGAGCCATTTAACCCTATGGACTAACCCACCCAAGAGCTTACAGGAGGAGAAGCAGAGCTGGCAATTCTCAGACATTAAGACACTCAGCTGCCTACACTCAAGCTCCTTCGAGGTCAGAGAAAGCTATGTTGCAGAAAAAGAACGTGAGTCCAAATTAGCAATTTGGCAGCATTCTTCAAAAAGAAAAATGTAACCTCAGGACTTTCCCAGTGCTCTCAATTCAGTCT
The DNA here is from genome assembly GCF_000001405.40 of Homo sapiens. NCBI lineage: Eukaryota > Metazoa > Chordata > Mammalia > Primates > Hominidae > Homo > Homo sapiens. The sequence continues at coordinate 80,267,910 of NC_000016.10, forward strand.
GCCAGGACGTGTCAATGGATTGTAGTCTTATTTGTACCCAGGGCAAGGGACGTCACTCCCCACAGCTTCCCCTTTCCTTGCATATATATAAAAATTAAGGAAATTTTTTTTCCATCTTCAATTTTGTGTGTGGGGGGCTGGGGGGTGGGGCACGTCTCTCTCTGGCTAATTGCTGATTTTCTCTTAGCCCAAGGCTATGACACTTTCTGTCACATCGCTTTCCTCACAAGCGGTTCCTCATCACAAAAATCATCTCTTCATACTGTCTTCTCCAAGATGCGAGGGAACTGTAGCAGTCCATTTCCACCTCCTCTCCCCATCGGGAGTGTGCTTCTAGGAAACAGGTGGCCTACAACTGCAGTTTTTCCTCTTTCATCTTCCAGTGGGATGGGCTATCCATCCCATGAGGAAGGGCATGGGCCCTATCTGTCTTACTGACTGTTCTCTATTTAGGCCTGGATTATTCATAGATCCATATAAGATTCTCAGTAAAAGTTTGATGAATGAATAATGAGTGGTGAGGTGGGATGATTTATTATTTCTTTTTTCTAGGAAAAGTTTTCCCAAATGCAATGAGTTCCAAAGAAATCACATTTGGCCACCGGGGCCAGATTGCAAACAGATGTTAACAATGCATTCTCCGTGGGTCCTATAGTAATTTTCTTTTGGGTTGTGTACACCTCAAAGCACTGCAGCCCAATGCAGAAAGACCCACAGAACCAGGGCATGAGAGACCAACTTTGAGAAGAGCAGTCATCGGGATCCCCTTATCTCACTAAGAGCTTCTTCAGAAAAACATAGGAGGGGATGAATTGTCCATCATGTAAAAGATGGAAACCACTGTTGTGTGTTGTCCTGCCTTCAATCATTGCTCTGTTAGAAAGTTTCCAACACTGAGCGTGAGGGGTTGAGGAAATGTTAGCGTATGATACCTCCACGATAGAATGCTGATATCACAAAGGAGTGCAAAACGGGATGAAGTTAAATATCAGATTGACAAAGTACAGTTAAAAATAAAATGCATTAAAGAGCAGAGGCAACAGTCTCATTTTCCATAGGCAATTCAATTATCCAAATTTGATACATAAGAGTCATGCAGCTCTATAGGCAAAATAGACTCAAAATACAGAAAATCAAAATCATTAGAAATAGAAGTAGAAATTAACCAAAATATCTGCATGATATGAATTCACCACTGATGTTATTGTCTGCAGCCGTAAATGCCTCCTAGAAACAACTTAAGGAGACTAACCAACTTGGCCTCTAACTAATGATTCATCAAATAGCTAGCTAAATAAAACAATATTAAGTAATACTCTTTGAGAGTTCCGGTAGATAAACATTTAATTAAGATATAGAACATTTTAATATGTAAGAATGATTTAAAAGGTATATAATAATTTTATGTCTTACTTATAGAGAATACCTTTTTTTTTTCAAATGTCCCTGGCATATCTACAAAAATTGATTATTTAAATAAAGTTCCAAAATCACAATTCCTGCAAATACCATAGTTTAATTTTTAAAAAGCAATGAGATTAGAAGTGTAGAGCAAAAGATTAAAGCAAAACTTGCAATCATTTTGAGCAAGTACACTTTTAAATATTTCATGGGTCAGAGAAAGACCAAAATTAAAATTTGTATCTATACTTATAAATATATAGGTATTATACAATATAAAGTGCCAGTATATGACAAATAAATCCACATGTGATGTGTTAAACACTGTAGCTGGAAGCAAGTTTAAAGCTTTAAATATTTTATACACTTACACATATGTATGTGAAGCGTGTTTAAATATTAGGTATATAAAATGTTTCTAGGCCGGGCGTGGTGGCTCACACCTGTAATCCCAGCACTTTGGGAGGCCGAGGTAGGTGGATCACCTGAGGTCAGGAGTTTGAGACCAGCCTGACCAACATGGTGAAACCACATCTCTACTAAAAATACAAAATTAGCCGGACGTGGTGGCACATGCCTGTAGTCTCAGCTACTCGGGAGGCTGACACAGGAGAATTGTTTGAACCCGGGAGGTGGAGGTTGCAGTGAGCTGAGATTGCACCATTGCACTCCAGCCTGGGCAACAAGAGCAAACCTCTGTCTCAAAAAAATAAAAATAAAAATAAGTTTCTAAACTTTAAATATTATATATGTATATTATGTTGTATATAGTATACATATATTTATATTATTTATATTATTTTTATCAACAAACATGTTTGTTATCTTTTTTTCTCTTAAGTTGCAAAATAAAGCCTATGAAAGTCATGGTGAAGGCAGGTGAAGGGGAAAATACGGGTAACAATAACTTAGTAAATTAATAAAGAGAAAAAGCACACAACTAATCAGTGTATGGAATAACTGACACCTTTATGTGGCACGGCAGAAAATAAAATGGACTCCACGAAGTCAAGTAATCCTCCACAAAAATGGAGTGAAAGGGAAAGAGAGCACAAAAGTACAATGTATATACGAGGGGCAAGGCAGAGTTTTTAAAACAGAATCGTCTAAGAAATTCTACTAATTTGAAAAATTAAAAAATACAGTGAAATGTTAAAGCATTTTCTAGTACGCTATTAAAATTGATCTATCTGCCTAGATCAGTAACTATTTATTTGAATAGAATCTTTAAGTTTTATGCAGTCACTTACATAAAATGGCCCTGGGTTCAATGGATTAATAGGCAAGTGATTTCAAGAATTAACTAATTTTCACAATGTATAACCTTATCCAGAACACATAAAAAGGATAGACAATTTCCCAATTTGTTTTAAGAAGTGAATGTGACTCTGTAACTGCACTGAAAATCTTCCCAAGGACAAACTGCAATTCACTCTCATTTAAGAACATAAATGTAAAAATTCTAAATAATGGATTTTCAAACATAATCTTACAGTGTATTTAAAGAATACTACATACTAAGGAATACTCATATCATAATAAAAGTATCAGTTAATAATTAGGGAGATAAATCACGAGTGATCCTCTTCAATCTGTCAAAGAAAAGGAAATTTTTTTACCTCAAAGAAGCCAAAAAGATATTTAATAATATTAAGCACCAAATGCTGAGAGCATTTTATCTAAATACTTTCTTAACAACATAAATAGTATCCATCTATAATAGGTTGAATAGTGCTTCTGCAAAAGTTTATGTCCACCTGGAACATCAGAATACAACCTTATTTGGAAATGAGGACTCTTTTTAATTTTTAAAAAATTGTTTAAAATTGTATTTTATTTTTACTTTTTACTGTTTTATTCTTTTTTCCTTTTTTTTTACCTTTTTGTTTTACACTTATACTTTTTACTTTTGTTTTCTTTTTCCTGCTTTTTTTTTTAAAGGATTTTAGGAAATATAATCTTTGCAGGTATAATTATGGTAAGGACAGAGATAAGATCACACTGGGCTAAGGTGGGCCCTACATCCAATGAGAGCATCCTTTTTAAAAGACAGTAACGGACAGAGGCACAGAAAAGGAGGTGACATGAAGATGGAGAGAGAGACTGAAGTGACGTATCTGCAAGAGAAGGAATGCCGAGGATTGCTAGCCACCACCAGAAGTTGGGAAAGAGGCCTGGGACACTTTATCCCTCTGAGCCCCCAGAGGGCTCCGATCTGGCAGACACCTTGATTTCTAATTTCTGGCCTCCACCAGTACTGTGATAAAATACATTTCCATGGTTTTAAGCCACCCAGTTTATGATACTAGTTACAGCAGGCCTAGGAAACACCATCTTAAATCACGAGCCAACATCGCACTTCCCTGTGAAACACCAAAAACATTCCCGTGAAATTCAGCGATAGGACAATAATTCCTGAAAGACTATTATAACTGAAAGTGTGGCTACTAAAGAGAAGGCGCAAGGCAACTTTGATTTCATTTAACTGGCCTGTAGGGTGCCTGAGATGATGCTCTGAAGACCAGGAGAGTGAGGGAAGGCTTATTAATGATTCAGCCACAGATTGAGGTGTTTCACATTGGTCACTGCATTTACTCCTGTTACTACTCCTCCTGCACGTGAAGAAAAGAAGGCTCAAGAACTTGCTCCTGGCAGGGCTGGCAGGCTGCTGGGAGGTTAGATAGGATTGAGCACAAAGCTGCCTGACGCCAATGCCTTGGTGTTCCCACTACCCCAAGATCCCTCCCTGGCCTAAGTTTGATGCTTCTTTCCAGGCTTCCTATTAATCACTGTATTAATCCATTCTCATGTTACTATGAAGAAATACCCAAGACTGGATAATTTGTACAGAAAAGAGGTTTAGTTGACTCACAGTTCCACATGGCTGGGGAGACCTCAAGAAACTTACAATCATGGTGGAAGGCACCTCTTCAGTGAGCCGCAAGAGAGAGAATGAGAGCCAGGAGGGGAAATGCCAGATGCTTATAAAACCATCAGATCTCATGAGAACTAACATGAGAACAGCTTGGGGGAAAACACACCCACAATTCAATCACCTCCCACTGGGTCTCTCCCGTGACATGTGGGGATTACAATTCAAGAAGAGATTTGGGTGGGGACACAACCAAACCATGCCAATGACCATGTACTTCCCATTCACACCTGTAACTGTAAATTCCTTCAGAACAGGGAACCTGCTTTCATCTCTATACCTACACTATCACAATGAATTCATTTTATACAGAATGAATGAAAGATTGCCTGGAAGAAGGAAGGAAGAAAGGGAAAGGAAAGTAGGGAAAGAAGGAAGGAGGGAAGAAGACAGAGAATTTGGGTTGAACACAATGTAAACTCACACTTCCCATAAAGAACAGCTCCTTTTCCTCCCAGGCTGATGGCTTTTTCCTCGTGATCTATGAACATGCCCTGTGCTAGGCTGGAAAATGATCCGCAAAGATGTCCACATCCTAATCCTGGGAAACTGTGGATATCTTACCTTACATGGCAGAAGGGACTTTGCAGATGTGATTAAGTTAAAAACCTTGAGATCAGGGGACTATATTAGATTATTTGGGCAGGCTCAATATTGTCACAATCACCTTCATAAGAGAGAGGTAAAGGGAGATTTGATTACACAGAAAAAGAGAAGGTTATGTGACCACAGAGGCAGCAATTAGAGTGATGTGGTCACAAGCCAAAAAATGCTGCCCACCAGAAGATGGAAGGGGCCAGGACCATGTCCTCCCCAAGAGCCTCCAGAGGGAGCTTGGTGCTACTGACACTGCAATTTCAGCCTGTGATACAGATTTCAAATGTCTGACCTTCAGATCTGAAGAGAATCAGGTGTGTTGTATTAAGCCATTGAGACTGTGGTAATTTACTACAGTAGCCATAAGACTCTAACACACCCTAAGCAGTCGGAAAAGCACCAATTCCTAGTTAAACAGAGCCCTGGGTGCAGACTGAACTCAAGGCCATCAGAAATTGTACAGACATAGTAACAATAAATGTTAATAGGTAAGGAGAGAGAGAAGGGGGGAATTGAGTGATACTTTTTATACTTTACAAAGCTATTTAATATATATTACCATTTAATTTAACCCTTCATGAACCCTAAGGTTGGTAAAGTAGTTCCTTTAATCTCTCCAATTAAAATTTGATTTTGACTACAAAATCTCCACAGTTTACAAATGAAATAGCAGAGGTTCTGGGAAGTAATTCACTCAAGAAGAATAAAGACTTGATATTTATTGAATACTTACTATAGGCCAAGTATTTACTCTTTCTAGACAGCATGTACTGTAATCCTTAGAACAACCCTCTGTTCAGGTAATTACTGTGATAAACTCCATCTTCCATTCTAGTAAAGTGAGGCTGGAAAATTAAGTTACTTGCTTGAAATCACATAGCTGGTAACAGACAGGGGCAGGACTACAAGTTCGAGTCTTCTGGGTATAGAGTCTAACTTCCTAACCACTAAGTCAGATTTACACAGAACTGAACAGGGGCCAGGGGTGAGTCACAAAGCTGATTCTAACCTGTTGGTACTAGTCTTGAAGCAACAGCCCCTCCTCGAAGCAAAAAATATCAGACAAGCATCAGTCTGAAGTCTTGAATCCCCCTTCTTCTACTTCTTGTGTTAAGTATGAACAAGTTATTTAGCTCTTCTGAGCTACCTTTCTTTAATCTATAAGACAGAGATAAAACTTCTGCTACAGGGTTACCATAAAGATTAAATGAAAATGCATCAAAAAGGCATTTAACATAGTACCTGGCATACAGTAGGTGCTTGATAAATGTTAGGTTTTTTTCTTTTCTGGAAATATTGACATATCACGGGCATGACTCAGAGATGAAGAGTACATGTGGTCAATTAGGTTATTCATATTCTCCTAACTGTGGCAAAATTATGGATTTAAAAATCTCTTTGTGGATCAATTTCTCTACGACTATTGAATTACAGAGAGGCCACTCACATACTGAAGCAAAAGGGAACAAAGAATGTGGTGGGTGGGAGTTTTTTTTTTAATTGGCCCACAAGGAAGAATCACTGAGATGCTGGAAATGTTTCATCACCCTTTTCTCTCTGTTTATAAAGACAGTTGTGGCCAAATGGTCTAAACCCATATGTACCAATGGGGAAATTTAAGCTTTATGTACCAAGAGTGGTTGATTTCACAGATTGTTTAATGCCCAGACAGTTTTTAATTTAATATTTTCCCAGAGGTCTTTGAAAGTATTGGGTGTGTTTTGAAAAGTCAAATAAATATTTGTCACTTTAAATAAGGCCATCATTTTTTGTTTGTTTGTGGTTTTTCTTCCTCTCTCAAACACAAATCAAGTGAAATACAAGGTGTGAGCCAAGCGCCAAGGAGCTTATTAAAAATGAGTCCAAATGAATTTGCTGGCAAATGCTGGGGGTATGGAAATGAGGCAACACCGAAGAATCCCTGAGTGGGCTGGAGAAGGAATGCTGTGCCTGCCGCCCTTTGTGGTAAGCTAGGACCAGAAACCTGAGTAGCCGAGAATTAGCCCAGAGAGATGTACAGAGGCAGGCATGGGCCAGGGAAGAGGCACCTCAAAGGCCAAAGGCCAGGGAGCACAGAAGGCTGAATGCCTGGAAATCATGAGCTACATACAGCTGCCCCCACCTCCAACACACCCACACACACATTCACATACATGCACACACATATATACACACACATACACACACACATGCACACTCTGAGTCAGTTATTTCATAGCCAGAGCATACTCAGTTAAGGATATCCAATTAAGACTAACTTCACAGCAAGATCCCATCCTAGAGGAAGGGACAATAAACTTAGAATATTTTTACATGCCCCAATCACTGAGTTCCAACAACCCTTAACATTAGAAAAACAGTTAAAACACTTCTGTCACTTCTTAAGCACACATATGCTGAAAATATATATGTATATATATTTATACATAAATACACACACACACACACATATATATATATATATGAATGGATCAAAAAGGTATTCAGCTCAGTATCTGGCACACAGTAGGTGCTCCATAAATGTTTGTTTCTTTCTTTTCTGGAAATATTGATATATCAGGGGTATAACTCAGAGATGAAGAATATATTTAGTCAATTATGCTATTCATATTCTCCCAACTGTGACAGAATTATAATCATATAAAATTATATTCACTTCCTAGAGGAGGGGAACTTGCTGTGAAGTTAGTCTTAACCAGATAGCCTAAACTGAGTATCTGAATGTGCTCCAACTATCCGATAACTGACTCAGAGTGAGTAAGTGAGTGTGTGTGTGTGTGTGTGTGTGTGTGTGTGTGTGTGTGTGCTGGAGGTATGGCAGCTACCTCTTGCACATAATATTTGTGTGTACATATGTATATATGTGTGTGTATATATATGTGTGTATGTGTATATATACGCACATATATGTGCGTGTATGTGTGTATATACACACGTATGTGTGTATATACAGACGTATGTGTATATGTGCATATATATATATGGAGAGAGAGAACAGATATCTCTCTATGCGTGTATCTATCAGTCTAGAGAGAATAAGAGAGACTAGATGACCCTTTGTAGACCCTGGGGTAAAATGATGAGGAAAAATTGGCATAGTCCTACCACATTAAACTCAGTGTCTCAGGAGTCCTCCCTGTCCATTTGGGTTCTCGCCACATTAATTCAAAACGTGAACATTCCTCATGAACCAACCCCATCTCCCTCCCATCAGTGCACTGCCTCCCCCTTCTCCCTGCACGCTCCAGCCTCAGAAAGTGTAACCCTGATCACATCACTCCACTTAGAAATCCATGATTCCCCGTTGCCTACAAAGTCCCAGCTCCTTAGTAGAATGCAGAAGGGAGGGTTGGCACCAATTTTTATTGTTTCCCTCCAGCCTCATCTTTAAGCTCCACCCCTGCTTTAACTTTATGTTCCAGAAACTCCAATAGACGCTACTGTCCCCAGGTCACTATGTTGGAGAGCATATGCTTGTCTTGATGCTTCTGCTCAGCATTTTAAGTGAGACTGGCTTGTGATGTCTACCCAGATTTCTACCTATTTCATAGGCTTCTGTCTGATTGGTCCTACATATTAGACACCATTAAAATGATCTTTTAGATTACTCCACATTGGAAATTTCCAAAATGCAGTCTACATGTGGCAAAGTGTATTCTTGAGTTTGGCTGTATACTTACTCAGACCTAACCTGTGACAGGTTCTGTGTTTGCTTTGGGGGCCACAGAGATGAGTAATTATCCTGGATTCTATCTAGTTCAGGGGACATAGATAAGAAAATAGAGACAGAGCAATGTGATGTATTAAACAAGAGAACACTACAGGATTCAACTAAAATTAAGTGTTCATGGGAATGAGTGGTTGCTTTTGACTCAGGGGTAAGACAATTCCCATAGAATACCTGATTCCTGGGTAAGATTTCAGTAGATTGTGGTACACAGAATAAAAGCCCCCAAAGATGCCCACTGCCTAGTCCCAGAATCTATGAACAGCCCTGCTAGGCAAAAGGGACTTTGCAGATGTGATTAAGAAGATTGAGATGGGGAGATTATCCTGGATTTCTGGGTGGGCCCAATGTAAGCACAAGGGACCTTATAAGAGGAAGACAAGAGAGTGAGTGTAAGAGATAAAGATTTGAAGATGCTGTGAGGATGACTTTCAAGATAAAGAAGGGACCAGGAGCCAAGGATTCAGGCAGCTGAAATTCAGAGACTGAAAAAGGCAAGGAAAGACATTCTCCCCTAGAGCCTCCAGAAGGAGGACAGCCAACACCTTGATTTTAGACCCATTTTGGGGTCCTGACCTCCAGAATTGTAAGAAAATAAATGTGTGTTGTTTTAAGCCACTAAGTTTAGTATCAATAGGAAACTAACATACACACACACAGGGGTTTACCAGGAATTCACTAGAAGAACAACACATGCAAAGACAAATGTCCTAGACCACTGTATGGTGTAAGAAAAGCTCAGCAGGGTCATCGGGGAGTCCTCAAACCAAAGACACCTGTAGGGGGAACTCTTGTGTCTCTCTGGACCGGGCCTGTCTTGCTCTGTCATTGGCTGGGAGCTGCCTGCAGGAAGAGTGGCCCGGGCACAACCACTGTCATGGCTTCACAGTACAGCAGCTGGGCCCTGATCCATCTTCCTCCCTGGAGTTAGGGGCTTCAGGACAGTCTGACCTTCGCCACTGCCATCGTGCCTGTTAGAAACCACAGCCCCTGCCCCCAACCAGCCCAAGGTTAACCCACCTTCCGCAAAGGCTCTCAGGATACTGGGTTGAGGCAGCTGTACCTCTCTTCTCTGTTAATGCACCTGGGATGGAGAGATGGTCACTCCTGTTCCCGCTAAGACTATGATCCTCCTCTCCTTTTCCATCTTGTTTTTGTCTTATTCATACCTGGCAGGTGAGTCCTGGTGGCCCATTCAGTTTGAGGGAAAGAACCACCTTTTAGTTCCCTCTTAAGAACTAGGAATTAGCCTCTTTTTTAAAGTTGGTATATCTCACTGTGTTACCCAAACTGGACTTGAACTCCTGGGCTCAAGTGATCCCAGTAGCTGAGACTACAAGTGCATACTACTGTACCCAGCAGGAATTAGTCAGTAATTAGATTAAAACATTCTGCTTTGTGGTTCATTTCAGTCTTCCCCAGATTTTTAAAACTGGAACTCCTGAGGCCCTCTCTCTTCAAGAGACTCATCCTGCCCTCAGTGCAGAAATAAAACACCCAGCACCAGTATCAGAGAGGACTTGGAACTCAGTTATTGAACTGTGCACCTGTTGGTTTTGAGCTGCTCTAATCTTTGCTTCTGGTAACTGGACACTTCCTTGCTGCAGGAAACCCATTCTATGGGGTCTAGGTGAGTGGGATTGAGTCATAGTGCCCCAAAAAGAAAGAATGGAGCAGGTGATTCTGCCTGACCAATCATTTTAGAAGAGATACATTTGGGATAGTCCAGAAACTGAAACCACATCCATAGGATGCTACAACCCCATATTACACAAAAGATATGTAAAAAACATAGCACAAAGTAAACACTCACCAGTTGTCATTTCCTTCTCATAACTGTATCCATCCTCTCTTTTATGTGGTCAGGTCTCCTGATGTAGATGCCTACCCAATCTACCTTGGAAATCTACCTAGCACCTTCCAGATTCAATTCACTAGGCCAGAATCACCCTATATTTTTCCCATCATTTGGACAGAGCACTCTGGTCTACTTGGCTGAACTTTCCTGGGCCAGTTTTGAGGCCATCCAATTCTTGACTGAACCAGACACTGACTCTGGCCTCCTTCTCCTCCTTCTCTTCCTCCTCTTTCTCTTCCTCTTCCTCCTCCTACTCAGGTTCCCTAGAGATCCCAGTAGGCCAGCTTCCCTCACCTACAATGAAACTGTCTGCACCATAAAATGCTAAATGCAGAATCCACTCAGCACCTTGAGCATGGTTTATCCAGTGCAAACAGCAAAAGCAGCCTTAAGGCAGAATTTGCCATTCAAGCTGTGTTTAGGAAACTCCACCTTCATGGCATCTGCCCTGCACCAGCAGCAGTTGACCAGCCCCCACCTACATGGGGAGAGAAGACAAAAGGCCTTGGAGATAGCACTATTATGTGTGGAAAAGAAAAAACTGCTGAAATTAGTTATGAAAGACTCAAATATTTCCTGCTGTTAAGTCCAAGGCATGCATATGTGCAGCGAGAATAAAGTTATTAAGAACATTTTTTCACTGTTTATATATGACTTACCTACCGTCTGGTTTGGCTCTTTACAGAGAAATGGGAGAAAGAACCAATTATGTCCTTTTGAGGTGGGGGTGGGGGCAAGAAATGCGGCCATGGGTTAAAAACCACATCTGCCATTGATGCTAAAGAAGTCTGGGCTGGAGGTCTCCAGGCATGTCTGATGTGGCTGTGGCTTCTGTCTGTCTACAAGAGGAAGAGAGCATTCAACAATGTTTCTTGAGGGTGACTTAGTGACAGCAAGGACATCCAGCCTCTATGTGATCTGCTTATCAAGAATTTGTTCTTCCTTGAATGAAATGACCTCAATCCATCAGTTTCTGAGAGGTGGGATTTTGGTAGAGTTCTACGCTTATCATCGGACCAATGTTTGAGTTGTCTGAGTCTCAACTCTGCCCTGTGTTCGCTAAGTCTGCTTTTCCCTCCTAGGCAATTTTCCTAACCTCTCTGAATCCTCAGATCCCCAGCTGTGAAGTGGAAAGCAATAATACCTAGGTCCTTGTGAGGTTCGTGACCCTGGTTCACTGTGGGAGCTCTGGGAATGTCAGCAGTGATGGTTGTAAAGATGGAGAAGACAGGGGCAGTTCCTCATAACCGTGCTTCCCTTCGCTCGGCTTGCACAGGAGAGTTTAGTAAAATTGTCCCTGGTTAAGCCTGTAGAATAAAGGCCACCCAGACCCAAGAGGAGGCACCAGAAAGCCATTTGGTGTCAGGGAAGATGATGAGAAGTATCAATTTCCTCAGCAATGCTAACAAGCAGGAACATGAGACCCTGTGGACAGCTGATGGCTCTCCTTAGTGCGATCAGCAGGCAGAAGTTCAGCCACTGGATAGCAAGGCTTGCAAATGCTCCTCTCTCAGGACTGCACAATCAGATGGGAAATCTTTGGAGAGGAGAATCTCAAGAGACCTGGGGCTCTTCCTATTTTGAATGAGGCCAGAATTACCCCAGGCAGAGCTGCCTTCTAGCAGGATGTTCCCCCAAGCTGGCCACAAGTGGGGATTAGAAGCAGACACCAAAGGCAAGTACAACCAACAGGGGAGAAGTTGGATGAACTCCTTAAAAGTTCAAACATTTAATTTTGTCCTGATTTTGTTCAAGGCTGAGGGATCATTTCTTATTTTACCCAAATCAGTTCAGCAACCTCTAGAGAGAAGACAAGGGTGCTGCTATAGTATTTCCAATGCCCTTGGCTAAATCAATGTCTTTACTCTGCCCTGAAACACCTAAAATGTCACTGGAAGTTAGAACCTTAAGTAGCTTAAAATAAGAGTATTACCATTTCAGTTTTCAACAATAAATACATGAAATGGGAGGTTTCAGTATTATGTGATACTCGTGTCAGCAGGTCTGACAACAGGTTTCGTTGTTTTAGGGAAAGACTGGATTTGATTTGATGCAGAAGTTTTCTTCTGCATTGTTTTGACAGAACAGTTCCATCTCAAATTGCTTCACGGTTGTGTGCACATCACACTGGTCTCTGGCACCTGCTCGGGGACACTCATGGGTAGTCATAGCCAAAATTTCTTTCTGAAGGTGCTTTCTGATATCACCTAAAACAATGGAAGAAGTTGGAAAGGGCTCCCAAGCTCTCAGAAGGCATTTCATAACGGACAGAGTCCATTTAAAGCTTCTGAGGACGTCACATTTGAGTGGACATATGACGACATAAGTGGAGAATGGACATTAACTAAGCAAAGGAGAGGCATGCATCCCAGCTGTATTAGTCAGTTCTCATGCTGCTAATGAAGACATATACTGGGTAATTCACAAGGAAAAAGGTTTAGAGGAGTCACAGTTCCACGTGAATGGAAAGGCCTCACAATCACGGTGGAAGACGAAGGAAGAGCAAAGGGACATCTTACATGGTAGCAGGCAAAAAAAGCTTGTCCAGGGAAACTCCCATTTTTAAAACCATTAGATCTCGTGAGACTACCACAAGAACAGTACAGGAAAGACCCACTCCCATGATCCAATTACTTCCCACCAAGTTTCTCCCATGACACGTGGGAATTATGGGAGCTACAATTCAAGATGAGGTTTGGGTGGGGACAGAGCAAAACCATATTACCAGCAAAGAGCATATTTAAGAACCCAGTAGGAGGACTGGTGTGGTGCTGCAGTCAGCTTGCAATGGCTCACCAGAGCCAATCATATTCAACTCTTATCAACTCTGTGATCGATGTCATCACGTTTGTAGCTGGAAATTGACATTGGTGTGAGTATTTACACCACAAAAATTGACAAATGCTACAAATCAGGACTTTCTTAAAAAAGCACAAGGACCTTATTTTCTTACTTGCACTCTTGTTCGTAGCAGTCTGAATAGCGTATTATAAAAGCTCAGTAAATGTGAATTTTCTGGGAAGTGAGCTGGAGATAGATAGCCACAGAATTCGGTAATCTGCCTTCTCAACCAACTGTCTAACCTACAGAACAGAGGAAGGGACCAAACCCTGGGCTGATAGCCTGAACATCTTGATTTTCCTAGCTGGTTCCCAGAGAAGCAGAGTCCTATCTGCCTTCAGAAGTGACTCTTCCACTCACTGAGAACACAGATCATCACACTTCTGAGTCTCACTTTCTTCATAGCATTCAGAATTTGTCTCAGTTATAACATAACTTTTGAATCAAACTATTAGTATAATTTGTATTGGGTTTTACTTTTCTCAGTGCCATCAAGGGACCCACAAGGGCTCAGAACATCACTGGTTTGTCTACCTGCATTAGAGGAAGAAGAGGCAATCAACATCCAGCCTTTTCTACAAAAGCAATAAAATATATATGGATACATATAATTAACAAGGGCTTAATTTTAAGAGTAGGAGCTCGGCAGTCAGTCATATTTAGTCAAATCTTGACTTTATCGCATTATTTTCTGTGGCCAGGGAAGTTTATTTTTCATCTCTGTACCCAGGTGTCTGTACTTGCATGAATTTTGATAGCATCTACCTCCTAAAATTGTAAAGATTTAATGAGACAATGCAAGCATAATCCTTGGCCTAGTACCTAGTATGTGGTAAGTTCCCCACAAATAGTAGTTAAAGGTTTTGAAACTGCAAAATTATAGACCAGAAGTGGATCTAAAGAGTACCTGGTCAAATATTCTTCATGGTAGATCTGCCTCTTACTTGGAACCACTACGTGCTAACTTGTTTTCTGGATGTATGTTATTATTTACAGTTCTTTAAAGAGACCTACAAGCTGCATATTATTATCTACAATTTTCTGATAGAGCACTTTTAGGGAGAGTGTAACTGACTTGCTTAAAGCCATAGTTAACACGTGGCTGAAAGAGAATTTTAACTTAGATTTGCCTGTCTTCAAAACATATAATGTGCTGCTTCAATAGGTAAGAAAGTTCAAAGAGAGAGAATAATGTGCACAAGCTTAAAAAAAGAATAGGCCTACTACGATTTAAATCTTTGAATTCCATGCAAGTATGGTTTCCACCAACACTCACTCTCACTGATCATCACACAACTAGATTTAGATCAGCTCAAAATAAACTACATGTTATGTATGAACCAATAATGGGACTTGTTCACATGTGGAAACAGGGGGCAGTAAATGTTTTTTGGTTATCCAAGGGTATTAATCAGAACTTTGTTTTTTCCGCTACACACTCCACATAGATGTCTAAGCTTCCAAACATTGCTTATAGTCCCGTCTCCCGCTGGACTTGTGCCTCGGTTTCCGTATTTTGGAAAGCAGAATCATAACATCTCATAATGACATTGTGAGCAGTCGTCCGAAAGTACTAAGTGTAATTCTACACACACAATGATTAGCCATCCACATTTGCTTTACTTCTCTTTCCCCAAAACACAACTTTGTCATCCAGCTGTGTCCCAATTTCAGCACTAGGGAGGACATGATGTTCTGTTGGGTATACTCTGAACCGTGAGTAACCCCAGCCCTTCTTTACAGAGAAAGTGATTCCTCTGTCAAGGACTCTTCATCAATGATGGGTGGTGGTGACAAGGAATCAAAGTGCAGTCTTGGAACATTCAGCAAACATTAACTACTTCATTAGTGATCATTTCACTTTGAGTTCCATTGTATGCCAATTCATCACAGTGAGAGTGGGCAGCAAGTCATGAGTGATAAATGAGCACCGCACTCAGGTACTTTCATAATTAAGCCATGTGGAGGAGGCAGGAGGACCAGGCTCGGCATCCCCATCCTTTGATAAGTCTCTGTTCACATCCAGGTCTCTTTATTTGCTTTTGAGAAAATGTATATGGAGAAGGAGAACTGCATTCAAGCCCAGCTCTGCTGATAACCAGCTGTGTGACCTTGCGTAAGCCACTATGCTGGCCATACTTACGAAGAAGGGTGGACACAGTCAGGAAGACCTAGCTGTAGATTCCAGCACTGAACTTCCTAGTTGTGTGACCTTACAAAACCAAAAAAGAAAAGGATAGGCCAATATCCCAGATGAACATAGATGCAAAAATCCTCAACAAAATACTAGCAAACTGAATCCAGCACCACATCAAAAAGTTAATTCAACATGATCAAGTAGGCTTCATTCCTGCCATGCAAGGTTGAGTCACCATATGAAAATCAATAAACACGATTCACCAGATAAACAGAATTAAAAACCAAAACCATATGATCATCTCCATAGACACAGCAAGAGCCTTCAACAAAATCCAACATCCTTTCATGATTAAAAAAAAAAACACTCAAGAAACAGTCAACATCATACTGAATGGGCAAAAACTGGAAGCATTCCCCCTTGAGAATTGGAACAACACAAAAATGCCCACTGTCACCACTCCTATTAAACACAGTACTGCAAGCCTTAGCCTAGCTGTGTGGCCTTGACCTCACAGGTTGGCTTCACAACCCATTACAACTCTGAATGTCTCTCCATATTCCACATCAGTGCTATGCTTATTTGAATGTTTATGATTGTGTTTTGGTTAGTTTGTTTGCCATGAAAAATCATTTGATCTGACCCCCCCCATATTAATTTCCCACTGCTGCTGTAACAGATGACTACATAGTGGCTTAAACCAACACAAGTTTAGTTGCTAAAAACCCAATGCCTTACAGCTCTTTAGGTCAGAAGTCCAAAATGTATCTCACTGGACTAAAATTGCATTGTCAGCAGGTCTGGGTTCCTTCTGGGTGTTCTGGGGTAGAATTCATTTCATGGCCTTTTCCAGATTCTAGAGGTTCCCTGTATCCTTGGCTCTGGCCTCTTGCTCCATCTGCAGAGTACATTGCTTCAGGGTTTGCTTGATTCTCACATCTCCTTCTCTGGCTTTTATGAGAACGCTTGTGATTACATGGGTCCCATTCACAAATTCAGAGTAATCTCCCCAACCCTTGCCTTAATTACATCTGCAAAGTCTCTTTTGCTGTGTCAGGCAACATAATCACAGGTCCTGGGATTAGAACATGGGCATCTTTTGGTGGTTGGGGGCAGGGGACATTTTTCTGCCTATCATACCTTCTTACAGTCAGTCAGATTAAAATTACATGACAAATACCCAGGAGAAAAAGTTACAACCTCCACTGGCAACTCACTTTGATGATAACAAGGAAATGCAAAAGAAAGGACAAAATTGCGATTAAAGGAAATCATTATTTAGCTCAGCTGACTTAAGCAAGTTGAATCAATCTGTGCTCAGTTTCCATCTGTAAAGTGAGGATTACCATGTTACCAATGAAATAGATTTACTGTAGGGATTAAATGAGGTGATATTCTCAAAGCATTTGGCACAGTGGCCAGAACATCATGGATATACTAAAATTCTCACCCTGAGGCTCCACCTTCTTTGCAATTACTACATCATTCATGTAAGAAGAAAGGGACCAGTTGATGAATACTCAAGGATAAGTGTCATTGTGACTTGCCGACCTACACAGCATCTCCAATTAACTCACAGAGAAGACCTTGCCGAATTCTCTTGCCAGACTTACTCGTATTATTTTAGATTTTAAAAGTAGTAACTAAGGTGGATGGCAATTTAAAATCTACATTTCTAAATTTACATTTCTAGGAGAATTTTCTCCCTTCTTCTTCACCATAGCTCTCTACCCAGATGTGTTAATTATTTCTCCCCAGAAGAGGAGACTGAGAATCAGAGTGGTCAAGCACAAAGTCAAGGCACTTAATAAGCAGAAAGTCAGGCTCTAGTCTTGCTTTTCCAACTCCAAACCTCACGCCTTTCCACTGTGTCATGCTGCCTGCACATTTGTTTGCAATGTGTCACACTTATGTTTTATGGCTGGGAAAATAAGGACAAGGAATCCAAAAGAAATTAACAGGTGACTCAACTTTAAAACAGCCGCTGATTCAAAACAATCCTACACTGCTTATTATACATATATACACACACATATACATACATGTGTGTATATGTATATGTGTGTGTATATATATGTATGTATATGTATATGTGTGTGTATACATATATATGTATATACATAGTGTGAGTGTGGGCAGCAAGTCATGAGTGATAAATGAGCACCACACTCAGGTACTTTCATATACATATACATATACATATGTATATATACGTATATGTATGTATGTAAGTTCCTTGGGCTCGAAATGCTAGAGTTGGGCTGACCTGGGTTTGAATTCTGGTTCTGAAATTACAGTGATATTCAACAAGTTATGACCTCTCCTAACCTCAGTGCCAGTTCCTGCTGGGGTAAAGTCCCAAGTCACTGTCATTTGGGCATAAAGGTGAGAGTGAATGTAACTGCTATGTGACAGATTTTGGGGAGAGTCTATATTTATGGAAACATTCCAAGGAGGGTTTTACCGAACTGATTCTTCTAGAAACCTCGCAATTAAATGGAAGCAATAACAAAGGCTGACAGGCTTAGCTAAGGTGAGACCGACTTTCCTTCCATCTATCTTGGCCATATTTTCTAGGGACGCTTATTTGGAGAGACAAACATTTAGGTTTGAAGAAATCATACTCGATTTCTCTGGAGCCTTCTTGCTTCAGCTGGATATGCAAAGAGTTACAGTTTGGAAGGTGCACCGTAAATCCAGTGATGGCTATTCTGGAACTGACTGGAGACACTTTCAAACCTAATTAAAGTGGTTTCTCTTTTTGGATTTGCTCCAGGTATCCATTTACTGCATGGGCTAGAAACTAATGTGTAGCAAGATTTGGGATCAGGGCCCTTATACTGCAAGGTTTGTTATATATGATTAAGCTAAACCGCTTAGTTTAATTTGAAATAAAAGAAATTGCATTCCATATTCAAGAAATAAAGTATCTAAGTAAAAACAGAATTACAAATTAAAAATCTGTTTTTTGAAACCAAGTACCTATTTCAGGAATTAGAAATATTTGCTTTGGAATTATTTCCGCAACCATAAGCCCAATTCCTTCATACATAAGCCCAGTGACTATTCTCTCATTGTCCTTTTCATTTTCTCTTCCTTTCGAATCTCATGCTGATCTCCTTCCATTGCGACGTCATTGTAAAGAATGAATGTCATAAGTTACTTAGCACACTACCTGGCACATAGAAGGTGTCCACTAAATCATAACCAACATTGACATGCATTATCAACATAATCATCATTGTCATCGTCATCATCGTGGCACCATCACCATTAATGCCATTTGTCTGAGACCCTCTCTTTTGGTGAGGAAGGGTAGAAGGTTACAGGTGAAAACCAGAGCAACAAGGAGAAATCTAACCGGTGCCTAACAATTGCTTTCACTGAGTACCCAAAGTCAATGTGATCTCAATGGTACAAAGGAAGAACTGAGCGATAGATATGTTAACAGTATTGCTTATGAATATATCTTTAACTCTCATTCACCCTGCACATCTCAGCCCAATCATCAGCTACCCAGGGAAACCTTCCCTGAAGCCCTGGACAATCAAATCTTCCTGGTATGTAATCTTTTCGTATCATGCACCCACCAGCTTTGTAATTCTCACAATTGCATGTTTATTTTTATTTCTATTATTGTTTGACTACTATCTGTTTGTGCCATAACACTGTAAGCTCCTTATATCATTTTGCTTACTGTTATACCCCAGTTCTTGGCACACATAGGTAATCAATAATTTCATGTTTTGTTTTTTAGAGACAGAGTCTTGCTCTGTCACCCAGGCTGAAGTGCAGTGGTGCAATCATACCTCACTGCAACCTCAAATTCCTGGGCTCAAGTGATCCTTCCCCTTCAGCCTCCCAAAGATCTAGGATTAAAGTGTTAGCCACCACACCCAGCCAGTAGTTAATTATTGAATAAATGAAAGGATAAATGGATGAATCAAAAATACTAACAATAACAAGTGTTGACAAGGATATGGAGACACTGGAACACTTACACATTCTTGGAGGAACTGTAAAATGGTACAGCCACTTTAGATAACAGTTTGGCAGTTCTTCAAGTTGTTAAATATAGACTAAGTTACCATATGACCCAGCAATTCTGCTTCTAGGTACAGATTCAAGAAATTTGAAAACATATTTCTCCACACAAACTTCTGCAGGAATGTTCACAGTAGTACTGTACATAACAGCCAAAAAAATAAAAATCCCAAATTCTCATCAACTAATGAATGGATAAACAAAATGTACTCTATTCACACAATGAAATAGTATTTGACTGTAAAAATAATTTTAAAAAACTTGACACATGTCACAGTATGGATGAACCTTGAAGATATTATACTAAGTGAGATAACCCAGCCACAAAAAGTAGTATATTGTATGATTCCATTTATATGAAATGTCCAGAATAGGCAGACCACAGAAATGTAGACTAGATTCGTGGCCTCCAGAAGCTAGGGGAAGAGAGAATGAGGAGTGGCTGTGAAGGGATAAGGAATTTCTCTTTGGGGTGATAAAAATGTTCTGGAATTAGACAGTGGTGATGGTTATACACCATGTGAATATGCTATTTAAAAATCACTGAATTGTGTACTTTAAAATGATAAATCTGAGTACAAAGGGTTTTAGGGCAGTGGACATACCCTGTTTGATACTGCATTGGGGGATAGATGCCATGACACTTTTGTCCACATACACAGAACATGTGGGAGTGAGCACTAATGTAAACTCTGAGCCCTAGGTGATTGTGTCAATGTAAAAGACTCATCGATTGTAACAAAGGTACCACTTTGGTGGGGGACGTTGATACTGGGGCAAGCTATGATTGCGTGAATGCAGGAGGTATATGGCAAATCCTTTTGCTTCTGCTCAATTTTGCTGTAAATCTAAAACCCCTCTAAATAAAAATAAGGTCACTTTTTAAAAATGGTGAATCTTATGTGAATAACATCTCTGTAAAGTTGTTATTTTTTTAAAAAAATGCATAAAGTGCTGGAGCTTGTCTGACTCCAAAATACCCAGACTCCTTCCCATACACTAGGCTGCTCTATTAGGCAGTAGCGCCTCTTCAGGGGCCACGTGCCTGCTTCTTCCACCCAAATCTCTCCTGGGAGCTGGGAAGTAAATGGGGGACAAATACCCCCTCCCAATTCCTGCCACACATTCATTCGGAAGGTTTCATTCTAGGAAGTTCAACTTTGAATACGTTCATAATGAATAATTTTAGGTTACTGCCTCAGAAGTAATTGTAATGCACCTTTAGCAAAGTCTGTTTTCCAACTTGTAGAGCTGTTCCACACTACAGCTGTTGCAGTAAATACATTTTTTAATGATAGAATCATGCCTTGCTGTTCTAGTTCATCTCTGATTTCTTCTTGTTTAGGCCAAAGAGCACAAAGCTTATTTCTCACTAAAAAATGCATCCCAAACTTTATCCAGCCTCCCACCCACCCATTCCTAGCCAACTTTCACAACATCTCTGCACACTTGGAAAATCGTAGATAGAGGACACAGAGACTCTACACAGGATCCCATTAGAGAGGAATGGAAGAAACAGTGTTCTTTGATAACGTAAGGGTGGGGCGGGGGGGTTATAGCCAATTTTTGTACATAATCTCTAAAGACATGGGTGGACTTCCTCATGGATCTTTCCATCAAGTATGCCATTGGAAGGAGGTACAAACCTGACTTTTAAAGCTTCTATGAATAAACTATTACTTAGGTATTTTTAAAGAAGTGAAACAAATTTAGATAACACACACAAGTTCCTTTTTTAAAATTACCTTTAGTTATTTCTGCTTCTCCCCAGAGTGTCACAGCAGCCCAGATATTCTCCGGAACCATCTCTCCATATCACACCCCCACTCCTGTCTCCTCACTGCACCCAAACTCAGCCCCAGGAATTTGGGTGTCACCTGAGTTCCTTCCTTGCTCAGTCCTTCTATGTTCCTTATTTAATCTACATGAAAGCTTTCTAATATATATATTATTATATTTGCATTTTAAAGACTAAAAAACTAAGGTTCCAAGTAGTAAAGTGACATGCCAAGGTCACACAGTTGATAAGTGGAGCCAAAGGGTCTGTGATTCTTTACTGTTCGATGAATCTCCAACATCTCTTTTTGTGCAACACTATGCTTCCTTCTTGCCAATCTCCTTTAGCCAAAGTTCCTTGTCTTACAGTATAGGGAAACTGACATATGTTGACATTTTTCCAGACTGAAATCCACAGTTTAGCCCTTATCCATGACCCCACACTGCAAAACCATGAAGTGGAATGGATGCAAACCAATAAATACCTTTTCTGTACCTGATAGGAGAAAGCATTACACACATGAGATATCTGGCAACCTTACGTCTTTTGGGTATAAACAACACACAAAAACGTCTGTTAAAATTATTGGAAAATACAAGATGACCTTTGGCCAAATGTTAAAGGGAAGGAAGCTGGCTAGGAAGCTGAGTCCTGACTGATGAACAGTACAGGGAACAGTACCTGTGTTAGCAACCGATAAACCAAACCTGATAGCACTGAACTCTGTAATTTCCACTAACTGCATTTTCTTCTCCCTATGGAGACTGTGGTTGATGGAGGTTAAATTTCTACTTTTATTTGCAAAGAAGGGGGAGTTGTGCCATCTGTATTTCTATGAGAGTCATGTGGATCAAATCCTCTGCTCACTCCTTTCGCAAATTCTTCCCCTTCAGAGGACGACCTTCTAAGCTGGCTTTCCAGAGAGAAAGATATTCACTGGGCTGCGTGCCACCAGTGCCTGGGTCTCACAGGCAAGAACCAGGGCCCCACTTGTAGAGTGACCCTGTAACATGGCTTCTCAACTGGGAGGATTTTGTCCCTAGGTAACGTCTGGAGACATTGTGGGTTTTCTTAACTTGGGGGTGGGGGACTGTTCTACTGGAAGCCAGTGGGTCAGGGCTGCTTCTAAACATACTACAATGTACAGGACAGCTTCCCACGACAAAGAATCATCCCAACCAAAATTCAATAGTGCTGACATTGAGTAAACCCTGCTCAGAAATGACCCATTCTTACTTCTTCTTCAAGCCCCTGCTCAGACAAAGCACTATTTCCGACGTGGGAGGAGAATCAGCCTCCCCATCTCCATTTTACTTTCTCCCTTTCCCAGTTACAGACCAAGTAACCTGGACCATCCAGGAAGGGGTTGCCTAAGCCAGGTCCTTGTCAGTCTCTGGAGAAAAGTAGCCTGCTGCATGGCAAGAGTGGTAACATCTTGAATTGAAACCATCATGATGGCCAATGTTTGAGTCCTGAATACCAAGGTGTTCTGTAGCAAGGTCTTTAAACAATGCATGCAGCATAGATTATTGCCCCACATAAACATGCCTTTCTCACCTCCCCAGTGGTCCTGAGTTTCAGCAAGAAAGTCCAAAGATGTGGCCAGCTGCACATGTCTTTAGTCTAAAAGCTTGCTATTATAAAGGATGGCTTCTGGAAAGTGGTTGTGGGAATCCACTTTCTCAAAGCCACCTGAGACATCACTTTTGTATGAAAGTCCCTATCAAATATTTTCCTTCGGAGAAACTGGATTTTTCAATGTCTTTCTTTGGCCTCTCAACTCCCTCAGCCTTTGGGAGTAGGTTTGCATAGACCTGCTCACTCCAGTATAGCACCTGAGAGTACTGTGTCTAGCTATTCTATTTCAGCACTGGTTTGTGCATTTGATTTGGCTCTTCCTGGAATTACAATTACAATACCCCTCCCTTTAGTTTAAAGGCAAAATAGGCAGGGATTCAGGAAGGAGAAGCAGGTAGCTTCCTAAAGCCCCCAGCCTAATCTCTGCCGATTATAGAAGTCATGCATTTCATGGCAAATGGATTTCTGCGCAAGCCTTCCTGTGTTGTTTTTCATTCAGTGTTTGCCCCTTTTTATACAGCTCTCTTAACTCAGGAGACCAGAGAATAATAGGGAGGATGGCAGGACTTACGTGCCAAAATGTGACATAGAACTCCAAAATGCTAGCATCATGTTTAAGTCTGTCTTTCCAGCAAACCATCACCTGTGAAATTGGGAATTGGGTGTCAGAGGAAATGGGTCAGAGATATTTCATTTGCAATGAAAATTTCAGATCATCCCAAACTCAATGACTGAGACACATTTTCAAGAGGAACAGATGGGTGCTTGTGAGCATGAGGGTTTCAGATACTCAGGGGAGAAAGTTGTTTTAGCCAAACCTCCTGGGGGAGTCCATCTGGTCCAGGCTGTAACAACTTACCCCATGAAGAGGCTAGATGAAGCCTGATAATGCCTGCAGCTCTGCGGGGGCAGGAGTTTGTAGGAGCTGATGTTCTTCTTTATGGTGACCAATGGCCCATCACTGGGAAAGAAGAAAGAAAATGCAGCTCTGTCTGAAGAGATGGTCCATAAATCTGATCTACCCTTCATGGATGGTGGAAGGCCCATGCATGCAACCCACATGTGTCCCAGCCTGGCTCCTGCATAACGAAAAGTTGACAGTTCCAGATTCTATGAGTTCAGGTGAAAGACTGACAACATCCAAGGGCAAGTCTCAGTGGACATTCAATTCCCACGAGCTGGTATCATTTTTCACAGCATGGCTTTCCATGCCGCAAGTCATTAAGCTTCCAAAATCCCAAATTCCTTAGCCCTGCAAAACGTTAGCTAATATTTTAATACGATCATTCTCTGAAATACAACATTCTCTGGGATGATGCGCATTTATAGGAAAAGCCAAGAGTAGCATATCGCTGTAAGCACAGGCGACTTTAAAATAACAGTGGAAAAAAAAAAAAAGGTAACAGTGGCAAAAAATTTAGCATGATAGTTCTTAAACTTTTCGTTCTAGGACCCATTACACACTTACAACCCATCTAGGCCCCCAGACAGTTTCTGCTTTTGTAGGTTATGTCAACATTTATATTTTAGAAATTCAAACCAATACAAAAACCAATACAATTTTAAATGCTTATTTATCAATGCACTTAAAATAACAACCATAAATCCATTACATGTTAGCATAAATAATGTAAATTTATTAAAAAATAACCAAAGTTTCCAAAACAAAAAACAATTTAGCAAGATGACTGGCATTGTCTAACATTTTTTTTGCAAATCCTTCTAATGTCTGAGTTAATAGAAAACAGCTAGATTCTCACATCCGATCCTGCATTTAATCTTTTGTAACTTATTATCTGGGTTGAAATATATAAAGAAAATTCAATCTCACATAGATATCCCTGTAGAAAAAATAAACTTATTTTAATAGCCTTTTTAGATATTTGCGGGTAGCTTTTTGATACT
Organism: Homo sapiens; assembly: GCF_000001405.40. Lineage (NCBI taxonomy): Eukaryota > Metazoa > Chordata > Mammalia > Primates > Hominidae > Homo > Homo sapiens. The sequence goes on from NC_000016.10 coordinate 80,292,707, forward strand.
ACACCAAAACTCAACAAGGGGTATTCTTTGAAAGATTAGTTGCAATGTAGAATCTGAAATCATATCAGTGAAAATTTTTGTATTCCATTTAATAAAAATTCATTGCTCCATTTTGCATATTGACTGTCTGACTATACATGATGCATTGGTCATTTAGATCACATGGATTCCCTGAGTTACAAAGATATTTTTCTCCAGTATTTTTACATTTCATTTTTACATTATTTTTAAAAACACATTTGTAAATACCACCAATCTCATCCCAAAAGTATTCAAATATTCGGAAGCCATCAAGCTCACAGTTGCAGATACAAGTTTTTCACTTGAAACCTTGACTGGTACCATTGGCAACAGATACTGTCAATTGTTTTCCTTAAAATGACAGGCTCACTTTACTCATTTTCAAGAAAATGTCCACCATAATCATAATTGATGCATTGCTCCTCCAAGCAAAAATGGCATTCCATGAAAAAAAAGAGACTAGTTCAGCTCACAACTCAAGCAATCACACAAGTGGTTTTCTCTGAGCCAACCACTGTGCTTTGCTATGTAACAGAAGTACTTTCTACATATTTCCGACTTATCACACAAAATATTAAAAGATATGAACTCAGGAGTTGAGATTTAATGAAATTAATCATTTTTACTAATCTATCAAGAGCAATCTTAAGATAAGCTGGCTTCATTCATTTGTTTTTTTATCGTAAGCACCCAGCAGTGAAGAACGCAATGACGACTTGTACGATTGGACACTGTCACTTTGATTCCTTCTAAGGAATTTTTATTCACCACCATTTTATTCACCACTGCCTTCTCACCATTGGGGCAACTGTCAACTAGGCAAATAAGATCTTACTATTATTAAGAAAGTAGTTCTGACCTCAAAGACTCCCTGAAAGAGACTTGGGGACTCCCTGAGGCCCATGGACCGCACTTAGAGGACCGTCAATCTAGGGACTGTGGGGACCTAAGAAGCTTTGCTGACCCCAGTAGAGACAAGGATCTTACCTCTGCTTGTAAGGGCTTATGAGGAGAGCCTACTCAGATCTCAGTTGTTCAATTTATCTATATTTGTATTTCAAAAAGAGTACACTTCCTGTAAAGATGAAAGCAGTGCAGACATATATGATGTTGATAGTAAAATTCTCTATAATCACAGTCAAGATTTTGGATTGCGATACAGCTTTCCCCAAATTATTTTCAGTGTGTATGAGGTAGATAGACAGATGGACATGGGATGAAATATATATATATATATATATATATATATATATATATATATATTCCATTTTTTGTTTTATATATATAACAAAACAGATATTATAAATTAGATATTAATTATATAGTATATTAGCTATTCATTATATTGTATATATATTGATTATATATGTAAATGGATATATATAACAAAAAGATGGATTATGCCAGGTATGCTGATCTTTGTTTTGCTGCTATCATTTAACAGTATCCCTTAAACCCCAGTTCATGACAACACTTGTCGTTCTATCTCATTATCATCTGATGGATGCAGAGTAAGAATTCCACTTAGGGCAGAGATGCAATTTCATTACCATCATTCCAGGCCCCAGATGCGGGGTTGGAATGTTGTTCTTCTACGGGAGGCAGCCAGGAAGTGGCAGCAAGGCCCTGCTGGGGTTTTCTCTGAGACGCAGCCCAGGAAGTGCCTATTTTTATCAGCATGCCTGTCCTTTCCTTCCCCATGGACTGGAAGGCAGTCTTTTAGGGTGTGTCAGTTTCCTCTTGCTGCTATAACAAATGACCACAAACTTCATGGCTTCAAACAACACAAATTTATTCTTTACAGCTCTGGAAGTCAGAAGTCTGAAGTGAGTCTTGGAAGGCTAAAGTTACAGTGTCCACAGAGCTGCATTTCTTCTAGTTTCAGGAAAAAATTTGTTTTCTTACTTTCTCCAGCTTCTAGAGGACAGTTATATTCCTTGGCTCGTGACCCTATTCCTCTATCTTCAAAGTGAGTCATCCCAAGTCTTTGATGGTTCCATCATCACATCTCCTTTTCCTTCATTTACCTGACCCTCCTGCCTTCCTCTTACAAAGACCTTTATAGAGAGCGTCCATCTGGATAATCCCCCATCTAAGATCCTTATTTTTATCACATATGAAAAGTTTCCTTTGCCATGAAAGGTAATATATTCACAAGTTTCAGAGATGAGGCCGTGGACATCTTTGGGGAGTCGCCGTTTTTCCCCAGATTCTTCTGGGAGACACACAAAGCAAGTCTTCAGGAGCCATTCTGAGACAGTCCTGGGAGCCAAGGCCAGTTCATAGAATGGAGACCAGGGAGTAGGGGACCTAGCAGACAAGAGAAACTACCTGGAGTCTACTTCCCCTCACCCCACGACCTCTGTCTGATCCCTTCTCATAGCTCAAAAGATAACTCAGGTTCTACCTCCTCCAGGAGGCCACTCTAACCCCTCCTTCCTCTCTCCCTGACTGTGCCCACAGCTCATTCTGTGCTTCTCTGGGATGTTACTGGTAAGCCTTAAGGCTTGGAAGCCAACACCTGAGTTCAGGTCTTAGTCCTGTGTTTACTGTGTAACTGTGGGCAAATAATTTAACCTCTGTGAGCCTGAGATTCCTTCACTACAAAATAGAGATCATCCTACTTCCCTCAGAAGGGCATAGTGAGGAATTAAATAAATGTAGGCAAAAGGTTTGTTCATTGTCTGGTACTTCATAGATGCTCCATAAATGAAGTGATCATCACTATTATTATCAAAGTAACTATCAACCCTTATGTTAATTTATCTGTTAACTTTTCCATCTTCATTTTTCAACTCTAAATCTCTTGAGGGCAAGGATCCAAATCAATGGATCTTGTTTCTGTGCCTATTGCAGGTGATACCCCAAACGGGGAATCCCTTCAGGAATAGGAAAACGCACTGGGGCTCATATATTCACTCATCAAACAGCCCCTGAGCCCCTGCAATCTGCTGGTCACTGTCCTTGGCGCTGGGGATACAGTGAGACAATCCTCACCCTCCCGCTGAAAGGCATGTTTAACAGCATTGTTGTAACAGACACAAGTGAAAGTCACCTTAGAAGCCCAGAGGAGAAGCAAGCATCTGTACTCTTTGGACAGAAGGCAGGAAGAAGGTACCAAGGAAGGCTTCACAGAAGAAATGAGGCTAAAGATAGGTTTTACTGGATGAGAACATGTTGAGAACACAGGTGGAGGGGAGAGGAAACTGAAAAGCAGCTGAAAAGGTATGGTGGTGAGGGAAACAGCCTGGCATCTGCTGGATGAGTGTAAATTAACTGTCTGAGTATGGTGGAGGGGAGGAAAGGCAGCGAAGACAGAGGTAAGAGATAAGATGGAGGAGGCAATGAGAGATATGTAACCAAAGGCCATGATAAGGGTTTTGGCCTTTACACTGAGAGCACTGATGGATGGTTTTCCCCATAGTGGGGTGATCAGTTGTTATATCAAGAACTCTCCTTTTGGCCACACTATGGGGATGTCTTTTTTGTTGTTGTTGTTGTTTTTGTTTGTTTTGTTTTGTTGTTGTTGTTGTTGTTGTTGTTTTTGAGACAAGAGTCTCACTCCGTCACCGAGGCTGGAATGCAGTGGTATAATTTTGGCTCACGGCAACCTCCGCCTCCCAGGTTCAAGCGATTCTCATGCCTCAGCCTCACAAGTAGCTGGGATTTCAGGCACGCACCACCAAACCTGGCTAATTTTTTATATCTTTAGTATTTTTTTTATTTTACTAAAATAAATACTATATTTTAGTATTTCATGTTGGCCAGGCTGGTCTCGAACTCCTGACCTCAGGTGATCTGCCCGCCTCGGCCTCCTAAAGTGCTGGGTTACAGGCGTGAGCCACCACGCCCGGCCAGGGATGTCCTGAAGGGAAGCGTGATGGAGTAAACAGAGGAAAACCAAATGGGAGCTCACTACATTCATCTAGATGAGAAGTTATCGGGGTTTGAAGTCAGGCAGGGGATGTGGGGTGGAAGGAAAGCTTAGGAGAGCTATTCAGGGGTGATTGTGTTATGAATCCTATGTCCAGACCTCAATTTCTTCACCAGGCAGGTCATTAGAGCAATAAATTACAAATTAATCTTTAAAAAAAGAGAGAGAGAAAGTGTTTCACGTGAATTCTTCCTCTGCCCTCTGTGTGTATATTTGATGACTCTGTGTTTCCTCAGCAAAAGTCAATGAAACAATTAAGTCTCTGCCCATTTTTCCTTATCCTGATCTCCAACAGTGTTAAAAAGCCTTGCACTACACTTTTCCCACCCGGGCTTGTTAATAATTCATGCATTTGCCTTCTTTAGTTCATCTGTCTTTGCTGCTTAAACCCAGTGGAAAAGGGGAGGTTCTCGTTTGGCTTTCTGAATGCCCCATCCTTACAAACATTCAAATGGCCACATCTTTAATGCCCATGATGTGGGACTGGTAAAATTCTCTTTATCTTCCACCAAAACTCCAATAAGGAATATTTTTTAACGATCTCTGCTAATTTTGTCAGCTCATTTTCTGACAAGTTTTGTTTCACATGGATCATTTTGCCCAGAATAATTAGGGCTAAACTAGAGATGGGGATTCCATTGCTACTCAGAATGTCACTCGTGGGCCAGCAGTGTCACTTCCACCCTCAGGCTAGCATCGTCAGGTTTGCCCTGGAAAGGGGTTCCTCAACCTTGGCACTATTGACATTTGGGGCCAGAAAGCCCTCTATGGTGGGGGCTGTCCCGTGCATCAGAGGATGTTTAGAAGCATCTGTGACTTCTACCCACTGGAGGCAAGTAGCACCCTCATCCACCAGTTGTGACAATTAAAAATATCTGCAAGCATCATGAAAGACAGAAGTCTCCCCAGTTGAAAACCAATGCCCATGGCCTTGATTGCACTGTAAACGCTCCAGCCCTAGCAGAGAGCTCATGGGTCACAATCTGCATTTTAATAAAAACCCAGGTGATTCCCAGACACATTAAAGTGCAAGAAGCACTGGGCTCGAGGGCTGGTGCGCAAACTTGGCTGCCTAGTGGAATCACCCAGGAATATTTAAGATAATTCTTGTGTCTGGGCCCCACCCCCAGAAACTCTGATTGAATTGGTGTAAGTACAACCCGCATGCTGGGATATTTAAGACCTTCCCAGGTGATTCTGATGCAGCCAAGTTTAAAACCACCATTCCTCCCATAGTTTAGCCCTAATCCTCATATTTTGCAGATGGAGAAACTGAGGTGCAGAAGGGTCCAGGAACTTTCCCTTCTGGAAATCAGTAGAGCCAAGACTTATACCTTAAACATGCATAGTAAAAATATCCTAGTTAGCACTCTATTTGCCTTTTCTAATACCTCTGACAACTGTGACCATTATTTGTGTATTTCTTTAATTTCTGTCTTCCTGATTAGATGCTGAGGTCTCTGAGGGCAAGGACAATATTCGACTGGCTCCCCAGGGCTGTGTATCTCCCCAGTGCTTAGAATTCCATCTTGCACATAGCAAACAAGCCATGATATAACAAAGGAATGGATGAACAAAATGCACAGACAACAGAATAAAGAATGCAACCTATGTGTGCCTGGTGCCAAGCCCCAATTCAGCAAACACCACTGAGAAAGTCGGAAAAACAGTACAGGTGTTCTATCTGTGCCTTAGTGCACTTGGTGCTCCTCCTGACTGCTCAATGACTGGCCTTCCAGGCCTGGTGACTGCTCTCTGAGGCCCAGCGGGTGCCGAGGTCCAGGTCTAGGGAGCAACTGGAGCATCACTCTCCAAGGTGAGCCTCCACTACACAGGAGCAGTAAGCCCGTAGTCCACCTCCAACAAGCCTCCCATCTTCCTGTGTGGCCAGGCCAAGTATGTCTCTTTATAGATAAGGACACTGAAGTTCACATGAGCTACTAGCTCGTAAGTGTTAGGGGAGCTAGAATTCAGAAGGACTCTGTGGTGCCAGCCCTACCAATAATCGGGCATAGAGAGAAGTCTCTCCAGGTGCCCTGGGCTCAAGGAAACACTTTGGATCTCAGGCCCAGCTGCTTTCCAGCCTCATTTTGTACTTTTCTCCTCCCTTCTCACTGCTTCTAACCCAATAGAGCTCTCCATCCTCCCAGCCACACTGACCTCTTTTTACTTCCTTAAATGTGTCACATTCCCTCTTGCCTCTGAGCTGTCACACATGCTGTTGCAGTGGTCTGCAATACTCTCCCATGGTTCATTCTTCATGTCCTACAGGAAGCCTTCCCAAAACACTCCTCACCAGGGAGACAACTCTGTTTCACATCCCTGCAATACACTCCAACTTCTACCACTGCACTCACAACACTGCCTGATGATAACTTCTTACTTGTCATTGCTACAGTGTGGCAGGCTTTTGGTGGGGGGATGGGGGAGGGGAGAGGCAGTGGCCATGTTCACCTGCTTCACCTCATATCCCAAAATATCTACCATAATCCCTGGCCCAGAGTGTGTGCTGAATAAACATTTATTCAAGGAATGAATAAGCCAAATGCTGCGCACAGCACCCAAGCTAAGGTTTGGGCTTATATGCTCCCTTTCAGCCACAGTAAAGTGTGGAATTAGAATAAGACAACGGGGCAGGAGGGAAAGAGGGAGATAAAGACTTTGATTTTGCTTGGATATTCAGAAAGTTGCATTATTTGTCAAGTAATCACAAAAGAATCAATTGTTAGATTCCTGCCTCCGTAGAGACCTTATCCTTCATCAGACCTCCAGGAAATGACCAGAATTATCAAAGGAAAAGCAAACATTGCTCAGCAGCAACCAAGTCCCTGACCACATGCAAGAAGCAGGGCCACCCCAAGACAGGGAACCAAGAGCCTGGATCAGCCACGATAAAGACAGGCAGGCATCTGGCCTCCATCAGAGATGGTATTCCCACCCAAGCCTGGCATTGCGCCCAGGGATTAAGGGCTTTCTAGGACATCGAAATGCAAATATTTGCATGAATAAAATTTAGCAAACTAGGATGTACGGTTTCTTGGGCCAACTCCGGGACCCATGGCTGTGTGTGTGGCTGTGAATTTCTGTTGGCAGTTCAGCAGTCAGGGAAGAGTCAGGGAAGACATGAGGGTCTCTGCCTCTCTCGACTCCCCAGCATCATCTTAGGTATCAGAGATGCAGCTCGAGCATGAGAAATTGTGGGGAAAATGAACTCAGTCCTCCAAAAGCAGGGGTCCTCCTCCCCTAGAAGAAGGTGCTATTATCTGGAGATCCTACAAGTAGCCTGACTCTAGGAAAAGCAAGGGAATGCCAGGCAGAGGGGACAGCCTAGGCAATGGTGTGGAGGCCATCATGCACAGGGCACGTTCTGGGGTGGTGAAATTGATCTATCACATACAAAACAGAATCAGTGAGTTAAAGCATTGAGCCACATTGAAGAGGATTTTGAAAATTGATGATGATGTTGTATCAAATATAGATAGAGCCTTAGTTTTAATGCCACCTTCTCTTACCTAAGAAAATTCAAATGATGCTTTTGTCCAGGGTCTGCCAGGACAAATGCTCAATAGCTGTCAGCCATGTGTATTCTCATTTGATTCCCACTAAGCCCCCAGGACAGACTGTCATTACCAGCAAGCAGCAAGAGGAAAAACCAAACAGAGGACAAACCAAACAAAGAAAAAACAAAACCAAGTCTGTGTTAATAAACACACTCAGGATTTGGCTAGGATGGTACGCCAGTGTCCAGATATGCTGGAGTATCCAACCACAAGGCCAGGGTCCTCTTCAGTTTCACACACCAGGCTCTGGAGCTAGAACTCTCCACCTGGCTCCAGCAGGGGCCAGGAATGACTTGAAGCAAGGCAGCACGGCACTTGCAAGAAGTACTTTATGGCGATTTCTCTGGCACTACGGTGGAGGATGGGTTGAAATTGCAGAGCACTGTGTGCCAGGAGAAAGGCAACTTCCAAGTCTAGGGATATGAAGGTCCTATAGAAAAGTGGTAATAGACAATAAAGGAAGTGGTGCATTCAAGAGATTCAGGGGGTGAGTCAATGCATGTGGTGGCAGGAAACACAGAAAAAAAAAGGGAAGAATTAAAATAATCACCTATGTACAGGAGATAGTTCCATGTGGCTGTCTGGACAAACCTGCGCACTTGGAGTTCCACAAGAATTGCAGACCTTCAAGGACCAGGCCCTCCTCTTCCTTCTCCTCTTTCTCATCCTCCTGCTGCTTCTTTGGGATAATTTTTTGAGATGAGAGTCACATAAAATAAAATTAACTATTTTAAGTAAAAACAACTCAGTGACACTTAGTCCATTCACAAAGTTATGCAGCCACCACCTCCATCTAGTTCCAAAACATTGTTATCATTCCAGAGCAAAATTCTTTACCCATGAGGCACTCTTTTCTCAGTTTTCATTCCCTCCAGCTCCTGGCACCCAACAGTCTGACTTCTGTCTCCATGGATTTACCTATTCTGATTATTTCAGATCTGTGGAATTATATGTGGTCCCTGTGGCTGACTTCTTTCACTCAGCATGTTTTTGAGGTTCATCCACACTGGAGCATGTATAAATATGTCATTCTTTTTGATGGCTAAATTATAACCTCTAGTGTGGATAGGCCACAGTTTTTTTTTGTTTTGTTTTTATTTTTGTTTTCTTTTGAGACAGAGTCTCACTTTGTCACCCAGTGGCACAATCTAGGCTCATTGCAACCTCCATCTCCCAGGCTCAAGTGATTCACCTGCCTCAGTCCCCCAAGTAGCTGGGATTACAGGCACATGCCACCATCCCCAGCTAATTTTTGTATTTTTAGTAGAGATGGGGTTTCACCATGTTGACCAGGCTGGTCTCGAACTTCTGACCTCAAGTCATCCACCTGCCTTGGCCTCCCAAACTGCTGGGATTACAGGCATGAGCCACCGCACCTGGCTCACAATTTGTTTACCCACTCATCCAGTGATGGGCATTTGGGTTGTTTTCTCCTTTTGACTAATGTGAATAGCGCCTCTATGAACATGTATGTACATTCTATTGTTTCAGTCCCTGTTTTCCATCCTTCTTGGTACAAACCTAGGCATGGAATTGCTGGGCCACCTGGTAATTCAATGTTTAACTTGTTGAGAAATTCTCACCTATTTTCCACAGTGGCTGCACCATTTTACACTCTCACCACAAATGTATGAGGGTTCCAATTTCTGCACTGCTGCTTCATCGACAATGTCCCTTCCTGCCCAACAGTGGGAGGTCAGGCTACGTGCCCTTGAACTTAGCATGCCACTTCATTTACTTCCAATTAGCCCACTCTGCAAATCAGCATTCTTCCCAGCCCGCCCTCACCTTGAGCAGCCACAGTCTCACCCTCATGCCATTTTTGTGCATTCCCTTCAGTCCCAATAAATCTGCTAAACCCAATCCTCCTCCACAACCTCACTCCTTAGCCCTCCCTAGCAGGATGCACTGTAACTGCTCAGGACCATTCTCTTGGACTAGCTGAATTCTCTAACGTGAGGATATCAAATCAGTTTCATCTTATAAACCAGCTCTGATGGTGTTGGCTGCCTAGATTGGCTGTGTTTAGAAGGATTCTGAGACTGCATCTGTGCTGAAGATTGTCATAGAATGAGAGTTGTGGAACTGGGAAGACAGTGAACACACACCACAGTAGCCATCCGCACCCCGGTTTCTATCAGCTTGTCCATTCCTTTTTTTTTTTTTTTTTTTCAAGGCAGAGTCCTGCTCTGTTGCCCAGGCTGCAGTACTGGCGTGATCTTGGCTCACTGCAATCTCCACCTCCTGGGTTCAAGCGATTCTACTGCCTCAGCTTCCCCAGTTGCTGGCACTACAGGCGTGTGCCACCATGCCTGGCTAATTTTTGTATCTTTTTCAGTAGAGATGGGTTTTCACCATGTTGGCTAGGCTGGTTTCGAACTCCTGACCTCAGGTGATCCATCTGCCTCAGCCTCCCAAAGTTCTGGGATGACAGGTGTGAGCCACCATGCCCAGCCTGCTTGTCCATTCTGTTTGCTCACACATGCTCACCCCACAATTCTGCCTCTCACCTCCTCTCCACCACAACTCAATACAATTTCCCCTCACAGTTCTATCTGTTATCATCCCCCAGAATGTTCTTAGACACTGCAATTACTGAGCACTGGCCAAAACCATTTCTTCAGGGCACTGTTCATGACAAATGATATGGTTTGGTTGTGTCCCCACCCAAATCTCATCTTGAATTGTAGCTCCCACAGTTCCCACGTGTCATGAGAGGGACCCCGTGGGAGGTGACTGAATCATGGTGGGGCAGGTCTTTTCCATGCTGTTCTCATGATAGTAAGTCTCAGGAGATGTGATGGCTTTAAAAAGGGGAATTCCCCTGCACAAGCTGTCTCTCACCTGCCATCATGGAAGTCCCTTGCTCTTCCACCATAATTGTGAGGCCTCCCCAGACATTTGGAACTGAGTCAATTAAACCTCTTTCCTTTATAAATTACTCAGTCTGTTATATCTTTATTAGCAGCGTGAGAATGAACTAATACAACAAATAGTAGCATAAACTCTTCTAAGCAGAGGAACAAAATTATGGGTAAGGGTAGAAATGAGCACCCACATTCAATATTTTGTCTCCAGACGTGGCCACTGTGCCCTGATGGCCATTGTGAGCAAGAAGATGGGGACTCCCTGGGTGAAATAGATCTGAGGGTACAAATTGTTTTCTCTACTTCTTGTTACCTTTCAGCACCATAGGCAACAGCCAGGGTATTGGCCAAGAGGTTGAGGAGCTAGATCTCATTGCATCCTGATTTTGTCCTGATGTGGAATTGTCAAGACCTCACATTTCAAAGGCGATGATTGTTTTGAATGCCAACAATAAACTCTTGCTCTTTGACTCGCTCTGTGAGCCCCACAGGGTTTTAGATTTTTTTTTTCTTTTTCAGTTTTAGGGTTTAGATCTTTTAAAGTCAGCACTACACAGAGCAGAAGTATATGATTGAATTCCCGATTAGAGCTCTGCACATTGCCAATGGTGAGCTTTCGAAGGGCTGATTTTGACTGTATCTGTGTGGAACCCAGCAGCATGTGGTCAAGTGAAGACTGTAGCCGCTGGTGGCTTCTTTGCTTTGCATTCCTATCAGAGCAGAGTTGAGCAGATTAAGAAGCAGAGCAGATCTGGAAAGGCAGGCACTTGAAATTGTGTGCTCTCTTCATCCCCCTGCCCTCCTTCAAACTCTGGCATCCCTCCCTGGACAACTGCCACAAAGTTTCCCCGCAGCCAGTCTCACATCACCACACTGCAGACAGAGACGTCTTTCCCAAAGGGAACTGACCACTTTATTCTCATCCTTAAAATCCTTCACTGGCTCTCTCATGTCTCCAGCAGGGATTTAACCTGAGTCTAGGCACTCCCAGGCCCTCAGTGCTCTCTAGCCAGAGGCCAGCAAGCATTTTCTGTAAAGGGCCAGAGAATAAAAATTTGCAGTTTTGCAGGCCATCATGCAGTCTCTGTCACAGCTACTCAGTTCTGCCCTTGGGTGAGAAAGCAGCCATAGGTAATGTGCAAATCAATGGCTGTGGCTGTGTTCCAATAAAACGTTATTCACCAAAAGCATGCTGCTAGCTGGATTTGACTAACAGCCTGCTCTATACTTTCTAAATCTATAAGCAAAATGATGTTCCAGTGTGCATTTCTGGGGAGTAGGTTGGTAGCTTTCAGCAAACAGCCAAAGGGTTTAGTAACCCCCCAAGTGCTAATTGGGGAGGTCATTCTTCCAGACGTGTTCACCTAGCCTTCCAACCCTTCACAGACCATGCTGGATGGCTCTCAACTGTAGTGTACAACAGGCTCTCTCCTCCATCTCTATCTTTGCACATGCTCAGCGTAGGCTGCCCAGTCCTATCCAGTGAATTCCTTCATTCAATAAATACCTGAGTAGCCACTATCCACTACCCATTGCTAGTCACTGGTATAGTTTCCAGCCCTAGTGGAATTTACAGCCTAACAGGGGAGGAGAGATATAAGAAAACTGATATGACAGCAAATTGTGCATCTTGTGACAATTGTGCTAAATTGTTACAATTATAACACTGTGATACCTTTGTGCTCAGTATAGGGAAAGAAAAGGAGAGGTTACGATGAGTTAGGTGACTAACCTTCCTAGTTGGTTTCCCAGGAAGTGAAATATTCAATGCTAAAACCAAGAAGTCCTGGTTAAACAGGCTGAGTTTATAGGGTGATCATGTGTGAGCATGTACCAAGGGACCCTAAGTTAGCATGGAGGCTCAGGGAGGACGTGACAGCACAGGGAGAGATCTACACCCTATAACTGCTGTTTTCCTTTTTTTTTTTTTTTTTTGGCCTTCCACCTCATGACCACTGTGTTCCACGTCTTTCCTTGTCCTTCTTTTTCCAACTATCTTCATTCTTTTTGTAGATCCACTCACCTTCTCTCTCAGCAAGTCAAACTCTTTCCTCTTTAAAAACAGAAGACTTCCTTTGCACGTGGATATTTTTTGTGCTATTATACTTAAATTTTGAAGAGTTTTGTTTCATTTTTGAGGATTATACTTTTCTTTTTGTATAAAGTAATATAACACATGGGAAAATTAGAAAGCCTGTAGAAGTATGAAGCAACAAAAAGAATATAAATCAATACTCAACTCCTCCTTATCATCATGAACGTAATCCCGGGATAGTCTCATCACATTTTTTTGTACTGGTTGACAGATCACATCCCTACTGAGACTCTTGCTGCAATAAACTCCTTTGGGTTTATCTTTTTTATGCTTGTAATTGTAGCAATAAAGGTTTTGTTTGTTATTTTTTAATGTAACTGTGTACGTTACACAAAAGGCCCATCACTTAATCAGTACTATTCCTATTCTGGTAAGATAGTAGTTCATGGGTGGATGCAGAAAGAACAGATGATAGATATTTATCAAGGAATAATGACTAAGCCTATTTGTAATGTCTACTTGCTTAAAATGACGACACTATGCCCATTTGAGCTAGAATTTAATATTCTAGAATCATAGCACAAAGGAGTCCTGTAGTAACTGTATTTGCCCAGCTACAAGAGAAGTAAAATGAGCTGGCAAGTTATTATTTTATCTACTGGGTTGAGCCATATGGAATCAACCCTTCTGTAGCACAAATACAATCACGTATTAGCCATTTAGCCATTTCCTATGGCTCAACCTGTATGTGCCAAGTGCTGCTAAGTTCTCAAACTTCATTTACCTTGAATAGATGTGTCACAAATTCACTTTACTAAGAGAAGACCCACATATCAGTGCCATAGCTCTGACTTCCAATCCAGAATCCACCACTTCTCATGAGATACAGAATATAAGCCAAGTCTTTGTCTCTCTCAGCCTCAATTTCCTCAGCAGTAAAACATGTATGACAGCATCTATGTCATCAGGCTGCTGAACAGATAGCAGAGAACTTGCAGGCAAAGTGCCTGCCTGGTGCAACGTACATAAGAAGGTGTTTGATCAAAGCTGTCTCCCTTAATGGACTTCTACTTGTAAACCAAAAATAAAACCCTAAGCCTCCCCCACTGACTGAACAGGCCCCCTCTGAACCAAGGGAAACCTGAGAAATTGAATTCTGGACCATGATGGGAAGGGAGGTCAGAGAAACCTGGTTATATTCGCTCCCTTTTAGGGACAACTGACCAGCATTAACATTAAAATAGAGATCACAAGACTGAAAACACAGACTCTTTGGCAACAACTTAGCAAATTCCACCTTGACTCTGATAGGACCTCACATGACAGAAAGCAGATTCTGAAGGAAATCAAAATGTTTCACCCCAAAATATACGTATTTGACATATTTTGAAATGGCCCTGCAAAGCCGTCTTTTGTGGGGGAAATTTTATCTGCAGAGAATCTCCATTAGTGCAGCTAGGCCTTTTCTGGACCTAGGAGAGATTAAATGAGAGTCTGATGCCTTTAAGTTCTAAAAAAAGACATTTCCCATATTCTTTCTAAGGCATGCTACCTGGAGGTTTCATGTATACAATCAGAACCTCAGCTTCCGCTATCCCGCTTATCTTAACTCAAGCATTTACTTGAAGTCATTAGATAAACTTTAACTCTTTCAACCAACTGCCAATTCACAAAATTTTTGAATCTACCTATAACCTGAAAGCCTCCTCCTCTCCTAAAAAATGTTCGACTTTTCCAGGCCAGAGCAGTTACATGTGTTGATTTATGCCTTTGCCTATAACTTCTGTGTCCCTAAAATGTATAAAAGCAAAGTGTAACCCAACCTCCTTGGACATGCTTTCTCAGGAATTCCTGCGACCGTACCCCAGGCCACGATCACTCATTTTGGCTCAGAATAAGCCTCTTTAAAATATCTGACAGAGTTTGGCTTTTTTGTCAACATACTGAAAGCTCAGCCACGAGATCACACACTTGAGATACTCCAGCACACCCCTTACGATCCCCTCTTACCCAGTTCAGGAACACAGGGAGCCCCAAATGGGCTTAGCTGACCTCTTAGAGGTGAGGAAACCTGAGACCCTGAGACTTGAAGTGATGCCTTAGTCTGTTCAGACTGCTGTAACAAAATACTGTAGACCGGGTGGCTTGTGAACAACAGATATTTATTTCTCACAGTTATGGAGGCTACTAACTCTAAGATAAAGGCACTGACAGATTTGGTGTCTGGTAAGCCCGTATTTTCTGGTTCATAGGCAGCCATCTTCTCACTGTGTCTGACATAGTGGAAGCAATGAGCAAACCCCCTTGGGCCTTTTTAATAAGGGCATCAATGCCATTTATGAGGGCTCTGGCCTTATGCCCTTATCACCTCTCAAAAGGCCCCACCCCCTAAGACCATCACCCTGACAGTTAAAATTTCAACATATGAATTTGGTGATGGGGAGGAATATTCAGGCCACAGCAAGTAGCTTCCCCAACATCAGGCTAATTAGTGCCTCTGTTACGAGGTCAGCCATATTCTGCCTTTACGTTGACATATGACCCCATATAGCACAGGCACTGATGCTGAGCCATGTGATCAAGCGGAAATGACCATCCCAGTGAAGGGAGGCAGACGACGCCTGCAGAGCGAGAAAAGTCACCACCGTGGGACCTCACAAAGCCACACATCCATTCCGATGAAACAGCTGGGATCCAGATGCTAAGTGTTCACCTCTAAAACGAAGCTTTCGCTGGCAGCTCAAAAGCCATCAGAGTTTCTCTGCGAGGGTCTCAGGACACGTGCAAAGACATTCACTGAGTCATATTATAAATGGATACTAAAAGTTATAATGCTGTTTCTCAGAATCACCAGTTACTTCCAAAATAGGTAAATTCTTCTACCCTGACATAGTAGTGGGTTTCTGCAGCCTCTGCCTTTTGGGAAAATAAGCACCTCCAGAAGCCCCTGGGCAGATTTTAGAGAGAATCAGGTGTAAAAATCAGAGGGCACTCTTCTCACCGTCTCCTGTAAACCTGCTGATTTATGGAAACTGGGAGAGATTGCATTGCAAGGTTGAAATCAGTGGCACAAAGCTCCCTCTCTCCTTCTTCTGCTGCCCAGAGCACTTTGCAGAACTCGGAGAATGATCCCAGCACTCAAAATGGGAAAATAAATAGCTCTGAAAGGATGTTTAAGAAAAACTAGCCATTTTCTCAACTTTGAAGATAATAGAAGAGCTGAGAGTAGGAAAGACAGAAAGTAAGAGAATAGTAAAAGTTAAGTCTCAGCCTCACCCTTCTGTTTCAAGTTATGTGGTCTTGGACAAGTAAAGCAGCAATGCTAGGACTGTGGCAAGGCTACTAGATGCTTGCTAATATCCCTTCTCTTTCTGGCATAGTAAATGTCACTTTGCTAACGACCATTTTCCTGGCCTTCCTTGTAGCTAGGTGTAGCCATGTAACAATGAGCTTTAAGCTGAAATGTGATAATTAACTTTGAAAAATGGCCTCTAAGAAGAAGTAGTATGCCCTTTCACTTCTACTTTCTCATGGCCTGGGATGCATACATAATGGCTAGAGCTTGAGCAGCCATATTGCACCATGAGGTAGCATGCTAAAAATTGCAGAGCAGCAAAATAGACAGAGCCTATGAACATCCCTAAGGATTTTAGGAAGCTGTCTTATCAACTTTAAATTGTCTGTCTCTGACTTTTTTTATTTGCAAGAATAAAACCTTAGTGTTTAAACCACTATGGGAGAGTATATTTTTAATATGAAGTCAAACTTAATCATAATGATACAAGTACCAAATATATAGATTTGCT
Organism: Homo sapiens; assembly: GCF_000001405.40. Taxonomy (NCBI): domain Eukaryota; kingdom Metazoa; phylum Chordata; class Mammalia; order Primates; family Hominidae; genus Homo; species Homo sapiens. The sequence goes on from NC_000016.10 coordinate 80,308,930, forward strand.
GTGAGTCTTACAAAGCTAACATGAATGCAAAATACCTGGAAAAACTACAAGAATGTAAGATTTTTCCCTTTCTTTCACACATACACTGCCCCCTCCACCCAATACACATACCACATATTTCAAGGTTAAAGAATTATTTAAAAATTCATTTTATATGTAAGAAAAAAACATGGATTTTTTTCTTCCTTTGATGAAGACTCAAAGAATAAACATTACACATGGGAGGGTTTGAATCTTGTCAGGCTATAGAGTCATTTTAACAAGGCTGAGTTTTAAATTTTGACCTTTAAACATCTAGAATAAAATAACAACTAGTCTAGAATGATATACAGAGCTCCCTTCATGACTTTTCCAATTGTGATTCTAAAACCAAAGGCCAAAATAAAACTCTTGATTTATTGTTTAAACCAGCTCCTCCCTCAGTGATCTTCCTCCCTGGAAATGCTATCACCACCCACACTGTTGTTCTGACCCATCTGCCGAAGACGCCCTTGTTCCTTCTCTTTCCCTCCTGTCATCTGACTCAGCAGCAAGTCCTGTTGATATCTGCAAAGCTTCTCACAAATCCATCCACTTTCCCCTCCGTAGTCCCCACTGCCTGATGCCAGCCCCCAGGGATCTTCCCCTTGACAGCTGCCATAGCTCCTTGACTGGTGTAGCTGTTTCTGGTCTTGCTCCCGTAAAGAATCGTAACGATCTTAAAAATGAATATCAGATACTATAATGTGTCTAAGGAAATTTTCCCATGGTCTCCCAACACAAGTTAGTGTAAAATGCTCACCCTCCCTACCTCACCCACATCTCTTTCAGCCTCTCTCCCACTTGGTTCCTTGACTTCAGTCATGTGACTATATTTTTATTTTTTTAAATACATGAAGTTTATTCCTACCGGGACTTTTGTATCTGCTCTTCTCCTTTTCTGAAAAGCCCTTCTCCCACATCTTTACATGGTGTCAGCCTCAACACTCAGATTTCAGCTGCAACCCGCGCCCCCTACCTCTCTGAAGACTTGCCCCACCCTATGCCCCGGTCTCTATCACTTCGCTCTGTTTCAGCATCATCGTAACACCTGATGTTTGGGGATTTCTTTGAAATTCCCTCTGGCTTGAAACTTCATCGGAAAAGGGATCTTCTACAATGTGTTCACAGCTACATCCTCTGTGCTTGGCACATATTCAGCACTCAATAATTATTTTTTAAATGAATGAGTTAATTGACCATGCCAATCAAAATACTAAAATCAGCTGAGTTGATCTAACTCAGCTAATGAAATTAACATTAATATTAAATTTAAACTGAATCCAAACAGAATCACTAATATTAATCCATCCATTAAGTATCCCAGACGCTAATGGGCCCCACCACCATCCCTACTACTCCACACAGCACCTCAGCACCCCAGCCAAAGGCTTTCTTTGGGAGTATACGGCCATTTGTTTAAACAAGCTTAAAAAAAAAGGACTAAACTGTTTATCAATAGTAGGGGGTATTAGTAACAAAAATATTCCTGTTTATATTCACGCGATTTCCCTCCCTCTATTGGCAAATGAGAAGTGTTGTTAAGAGATGAAACCACTTTAACCATCTGCATTTGATGGCAAAGCTTTTTCTAATTAAACAAATCCTACAGGTACAAGTCAGCTAAGGAAAGCTTTTCATTTCTCATGTTGGGCAGCCATAACTGAGATAAGCATTTCTCCAGCTTTTTTTGGTCTTCGCCTAGGAACATGCCAAGTCCAGTCAATCATCATAGCATAAAAATATGTAATCATCAAGCATAAAAGATAGAAGTAGAGAAAAAGCCTGACTCTAAGCTTAACAAAGTAGAATCAAAATGTGTTAATATTTTTATTGAACAGAAAACCTGCGAGTTAAATAGCAATTAATAACATGATTCTCATTTACTTTACTAAATCAAGATCTCAGATGAATATTCTTATTGTAACTCACTGCTTATTAAATCTTTTAAACAGTGTTTTGAACAAAGCAAAGATGGCAATGAGAATGAGGTTTAATCACTGGAAGATCACTCATTCAGGAGATAGATCTAGGTTCAAATCCCAACTTAACTTCTTCTAACCCTCTTAGCTTTAGATAAGTGCCATGGTTTGTATGTGGGTTCCCTCTAAATCTCACATTGAAATTTGATCCCTGATATGGTTTGGCTGTGTCTCCGCCCAAATCTCATCTTGAATTGCAGCTCCCATAATCCCATGTGTCATGGGAGGGACACAGTGGGAGATAATTGAATCATGGGGGCGGGTTTTTCCCATGCTATTCTTGCGATAGTGAATAAGTCTCATGAGATCTGATTGCTTTATAAAGGGCAGTTCCCCTGCACAAGCTTCTTGCCTGCTGCCATGTAAGATGTCATGACTGTGAGGCCTCCCCAGCCATGTGGAACTGTGAGTTCATTAAACCTCTTTCCTTTGTAAATTACCCAGTCTCCAGTATGTCTTTATTAGCAGGGTGAGAACAGATTAATACAATCCCCAGTGCTAGAAGTGAGGCCTACTCCACCTCCAGCATTGGAATTGGAGGTGGAGGAGGTGTTTGGGTTATGGGTATGGATCTCTCATAAATGGCTTGGTGTTATCCTTATGGGAATAAGTGGGTTTTCCCTCTACTGGTTCCCATGAGAGCTGGTTGTTAAAAATAGCCTGGCACCTCCAGGCTCTGCCACTGGCCTCCCCCTCTCACCATATGACCTCTGCACACAGCAGCTCCCCTTTGCCCTCCACCACGAGCGGAAGCAGCCTGAGGCCCTTACCAAATGAAGATACCAATCTTCACTTGAACTTTTCCAGACATCAGAATTGTGAGCCAAATAAACCCTTTTTCTTCCTAAGTTACCCCGCCTTAGGAATTCCTTTACAGCAACACAAACAGATGAAGACAGTAAGTAACCCAAACTCCTTGAACTTCCACTTTCTCATTTTGTGAAGCAGGGATGAGAAACTATTCTGGCTTTGCAAGCTGCCGAAAATATTAAAGTGCGATGTTACGAGGCAGAAAGAATTTTGCCAAATAGGTAGCCTTAAGAAAGTTCACAGCAGTATTACGTCCTTCTCTGTTATATCTATATGTATTATTATTTCAGCCCTGAATCAAGACATTATCAGCAATGATGATTATTTAACCTAATAGCTACAGATAATTAGTCTAATAACTATCGATATAACATCCAATCATTTCAGATGGTTAGATTCACTTGCAAATGGTCTGGTTTCTCCAGAAGGATTTTAACATGAGTTGTTGTTTCCTCTTAAAGTTTTTTTGTTTTTTTTTTTCTGGAGAAGGAGTCTCATTCTGTCGCCCAGGCTGGAGTGCAGTAGTGTGATCTCAGCTCACTGCAAACTCCGCCTGCTGGGTGTAAGCAATTCTCCTGCCTCAGCCTCCAAAGTAGCTGGGACTACAGGCAGACGCCACCATGCCGGCTAATTTTTTGCATTTTTAGTAGAGACGGGGTTTCACCATACTGGCCAGTGTGGAGTATGGTCTCTAACTCCTGACCTCGTGATCCACCCACCTCGGCCTCCCAAAGTGCTGGGATTACAGGTGTGAGCCACCATGCCCAGCCCCAAAATAAAAAGTTTTAACACAGCTCATAAGGTACCGGATAATTCGGATCCTGCCTCCCTTTCCTACCTCAATTCCCATATCAAATCCCCTTCATCCCCCTTGTGCTCAACACTCTAAATGCAATTTTTTTTTCTTTTAAACATTTCAATGTTCCCCTGGATTTTTTATGTCTGGCTCCTTCTCATTTTCTAGCCTGAGCTAAAAGGTCACCAGCTCACAGGGGGACACTCCATGGCTGCTCAATATAAATATTCTCCCACCCTCTTCCCCGTCACCCTGTTTATTTCCAGCAGGGCACATAGGTTCAACCCAAACCTGTCCTTTGCATGTCTGTTTGCTAGTTTAACATCTGCCTGCTCACTAGGATGTATGCTCCTACCAAGAGGGATCTTACCTACTTCTCTGCCACTGGCTCAGAACAGGCTCCCAACAAGTATTTAATGGATAAGCAAGCAAACAAACTTGTATAGTGATTGTTTCGATTTTTTCTCCAAAAGGACAACAAAACAAGGATGTGGGTGCAAGTGGTTTACTTGGGAGATAGTTTAGGAAAAGCCAACAAGAAGTAGAAGAATGAGATGGGGAAGAAAAGGAAACTGGGAAAAGGTGAATATGCCAATGAGTAACCACCATGGGAAAACTGGAGCTCTTGCTAGAAGATGCTAGGAGAAGAAAGGACTTGTGGTTACACACACTCCCCACTCCCACTCCAGGAGAGATATGTCTGTTTCTATCCACCAGCTCACTTAAGTTTTTGATTGAGGACTACTAATTTCTAAACATTCCAATCTTACTCCAAAATGCAGGCAGAGTGGGCTCCGGCAGCCAGAGAAAGCACTCAAAAAGGAGCAGAGGCTGGCAGTTGGAAAGCAGACAGGTTGTACACCAAGTGCTAAGCTCCAAGGGGATACGTGACAGCAATCTTAACTGTTCCAACTAAACTCAAAACAAACATTCCAGCACTGAAAATTAGGGCCATTTTCTCGAGTCCATGAACCATGCTGCAAACACACATAAAGGATACAGAGAGGAGTACATACATGGTACACACAGCAGCTAACTTTTCTGCTCTCTTCTCAAGTGACATCTTAAATAAAATAGGACCCAAGAAAACAAAACCATTCTGTTTACCATTAAAGAGTCACAGCAATATATGGTTAAATACTACTCCTAGGACATCTGCTCAAACACACTGACACTCCCCCAACCCCCAACAGTGGTCCAAGAATGGCTCTTGCTTGGGATTCAACATGATTTTGAAACAACTAATATCATATGAACATGGTTTATGCTGCAAATTATTCTCTACAAAGAGCTATTAAAACTCAGTGATGAGTGAAAATAGTCTTCAAATTCTCATGTCAACATTCAAACCCTAGATTGAGTTTCTCCTCTCCAGTTTCATTCAAATAATTATGTTCCCTGGATTAAATGATACTTTTTTAATTCGATTGTATCCCACAGCCATATGTTTATTTTATTTGGATGAGGGAGAAAGGTATCTTAATTTCTTATAATAAGAGCTTTTGGGAAATCTGGCACTTCAGTGGCAAGGCAGTAATCAAAACTGAATTCTATACAAGAGGTAAATTATATTGCCTTCCAAATTAATTTGCAAATGGCCACAATACTAATAAAATGCAGGCAAGACTGTGATTTCCCTTTTGTAAAAGTCCAGCTCCTCAGTAACCAGGAAAAGCAAACTCGCTAAGGAGCACGAGGTCAGCTGCATGCTACGTGCCAGGAAGCCTGAGTTTAACCCAAGATATGTGCAAGTTTTGAAAGTTGGAGCACAACTTTGGAGGAAATTTGCCTCTTTGTATTCCGTTTCCTTATGGTCTATGGCTGGTCCTGGAAGATGCCAGCATCCAGCTCCAGAAACTGGAATGGCTCTGCAGTATTACAAGCCCCTAAGCCCCTTATTTAGGGGTTCGAAGCTGATCCTGGTGTTAATATGTTCCTTAACTTTATTTTTAACACTTACAGCAAAGATATTCCTCTGAAATCTACTTCAGGTGGCAAATGAGACTTACTACACTATGAGAAGTTTGAAGGCAAGGACTGGTGTATTTATTTCCAATGGCTACTGTAGAACATATTATCACAAACTTGGTGGCTTAAAGCAACACTAATTTAGTCTCTTGCAGTTCTAGAGGCTGGAGAAAAATCAATTTCCTTGTCTTTTCCAGTTTCTAGACACCAAGAACATTCCTTGGCTTGTGGCCCCGTAACACTCCAATATCTGCTTCCATCATTCCATCTCTTTCTCTTTTGAACTTCTTTCCTCTCTCTTAGAAGGACCCTATCCTTGGGTCCCTCTGAAAAACCTAGAATCATCTTCCCATTTCAAGACCCTTAGGCCAGCCGCAGTGGCTCATACCTATAATCCTGGCAAGTAGGGAGGTCGAGGCAGGTGGATCACTTGAGGTCAGGAGTTCAAGGCCAGCCTGGCCAACATGGCGAAACCCCATCTCTACTAAAAATACAAAAACTAACCGGGTGTAGTGGCACGTGCCTGTAATCACAGCTACTTGGAGGCTGAGGCAGGAGAATCTCTTGAACCTAGGAGGCAGAGTTTGCAGTGAGCCAAAAATCATGCTGCTGCACTCCAGCCTGGGTGACAGAGCAAGACTGTCCAAAAATAAATTAAAAAAATTTTTTTTAAAAAAAGAAGCCCTTAGTCATGTCTACAAAGTCCCTTTTGGCACTGAGGTACATATTCACAGGTTCTGGGGATTAAAGCATAGATACCTTTGTTGGTGCTCTTCTTCCCATTACAGTGGTAATCACCACTATGTCCTGAGCACCTAGACCAGAAAAGCCACATCCAGGTAACATGGAATATAGTAAAATAGCAACGTAGTGAGGGCATTTGGAGCATGTGACTTGTGTGTGAAATCAGGCAGGCTGGGTTATGAATCCTGGCTCAACTGTTAGCCAACCAGCTTCCCGAACCCCTCTGAATCGCAGTTTCCTCACCTGTTTAAAAGGATAGCTAATAGTACCCACTTTGAGTCGTTGATGGCAAACATTAGATAATACTGGTTGACAGAGTTTTTCCCAATGTTCGTCACAATCCAAGCTCAATAAGCTCTCACTGAAACACAGAATTAAACCAGGAGTCAACAAAGGTTTCCTCTGAAGGACAAAAGAGTAAATGTCTTCAGCTTTGAAGGCCATAGAGTGTGTCACAGCTACACAGCTCTTCAACAGTAGCACAAAAGCAGCCCGAGAGAGTACATGAACGAACAAGCAAAGCTGTGTTCCAATAAAACTTTATGAAAATTCAAATTTGAATGCTAGTTTTCACATGTCATGAAACGTTTTTCTTTTGATTTTTTCCCACTTAAAAATATGAAAACATTCTTGCCCTGTGGGCCACTCAAAAACAGGTAACGGAATGGATTCAGCCCATGGGTCATGGGTTGCTGACCCCTAGACTAGGTGACTTCCAAACTCCCTTTTATCCAAGAGTCTATGATCATGTGAAAAAGAATAAGATGTTGGGAAGTGGGGGAAAGCGGAGACAGTTAAACCTAAGCTCTAGGGAATGTGCCTCTGAACCTTGTATTCAGTTTCCTTATGCTCTGTGGCTAGTCCTGGAAGATGCCAGCAAACACCCCCAGAAACTGATATGAAGAAGGGATCTCATTTAGGACATAGCTTTGCAGTATAACAAGCCCCTAACTGCCTTATTTAGGAAAGAGTTTGAGGCTGATCCTGCTCTTAATATGTTAGTTAACTTTATTTTTAACAACTACAGCAAAGATGTTCCTTTGAAATCAACTTCAGGTGATGGGCGAGTCTCTTACTAGACTATGAGCAGTTTGGAGGCAAGGACTTGCCTCTTAAATTTCTCCCCTTAAATGGCTGGATTACCTTCACCAGCTCATTTAAACTCTTTAAGTATCTGTTTTCTCATTAGCCAAATGAGAAACACATACCTCATATGAAAATTATGGAGATTAAAATGAGCAAATCACACAACGCAGTGTCCATAGTGGCCTCTGCGACTCAGTCAATGTGGGTTTTCATCCCTTGTAATCTACCCTGGAGAAAGGATGTTTCTTCATGGAAGAGTCTGGCTTTTTAAAGAGACAATTCCTAGTAACAAGATGTAAATGCCCAAGGCGGCTTTCTCCCCTCTTAATAGAGCACCAGGCCTGGTGATTTACCCAAAGAAACGATGCATCAGGAACAGCAGCGGCTCTCACCAATTTTGCACACTGCACTGGCCTTAATGAAACTGGGCTGGACAGAGAGAAGGCATCTGCTGCTGAGTCCCTCAGAATGCTTCCCTTCGTACTGGAGGGTGAGACTTGAGGGACAGTCCCGGGTTTGAATCCAAGGTTAATTTCAGTTAAATTCAGGGTTCGGAATTTCTCAAATGATTAAAAGAAGGAAGAAAGCAAATGTGTTGTGTCTTGCACATTCATTTCAATCTCCCTATCCCCACCCTCCCATCCCCCCATAACAAAACCCTTCTCCCTGCAACTTCCACTACAGCTCACAGAAGCACACAGCGATAAAACACCAGCTAAGCGCTTACATCATTTTACAATCAAGCATCTCCAAATCTGTTTATGTGATCAGCCCCAAATTCTGTCAGAGCGTTGACATGTGCATTTCTAAATAATTTCAGGATGTCAACCTGAATAGACCCGCAGAATCGGAAAGTTAATTATCTTTGACAACTTTGCCAGCTAATTTCCTATTTATATGTACCAAACCGGAGGCCTCTCTCATCCCCTCTTGTCACAAAGGATTTATCAATCAGATCAAGGCCTAAAATTGTCTGCCAAGGCATTCCAGCTTCCCAAAGGGGCGTTTATCTGTTTGAAATCTTACCGACTATCCAATGACAGCGAAGTTGACATGAAACAGATGAAGAGCTACTTCCTTTCTCCGTGCGGCCCCAGCAGCCGAGGGTCCCTCTGGCCAGCTACACCATCCTGTCCCCCAGCCTAGCACCCCCACCCTCTCTTCCTCCTCTTGTGTTTATCTGCCTGCACTTGTCATGCCCCAATTTCCAAAGTGACAACAGCCTCACCTCTGCATTTCAGCTGACAGGCCCCGCCAAATGCCAGAGCCCTGCCTGTCTGAGCCAATCCGCTGACCCTCACTTAGGAAGGCGCACCCTGAGAAACCCAACAGGCCAGTGTTGACAGATGGCTTGATGGTGGCGGTTGGGGCTCCTGTTGTCACTACTTCCCTCTGACAGTTAGTCATGTTTAACTTTAATGGCCATTTCCGCTGTCAGGTTCCCTAGAAAGGAGCTGCTGCCTTACAAGACTGCAGCAGGCTGTGGCTGAGTCGGGGGCAGGCGCCAGTGTGGGCAAGGCTGCCTGGAGTTCTGATGCTGGTTCCTCATCAGAGGAGCTGCCGAGGAGAGGAGGCAGCTGCAACCAGGACAGGATAATCAGGCTGGCTTGGACCTTCCCAGTTCCTGCCTTCAGCCACCAGAGGCACTGCAGAAGAGGAAGGGCGCAAGCAAGAGGCTTTCCAATCATTCCTCCATCTATTCAACAGGCATTCACCTAACACGTTCTCCAATCTGATCACCGTGTGCATAAGGCCCTACCTTTCAGGAACTTCTTGTTTCATGGATGACATCCATTCATGTCTCTTGTTCAGCAAATCCATACCAAGGACCTTCTATCTACAAAGCACTATTCTAAGCCTTCTGAGCACTATTCTAAGGATATACCAGTGAAAAACAAATTAAGAAAAAATAATTCAAAAGAGCTGTTCTCATTCTATTGCAGGGGTCAGCAAACTAGGGCTAGCAGGAAAAATCCAGCTCACCATCTGTTTTTGTAAATAAAGTTTTATTGGAACACAGTCACATGCATTTGTCTGCATATTGTCTATGGCTGCTTTTGTGCTACAACCGCAGAGCTAAGTAGTTGGAACAGAGAACATATGTCCTGCAAAGTCTACAATATTTACTATCTGGCCCTTTACAGAAAAAGTTTGCTGACAGATTATTTCAATACAACAGGGTAAGTGGAAATAGCAATATATAGTGTCCAGAGGGAGCCTGGTTGGCTTTGTGAGGTCTGATTTGTTCACTGTTGTTGCCACAATGCCTGGAACAGTGTTTGGCACAGAATAGGTGCTCACCAAAGAGTTTTCCTTGGCTAGATAAGCCAAAGAACAGATACTCTGATGGGTAGGGGAATGGGTAGATGGAAAGGTTTTTAGAAAGCTTGGCGAAGGAGGTAATACATATGCTGGATGTTGAGGAATAAAGTATCTACCAAAAGAGGAAGAGGGGAAAATGTTTTCTGGAAGAAGAAAATTCACTTGTCATATTTACAATGCAGGGGCATGAAACAGGATGGCAAATTTGAGGAAAAGAAAGATGGTGGAACGGAGGAGTCTGGGTCAAGTCAAAGGGAAGAGGGTCACCATAAAGACTTGCATTTATAATCTTATTGAAGACAGGCAGCATGCATACCCTCAGGATGAAGTCAGTGGAACTGCACAGAGTGCCCCCATACTTTGGAGTATCTTCTTTAAAATGGAACTTGGCCTCCATTTCTTCCATCTGGGGCACTCTTAGGCTGTTTACCCCATGTATGGAGTCAAACAGATGCCCCAGGGAGCTCTAGAACAATGCCTATGGGGTCATCCTGGGCCCCCCTGGCCGAGCCCCAGTTCTAGGAGGATGACCTAGCAAGCAACAGGCTCCCATTGGCTGGCATGGGTTTTATCTCACGGAATTATGTGAGATTGCACCACTAAAATGCTGCTGCCAGGTGGAGTTTAGGATGACTATTACTCATGCCAGACACACGCTGAGTTTGGGGCTTTGTCTGTTGACAGATCATTGTCAATCCTTGGGTCTGTTGGGTGGGCACCGGTATTGGCTTTTGCCATGTTCTGACAGCAGTGCCACCTGCAGGATATAACACCCAAGGGCAACTGGATGGTGGCAGGTGTCCTTTATCCTGTGTTCCTCTTAGTCTGCTGCTGATACTCAGGGGGGCTACTCACCTCCTCTGAAGGCTCCATGGATAGTGGGATTGACCATGCCTATCTCCTCTGAGGGCTCTACAATGTCAGATGGCTTTTTAATCGACGTCCTCTCCTGCCTCTGTCCATGTGCTGATGTCCTGCTCTCCTATGTTAATGTCATGGTGGAAGAGAAGAAGATACTCTTTGCACAAACAGATTACTCTTCTTTCTCTATCCATGGGCCCTTGTCATCCTCCCCTGTGCTTCCCACTGTGTGGAAGGCCGGCTGCCATCATCAAAAGAGGTCACGTGCTGGGAGCACTGTGATTACAGCCTCAAAAGTTCGTAAGTCCACACGTCTACATGTCCTATGTTGAAACAACAAAATTCTGAATGGTAGATTTAGTATGACCAGAAAACGACTCATGGTTCCCATTCTCCTGCATCCTCTTGATAAGACTGCATTTATGGTCATCATCAATGAAGCACAACCTTTGAGAGAATCACCAGAAACCAGTATTCAAAGGCAACATGAAGCATGATGCAGCTGATGAATAATGACAGAACTAGCATTAAATAAATGGCCTTGGGATTTGTAGAGCAAGATGAACTGTGTTGTTTCAATATAAATAGGTTACAGAAAGCCATCACATTGGGAGTAAAAGCAGTGTTGCTACCTTTTGCTCATGGTAGAAGATATGAAATTAGCCAGGAATGGCATATGGGATAATAAAGAACATGAAGAGGTGGTTTCCGGAATTAATGGTGCCTGAACTCTGCAAATGTATTGATTGGACAGTAAATAAATTTATGTTCTCTGCCCACTGTTCTACGTATTCATCAGTAAATTGCTATATCTCATATGGACCCATAAATTCTATAATACATTTTAAAATCAAATTGTTTATATAGACACAATTATTGCCCAAGGTCTCACATACCCCCAAGCGGTCCCGAAGGTACAAAATGTGCATTTCAGTCCCAGAGAAGTATGTTAAAAAAAAAAATAAGCCAACAATTAAAGAACCAACAAGTGACCTGGAGGAATCCTAGCCTTTACTCCTTTTCCTTGAAGGACATCTAGCATTGACCAGAAACTTCCTGACCGTTTTTCCTCTCCTAGTTCTCACCTCCAACATTCTCCAGAGCCTTTTAGCCTTTTATCTGATACAACTCCTCCCAAAGCAGTCTGCTCAGTCTCCCTCCATCCTCCCCCTTCTCTCTTTTGTTAAACTTCTATACAGCTCAGTTTGACTTTCATCACCAAGTGCATCCACAACCCGGCCTTTCTCATCTTGTTATTCCAGCTTTATGGGCCTCCCTTAGTCCAGCAAGATGACACATAAAATTAACCATCACACCATATTAACAGTAAAGTGTAATAATAGAGTGTTAAAATAATAGAGTGTCCACAATAATAGAGTATTAACATCCAATAGGATACTAATATAGTTCAAATACAGTACTAATTTCCAAATTAGTAGGATGGAAAAAGGAAAGAAGAAAACCAGTTCCAATGAAAGAGTATGGGTGAAAACAACAAGAAACAAGTATGGTAAATAGCAACAACAAAGTAAGATAGCATATATAAATTGAAACATATTGGTAGTCATAATGGTAAATAAACTTTAACTAGTTAAAAAAGACAGATACATATTGGAATAGAAAATTCATAAAATTAGACCAGAATTATCAAAAGCAAAGGGAATATATGTATTGTCATGTTCATATAATAGACAAATATTAGCTAACAGTAAGCAGTGTAACAATATTAATGTCAGACTAAATATATCAGACTCTAATATAACAAAAAACATTGTTAATGATAAAGAGTTTTATGACATGATTCAAGGAATGTTTTCCTTGCATCTGCCTTATACTAGCATACACCTGATAATATAGCCTCAAAGACAAAGCAAAAACAGAATTACAGAAAAAAATGAACAAATGCACAATAAACATAGAATATTTTAATGCATTCCTATCATTAACTGGTTAGTTCTTCAGTATTTGACTCATTACCTGATTTTCCATCTCAAAAATCTAAAAATGGCCCCAGAAGAAACAAACTCCACTGCTTGCATTTAGAGTTTCCTCCCAGATGGACTTTTAGGAACAGGGTGCCTGTGAACACTCTCATGCCACAAACAACCTATTAATCAGCTTATGTTTGCCAGACTAAGTTTTGAGATTTCTCCTAAAAGGCTGAGATAGGAATAAAAATATAGACCATGGTATTGGCCAGAACATTACTTTCCAGTGGAAATAAAGATTTAAGTAGCTGGATACAAAGGCTGCGAGAGGCTTTGTCAAGAAGATCTTGAAATTCTGCAGCAGGTTTTGTCTTTGTCTCCACCATCAAAGCAGAAGGTATACATGTCAGAAATAACACAAGATTTGGGGCATTGATTATGTAATTTGTGATTAATTTCATCTGGATCCTTTGGTACTTGGGCCTCCACGTGTAAAAACTCATCTATGGAATGAATATGGGGAAAAATTTGTGTCACTGAAGCTGTCCAATGGGGCATGAAATTCAACAGTCATCCCAAAAACACCCTCTCTAACCAAGGTCACATACACTCATCTATCTGGGGGGCTTTCACGGGCATATGGAGGATGTCTTGCTATTAATCCTAGACGTTAAGCGCAGGTCTTCAGAAAACAAGAAAATGAGATTATCTTTTGGGTGTTTAGATTTTTTTTTTTAACCAATAGACTTTATTTTTTAGAGCAATTTTATGTTTATAGAAGAATTGGCCAAGCACAGTGGCTGAAGCCTAGAATCCCAGCACTTTGGGAGGCCAAGGCAGGTGGATCACAAGGTCAGGAAATTGAGACCATCCTGGCTAACATGGTGAAACCCCATCTCTACTAAAAATACAAAAAGTTAGCCAGGCGTGGTGATGGGCGCCTGTAGTCCCAGCTACTGGGGAGGCTGAGGCTGGAGAATGGTGTGAACTCGGGAGGCGGAGCTTCCAGTAAGCCGAGATCACGCCACTCGACTCCAGCCTGGGCGACAGCGAGACTCTGTCTCAAAACAAAAAAAAAAAAAGAAGAAGAAGAAGAATTGAGCAGAAAGTATAGAAGTATAGTGGGTTCCATCCACTCCATCTCTTCCCTTCTCCCCCTCAATTTCCCCTATTATTACCACCTTGCACTAGTGTGGTACATTTATTACAATTGATGAATCAATAATAACACATTATTATTCACTAAAATCCACCGTTTACATTAGAGTTTACTCTGTGTATTGGATAGTTGTGTGGATTTTGAGTTTTGTTTTTAGGTTACTTTTTCCCTACATTTTTTTAGCACCTAAGGACTCCTTAAATTTTTCTTTAATGTACTAAGGCAAGCACATTTGTAAGCAGTAACTAGACTCCTTTTACAGTTACCTAAGGATACATCATTGTGAACAAACACTTCTGATTGATTCAATCCAATTACACGTACATTCTGGAGCACTTACTGTGTAGTGGGTGCTGAGTACATAGTACTGGAAAAGAGAGAAACAGTCTTTTTCCTCACAAAACTTAAAGTTTAATGACAAAGATGAATATTCAGTAAGTCATTACAAGTAGGCTTTCCTTTGAAAGGGCACATAGAGGCTTCAAGAATCTAGCACACAAAGTGAGGAAATGCTATCACCGGCTTCCTAGCCTCGGCTGAAGCAAAGAACTCTGATGTTCTGGTTCACTTTGGGGCCATCTCTCAAGTCAGCTCATGATTTTCAGGTGGTTTTGTCTAATCTGGAAGCTGGCTCAGGTCCCCACTTGCCTGGGTCCTGGGCATCTCAGAGTTCCCGAACCGGCGGCCTCTGAGGGGTCTGTCCTGCAGGGCTTGGGCCCATGGCTCCCAGAGCCACCTCCTATCACATCCCTCTCTGCGGGCGTGAAGAATTAGCCGCCTCACTGCACTGACACCCTTTGTCTGGCAGTGCTGAGCTGGCCAGTTTGTGCCTGGATTTATTTCAGTCACGAATTTCCTGAGCTGCAAGGACTGGCTGAAGGGAGAGGAACACTCTGAGACTGTTTGCCTTGTGTGTTAGTTTACTAGAGCTGCCTTAAGAAAAGTGGCACAAGCTGGGTGGCCTAAAACAACAAAAACATGTCCTCTCACAGTCTGGAGGCCAGAAGTCCAACACCCAGGCATTGATAGGGCCGTGCTCCCGCTGAGGACTCTAGAAAAGAATCTGCTCCAGGTACACCCAGCTTCTGGGGGGTGGCTAGCCATCCTGGGCGCTCCTTGGCCTCTCGACACATTACTTGGATCTCTGCCTCTGTCATCGTACCATGTTCTCCCTGTGTGACTCTACGTCTCTGCACCCACATTTCCCTCTTCTAATGAGGACACAGTCACTGAATTAGGACTCACCCTAATCCAGCATCATCTCCTCTTAACTTCATTACAACTGCAAGAATCCCCCAACCCCCACCCCGGCCAACCCCACTTCCAAATAAGGTCACATTCACAGGTGCCAGGCATTAGGACTTGCACATACCTCTCAGAGGGGACACAGTTTAATGCATGACACCTTCAATTCCCAAGGTTGCTTCACAGCTGGTTTCCCCCAGCGTGAAACTCAGTGGAAGTGAAGCTGACACTGGCAGAAGACACAGACATTGTTTCCAGACCCTTCAGCTACCTTGCCGAATACCTGAATCATGATTGGGTCTAAGAGCTTAGGCAATGCCAAATGCCACATGTGTAGGTGATTTAAAGAAGGAAAAGGCAGAAAGCGGGGCAGTTCTGCAAAACTGGAAAATCCAGGTGCTACAATTTCCCGGAGTCCTGGAGAAGACCACTTTTTGATCCCAAGAGGGACCCAGATGTCAGATGGGTCCTCTTGACTTCAGCAATTAAATACTGTCCATGATATATTTATTTCAAAACATATTTGCTAAGTGTCTACACTGCTCTAGGCACTGAAGATGGGGTGGTGGGGAGTAAGACAAATGTCTAACCATGGTGCTCATATTCTAGTAAAAGGAGACCAGCAATCGATAAGCAAATAAGTGAAACGTAGAAAAAGGAACTCCTGCAGGGGGCATGGAATGTATGGGAGGGAGTCAGGAGAGTGAGTGAGTGAGGCCATTCTTTGGAAGTCTGGCTTCTAATGGGGATGCCAGAGACATAATGAATGCAGCAGCAGGCAGGCAAAGGAATGGAGGTTCCCAGCTTGTTTATTTGGGAGATGGGAATAATTTGTATGTGCTCAGCTGCTGAAAGCTTTCATGAGAGGGGTTTCAACTGCAAAAAGAGAGGACGTTATAGATGGCTGAAGGTCCTGAGGGCAGGAGATGTCTAGTGTTGAGGAAGATCAAAAGTGGAGGAGGGAATTCCAGGAAAGGTGTGGAAGCTGGTGTATCACAGGCAGGAGCACACACCCATATCCTCCTCACTTTCCTCCGTTATCTATACAATAGGAGCAAGCTCTTCCAGCTGGGGATGGGTCAGGATCTGGAGGAGTCATCAAGTTCTCCAACTGTCATAAAATGGAGTTGAGAGTGGGACTTGGGGCTGGGGAAGAAGATTGAGGCAGAGTCAGCCAGGTGGAGGTTAGACATCTTGACTTCCCAGGAGCTAAGGAAACACAGAACTCCTTACAATGTGCTGGTTTTCTTTCAGGAGCTCCGCATTCAAATCTTGGCTCCAACACCCTGGACAGTGGACAGGTCTCTTAATCTTTCAGCGCTTCAGTTGCCTCATCTGTAAGTTGGTAATAACAAACTTCAAACTTCTGTGGGCTGCTCTAAGAACTGAATGAATGACTCCATGCTAAGTACTTAGAACAACGTCTGGTACATGGTGAGGCTTATTCAATGTCCATTATAACAGAGGGACTTACCCCCTCTGTTACTGCAAGTTTGGGATGCCTTGTACCTGCCAGGCACTGTTCCGGCTGTTGATAAAATTAAGACAAATATAAAGTCCTTGCCCTGGAGGAAACCGCAGCCCATTACAGAGCCACATATGCCAACTCAGAGGCAGAATTGCTGGGCAAAACAGCAAAAGGACAGAAAACTTGCTGTAGGCATGATAAAAAGTCCCCATCCTCATCGTTGGAAATGCTCTCAGCCCACATTTTAGCCGGATTAGCTGGAAAGTGAGAAATCATTTCCAAAAAGCCACAGGTGCCCAAACCAGCTCCTGTCCTTTCTGCATCCTGTTTCCAGGCCTGAATAGGCTGAGCTCTTTGCTGCCACACTGTCTAATTCTGCACCATTGAATTAGGGGGCTGTCATGACCCACCAAGGCTGTCTCCATCACTGTCTCTGCTCATCCTGACATCTGGTGTGAAGGCTGCAGGCAGCAGTCAAATGCTCCCCTTGACACACGCTCAGCTAACGAGCCAGCTGGACATCCTGAGGAGGATTCCCTCGGACGACATCCTCTGCAGACAGCCTGGAAACAAAGCTTCTGTGCACACTGATTTGAGACAATGCCGTCGTGCAAGGGACACTGTAATAATATTGCCTAACTCCAAATGGTCCGCTTAACCTTTCACCTTTGGGGGATTCACTCTCAGATTCACCATTCCCTAAACATGAACAAGTTTAGTACTATGTTTTGCAGCAATTGTCCAATACAGGTGTACATGGGGCAACAAATGATGATCTAATGCTTCTACTTCCCAGGTAGTTCAGTGAGGACCACTGAATGCATCCTGCTTGGAAGAACCCATGTGGGGTTACGCATCGCAACCACTCAGAAGCTCTGTGAACTTGTGCTCTGATTCTCAGTCTGCTCACCGCGAGATGGAACTAACACTTCTTCTCTCCCAACATGTCTGAGAAGACACAATGAAAAAATTCTTTGAGAAGCATTTGTTGGAAACAGTTTAGAAACTCTTCTTAGGTGCTGAGCAACTCTGGAAAAAGGAAATGCACATAAGAGGACCAGCCACCTAAAATCATTTCCTGACAAGGCAGGAAATTAGTGCACTTATTAAGAGCCTTAGAATTTCCAAATGGAAAGAACCTAAGAGACAGTGCAGATGCTCTCATTTAATCAAGAATCTCACTCCAAGAGGTTAGTGACAGGGCCAAGGTCACACCACAGGAGGATTAAAACTAGAATTTTGGGTCTCTAGGTCCTAGTCCTTTCACCACTGTATGGCACAGCCATGTCCCCACTTATCCTTTGGAAGTCCTTGTTGGAGCCATGTCTATTGCAAAAACTCAAGGGTTCGTCCAGTGGAAACCATATACAAGAACTGGGAGTTTAGTTCCCTGTGTCACTTGCTCTTGTTTGAGGACCTGAGTTCTATCCTTGGTTCTTCTGACTTTCTCTGTGATTCTGTTTCTGACAAATTGCCCTGAGGGTGGGCCTATATCCACACTATGCTTCACAAACACCCCCAGCATGTCCACATCTTTTCTAAACATGAGACCCTTTATAGCAATTCCAAACACAGTCTCACTGGAGTGTGGGGACCAAATAATTTGTGAGAATTACTGGGGGTTGTTCTGGGCATTGTCAGGTAATTATCATCATTCCTGGCCTCCAGGATGCCAAATAGCACCTTCCCCAATTGTGATAATTAAAAATGTCTTCAGGCATTGTTAAATGTCACCTGGGGAGCACTGCCCCTCTTAGTTCAGAACTGCCTAAGACTGCGATGCTTCCAGATTTGTTCTTTTTGCTTAGTCTTGCTTTGACTGTGTGGGCTCTTTTTTGGTTCCATATAAATTTTAGGATCTTTTTTTCCATTTTGTGAAGAATGATGGTGGTATTTTGATGGGAATTGCATTGAATTTGTAGATTGCTTTTGGCTGCATGGTCATTTTCACAATGTTGATTCTACCATCCATGAGCATGGGATGTGTTTCTATGTGTTCTTGTCGTCTATAATTTTTTTCAGCAATGTTTTGTAGTTTTACTTGTAGAGGTCTTTCACCTCCTTGGTTAGGCATATTCCTAAGTTTATTTTATTTTACTTTATTTGCAGCTATTGTAAAGATGTCGAGTTCTTGATTTGATTCTAAGCTTGGTCGCTGTTTGTGTATAGCAGAGCTACTGATTTGTGTACATTTATTTTTGCACCCTGAAACTTTGCTGAATTCATTTACCAGTTCTAGAAGCTTTATGGATGAGTCTTCAGGGTTTTCTGGGTATATGATCATGTCATCAGCAAACAGCAACAGCTTGACTTCCTTTTTGTCAGATCACAGGGAAAATCTCTCTTGCAACCTCCTCTTGAGCCCACTCTACCCAGACCATCCCTCCTCAGGGAAGGGGCCCAGAGATAAAGTTCTAATCTTGACTCTATCTAGTTCTCAAGCCAATGTATGGTCTTTAAGCTCCACGAAGGCTGCCTCCAGAGATGGCCTTATTGGCTTCAAACAAAAATAAACAAGCCTGGATGGGGCCCTAAAAAAATAAGTGATTACTTGCTATTTTTTATAAAAGTATCATTCCTGTCTGCAGGATACACAATAAACTTCTTTTGTGTTTTCCTGAGTCATCAAAAACTAGTTAATTGAAGACTATTTTCTGGTATCTTCTCTTAGGAATTTTCAAGTAATTTTTTCTATTTTTGAACATTAGGAAAAGGTGGTTATTTTTAACATGAAGTTGTGGGGGATGGAAAAGGTACCCCAAATAATATTGAACAATCATTTATTAGAAATTTACTAATTATTGTCATTATCATCATCATAATTTTTATTTTCTAGCTTCATCAAGAGAGTCACAATTCTCAAAAGCATAAGAGGCAATCGACTGCATCTAACGAGATACAACCAGGATATGGACGTCTTCTCAGTATTTCACTTCTTGTCGTCAATCCAGTGGAAACTCCAAAATACCACTGAATGAACGATTCTCAAGTCAACACTGAAGAACGCATCAAGATTTCCATTAAAAAAAAACAGAAAACCCAGCATGTACCCAGGCTTTTATTCATTTGTATACCTATAAGAAGCAGCTGCAACTTTACATACAAGTGATTTCTTTTTACATAAAATGTTTTTTGCCATTTTTAGTCACTGAAGCATTAAAAAAAATAAATACAGTGGAAGCATTTGAAAGGGCTTGCTTTAAAAAATAATTTCGTTGGTTTACTGAATGACTAGTTCTTGGTTTTTTGAAAAGTTTGTCGTACATCCTGTTCCCAATTCAATTTGCTTTTACCCTCATAGACCTCTGTGCTTTTAATTGCTACTCTGATTTTTGAGGCAAAGATTTCTTTCTCCTGAAGATGTTCTGCTGCCTGAGATAAATGATATTCGGGGATTTTGAAAGTACTTTTAAGCATGCCATTAAGAAATCTAAACATGAAGACTATGAACATCAGAGGCAAAGGTGTCAGCAAGCAGCCTGTTGTAGAAGGAGATTTGTCAGTCTACAGATGAGCAGATTAAAAAAAAAAAACAACAACAACAGTGTAGAAAGCACCATTCTATATCTCACTTTTACACTTGACTCAAGACTCCATATGGACTGGTCTAGTGGCTTAAATGTCCACCAAAGATATCCTTATTCTCCCCAAGCCAGCAAGCATCATTTCCTCCTGTATCCACTTTGCTTCACTCTCTCCTCTTTGCTTAGAAGTGGAGAAGGTCAGGACTCTACTTAATAAGTTAAAGTGCCTTGGTTGAATAAACTTAGGGCCTTCTAACTATTTCTATAAGCCAACCCACACACTTACACACACTTCTGTCCTTCCTTGATTGCCCAGGTTCTCACCTAATTGGCAAGAAGCAAGTTCTCTACTGATGAGTAACCATCATCCCAAACTGAGTAGGTTAGAGGAGCTTGTTCCACATACTTTATTTCTCTTGGTTCTATGGGTTGATGGTGGTTCTTCTAATCCAGGCCAGCTCATATGGGGTGAGTGATCCAGGCTGGCCTCATTCATATCTCTAGAAGTTGGCTCAATGTCAGATGGGGCAACAGGATGGGCATGCATTTGGCCACATGTCAACATGCATCAGGCACACCGGGGTTCTCTCACGTGGTGTTGCCTCAGGACTCTAGAGAACACCAAGAGGACAGTCTCAATGTAGTTTCCAGGCCTCTGCTTGCTTTAGGTCTGCTGTTGGCCCATTGGCCAGAGCAAGTCCTGAGGCCAGTTCAGAGTCAGTACAGGAGGTCACTACCCAAAGGCTGTGCTAGGAGAAGACAAATCATTTGTGGCCATTTTAAATCATTTATCACATTTAACAAATATTGTCAATTATCACATTAAATACTGTTGATCCTCATAATCCACAGATTTCATATTTGCAAATTTGCCTACTAACCAAATGTATTTCTAACCCCAAAATCAACACTCTCAGCACTTTGATGGTCATTTGCAGACATGCATATGACAGTGAAAAAACAGCCGCCCCGCAGGCACGTTCCCAGCTGCAGTCAAACAAGGCCATCCTCTGCCTTCCTTTTTTGAGATAGAGTCTTACTCTGTCACCCAGGCTGGAGTGCCATCACTTGATCTCAGCTCACTTCAACATCTGCCTCCCAGGTTCAAGCAATTCTCCTTCCTCAGCCTCCTGAGTAGCTGGGATTACAGGAGCCTGCCACACACACAGCTAATTTTTATATTTTTAGTAGAGATGGGGTTTCACCATGTTGGCCAGGCTGGTCTCAAACTCCTGACCTCAGGTGATCCGCCCGCCTCGGTCTCCACAAGTGCTGGGATGACAGGCATGAGCCACCGTGCCCGGCCTCAGGTTCTGCCTTCTGTTTCAGCTCTCATATTGCAAACTAGTAGCCTCCTTGCAATCTCTTTAGTGCCACGGTTTTTGCATTTTTATACTGTTTGCTGCTGATTTCACTGCTTAAAATGGCCCCCAAGGATAGTAATGAAGTGCTGGCCCTGACCACAAGAAGGCTGAGCTGTGCCTTATGGAGAAAATGCACAAGCCTTGCACAGACATGAGTTACAGCAGTGTCGGCTATGAGTTCAATGTTGATGAATTAAGCAGTCTTTAAACAGAAACACACATAAAACAAAGTTATGTATTGGATCCGTTGACAAAAATGTTGTGGCCAGAAGCTCAAAAGACCCTAAACCCTTTTATTTCCCAGGAGCAATGGTTCAGTATTTGCTAAGTGAATGTTCACAGTGACACTACAGAATAGACTTAGCTACCACGCATATCGAGAATCAGCTGTATTCATCGAGCTCCTTCTTCTGCCAAGTGCCATGCCTACAGCTGGGTGTTTGGTGAACTCCTGCTTTCAGGGAGCTTAAAGTTTAGTGAGGGAGGCATGCATTAATTAATGACACTAATGAATGTGCAGTTTCAGGCAAGTCAAGGAAGATGCCCTAAGGATGTGAAGTGCCAACCGAGACCTAAAGAATGAATGGGAGTTCTACAGCTCAAACACCTGGGAAAGAAGCTCTGAGCTGTAGATCTGAGCACAGGGGTGCAGTGGACGGCATCCTCAGGAACATCTCCTCGGTGAGGGAAACTGCATCAAGCAAAGGGAAAAGTGGCAACAGAGGCCTCAGCCAAGCCCACAAGAACTCTGGAGCTGAGCAAACTTGGCAGAAATGTCCCCGACAAGGCAAGAAGCCTGGGACTTTGTACCCTTACATCAACCAGTCATAAACTGATATGCAGTAGCTCCCTTCAGTTTAGGACAATCCATGGGGAAAAGACTCAGCTGTCAGCCAATGACAGTCATGGCAGTTTTACAAATGAATGCTTTACAAAGTGAGCACTTCCCTCCTCCCCTCCAGCATCCCTAAAAAGGCAGCTAAAAAGGAAGGGCAGCTCTGCCAAACAGGGGGGAAAAGCACGTGCAAAGGCCTTGTGGTTAGAGGGGGGCATGGAACATGTGAGCAGTGTGAAGAAGACCCACACATGGCAGGGGCCTGGGGAGCAAGTATTAAAACAAGTGTGGAATGAGAGGAAGCTGAGAACAGGCCAGGACGCGATCATGGACCCTCATAGGCCATGATTAGAGCTTTTATCCTCATCCTAACAGTAATGTGAAGTCACAGAGGTTTTAAGCAAAGGAAGCCACCTGCTTCAATGAAGAGAACAGAATTGAGCAGAGTGGGGAAAAGAGAGGCTGTGCAGATATGAGAAGTCTGGCTTGTGTGTATTTAACAAGCAGCTAAGCAGGTGAGAAGAAGTGAATGAAGGTGAGAGGTGTTTAGACAGTAAGTCAACAGGACTTGATATGACACAGATGTGGGCAGCAAGGAGAAGAGGCATCACAGACACTGCTTGGTTCCTGATCTTCCCAAACAAACAAACAGAGGTCCCTGTGCTGGGATGGAGACTTCCAAAAGAGGACTAGGTTTGGGAAGATGGCTAGAGGAGGAAACTCACATTAGAATCAGCCAAATTATACTCATAACAGTCAAATGGATATACCTGGCTGACACTCCAATTCACATGTTTGGCACTCAGAGATGTGGGATGAAGATTTAAATGTATGAATCACGGCACTGAGATGTCAATGGAAGTCTCAGATGGGGATGAGACTGTTCAGGGAGCAGAGCAGAAGACAAGAGGGCCTAAGACTAGGAGCCACAGACATTCCACGTTCAGTGGCCAGGTGACTAAGACAGAGGCAATAAAGGACCCTACAGAACAGCAAGACAAGTGGATGGAAACATGAGGAAAAGAGGACACAGGCCCCAACGAAAGACGGGGTTTCTATGAGCGAGTGGGCCAAAGTCAAGTGCTGCTGAGGAGGTGTGCTTGCCTAAAGACTGAAAACTTTCCACTGGATTATTAGCAGATAACAAAGTTCATGTCGGTCTCAATTGTGAGAAAAGAAATAGGTAGAATATTTTTTTCCATTTAAGGAAAGATAACTCTGGGTTTTAGAGAGACTAGCATCATCATGTTGCTAGATAAACTTGTTCCTTCTTTTTCTGCATTTGGCTCATGGAAGGAAAAGCTGCAGGAAATCTTAGCATTCAGAGAAATGATTGTATATGCTTTAAAGCCAAAGAAACACTGCCTTTGATTAGCTTGGAAACAGCCAGGTATCTTTTGCTAGAAAGAGGATCAAAAACTTGGAGAGAAACCAAATATATGGAATACTGAGCAAGAATGAGATACTCTCTGAAACCTAAGTTTTACAGATTTTAACACCAAATCCTCATGAGTTTTCAGTGAGCCCTACATTCATTATTCATTCATTCATTCTAAACTGACACAACCACATTGGAAATTATTATAACAAGATTCAGGAAAATAGTCCTATTCCTTATGGGAGTGATTCTTCTTCTATGAATTTTATCCAAGGATCTAATTTAACAAACACATAGAAAAAATAAAATTATATGCAGGCATTTATTCAATGATGATTTTCTCCAAAAGCTCATCTTTGAAAAAAACATAAATGTTCATTATTTGGGGAAAATTTTAATAAATATTTGTAAAGTAACAGGATGCAAATACTGGGTAATTATTAAAATGACTTCATAGTACCACAAGGGAAAATGTTGAAGTGAAAATAAAGTACAAAAGAGTAGGTTTGGTATTGCTTTATCTGTGTAAGTTATATATGGAGATAAAAATGAAGTCACTGAGTTACATAGTGAGGTCACAGATTTTCAATCTTTAAAGCCATTAATATTTTTGTTTTGTCTATTCATTTAAAATATGCAGAAGTAATATCTGTGAAAGTAGCACTGTAAGAAGAAAAATGCCTTCCGAAAGAGGCTTTGATGTAAAACTGAACAGAAACATAGCACTGTGCTCAGAATGAGATTACATCTGAATCCACATTACGATATTCAAGATGAATTAAATGGAAATGGCCTTCTCCATTGTTACCTTCAGCACTTACTGATGGGGGGACAATGATGTCTCCAATTTGCCTAAGTGTTTGGCATCTTTGAAACTTTATCATTCACATCACCTCTGCAAAAGGAGTCATTTTGTATTAGCAGAGAATCCCACGTAATTAAGCAGACAGAACCTACTTCTCCTGTAATTATACCTGGAGGGATTTGAATGTCCCGCTTATGAAACCATTAAGGAAGGTTACAACTTGGGGGTTGGCTGGTGGATCTTCTCCCCTGCTGTGACCAAGTGCCCGATATCTGGATGAATTTAACAGCTTCCTGAGCACTTTGCAACACTGCTTCCACGTTGAGAGAGATATGGGACCAAACTAGTACCTAGGGGGGCTTCTTCCCTCTTTGCCACTCCCTAGTCCCTGCTGTAGAAGTAGGAGGTGCTTTGTGGCCACCTCCTGGCAGGAAGGTCTGGCTCTCACAGTGGTCCGATATGGGGATGTTGGCTGAGGGGTGATGGATTCTGAGAAGCTACACAGCACTCCACTAACATTAAAATATCTCCTCTCCTTTTTACCTCCCTGAATCACAGGGCTCATTCTAGCTACTGTAGCTGTCTTCTTGAGAAACAAGTGATCATTAAGGCCTGGCATGGATGCTGCACCTTAGCTCTGGGTGTCTGCAAAAGAAAGGTGCCTCTTCTGTTCACAGAAAGAAATGTTTTGTTGTTGGTAATGAAATAGAAGGAGAAAAGACACACCGTAAACCGATGACCAGACACCAACTTCTTCTGATCGCTAATTGTTGATCCCAGGCACTCAGATTCTTATAGAATATACATGTTAGATTGAAAATAATGCTTGCAACTGACAATATCCACAGCAGGGAAAAGAAAGAAAATGTCCAGGTGGTGGTTCACGCCTGTAATCCCAGCACTTTGGGAAGCCGAGGCAGGCAGGTCACCTGAGCTCAGGAGTTTGACACCAGCCTGGCCAACATGGCAAAACCTCATCTCTACTAAAAAGACAAAAATTAGCCAAGCGTAGTGGCACACGCCTGTAGTCCCAGCTACTCGGGAGGCTGAGGCAGGAGAATTTCTTGAACCTGGGAGGTGGAGGTTGCAGTGAGCCAAGATCACGCCATTGCACTCCAGCCTGGGTGACAAGAGCGAAGCTGCATCTCAAAAAAGAAAAAAAGAAAACTTGCACCAAATGCTGCACCAATTCAATGAATATTCCCTGCCTCTTACATAGTGATGATCTGGAGTTGATTGTGCTGATACAAAAAGTCATTGTATTTGCAACAAAAACTATCCTTAGAGATTTGTGACTTTGGAGAACTAAGTATATACTTCAAAGATCTGGAAGCATTTGGGGGAAGCAGAGTGAAAACCAAATGTATTTTCAGAGTTTCTTTAAATTATCTGCTTCCCAAACCTTAAAGCTACACTCCTCCCCCAACCAAGAACCTATTTCCCAACACTGGACTGCAAATATCGGCATCTTAAATCATGGCCAAAGACCAGCCAAGAGAAGGAGAATCTCGTTTGCCAAAGTCTAGGTCTTGTTAAATAAATTCTTCCTTGACAGCAAAGAAAGCCCTGGCTAAGGAAATGGCTCCTTAAACATTTCCATTTAATTCAAAAAAGATTTACTATGCACCTGCTGTTGGGACTACACTCCAGGAGCTGAAACTGTTGGGGAGTGCATTTTCACGCATTTGGCTGAAAAAGGGGCAGCCGATTCTGCACCTCAAAAAGTATGTTAGCATCATCCAAACACTTTTCTGGATTTCCTCCATCTTCATCCTGCTCCTAAAGCCCATCCCTTTTATTCTCTGGGGCACATATTTCTGTCCCTCATCATTTCTGCCTGTTATAGACAACTTTGCCCTTTCTCATTTACATTTCTAGTATGTAGCCCTGCCCAGAACCCAGCCCAGTCCTCCCTGGCCCCCCGTCTCACTCAGCCTAACATTTAACATTCACCTCCCTACAGTCTTCTAATTCTCTAACCCTTCACTCATTTTCCACGTTGAATATCTGCCTTATGCCAGACAGTTGCCATCAGCACTGCCTCCCAACACTTGTAAGATCAGACACATGCTATGGGCAGTACAAGGATCTGGGCCTATGAAGGTTGCCCCAGACAGGAAAGATCTCACACATACACTCTGCAAGCTTATCACCTATCTAGGAAGAAATGCACCACAAATGATAGAACGGATCCAAAAAATCAGGACCCAAACCTGTGCTATCTATAAGAAATGAGCTTTAAATATAAAGATATAGATAGGGTAAAACAGAATAGATGCAAAAAGGTACCCCAGTCAATCAGTAAGCACAAGAAAGCTGTTGCAACTACAGTGATGTCAGACAAAATAGACAAATAATATTTCCACAGATAGAAAGGGAGCATTTCTATCTCTGGAAATATAAAGATCAATTCATAATTAATAAAATAAAAGGATCAATTAATAAAATAAAAGGATCAATTCATCAAGAAGACATATGAATCATAAATATATATGTGCTTAATAACAGAGCCTCAAAGTACATGGAGTGAAAAATTATTAGAAAGTCCTTGTTTCCAAAAAATAAAAAATGAGTATGTTGGTTACTATCACGCCTACGGCCTGACTACATTATCTGTCTCCAGGTGGTTTTGGCCAGAGCTGACTTCACATGTGGCTCCTGGGCAGACCTGTACCCCAGGCCTTTGCAACCAGCATGTGACCCATGCAGAGTCAATGAGATTCAATCGAGGGCTTAAAATGTTTTTTGAACCATAGAGAAAATCAATGTAGTGCTGCTCCAGGGGAGCTGAGAACTGGAACGATGCTACTAGCAGCCATCCTTCCTTTATGAGAAAGGGGCCGAGATCAAGGGAAGCAGAGCAGAGGAAAGAAGTCCTTGACACCATTGTTTAAGTCTCTGAATCCAGCCATGCCTGAAGTCATAACCCCTGGACTTTTCTGTCCTGTTAGCTAATAAACTCCCTTTTTGGTTTAAGCTGGTGTATTGGGCCATTCTTACATGGCTATTAAAAATACCTAAAGCTGGGTAACTTATACAGAAAAGAGGTTGAATTGGCTCATGGTTCTGTAGGCTGTAGAGGAAGCATGGTGCCAGCATCTGCTTGGCTTCTGGGGAGACCTGAGGAAGCATTTACTCATGGCAGAAAGCGAAGCAGGAGCAGGCACATGACATGGCCAGGGCAGGAACAAGAGAGAGACTGAGGGTAAGTGCCACACACCTTTAAACAACCAGATCTTGCAAAAACTCACAATCAGAAGGATAGCAACAAGCTATGTGAGATCCATCCCCATGACCTAAACACCTCCCACTAGGCCCCACCTCCAACACTGGGGATTACAATTCAACATGAGATCTGAGCACGGACAAACATCCAACTCTATCAGCTGGTTTAAGTTGAGAGCACTTTTCTTCAAACCAGAGAGTTGCAATTAATATATCACATTAACCCCCACCCACAGACACACATACCAACACTCTATACACCTTGTCCCCAAGGATAAGCTCCACAGTTGAAAATCTGCTTTGAAAGTGAATCTATGTGATGGATGAGATGACAGTCAATCCCTTGGGGTGGGGTAGGGAGTGATGCTGAGAATCGCTGCTGCCTATGAAATGCCTGGATTGCGTCTGTCACGAGAAGCAGTCCTTTGCTTCCTGGTTCCGTCTCCTTTAGGTGGGAAAAGAGTAAAATAAATAAGAACAGGTTGAGAATTTCAGAGATATAAAGGATCTTAAATCTCCTGCTCCAGAATTCCTGAGGAGCAGTCAGGGAGGTGCAGACTGTATGGATGGGAAGAAAATGCTGAGGGGAAGTGAGTTTGGGCCAGACTCCCTGTTACGGGATGGGGTCAAGGCAGAGTAGGTGGCACCCCAAGCAGAATCTGAGGGTGCAGGTAGCAGCGAAGTGGTCAGAGCGGTGTTTTCAGAAGTGTAATGATGGATCTGGCTTCCTCAGTGCAGCCTGGCAGCACTGAATCTAGCAGACACCACAGGATGGTAGAGTTGACAGGGAAAGAAAGATGTTGATGAGACAGAGGTTCCATGATGAGCACCTTTAAGATGAAGTAACCAATAATCAAAGAAAACAAACACCTAGGTAAAGGGAAGCCTGGGCGTGAATTCAGCCCCCACTGCACAGGCAGGCACTGATTGTCCACGCTACAGTAACAAAATCAATTGACTGGGAGTTTCCACTGCCTGGAATGGCTGCCAGAAGATTTTGCACACATCCCACCTTATCTCCAAGATTATTAGCTTAAAAGGGACAAAAGTCTTCAGTGGAGCTTTGATGGCAAAATTCTAAGCCTGAGTAGGTTGTAGAATATTTCAAGAAAAGGGCCTCCCCAGTGCACGAGGAAATTGAAAAAAACTGCCCCATAAAAACAAATGGCACACACTTTGCCACTCTATGCCTAGCCTGCTTATCTGTAAAATGGGAACTCACTTTGTAGGTTGATGGGGAGATTGAACCAGATGACCCTGTGAAGGGCTACAGCTTTTCGCAGACACTCTTGCCATTTTTCTTGAGACCCATGCCAACAGGGTTGAGAGTTCTCACTACTCACTCCATAACAATTATTTATCAAATAGCATTTGTTACCTAAACAATAATCTAGTGTTCCTGGTGGCCCGCCTACCACGAAGAGAATGTCTATGTGCCCAGCCTCCTTCTGTTCTGAGATTTTAGCTGGAGGTGATAAAAAAACAAACAAACAAACCAGCAGCAGCATGATCGGCCCTGCTGAGGGGAGGGTTCCAGCCAAAGGAATCACCAGCTGTCCTCCAGGAAAAGTGGCCAACCTGACAGGGGAACAGGGAAACACACCCCACGCCCAGCCAGTCCATTTTTCTCACTGGGTATCTTTGTTGATGGTTGAGGTTTATGGAGTAATTTGGGAATGAATGGGTGATCCCCTCGGTAGCACCTCTACAACTGCCTGAAAGGCTGCCAGAGCCCCACCCACAGCTCTCAGTCTCCATCATCATCATCACAATGTACCTGTTGAGTACTCAGGTGCCCAAGCACTGTGCTAAATACTTTACTCACTGGCTCCATTTATGCCTTACTGCAACTCAACGATGTCCGAACTATTATTGTCTATGGATTCTGAACTCATAGTTCAGTGGGGAAATTGAGTCAGAGACAGCTTAGATATTCAGTTCCAGATGATAGACTTAGAAGAAGCAAAGCCTGGACTACAACTACATTTGCCTGGCATAAGAGCCCATACTCTGAAACCACAATATGTTCTCTTCTTTCTCTCTGAGCCTGAAATTCAGATGCTGCTAGCACCTTTCTCCACTATGACCAGCTCATCCTGCAAACTCTTGCCGTGCATGGCTGGAAAGTGTCCACTTTCAGCAAGGACCAGAAACAATCCCAAGGACCATTGAAAAGAACTGTCCCCTTACCAGACACAACCACTCTTCTTCTCCCCATCACAATATTTGTAAATGGGTGTGTGAGTGTGTGACAGAGACAGACAGTGACAGAGACAGATTTTAGAATTTGAACAAAGGTAAATAAGAGAAAATTGGAATTCACAAGATCCTTCAGAATTGGGTCACCTCAAGGTGGGAAGTCAAACCAGCTATTCTGCAAAGCCCTGTCATCACCTTTTGCAGTTCAGTAGCAGAACCTGCACATGTGCCTCCAATCTGCTCCCATTTCTGTGTATTTAAATAAACTAAGTCAGGCCTTTTATGCCCTTCCTCTGCCACATGCTTCTCGTGCATGAGATCAGAGGTATTTGACACCATGTACTCCTGTCTACTAATCTAGCCTCTGCGAGGCAGCGATGATAAATATCATTGCAGCAGTTCTCATTAGGACTGTTTACCATGTACCATGGACTGCTACATTTATTTTCCCCACCACTCTTTAAATATTATTTTTCTCATTTTACAGATTAGGGAACTGTAGCTCAGAGAAGCTAAATAACTTTCCCCAAACCACACAGCTATTGAAGTGACAAAATTGGAACTCTTATCTGTCCAAATTCAATGCCTATATCCCTAACACCTTTAATAACACAAGATATGAGAATATGTGACTGTACCTTCACATTTGTAGATCTAAAGTAGACTTTGAGGAACTAGACTTCACCTACCCACCCCAGCACAGGAATCCAACTAGTTAAATGACTCTGATTTTACTCTAGAAAGAAATAATCCTAATACCAAGACTCTTCAATTACTCTGTGCAATTAAGTCCTGAGTGCTTGTTTGAACAATTAACTGAAATAATTATAAATGTATCTCTGTTACTACAGTTGCATATTAACAAAGGCTCAGGGCCAATTAATCATTACTCCATCAATATCTAATTTGCATAAACCTATTCTCTTTAAAGACTCCATGGTTGGGGTGACAGGGCTCCCTCATCGATTATGGAAATATCCCCATCAAACTTCCCTGAGGCCGTCAAAAGGAATAAAAGGGGTTGTCTGTCCTCAGCTGCTCAGTACCCCTATCCAATCCTCCCAGGGGCAGGGAAGGATGGAGAACAAAGGGGAAAAGATACAATTAACATGCACTTCTCCACTGGGAGAGGGACTGACAGGGCTCAGGTTATGAGGATGATGGTCAGAGAGGGGCATCTAGCCCACCCGAGGTCAGGGGAAAACAAGCATGGGAACCTCTTTTGGAGTCATCCAAATTCATTCATTCATTCAACAGATCCATCAACAGATATTTGCTTTCTGCTGTGTAATAGGTACTTGGGGCTGCAATAATGAATGAGCATCTTCTGGGTTCTCACTGAGTCAGGTAGACAACTAACTAGTCATCAAGAGGGTTTCCTAAAAACAGATACCGAGATGGAGTGTGATGTGCAAGATGCTTATTAGGGTTCAGCACCTGTGAAAGGAAGGGAAGGAGCATGACTGGGCAGAGGGAGAAGGTAGGGTGTGATGCAGGCTTCACAAAGCCTCAGCCCACCTGGTGTGGGGCTCTAGGGCAAGCATACCTGTCAGAATTAGCCCGAACCAGGTGGAAATGGTGGCTTTGACACCCCACCTTGCTCAGGCACTGGAAGTGGGCTGCCCTGGTGGAGAGGGCTCCCTGCAGCTGAGGGAGACCAGGAAGAAGCCCATGGTGGGCTGTCTACACTTCCTCCAGCTGGGCATCCAGTTCTTCCCTGAAAGAGGATTTGGGCTGTGCAGCTCTATGTCTGCCACAGTGGAAAATCGCTAGAGAGAATAACAACACTCTGAAGAAGAAAAATGGTGCCATTGCAACAGAGAAGGTACCCCTCGTGCCGGCCTAAGGGGCCAGGAAGTCAGAGTAGGCTTCTTGGAGGAGGTGACTTCAAAGCTGAGATCTAAGAAATTAGCAGACCGTAATCATGCAAAGAGGATAGGGAAATAATGTTTCAGGCAGAAGGAAGCACTGAAGCTTAGGGTCTAAAGGGTTGTTACAAAAAAGAACAAGATTAGGCTGCAGACACAGATGTAGGTTACTGTTCAGTGTTGATTTAGCCCAACCAGCACTAGAGAATGGAACCATTGCCCAGAGTTCTCTCCTCCTCTGTAATCAGATTTTCATTCAGATGGGCACTGCCATTTCTCAGGAGGAAGGCAAAGTGAGAAGACATCACCATGGAGATAGGCGTGGCAGGGCCATGACACATTCAACAACCTCTCTTCCGAACCTGAAAGTGAACTGTGCTGTTCAGGTTGTTTATATATAGTTGTAAATAGGCAACACTGTGACATTTTTAAAAATAAACTATTCCAATTTTGTTTAGGGTTTTTCTTTTTAATTTGCTATGCATCAATGGCTGTGTCTTCAGAGTTCTGGAAGATAATATTTCATTTAGCAAGCAGTCACCAAGCTCTCCTGGGTGCCATGTGCCCTCAGTGTTGCAGAGATAGATGAGACAAACTCCTGATCTCAAAGAATTTAAAAGTCCTACTGCAGTTACAGAATATTGCAGAGAAAAGACTGAATTATTGACATTAAGCAGAAAATGACAATTGCTGAAAAGAGCTATGGATAAAGGGAAAAAGTGACCAATGCAGAAAATATAGACAACTATGGAAATCAACTGTACAGACTATGCAAATCAACTACACAAACTATACCAATCAACTTTTTTCCCTCTTAACTGCTTGAGAAACTTTGTGCCTGCATGGTTGTGAGTGTGGCAGGAAGAGGAGGAGGAATAGAAGAGGATTCACCCCCGTGTGTGCAGGTAAATGCTACAAGGTGGCCACAGGGGGACAGTAGTCTCTGTCCCTGGGAGGAGAACTACTACCATAGCAAAGGCGTCATCTTAAACAGCCTCGACAACTCAAACACAAGGATAAAAATAGAAGCCCCAGAAGGATTTAGTGAAAATAAAATGAAACCTGAGAGCCCCAGAGGCAACCCTGGATTTGCTGGAGAGGCAAAGCACAGTGCAATCTGGTGGACCCCAAGGTCAAGGGCAGGAAGCATTATTGCAGGTGAGAGCTTAGGAAGGGGCCTCTTGACCTGGCCCCGGGGTGGACAAAAGGCTAGGAGAACTAGATGACAATAATGATTTTAACAAGGATCAGGCTTCACTCAGTGGTCTCCGATGCTGTGAGAAACTCTTACTCTTGCAAAACCACAAAACCTGCCTGACTCAGGAAAGACAGAAGGAAAGAGAACGCTTTACACAAAATACAATTCCAGATCCCTCATCGAGAAAAAAACTCCAAATGATTCCTTATAGGCAAGGCCCTGTAGCAGACACAGCAAACAAAGTCTTCAAAAAAGCCTGGCCCCACACAAACACTTCTGGATAAGCATTTATGGTAGGCCTGCTGTATGCACAGCATCAGTACTGTTCACTTCAGCGACACCTCAACTTCATCCCAAGCACATGGGCATAAAGAAACAAAAGAATGCCTGTCACTGAAAAGCTCATGAGCTATTTGGCAGAGACCATGCATAACCTAAACCAGCGACTCTCAACCTGGTTCTTCATATGAAACAGTTGGAAATCAATTCCGGGGCCCCATCTGCAGATCCCCAGACCTATTGAATCTGAATCTCTGCTAGAGGAGCCTAAGAACCACTTGAAAGAGAAAGTTCTCCAGGTTGTGCTAGGGATTACCTGGATTTAGGAAAATATGCAACATTTTTTCAGAGAGAACATCTCCCTTCTTAACATTTTTCTAGCTCAACACCTTGGGTCTTTAATACACAAGCTTCATAGGATGCAAATATTTCCCAATATAACATCACTGCACTAATGTTGGTAAAGGAAAACATATATTTACATCCCCAATCCTCAGTGCAATATAGTTTTTAATACAATATGCAAATAAAGAATTGAGTGTCCTTCCAAATAAAATCAGTACAACGTCAGAATAATATGTAGCTATTTGAAAGCTGAGGGTCAAAAACAGAACTTGAGTCTCCAAATGTGGCCGGCGCTAAGAAGTATACCGTAGCATCACTGCAGAAGAGGTGGCTGATTCCTAGCATCCATATTAATTGTCTGACATTTTGCAAGCAAAGTTTTAAACATTTTACATTCTAACATATCTTGTTCCATATATAGGTATTTTACCTTGTCTTAGTTATGATTTAAGAAATTTGTTAAGGGTTCGGGGCTACTGGTTAATGCCATATAATTGTTCCTATCTAAAATAACTAGTTACAGGTGCCAAGTTAACCGTTTCAGACAGAATGTGTGAGGTTGGGGCATAAATTATTGACGCTAAGTGGGAGATGACTATAATTCAAGTCTAATGTGGTCCTTGCAGCTGCTAGGAGCAATATTCAGCACAGGGGGAGACCCACTCTACCTGTGTGCCCCTGAGAAACCACTGTGAGGCCCGTGAAAATGGCACTAGGCCTCAGCAGATGGTGAGGTGTTTTCCAGGCTGGAAAATGGAAAGAGGAAAGGAGATAAAATTTTAGGAGGAGAAAGAATTCCACGAGAAAGCAGAGATGTTTGAAAGAGCTTGGTACTAGCTAGAGAATCTGACTTTGTGTATCTGGAACTTAAAGTGCATGTGAAGAGCTGAGAAGAAAGGAGACTGGAGGCCGGGCATGGTGGCTCACACCTGTAATGCCAGCAATTTGGAAGGCTGAGGCGGGTGGATCATCTGAGGTCATGAGTTCGATACCAGTCTAGCCAACATGGTGAAACCCCCATCTCTACTAAATATAAAAAAATTAGCCAGGCTTGGCGGTGCACACCTGTAGTCCCAGCTATTCAGGAGGCTGAGGCAGGAGAATGGCTTGAACCCAGGAGGCACAGGTTGTAGTGAACCAGGATAGCCCCACGGCATTCCAGCCTGGGCGACAGAGCAAGACAGAAAGAAAGAAGGAAAGAAAGAAGGAAAGAAGGAAGGAAGGAGGGAGGGAAGGAAGGAGTGAGGGAGGGAGGGAAGGAAGGAAGGAAGGAAGGAAAGAAAGAAAGGCAGGAAAGAAGAAAGGAAGGAAGGAAAGAAGAAAGGAAGAAAAGAAAAGAAAAGAAAAGAAAAGAAAAGAAAAGAAAAGAAAAGAAAAGAAAAGAAAAGAAAGGAAGGAAGGAAGGAAGGAAGGAAGGAGAGTGGAAAAAGAGGGATGGGTAGGTCATGCATTCATTCATTCATGCATGCATTCACCATGTGTTTAATGAGCATCTGCTATGTGCCAGGCACTGTTCAAGGCACTGAAGATACAGAAAGAAAACAGACAAACCAAAAAATTCATCATCATGATCTCTTCCCTAAAATAGCTGAACACTCAGTAGGGGAGAAAGACATTAAACAAATGAACACAGATGGTGCTTAACGTTATATAATGTGGGGAGAGACCTAAAGTGGTTTTGATGATCACAGGCAATTTCCCTGATAATTTTTTTTTAAGCTGGACTCTGAAGGTCGGGTCCCAGCTTATTAGGATAGGATACTGAATCCTTTGAATGTTTCAAATGAGTTCTGGTTTGGTTGTGTATGGGAACTATTTCCCATTTATCCATTTTTTTCAGGTTTTAACATCCAGAAGGCAAAAATGGGTTGCCAAGGAGCCATAAGAGATGTGTTTGAGACAAATAGAGCAGAGAGGTAAGTGAGAGGCATAGGAAGGGAGGCTGTTGATGAAAAACCAGACATAAAGAGAGGCAGTTTCTACAGTGGCTGTGGCTTAGCCCATTTGTACCAGTGCTGTCTGGCTGTGGCCAGCAAAGGCCTCCATGTAGTCTGCATTCAAGGACAGGCAGCATAAAGCACAAGGTAACACTGATGACTTTGTATCTGGAAATGATTAATATTCCACTTTGGAGAGCAGCTCAGAGTAGTGCCATTCTTCTCAGCTCCTGAAAAGCACGGGTGGTCTCAACTGGACCTTGGAGAACATGAACACCGAGTAGGTGGCATTTGCACACTTTGGCTCCCCAAAAAATCCATCAAAGCATTTTAGAGACTGTGAAGTCCATGAAGATGGTTAGGTCTCACTGTTCATTCCATCATTCATTCCACAGTTACTTTCTGAGTGGCTGCTATGGGCAAGGCACCGTGCTAGGAGAGGGTAGGAGGGAAGACATGAGAGGAAGCAGGAACTGCATGTGCAAAGGCCCTGAGGCTGCAAGGAGCACGGCAAGTAGGACAGACCTTAAGAAGGCCATTGTGGGAGACAGCCAAGGAGGGAAATCCTTGAGAGGAGAGGGGAGAGAATGGGCAGAGCCAGGTAGGCCATCCCATGCACAGTGAGATTACACTGAAGAGTTTTCAGCAGCCATAAGTTCAACCAGCTTTGTTTCCAAAATATCATTCTAGCTGTACCATGAAGAGATCAGAGGGTAAAATGAGTGGTTGCAGTAAAAGCCAGTGAATTAAGAGACAAATTCACCCATTACACCAGGGGCTAATTGAGTTTGGACTAGGGAAGAGCTATTCAAACCCTAGTTTTCAGCCCAGCAGTATCACCACACCTGGGAGCTTCAAAAATGCAAATTCCCAGCTCCTACCTAAACCCACTGCATCAAAATTGCTAGGAGTGGGGCCCAGGAATGTGATCTTCAGGTGATTCTTGTAACTCTCAAGTTTGAGAAACACTAGACCAGGGTAGCAGTGGCCCTGAGAAACACCGTATGAAGACGTATCTTGAAAAAGTAAGTGGATCGATAAGAAATATGAGTACATTTTGATAAATCTATAATATAGAATATTATGGCACTATTAAGAATTAGATGATGTATACACATACAGAAAGATACTTTTGATGTACTATTACATGAAAAAGGAAAATGCTGGAGAAAGAGTTTAATAGTTTATTAAAAATAGGAAGACATGCCTCTAGCCCATATGTGTATATATTTGTATGTTTATGTAAGAATATAAAAAGCTACAGAATACCATATATCAAAATGTTAACATCAGTGCCCTAGTAGGCAGGGAGTAGAGAAGGATTGAAAGTGATTATTTTCATTTTTATATATAGTTTTTCTTTTTTTGTTGTTAAAAACAAGCAACTTTGTAAATGCTTTTATAACTTAAAACTAAAACAAAAGTTTTGAATTATACAAGTATATAAATATACTCCTCAATAATTAAAATGCAACTAATACAGCAGTCATGCACACGCTGGGTGAGGGGCCCCAGCAGAAAGCACACTGGCCTAGGAATCGAGAGATTTGCCTTCTAAACTGGGTTCTGCCCTGATTCCTGGCTGCTTCCCCTCCTTGAGCCTCTGTGAGATGAGACAGCTGTACTAAAGCTGGACCCCCATACTTGTCCTTCATTACCATTTTTTTAAGTTTTTTTGTCTTTATGGTTCCTGGGTTTAGAGAAACGATCCCTAAACTAAGCTTATTATATACTCAGGCCTCTCTTTCCACAGTGGTCAGTAAAATATCAAATTTCTGTTGGGCTTTTTAGACTGTCAAAATTCAACCAAATCCCTTTTTAAGGGGACGACTGAACAAGAGGATATATATCTAGGGCCTTTTTCAGTCAACAGCATAAACACTCCTGATGCTGTGATTTTTCTTAGAACTTCCTGTGAAGAGTGTGGTCACTGGCAACAGGCAAAACAGAACATCACCAGGCTTCATGCACTATGCTCATCCGGGCATGAGCAACACAACAAAAGCCTGCAGAGGTGCCTAGCTGTCCCCAAAGCATCGGTGTCAGGGGGCTGGGGTGGGGGAAGGGGAGAGAGGCCTTTGAGTGCAAGCAGCATTCTAGGCTCAAAAGAGCCAACTGTGCTGACTCAAAAAAAAAAAAAAAAATTTTTTTTTCAAAAATGCCTGTGGGTAAATTTGAGCTGCCCACAGCTCCCCAGGGGCATCTCGAACTTGCTGTCAAGCCATTTCTGTGGATTTCAGTCAAATTCTAATTTTAGTGTTCATTAAACACGGGTAATTCCCCAGCCGGTCCCTGCCTCACCTCATACACAGAGTACATTGGCAATATAGGTCACCCAGGCTTCGAAAGCACTCCCACATCAAAGAGAAACCTTTTCATTATAGGCATTAACTTTATAAATAATGAACTTTAAAAAATTTTCCAAAGCTGTGGGGCAGGCATGAGGAGAGCTGGCATACTCCTTGTGAACAAGTGCGTGAGTGTGGTTTCTTTTGGAGGTGACCGTTCATGAGGTTTCCGCTCGGGGAGCTGGTATGGTGTGAAGAGGTACCTGCATCTACTCCTCCATTTGGAAAGATATTTATTTAGACTAATAAGATGGGACACAATTATAATGTGTAATATTGGAAAAACTCACACAGGCAAATTCGTGCACGTGTACACACACATCCATCCACTACGGGCAGAGCCATGTCTACACACAACAAACTGCATAAAACAGCATTTTATGCCTTTCTTTGCTTGTAAACACTATTTCTTATCATAGCTGTATCAGTTAATATCTTTTTATCTGAAAGTAACTAAAACAAAAGCATGCTTAAATCCTAAGGATATTTAATATTCTACCCAACAGCCCAAAGGTGTTGACTCAAATACTAGCTGAACAGCCTCACCATCACGAAGTGGCTGCTGTGACACCAGACATCACTTCCTCGAACAAGAGTATTCATGTGACAAGTCTCAATGGTCACATTAGGCATCAGAAATGTTTTCTTCCCTGTTAATACATTTGCATACGTAGTTCCCAGCACCTTAACAAAGGTTCCTCCTTTTCTGTGCTCAGTTAACACCTATCCATTTCTTAGGACTTAACACAAGTGTCAGCTCCTGAAAGACCTTGTCCACCCTGACTGTTATCCACCCTGGAGTAGTCTACCCTGTCTGTCTCATTTTGTTCCCTACCATCAAAGCTTTTCTCATTCCTCCATATAATTGTGTGTTTACCTGCTTTACTCAGGACATTGTGAGCTGGATGAGACAGGAACTGTGATTTGTTGGTCTCTGGATGTCCTGTGCTTTACCCAGGGCCTGTTCCTCTGTGTCTCTTGACTGAACAACAAAAGAGAATTGTCCAGGTGCCATCCTAAGCTCAAAAAACCAAACCCCTATGCATGGGGCATGGATTCAGTGAGAGAGACCAGACCTGCCTTTACCAAGGCACAGGTGGGGAGCCCAGTTCTGCAGATGTGCATTGCAGGGACCTCATCTAGAATACTAGAGAATGGCTCCTACCTGCCAAACTCCAAGAGATTAACACATTCTTTAGGGCCCAGAGATTATGACGGGACTTCAGAGAAGCTGTTAGAAGAACATGGGCACAACTAACCTACACTCTGAGATTGTGGTGGGGTGTAGGTGACCATCAGGGTAGACAGAGAAGGAGGTTTCATCTTTTTCTCCATTGGCACCCCCTGGTCAGTTTCCAAGAAAGGGCCTGGTTCTGCTGCTGGGGGCAGGACACATCTGTGGTGGCAGCAGGCCCAGGGAGCTGGCTCAGGGCCTAGTAGCTCTTGGCAAGTCAAGAGGAACAGGGTGGGGAGAGCCATTTTCCCCTCCTCACTCCTGGCCTCACAATCCTGCAAAGGCCCAGACAAGGCAAGCAAACAGAAACCAACTCTCTGAAAGCAACGGGCCAGGCTGGCCTGGGGCTGCAGACGGCTTCAGGGCAGCGAGAAAACCCTGGAGTATGAGAGGTGTGGCTTCCAATCCAACCCAGTGCAGAGGTGAGCAGGTGGGAAGATGCCACAGAATGACCACATCTTCTCAGTCCCAAAGAGGCAGCCTTGGGGCAGAGCCAAACCCTGTGTTTGAATCCTAGCTCTGCCATGTAGAAGATACGGAGCCTTGGGGGATTTATTAACCTCTCTGCACCTCGGTTTTTTCATCACCAAAACTGGGATAATAATACCTGCCATGTTAGGTTGTTATGAAGATTAAATGAGTTAATATCTTTAAGTGCTTACAAGAATGCCTGGCATATAGGGCATGCTATCTATATAAAATATAAACAATGAAGTGAGATAATTCACTAAAACATCAGGGAACAGATAAGCCTAGACCTT
The DNA here is from genome assembly GCF_000001405.40 of Homo sapiens. Classification (NCBI taxonomy): domain Eukaryota; kingdom Metazoa; phylum Chordata; class Mammalia; order Primates; family Hominidae; genus Homo; species Homo sapiens. The sequence goes on from NC_000016.10 coordinate 80,348,617, forward strand.
CCAGTTTACCTGGACTTTGGATGTTAGGCCCTGTCCACACAACACAAGATGAAGCGAAGAGTTAGAAGCCACTACTAGTTAACCTGGTTAATTAAACCAGGTCAAGAATGCTATGCACCAAGCATGCTACATCAGTGCCTGAATCATTGTTATCATAGTTTTCATAAAATTGATGGTACCTTGTTCCATAATACAGTTGAAAACGAATCAGTTCAGACCTTATACATGAGCTAGAGCTCAAAGGGTTTGCTATTTGAATTGTATTGCCACGGACCAGGTAGAAGGGAAACAGTTTTTGTGTCAAAGATTCATAGAATTGAGGGTATAAGGATGACTAGACTCAGACCAAATGTGAGGTCCAGAGCTCACCTGGAAAACCAGGCCCAGGATCGCATGGTGGTGGGCGCCTGTAGTCTCAGCTACTAGGGAGGCTGAGGCAGGAGAATGGCATGAACCCAGGAGGCGGAGCTTGCAGTGAGCCAAGATCGTGCCACTGCACTCCAGCCTCGGCGACAGAGTGAGACTCCGTCTCAAAAAAAAAAAAAAAAGGCCCAGGATCTAAACTCTGGAGAGAAGACACGTCTCCAATGATGAGATGCATCGAAAGGGGGAAAGAACATGGTCTTCTTCTCAAAACATCAAATTAAACCATTACCATCTTGACGGTTTGATCAGCATCTGTTCCTTATACAGAAAGCACATTTTGCACTGGGGCTTTGTCCAAGTATTCAAATGTGGGTTGCTCCAATATTCTCCAGCCCCTCGCCTACCAGTCCTGGAGTTAATATTGTTTATGGGCTGTTAGTTTCCTTTGATTATTTTTATTGACGCCTGGTGCTTAAGAATCAGCAGATTGATGGCACCCCTGGAGCCAAACTCTGGGCAGATGCTAACGTGAGTCCTTTTCCCTACAGACAGAACCCAGACTCCGGAACACCCGAGGCAAGCCCACGATGCCATGTTGAGCAGTCACAGAGCCAGCCATTGTTGGGAGACATTGGGGGCATTAAGGAAAACCACATACAAAGCCACAGCTGTCACTGCTCCCATCATCCCCCACATGTAAGGCTGCTCCCTCCACTCCCTGACCCACCAGGTATTTCTCTGATGCCACTGCATATGTGATTCCCTTGGCCCAGGGTAATCTTTGCACATCTCTTCCTACAGAATAGTCATTCTGAAAGACTCTGCTCCAATTGCACCTTGATCAAGAAAACTTGTCTGAATTCTCACTCTGCATACTGGGAGAACCCTAAGCTGGCCTCTATTTTAACCCCCAGACAAAGCCTCCTACTTATTTGAAGTTTTGCACACAGACTCTCAGATCCTCAGAACAAGAACCTTTCTTCATCTCTGCATGTCCTTCTAAGCGCTGTTCCTTGCATAAAAAATGAATAAACAATTTTCACGTCTAAAGCACACACATAGGTGTGTAAATCTGTTAACCGTTACAAAGTGTATCAGTTTCCTGTGGCTGATGTAGCAAAGTGCCACAAACTTCATGATTTGAGAACAACATACATTTGTTATCTTACAGTTCTGGCGGCCAAAGTCTGAAACGGGTCTTATGGGGATAAAAGAAGGACTGCATTCCTTCTGAAACCTCTAGGGGAGAATTTGTTATCTTTTCCAGCTCCTAGAAGGCCATGCACATTCATTGACTCATGCCCCACCTGCCTCCACTTCAAAGGCAGTAGCATAGCATAGCATCTTTAAATCTTTCTCTCTCCCCTCCCTCTCATGCACACCTGCTTCCATTGCCCAACTCCTTTTTTTTTTTGAGACACAGTCTCCCTCTGTGGCCCAGGCTGGAGTGCAGTGGCATGATCTTGGTTCACTGCAACCTCTGCCTCCCAGATTCAAGTGATTTTCCTGCCTCAGCCTCCCAAGCAGCTGGGATTACAGACATGCGCCAACACACCCAGCTAATTTTTGTGTTTTTAGTAGAGACAGGGTTTCACCATATTGGCCAGGGTGGTCTCAAACTCCTGACCTCAAGTGATCTGTCCGCCTCAGCGTCCCAAGGTGCTGGGATTATAGGCGTGACCACTATGCCTGGCCACGCAACTCCTTTTCTGACTCTGACCCTCCTGCCTCCCTCTTATAAAGACCCTCTTGATTATATCTCAGATAATGCGGGATAATGTCCCCATATCAAGATCCCTGATCCCATCTGCAAAGTCCCTTTTTGCCATATAAGGCAACATATTCACTGGTTCAGAGGATTAGGACATGAACACCTGTGGGGCTATTATTCTGTCTAAAACATGAAGGGAGCATGAGACTGTGGTAAAGCACTGATGCAGTACTTGGAGGGATCTGGGCCCTAGTTCTGACGCTGTTACTGCCTCCTGTGTGATCCTGGGGAAATTGTTTAACCTCTCTGAGCATAATTTTCTTTGTCTATGGAAGCTCATGGGGTTACTTAGGAGTATAGAAAGATTTATATTCAACAGAAAAGCACTTTTAAATACCAGGACACAAAACAAGCACAAGATCCGGTTTTTTCAGATACTTTTTCTTTTTTAGGGATCTGCCAGCTAGACAGCTTTATTTAAATTGACTCGAAGTGAGACAGGATACAAACACACCACATTATTTAGAACATTACAAAAGCCACTACATCATAAAACTAAGGGATATGACCAGTGAGGCACTCAAAGGTAAATTCATAGCTGAATATTTTTAAAAGCTTATATATGAGAGCCATTACTGGATACTAAGCGTTATCATATTTGATTCTCAAATCTACCCTACTATTATAACTCATTTACACTTAGGAAAATAGAAGTCTTAGAAATGTTAAACAGACACAAGAAGTGGTAGAAATAAACCGAATTTAAATCAAAGCTTCATAGTGCAAAACCTCTGTTCCTCAATCACTGTTCATCCTGGTTATCATAGCTTTTTCAGGGAGGCATCCAGTTTTGTTGATTTTCTTTTTATCTTATGTAGCCAAAACTTACATTATTCCCATAGTCCCTTCTTACAATTTATGGGCACGGCACACCAACCTGATTTATGAGGGAAACAATCTCCATGGTTTTTGTGGATCTGCCTCTAGGTTGCCAGAACTCCATTTGCCCATGGTCATGGTCAACTTCTCCCTGCAGACAACCCTTAACCAGTGATTGGCAGGTATAGGATATAAATGTCCCAAACTCCTCACACCTTGAGTGGGAAAATTTGGAGCTTTTGTTTACACCACTTCCCTGAGTTTCCATTCAGGATTTAGCTTGAGCTGCCCACTACAGCACTTGGCTTACTACCTCACCTCTTACTGGCTGCCTGCCCTCCCCTGTACAGGTGCTGGGCCCTTGGTTGGGTCTGCTTCTAGGATGGGGAACTCAAATAAGACATGTAGATAAGACAACCTAGAAACTTATAGTGGTTCCCAACATAGGTAAGGAAAAATGAAACAAAGCACAACCCCATAAGTGAATTAAAGATAAAACAGCATTTAAAATGGTGGACTAAAATTGACATAAAACCAAAAAATGTGGACAACAATCTCAATATGCTTTTCCTAGAACACCAAGTAAAAAAAAAAAACAAATGTTGAGAGGGAAGTTAATAGGTAAGAAACACATGGCAAAGTTCCAGCTCCAACATATGGATAACTGGTGTTGCAGGAAACCAAAACAAATGAAACAAAAGTAAAATGGGAGCTACAATGAAGCTGAATAATTTATTCTGAAAGTGAAAAGGCAAGCAACATTAACACAAGAAGTAATACCTAGACATAACCTCTTTTATTGCTGTTTTTTTTTTAAATTCAAAAATAAAAGACTACTAAGAGTACTCAGGCAGAAAATTCATATTACCTATAAAAGAAGAGAATGCATGCTGGCCTTCCAACAACACATCCCAGAAGAAAACTGAGTAACGTCCATGTTAATGGTGTTTTAAAGGAGGAAAAAAATGGCTACCCTGTGAATGTTATACCCAGCCAAATAGACAGGCATATCTGAAAATGATTCAGTGATAGATACGTAGTGACATATAAATTATAACAAGCATTTTAGATTTTAGGGGAGAAAATTACTAAAATATTAGTAAAATGGAAAACCAAAATCTCTACATTGTTAATTCTGCTTTGATTAAAATCAGATTTAAAACAATCTCATAGTTAACTTTTGAGAGATTCTCAGATTTTGATTATTGATACAAAGCTGTGAGAATATAATGCCCTGGGCAAAATGTTATCACATATAAATTATTTATACTGCATATATAATGTAAATAAGGGTATAAGATAGGGAATACTCAGATGCTTTAAAACCTACTAAGAATACAAATATGAGCCAGTGTAGTAAAAGCTCTTTCTATGTTTTTAATCTTTCAAAATTTGAATTCTGACTAGTTTATTTGAAGCTCTAATGTCAGATTCTACATTGTTTAATTGTTATATAATTTTAAAATTGAGACAGTAATAACTTTTTTATAAAGGGGAATTTTTATTTGCTCATTGCACTTTTGTTTTAGGAAACAATTTTAATTTACTCAAACCTAACCATGAATGTACTGAAGTTATAATTAACCAACATAAAAACAGTTCCTATCTCATCAAGTTATGAAATAAAACAAACCAACAGAAAACACCTCTCCTCCACTTTGTACAAATTATGATTCAAGCGAAACTCAGTGGTGACTACAAGGAACACATTTTTAAATAGCACTGTGTCATGACTTTTTTCCCTCAACATGCAGAATACATGGACAAGAGATAAAACAAAGAACTCGAACATTAGCACAGTGTGTAAAATGATTGGTGGTAAATAGTAAAAACTTCTCCATGATGATAAAGTACAAATACAATAATATGAAGATAACCATGGAAAGATGTAACACATACAAAATCACAGTCCTATACAGAGTAAAAATAAAATCCAGATTCTGCACTACATTACCTTCTTAAAATATATATAAATATATATAACATATATATAATATAATATTTATATATCCATTACTACACAACAATCCAAAACTTAGTGGCTTAAATCGACCATGGTGTATTGTGACTGATGACCCCATAGGACGCCTGAATGGCTCTGTCAATCTGGGCTGCCGGAACTGATCTCCTCGGCCACACTGGCTCATGCATCTGTGGTTGGCGGGCAGTTCATCTGGGCCTGGTAGTCATGAACAACCTCACTTACCAGTCTGGCGGCTGGCTTGTCATCGTCTAAGGCCATTGGGTGATAGGGCCAAATGTCTCTCAGCAACCTGCAGGGTCACCCATGCTTGCTTACAGGATGGCTGCAGGTTTCCAAGAGACAGCAGAAGCACACAAACCCTGACGCGGCCACTGTCACTCCACCTTATGCCATTGGCAAATCAAGTGTCGGAGCTGGCACAGACACCAGACTCCATCACCTACAGGAGGAGCTGCAAAGCCATATTGCAAAGCGCACAGACACAAGGAAGGGGAAAGAAATGAGAACTTTTTCCACTGATTTTTGCAATCAATCTAACATGGTTAGGGAGAGGATAATGGGAGGAAGTAAAATGGTACCATCTTCTTGATAGTGATATAAAAATTATATTATTGGTATGGAATTATATTGATGACATAGTCTAAATTCAGAAAAGTACACTATAAAACATTGTGGTCTCCTATCTGTAAAGTAAAAATTATATAAAGAACTCGTAAGTAAGTAATAAAAGGATCAATACTCTTAATTTAAAAAGCCAGTCGTGGTGGCTCACGCCTGTAATCCCAGTACTTTGGGAGGCCAAGGCAGGGGCATCACGAGGTCAGGACATTGAGACCATCCTGGCCAACATGGTGAAACCCCATCTCTACTAATATAAAAAATTAGCCTAGGGTGGTGGTGGGCACCTGTAATCCCAGTTACTCAGGAGGCTGAGGCAGGGGAATCACTTGAACCTGGGAGACAGAGACTGCAGTGAGCCGAGATCACGCCACTGCAATGCATCCTAGTGACACAGTGAAGCTCTGTCAAAAAAAAAAAAAAAAAATTGACATGAGGCAATTCATGAAAGCAGAAACGTAATTGCTTAATCTGAAAAAATGTCCAACCTCATTAGCAACCAAACGGCCACTTTAAAAAATGCATATATGTGCATACACACATGTAGAAGTGTATATATGCACACACATATACATATATTTACACACTTTTTATAAAAATATATACATTTATGAAGGTATGCTAAACATATTGAAAGGATGCAGTTTTAGTCTACAGCCATACCACCTTGAATGTACCCCATCTTGTCTGAAAAGATGCAGTTTTGCCTTCCAAATTTGCAGACTTTTTTTTTTTTTTTTTTTTTTTTTTTTTGAGATGGACTCTAGCTCTTTCGCCCAGGCCAGACTGCAGTGGCGCGATCTCGGCTCACTGCAAGCTCCGCCTCCCGGGTTCACACCATTCTCCTGCCTCAGCCTCCTGAGTAACTGGGATTACAGGCGCCTGCCACCGCGCCCGGCTAATTTTTTGTATTTTCAGTAGAGACGGGGTTTCACCGTGTTAGCCAAGATGGTCTCAATCTCCTAACCTCGTGATCCACCCGCCTTGGCCTCCAAAAGTGCTGGGATGCGTGAGCCACTGCACCCGGCCCATTTTCTTAAAATGGTAATACTTGCTGTCCTAGGAGTAGAGTTACTCTTATATACAACTAGTAAGAATGTAGTTTGTATTAAGTTTTCTGGATGCCAGTTTGTCAACCTGTATCAAAAGCTTCAGCAATCAGTATGTTCTCTGGCAAAGCATACTAGGAAAAAATCAGCCATGTGTAACAATTTAGCTACAAGTTTTTTAGAATGTCATATATAACAGTAAAACACTGCAAAGAACCTAAGGATCAACTGAAGGAAGTGAATTAAGCAAAGTACAATACATCCATGTAATAGAATACTTTTTGATCATTAAAATTATGTTGGGGATTAACTGATAGGTTTATTACATAATATTCGGGAAAAAAAACACTATTTGTCAGATCTTTTTGTGTGAATGTGTACACCAACTGAAAAACACAAATACTAAGATGTAAATAAAAAACTGTACTTTAAAATTTATTTTGCTTTTATTTTCCTGTTTCTCTAAAATTATTTTGTAATGCTATTACAATAAAATATAGTTACTTAATTAATAGACAGCATGGTGAAATATTTGTAGCAAATGTGAGAAAAGAGGGCTCAGCATCTGCCACATAGCAAGACTTATGAAAAGAAGTATTTGGCAAATAACATGAATACATAAAACTACAGAAACAACTAATAATAAAATAATCTATTTCAATGGTGAGGAAATATATGCAAATTTCAACACTGGCTAAGTATGGTTAAAAGAATTTGTATACTTTTTTGGTGGAATTATAAATGTGTACGACCCTTCCAAGAAGCAACTGCACATGATTCAGGAGTCTCTAAATATAAGCCACAAAGCTGTAAAATATTAGAGGAAAGCATCAGAGAATATGTTAATGATCTTAAGATAGGCTTTCTGAATAAGACAAAAATAAATGCTAAAACAGAGATAATGACACACAAGTCAAAATCAAAATTATATGGCAATAGAACCCCTAGCTAAGTTAAAAGGCAATCAAAAGATCGTGAGGCAGGATGAGCCTTCCAGCTATGGCTGAACAAGCAGATGAACAAATAATTTCCCCAAGAGCAACTCTACAGCCGGACAAAATTAACAAAGCCAACCATTTCCGTGCTCTGGAAATCACCAAAGGTATACAGCTGTCTGAGAAGTATGTGTACCTGTGAAACTGCTGGACTTTAGGTAAGAGGAGGAGGACTGCAAAATCCACCATGCTCACCCCACCACCATCACTACCAGCAGCAGCACTACTACTATCACCACCACCGTCACCGTCACCGTCACCGTCACCGTCACCAGCAACACCACCACCACCATCACTAGATTATTGCCCCTCTAACAGTTAATACTGTCACAGGCTCTGCCCAGTGGGGGGTAGACCAGCAGCTTCTCTGCCACAGTTAAAGGAGCAATGCCCAAGCCCGGTGGCGTTATCAATAGAGACAAAGATCATGGAGGTGAGGAGGGCCCCTTGGTTCTACATGTCTGAGGTTACAATCATGTTTTGGGGGCAGTGTATTCCTGGCTGAGTCTGCCCACATGCACAGTGAGGACCGGAGAGAACACAACGTGGTACATCCCAACACTGGAATACTATTGGCTGAGTCTGCCCACATGCACAGTGAGGACCGGAGAGAACACAACGTGGTACATCCCAACACTGGAATACTATTAAACAGTAAAAAGAACTGCAGTCCTGATATTAAATAATGCTACAACACAGACAAACCTAAGACCCATGATGGTAAGTGGAAGAAGCCAGACAGAAAAGATTACATATGGTCTGATTCTATTTCATATGAAATGCCCAAAGAAGGCAAACTGATTGAGACAGAAACAGATAAGTGGCTGCCTAGGGCTAGGGGTGGGAGCATGGATACACTGAAAATGGGCACAAGGGAAATTTCTGGGTTGGTGGAAAAGGTCCAGAACTGTATTGTGACGATGGATGCAGAACTCCATAAATTCACCCAAAAAAATCCCTGAATTGTATATTTAAAATGGTTGAATTTTATGGTAAGTTAATTATACCTCAATATAATTGTCTAAAAAAAAGAGATAGGAAGACAATACATGTGTATCTGTCACAAAAAGAGCGATATTGTTAAAACGCAGGTCAGGCCGGGTGCAGTGGCTCATGCCTGTAATCCCAGCACTTTGGGAGGCTGAGGCAGGCATATCACTTGAGGTCAGGATTTTGAGACTAGCCTGGCTACATGGCAAGACCCCATTTCTACTAGAAATCCAAAATTAGCCAGCCATGGTGGCGCACGTCTGTAATCACAGCTACTCGGTGGGGGCTGAGGCATGTGAATCACTTGAACCTGGGAGACAGAGGTTGCAGTGAGCCGAGACCACGCCACTGCACTCCAGCCTGGACGACAGAGCAAAACTCCATCTCAAAAAATAAAATAAAATAAAATAAACATAGGTCAACAACTCAAAAGAAGACTGGACTAAGCAGGTAAACAGGGAGTGTACAAAAGAACTACAGATATCTGTCTACATTTAGCAGGTATCTAATCCACCCAGAAATCCGGGGAATTCAAGTGAAAACAGTGAGATGTCATGACCTCTTTCCAGCAACCTGACGCGAGAATGGTTGTTTCCATTTTTCAGATTAGAAACAGAGGCTCAGAGTGTTTCAATAATTTGTCCAAGTTCATTCCTTCAGTCCTTAAGTGAAAGTGCTCTATCATTCAATTATAATCTTGCCTCCCTGATCTTTGCTACTGTTACCTTAATCCAACATATACAGGTACAGTAAGAATATGGAGATGCTACAGATCAGGATGGGCCGGGCCAGGCTCACCTAGTTCAGTAATGTGCTCTGCCAGGAATTTGTATTATTCCTATTAAGATCTAATGGCCCATCAGGGCCTGTTATAGATTTTTTTGTTTTTCTCTTTATGGGTAGATATTGAGATTTCATTAATGCCAATTTATCACCAGAACCCTAAGTCTAACTAGTGTCGCCGTGGTTTCTTGTAGAAGCAGCAGGCAGTCTGTGAGTGCCTTGTTAGGTATAGTTTTAGGAGATTTTGTCCAAGCCACACCTGCTGCTCTTTTTCAGACGATCTGGGAGTCAGACAGCATTGGCTATTGCCCCAGCCACATAGCTCACATAACCTTGCATCCCCGACCAGGCCGCTTCACCTCATCTCTCTTGTGCCTCAATCTCCTCTTTTGTAAAAAGAGCTGCCCCAATCTTGCTGAACTTAGAGGAGAGGCTGGATGTGAATAAGCTTAGGAAAATTTAACACTGAAACAGGCTCCACTCATGCTATCTCCGACCCTACAACAACAGGCACAGAAAAGAAATCCTGTGTTGGGTTTTAAAGGTCTTAGCGAGCTATATTAACCTGGGTTTTAAACAACAAACCAAACCCCAAGCCACCCAGAACAAAAACACACTGTAATCAAAATGAAAAGCAAAGGCCTCCTACCTGCACAAAAGCCTCTGTTCCAAGGTTTTTGTTCCCTGGATTTTGGGTGCCTCCAGGTCTTCCCACAGGCACCTGAAGATCTGGGAAGGAAGGGCGAGCAGCCAGCTTACCATCTTCCTATGACCAGGGCACTCAGCAGATATGGGGATTCTGAACCCAGATCACCTGGACACCAGACGCTCAGCAGTGCAAGGCACCACCAGGTGATTCTGATGTGCCCTAATCTATGCAGTGCAGAAGGTCTCAAACTTAAATGTGTGGCAGAACCACCTGGGGAGCTACTAAAGAACAGAGGCCCAGGGTCTTCGAAAGAGAACAGTAACTGGGTCTCCGTCTGAACACCAGGTTCTCCAAATGATCACAATAGGAGCCAAGTGTGAAAACCAATAGGTGAGGAGCTGTCTAGGGGTGGAGCATCCACTCTTCTGGGGAAGGTGCTCCTTGAGGTAAGGGACATCACCTGTGCAGTACCTGGCACGCAGGAGGTATTGACTAAATGATAATTTTATCTTATTTACATGGCACGAGGGGAAAGAGAAGGCTATTTCGGGCACTTTAGGACTGCAGGAAAGGCCCACAGAGATGCCTCTCTGCATTGGTTTGGTAAACTGTGACTAGTTCCCATACCTTCTCAATCTCATGGTAGAACCAACTGTGGATACCAGCAATTTAACAACATGCCTGATGAGAACAGTTGCATTGGGGCTGGAAGTAGAAAGGGAGGGATTATTTACTAGGAATTCCCACGTGCAAAAACTTGCCCTGTGACCATCTCAGGGAATTTGTAATGAAATCTTCAAAAACCAAGGATGACTGGAAAACAGGGTTTGAATGAGTAGAGTGCAAAGCTTTCTATCATTTTCAGGGCCTCTCCATCATAATATCCATTAATATTTAAAAATAAAATGGGATAACATAAAAAGTATTCATTCACTCGCTCATTAATTCGTTCATTGAGGGCATGGTGGTTGACAGTCTGGAGTCTGGGATTGCGCTGCCTGATTCTGCCACTTCCAGTTACACATTTCTATCGCTTCATCCCTTTGTTCTCAGTTTTCTGCTCCATAAAGTAGGGGTAGTAACACTAACTCCTGGAGAATTTGGGTGGATTTAACAAGGTGCGTAAGTATCAGAACACCGTCAGGCACGGAGTATGCACCTATACATCCTAGCTACTATCACTTAGTTTTTCATAAGCAGCGGCCCTGTGCTACATGCTGAGAATGTAGAAATAATGCCCTCAAGGGGCTTTCAGGCAGGTACAGTAGATAGGCAGGTGAGCCAATGAGTGTGGTCCAGTGTGGCAAGGCCCAGAAAAATGACAGGTGAGCCAATGAGTGTGGTCCAGTGTGGCAGGGCCCGGAACAATGACAGGAAATAAAGACAGAGGGGATGCAGAAGCTGGCACTGGAGCCAGATGGCTCTAGGGAGTTATTTGTTGGGGAAAATGGGAGTATCTCAGAAACTCCCCTGGATGTTAAAGAGGCTGAGAGGCCAAGCACGGTGGCTCACGCCTGCAATCCCAGCATTTTTGGAGGCCGAGGCAGGTGGATCATGAGGTCAGGAGATCCAGAACAGCCTGACCACACGGTAGAACCCCATCTCTACTAAAAATACAAAAATTAGCTGGACATGGTGGTGCACACCTGTAATCCCAGCTACTCAGGAGGCTGAGGCAGGAGAATCGCTTGAACTTGGGAGGCGGAGGTTGCAGTGAGCCAAGATCACGCCACTGCACTCCAACCTGGGCAACACAGTGAGACTCTCTCTCACAAAAAAAAAAAAAGAAAGAAAGAAAGAAAAAAGAAGCTGGGAAACCTCTGGCTTAGAAGAAGAAAATGAGTAATGGATAGGAAGGAACTGCTGGTGGAAGAGAGACATGAAGGGCTGCTGGGGGAAGGGGAAGGGACAATGTGGCCTGGTGGGACTTTGAGCTTGCCTCTTGGATGTCCTCACCACCAAGCTGAGTCGCAGTTCTTCACCCATGTTGTTAATCTCTACTGACTCTTCCGAACTTTTCCTTCAACCATCTCATCCCAGTTTGTAATTAGCCGTTACAAATGATTACTTGTGTATGTTGATGTGTTTGTCATCTGACCCTCCAAAAGTTAAGCTCTAAGAAGGTAGGAACCTTATCTGTTTCTCCATCACTGGGAGCTTGGCACTCAGCACATACCTGGCACATAGTAGCAGCTCAATAAATGTGTTGCATAATGAATTAATTGGGTAGCTGCACCTAGTTGGGTGTGGACAGTTCAGATGCATCTGAGAATTTGTTTAATTAGAATTACAGCCTTCTTCCTCCAAACCATTCTGAAACTCAGGCCTCAGATTGCTTGCCTTCCTAAGGATTTTTCCACCATTCTCCATTTTTTTGACACTGTTGTTTCTTCAAAATCAATTCTCTGAGTGTCTGCCCAAGCCTCACAGGCCAGATCTTAGTCAAGCCCATTGTTGAACTCCAACTTCCAAGATGGTGCTTGGGGTACAGTTCAAATCTAAATTTTATTGGTAAATCTGTTGGTTACATTTCAGGCAAGTCAGAAATAAAAAGCACACAGCTCTCTTGTCAACAAATTTTATCCCCCAGATCATGAAAAATGTGGACTGTACATGAAAAACTCATTTTAAAAAATGAAAAGCCTATATGGATATAAGGCCTCAAAATATACATTTCAAAACACAATGAAATCCATATTTCATCTGGACTGTGAACAATCCCAAAAGCATGTTAAATAATGCCATGAACAACACAGCTTCAACAGATTGTTGGGGAATCAAAATGTGGACTTTTAAAGGAATCTCAGGCCGGGAATCTCAGATGTTAATGTCGCTTGCCTAAAATAAAAGGGACAGGTAACAATAGCCACAATGGAACACAGCAGTGTTACTAAACTCTAACTTAATGCTCCCACTTGCCAAAGTCAAAAACCAACTCTCTCATGCATCCATTCAACAAAATTTTTCATGTGCATCTTCTGTTTGCCAGGCACTGTTCTTCAAGTTCTGGGAATATGGCAGTGAGCCAACCTGACAAAACCCCTTGAATTTATGAAGCTTATAAACTCCTAGAGGAGACATCCAATAAACGAATAACTGTGTAATATTTTGGATGGTAAAAAGTGCTCCAAAATAAAGCAGAGTAAGAAGAGAGAGAATGTTGGAGATGGGGGGAAAGGGGTGGCACTGTCTTAAATAGGGTGGACAGAGCCACCCTCACAGAAAAGGCCGTGTTTGATTAAAGATTAGAGGGAGCTGAGAGATTGAAGCGCATGGATTTCTGTGGGAAGAACACTCCAGGACCTAGGGGATGAAGTATGCTGAGTTTCTGAGGTGGGAATGTGCTGTGTGTGTAACAAACAGCAAGGAGTGGTGGCAGCAAAAGATTGAGGGAGACAAGGAGAGAGAAGTGGGAATGAGTAGGGATAGGGGAGTGAGGAAGGCGAGGCTGGCAGAGCAGACGGCTTTTCAGTCTTAGGTAAAGACTGACTAAATCTCTCTGTTAAACAGAAAAGTTTACAAGAGTTTGAGAAGCATAAAATACCAAAATGAAACTTTCATCTCATAGAATCAGAAAGATAGTTCTAAGATGGCTAATGAATGAACAGGGTGTCAAATGCTTTCAGATGTAATTTAACGCCACCTAAAGTTATTGGCATACGAGCAAGGGTCGCATTGCCATATGTTGGAGATACACCACAACCCTATTCCTGTTCCCTCTTTTTCCCCTGAACTCAAACACAGGTACAGGTATATGCTTCCTTCACTGTAAATGACAGAAATCGACAATTCCAGATAGTAAATGGGCCCACTGTTATTTTTAGGGCTTGGACAGCTGAAGCCACTGAACTCAAAAGTGCTCCCTTGATCAAAGAATCCTACAAGGATTCCTCAGCCCTGAGAGCTGTGTCTCTAATAGGATTATGCCTGAATTAAAAGACGGAACCATTTCTAACTGAGGGCACTCTCTGGCTTTGAAGTTTGCCTCAACAAATGATCCATTTTTCTATAAACCAGAGCCGGAGAATGACAAGGAAACTTGCAACTATTCCCAAATGGAGAGCTTTGCACAAGATCATCAGGGGAGAGGAAGCATTCGAACGAACACTCTGCATCTGCCTTTGAGCAAATGATGGCACGAAAGAGAAATGTTTTTCTCTCCTGAAGCATTTGACAAGACTGTGGTCATTTATGTCAGAAGCAAAAAGTGTCCAAGTCCTGAAATCATGTGTGTGTATGTGGGGGTGAGGGTGTGTGTGTGCATGAGCACAAACTTTTACATGAGCTCATTGCAGACTCCCGTATGACGTGTAAGTCAGCATGCATCAGGTGCCTACACAGCGTCAGGTGGATAGAGGTTAATGGCACATGTTTTTTCTCTCTATTTGCCACAAGGAGATCAAGAGGAAGAGGAAGAGAAGGAGGAGGAGGAGGAAGGAAGAGGAAAAGGAGAAAATGAGGAGGAAGAAGGAAGAGGAGGAGGAGGAAGAAAGAAGAGGAGGAGGAGAAAGAGGAGGGGAAGGGTAGGGGCCAGGGGAAAAGTGATGAGGGGAAGAGAAGGACAGATGGAGGGGGAGAAGGAGAAGAAGGGAGAGAAGGAGGAGGAGAAGGAGGGACAGAGGAAGGAGAAAGACAAGGAAGAGAAGTAGGGAGAGAGAGGAGAGGAGGGAGAGAGAGAGGGGAGGAGGAGGGACAGAAAGAGGATGAGGAAGGAGAAAAGAGGAGGGAAGGAGGAGACCAGGAAGAGGGGGAGAAGCCACCTCATTCTCCTCATGTGCAAAATGGAAATAACAATGGCATCTTCTTCACAAGATAACTGTGAGAATTCATTGAATGGCATATGTAGTGATTGGCCCATAAGAAGCATCAGATAATGTGCTTCGTTCTTTGCCTCCTTACTCTTTGTCAAGCTATCACCAGTTCACTCTTTTTATGTCTCCCTCAGGAAAGCCTTCCCTGACCTCACCCAGATCATCTCTGTGTTCCCCGCCTCAGTCTGGTGAAGCACCGAGGTGTGGGCAGGGCTGGTTCCTTCTGGAGGCTCTGGTGAAGAATCCTTTCCTCACTTTTTCTGATGTTTGGTGGCCACCTGCCTTCCCTGGCTGTGGCTGTGTTACTCCAATCTCTACTTCCACCAGCCCTTTGCCTTCTCCTCATCTATGGACAAATTTCCCTCTCCCTTCATCTATAAAGGCATTTTTGGCTACATTTAGAGGCCACCCAGTTAACTTGAGATAATCTCTCCATATCAAGATCCTTAATTTAATCATGGCTGCAAAGTCCCTCTTACCATAGAAGGTAACATTCACAGGTTCTGGATGTGAAGATAATAAACATCTTTGAGGGCCATTATTCAGCCTATTCCACTCAGGTTCTACATTTGTTTGGAATGTTTTTAGGTGTAAACAACAGAAAATCTGGCCAACCCCAACTAATTTTTTCACGTAAAAATAAAGCTGGAAGTAGGTAACGTTGGCTTTATGTAATCATGTCAACACAGGCACCTCTGTAATTCTCTTGACCCTACCCTTCTGGTCACAAAATGACACCTGTCGCTGTAAACAATGTCTACCTCAAAGGCAAGAAGTGGTACAGGGGTAACACCAACCTCATCTTTTTATGTTTTATTAGGAAAGCCAAAGGTTTCCCAGATACCCTCCCAGAAAAATGTGCCTCATGTTCCATTGACCAAAACTGGACCTTGGTTACATGGACCTAGTCTCTGGCATTGCATTTCCACTGTTTTTTTCTATTGTTTCCTGTAAAGAGTCACTAAATCTAATCCTCACTCAAAAGGAAGAAATTAGACCCCACTTTCTGAATGGACAAGGATCAAAAATTTTGTAGACATATTTTAAACCACCATATTTACCAATTGTTTGTATGCTTTGATAATGTCCTTTTCACCTGAAGTCATTACTTGTACTAACTAGGAGCATGCAATATACCTTGTTATGGTAGCAATAGTAGGTAGAATTAATAGCTGTCCTGTTTTAGCACTCAGGAAGCTCCATTAACTCTGCAAAATACTTTAGTTTGTTATTTCATTCAATCCTAACAACAACCTCATGAGCCTGGTATTTACCAGGTAACAGGTTGGTGATTGTTTACCACCCCAGTAACCAGCCCTATGGGAGAAGCATAATCCTTGCCCCTTGACTGTGGGGTTGTCCATGTAGCTTACTTTGGCCAATGAAATGTTAGCAGGATTGAAAAAGGGCTTGATGAACGCTTGGTTGATTGGGCTCATGCTCTTTTCCCTCTGCCGTCACCATGAGAGGGACATGCTTCAGCTAGCCCGCTGCTCCAAGAGGATAAGGGGCATGTAGAGTAGCTGCCTCCCAGCAGCCTGCAGTCACGTAGGGGAGTCCAGCAAAGATCTGCAGTCTCCTGACTAAGAGCAGACTAGTTCATCTGACACACGGATATTTGAGAATTTTTTTTAAGTGAGTTTTGTTTTAAGCCACTACATTTAGGGAGGTTTTTACAAAGCAATGGTTAAACATTACAAGCATCATCTCCATTTTCCAGATGTGGAAACAGAGGCTTAAAGACATAGAGAATTTGCCCAAGGTAAATCAGCTGTTAAGTGGCGAGGACAGGATTAACACCCAAATCTAGCTGCATTTCAAACCCATTCTCTTAGTTATTATGAAATTCTACTTGTGTTGAATCAATTCTTGAAGTTTAAATCATTCTCCCTACAGCTTCCACCTTTTCCTCTACATTAGAGAACAACATCCTAACAACAGACTAACAAAATTACAGAAAAAGTCAATAAGGGCCTCTTAGACAAAGAAAAAAATAAAAATATAAAACAGAGTCACATAGCTCAAGTCCCTTCTGACAAAGCCCCATCGGTCTGACAGAGCAAACACAGAAAGGATTTAAATTTTAATTTCACTGTAAGGGTTTCTTTGGCTCAGAAACAACTCATCTCCCTTTAATTTATCAGAAGATACAGTACTGTAATAAAATAAGACAAAAATCTTCCAAAGTGTAAAATGCATCTACTCTCAGGTTTCCAAATTGTATATTAGTTTGCATTGAATTTATTTTCCTGATTAGATTGCCTTTTAGCTACACCAGTCCTAGAGGGATATGATGCCAGAATCACCAGGCAATTTTGCAAAGAAATCCATCAGTCCAAAAGGAAAGACTGTGTACTCTCTCATTCCAGGACTTCACAGTGAAGTTTGTTTGTTTGTTTGTTTTTGAGATGGAGTCTCACTCTGTCGCCCAGGCTGGAGTGCAGTGGCGCGACCTCAGCTCACTGCAACCTCCACCTCTGGGATTCAAGCGATTCTCCTGCCTCAGCCTCCTGAGTAGCTGGGATTACAGGCACACAACACCACGCCCAGCTAATTTTTATATTTTTAGTAGAGACGGGGTTTCACCACTTCGGCCAGGCTGGTCTCGAACTCCTAACCTCAAGTGATACACCTGCCTCAGCCTCCCAAAGTTCTGGGATTACAGGCGTGAGCTACCACGCCCGGCCTCACAGTGAATGTTTTTACCAAGTGATCGAGGTTGGACCTCCTTAGCGAGGTCAGGAGAAGGAAAGAAGCCTGGTGTGGGCGACACAGCTACTATGAGTCACCTGCATGCCAGCTGTGTTCAGTGCCTGTGTGCTTGAGGTATCTTATTTAAATTTTACCATCATTCTGTGAGACATATCTTGTTCCATTGTTACAAATTAGAAAACAGAGGTTTGCAGAGTTTTAAGGAAACTTAGGCAGGGGTTACTCAACTAGTAAGAACAAGAATTAATATTTGAGGCCGGGCATGGTGCCTCATGCCTGTAATCCCAGCACTTTGGGATGCCGAGGCAGGCGTATCACCTCAGGTCAGGAATTCGAGACCAGCCTGACCAACATGGAGAAACCTTGTCTCTACTAAAAATAAAAAATTAGCTAGGCGTGGTGGTGCATGCCTGTAATCCCAGCTACTTGGGAGGCTGAGGCAGGAGAATCACTTGAACCTGGGAGGCGGAGGTTGTGGTGAGCCGAGATCACACCATTGCACTCTAGCCTGGGCAACAAGAGCAAAACTCCGTCTCAAAAAAAAAAAAATTAATATTTGAGAATTTTTTCTAATCATATATTGTATGTGGCTTTTCGTTAAAATATTCTAATTTATTTGTAGAAATAAAATTATAATTTCTGAGTCAAACTTCTGTTGAAGTTTTGGGACTGGTGACTAGGAGATTCTATGATATAGGAAGCTTTTAACTACAAGTAAGAAAAACGTATTAATAGTGTATTAAATCATGAGATGTGTCTACCTAATATAACAGAGTCCAGAAGTGTGGTGGCTCCAGGGCTGGTTGACTCAGGGACAGGGACTGCACACAGCATCAGTATCACCACTCTTGTGCCCTTGGGAGACATTATCCATCAACCACAATCTTCTTTCTGTTCAGCCCAAACTCATCTTCAGAACCTTTCTTAACTAGAGGCTTTAAGAAGCTATAGTCAACCAACTGGAATTAGCAAGCCATGCTAAAGCTATTCTTTTCTGATTCAGACTCCTTCTTGCCCAGTGAATCAATAATTGGGAAGCACCTGCCATGCCTTCAGCTCTCCTGACAACAAAAGTGGTTGGAAATACAAGAGAAGCAGAGTAAATGGCCTCTCCCCTGAACAGGCTGAAATCTTGCTGGAGAAACAAAATATAGATACATGAAACAATGAAGGAACTTATTTTAAAACTGCACTAGGGCAGATAATAAAGAACAAATTCTCTACACCATTGGTAAAGAGATACACTCTAAAGGGATAATTTGGGAGTTAACCGGTTTGGTTTGGTTTCGTTTTGGTTTTTGACCTGGGTCTTGCAACATTCTTATTAGGAATACCTCTACTACCCACTAGGAAATGTCTTGCATTGATTTCACTTTATTATTCTATTCATAACCTGTCTGCTCAAAGCTAGAAAACTTCTGACAATATACAGGCTTTTTCTTTAATAGAAAAAAATATAATTTGTGGAATACTCTTTTTGCTCAGTCATTAATAGGATGATATTAGTGTTTACTGTGTTGTAGCTTTTTTGTTTTGTTTTGTTTGTTTTTGTTTTTGTTTTCCCAGAATTCTCCTCAGGCCATGATGACAAAGATAATTTTAGGTGTACTGTATATTTGTTGTTGTTTATATTCATCCCCAAAGGTAATTCTTCTAACATATTTAATTTTGTACAATGTGTTTTAAATAATTTCTGCTGTCTTCCTCCAGCTGCTTCATAAGTTAGATAAAAACTTGATTCACGGTCTTTATTTCAAGTTTCAGGTTTTGCACTTTGCATCAAATTTTGTTAAAGAAACAACTCCCTGCATTGGAATTTGAAAACACCACTCAGGGAAATCTCAACTGTGCTGCAGTATTTTAAAATAAGAGGTGTATGCAATGATGTTTAACAAGAGAAAGAGCTCATTTAAGGAGACTCGGAAATGATCATTTTCTTGGGTATCTGTTACAGCTAATTCTCAGCAAAGGGGCCAAGCAGAAGTCCTCCAACATTTAGAGACAGGACAGAAGATTACCAGGGAAAGGCATGGCTGAATCTGGAATTACGGGCAAATTAAGAAAACTCAAAATTAATGGCAGAGTGAAAAATTCAGTCATCACAAATTCTCAGACTCATGTGGCCAAGAATCACTCCTGTGACCTACAGACCCTTATACATCATCGGCACCCACCATCGCTGCACAAACATTACCTTTGTAGGGCTGTTGCTCCCCAGCCCTCCCCTATATCCTTGCTTCAAGTCAGCATATGCCCCCACCGCGCCCCCACCTACTTGCTCTGATGTTGCCCAACCAGTCTTTGGTTTTGATTTATAACATAATCGATAAGAAATTGCAAGTCATTTTTTTTTCTACTTCTACAACTTAATCTTTAAAATTCTTTGGCGATTTCATAATTTTCTAAATTTAAAATTGTTTTTTCCTAATAGTATTCCATATTAATTTGGCCAATAAAGGCAAGTAACATAAAGAGCTTTAGGAAATCCTGACAGAATATCATTTTATCACAATGAATAAAATAGAACAGGTTTCAATTAAATGTTAACAAAAAGATTTTTTTCTTATTATAAAATCAAGACATGCTCATTGCAATAAATTCAGACAGCATTCAAAAGTATAAGGAGGAATTTCAAAGTCATCTTCAATCTCCCGGAATAACCACTGTTAACATATTAGGGTGTCTCAACAGAGACCCTTTCACATGCATGTACCCACACGTGTATTTTCAGTAAAATAGGATCAAGCATATATGATTCCTTGCTTTTTTCCACTCAATAATATACCACGGTCATTTTTTTTCTATGTCAGTAAGCATAGATTTCAATAACTGTATTAAATACTGCACAATATTCCACCATATTGATGTACCAAAATGTACTTTTCTAGCCTTATGTGATTGATCACATAGAGCAATTCCAGTATTTCAATATTATAAACCAGCCTGCTATGAGCATACACCTGGCATCCTTACCCATTTGTGGCCTAGATGATTTTTGCAAAATCACAATAATAGTTCTTCAGTTCTGCCTGTTAATAAACCTTTCATGGTCACCATTCTCTCTGGATATTATGGGTGACAGTGCCTGATGCAGACCCAGTAGCTGTGAATGCAGGGTGACTAAAGGAGAGACATTCCTACACACCACCTTGGCTGAGGATGTCAAGAGCAATAGGATCAGGGCCTTTAAGGATTTCTTCAAGTGTTTATACAAAACACTCCCTAGGGCTCCAGAAATAGCTGGGAGACTGGAGGGTGGGAAGCTGAAAATCTTCCCTGTCTTGATAAAGGTAGCTCAGAGAAAGACTATTATTGGTTTCTATTAATGTAACTGACTTCTGAGCTGTCAGGAGGCAAGCTTGCATTTTAGAGCAAATGAATAAATGCGTTTTGGATGCACTACTAACAAAGGGACCGGCTTATTTTAAATTCTCCCCAGAAACAAAACAAATAAAGATAAAGTCTCAGAATCATCACTTTCAGATGCCAGCTCAGAGACCACCTGGAGAAACCTCACTGTCTCTCAGCAGTTCCCTAGCCTGCTGCTTAGAAACCACCAGAATCAGGAACAGCCACCGCCAGAGAACAGCTTCATCCATTATCCGATGCTGCCTCCTTCTGCCGGCCATTAGCAGGTGAACCTTTTTTCCCCCAAAGGAGCACTATTGCTGACTTCCAGTGTATGTAGCCAGGGTTTTAGGAGTGTGGCTGCAGGGGCTGACGGAGCTCCGCAGCCATGACCACTCCCTGTTAGGGAAAAACTTCAAAGCCATGGTGCTGGCTTTTCTCCTTATGATGAATGGGCAGCATGGCAGTGTGTTTTGTTATGCCAACACCATCATAAACGGCTTTAATAATTGCCTCAAACTCTCTGAAATCAGTTGTTTCTACAATTAATGACTGATTTCACAGGGCATTAACCATCCCTAGCAATAGTTCATTAACTGCTGGCGAGTGGGAAGCCATTGTTGGACGGTACTGATGCTGCCTTCAGAAGATTTGCCGATGGTGAGCAGGGACATGTGCCCAGAGGAAAATAACAATGAAGGTAGCTTTTCTGAGCACTTGGAGTCACAGTGCAGGGTGGTGGATGTCAGCAAGATACTTGTAATATCTCAGCTCCAGCCTTAAGCTGTGGCAAGAAAGCCAAGAAGCAAGACAACAGAGCTGAGAGCTAACCCAGAGAGGACTGTGCTGTCTACTGCAAATGGTCTAGAGTCTGCCCTATCTCCAAGCTCCTGTGATAAGGGAAGGTGAGGATCCATGGAGGATGATAGCAGGAGGTTTGAACAATGAATGGGGAAAGTGATAATCTGATTGTAAAGACCAATAGCCCTCTCTCCAGCACAGGACTTGAGCTTCATGAGAGCTGGCAGCAGGCCTTCTTCTCCTCACCAAAGCATCTCCAAGGCCTAGACCAGTGCTGTCATGTGATAAGTGCTCAATAAGTATGTGTTGCATGAGGCCTAGGCACGGTGGCTCACACCTGTAATCCCAGCACTTTGAGAGGCTGAGGCAGGCAGACTGTGTGAGCCCAGGAGTTCGAGACCAGCCTGGCCAACATGGCAAAACCTTGTCTTTACTAAAAATACAAAAATTAGACAGTCGTGGTGGTGTGTGCCTATAATCCCAGCTCGTGGGAAGGCTGAGGCACAAGAGTCACCTGAATCCAGGAGGCACAGGTTGCAATGATGCAGTGAGCCGAGATCATGCCACTGCATTCCAGCCTGGGTGACAGAGCAAGACCAGTCTCAAAATATACATACATATATATATATATATATATATAATTTATATAATATATAATTATAATATATAATTACACATATTTATGTTTATATATTACATACATATATTATATATTATATATTATTGTGTGTGTGTGTATATATATATATATATATTCATTGTTGAATGAATGAAGAAACTAGAGACAGAGAGAAGTTCAACACCAGAGCAAGACATCCCGGTTCAGAACAGAAACCTAGACCTGAAGGGAAAGAGAGACAAACCCCTATTTCTGAAGGAGGCCAAAAGGAGACCTAGAATAGGCCCAAGTTACAGATCATCTGCCTTTGAGGTTCAACTTTCTAAGGGCTCTATGCTCAGTCAAGATCATCTTGGAAATCAGACAAGCTCAGAGATGGCCCACACAATGCATCTACGGGAAAACAGGACTGGGAAGGTAACTGTTTCTTCCCCAAGTGGTGTGTGCTCTCAGACGGCCAACAGGGCCACCATCTTAGTCCCTGGAATGACTCCTTTGGCCTCATCATAAACTCTTCTCTTTCCTCTGCTTTCTAGCCCACTGGCTTCCTCTTGGCTCCTCCCATATATCGCGATTTTTCCCACCCCTAGGCCTCTACACACGCTGCTCTCTCTGGATCTAGTGTGTTTCCCTCTCCTTTTTGGTTCAATCGATCCCTACCCATCCCTCAGGCCTGGCTCCATCATGCTGCCACAGTGAAATCTCCCGACCACTGGAGGTGCTCCCAGCACCAGGCATCCCTTCTGCACTGTTGCAGTCTGTCAGTGCCCTGTTGCTGTTTGGTCAAGACTCATCCTCCAAGGCTGTAAACTTCAGATACCCACATGCATCACATTCATCATTGTTTCCCCAGTGTCTAACACAGTGCCTGGAATGCAGTGGGTTTTCAATACATATTTTTTAAATGAATAAATGCTGATGAATGAGGTCCTTTATTTTCCAGTGGGCAACTAGATCAGAATAAATGCACTGGAGGAATTTGTCAAGTCCTCCAGCAATGAGATGTCTTCACAGTGCACACCTTTGACCATCTTGGGGAATGCAAAGCAGAGGAAACAACAGCAATGATCAAAGCAAATCTTGGGCAGAACTGGCCCATTTTCCTCCTCTGTGTTTTCCTTTGCCTACTCAGGCTAAAACAGCACATTTCCTGGGAGGCTGGGTATCTTTACAGATGAATTCACCACTTTCAAGCATTTGACAAGGGTTGACTTGTTCTCATCTCAGTTGACACCCTGATGCTGGATCTCATAGGTCTCTGGCCTAAAAAAAAAAAAATACACTGGAAACATCTCAAATCCTTCTGAAAATTAAATTGGAATCCATCGACCTAATCTCTATCATGGGCATTATAAATCATTTTTAAGATTACTATGTTTGTTTTTGTTTTTGTTTTTATTTTTGTTTGTGCCTCTTAAAAATAGAAACAAGAAGAAATATGCCTCAGGGAAGGCTCACAGGGCCGACTGGGACCATTGGAGCTTTGTCATCGGAGGCTCCACTCGGGGCTGAAGGGGCTGGGATTAGGGGAAAAACCAGCAAATGAGCTCAGAAAGGCAGGAACAAAAGCTGAAAGAGATGATCTCACCTCATAGCGCCAAAGGAACAAAGCTCCCACCCAGCCCCCTAGGATGTTGCTTCAGTTTGGTCCCAGCCTTTGTAACCAAAGCTTAACGGTTTACGCGGGTGACGTGCAAGGCACTTTCACATTCATTAACTCATTTGATCCTCATAACTGGGGGAGGTGAGCAGGGCAGGGCTTACTCGGCCTCTTTCGTTAAAGGAGAAAATAAAAGCTCAGCTTTCTAGTGGCAGTGACCCAGTCAGGGCTTGACACCTACTCTTTTGACCACCCCTGCCCCCTATCAGTTTCTATTGTCTCATGCAAATCTTCCTCCTAGTTTCAAAATAAAATCATAATACTAGCTGATATTTACTGAGGGCTTATTATGTCATGACATAATGACAAGGACTATATAAAAATGTTTTACATGCATTAATTTATTAAATCCTATCAATAGGATTCTGAAGGTATGTATTAGGTTCATGTAGCAGCTACAACAAATTGTCACAAACATGGTTGCCTCAAGCAACAGAAGTCCAAAATCAGTTTCACTGGGCTGAAATCAGAATGTCAGCAGGGCTAGTTCCTTCTGGAGACTCCAGGAAAAATCTTTTATTTGCCTCTTTCAATTTCTGGGGGCTGCTGGCATTCCTTGGCTTGTGGCCACATCACTCCAATCTCCAGGGCTAGTATCTTCAAATTTCTCTGTTTTACCTTCATCTTTACATTCCTTCACTCTG
Source organism: Homo sapiens (assembly GCF_000001405.40). Lineage (NCBI taxonomy): Eukaryota > Metazoa > Chordata > Mammalia > Primates > Hominidae > Homo > Homo sapiens. The sequence continues at coordinate 80,373,236 of NC_000016.10, forward strand.
CCTCCCTCACGTAAGGACCCCTGTGATGCCATTAACAGCCCACCCTGACAATCCAAGATAATCTCTCCATCTCAAGATTCTTAATCACATCTGCAAAGACTTTTTCCAAATAAGCTAACATTTGCAAGTTCCAGGGAATTAACATGGATATCTTTGGGGTACCATTTTCAGCCCATCACAAGTAGGTAATGTTGATATTCTCCACTTTGCAGAAAGAGGAAACTGAGGCATGGAGAGATGAAATCACAAGCCTAAGGTCACACAACTAGTACAGGTAAAACTAGGACTGCAACCCAGTCACTCTGACACTGGGGTCTGCTAAGCTGTACTGTCTTCCTAACTTGCCCATAACTGGGGCAATCATTTTGAAGAAACAGAATAAAAGACAACTCCAAAGAGGGTCTGAATATTTTCCCCTTGGCATTAGATTTGCAATTAGCTGTGGTTACGGCCCAGTGAAGTATGGTGTCTAGGAAGTGGGCCTTAGTCCTAGAATGTGGTCTCCTATCCACAGAGATTTTAGGCAGAATCACTCATCTGGCTTTAAATAAGCCACGTCTGAGAGGTTCTCATCTTGGGAACCATATCTTGTTTTCCAAGGAACCACTCTAAGGCATGGGCTGGTCCCCTTGCCTCAACCCCCAACATCCAGGTGCTTTGATCCAGCAGAGGTTCAGGGAGCAATCTCCATTCTAGTAGAACAGGCCAAGGAGAGGCTGGGTGTTTATGATTCCCACATGAAGAGAAATAATTTTGCTTTGGAGCTTCTTTGCTACAAGCTTAGGGAGCTTACAGTCATGGCGGAAGGCTAAGGGGGAGCTGGCATATCACACGGCAAGAGTAAAAGCAAAAGAGAGAGAGAGGGAGGTCCACACACTTTTAAACAACCAGATCTCATATGAACTCTCACTTATCACCAAGGGGATGGCAATAAGCCATTCATGAGGGATCTATATATACAAAGTCCCACAACTCTAATACAATCATTTCCACTTCAGGTCCAAACTGGTCATGGGAATCCAAGGGTGACCCAACTTTGCAACAGCTTCTAGAAGTTTGCACCCAACTAAGAACCAATGTATGTGTGGACAGAGGTGAGAAAAGACAGAATGACACACTCAGGATTGACGGGAACCTAGGAGACCACACCCTTTGACACTGTCTCAGAAAGGAAGTGATTTCCTTTCCACTTCTTCACTATGGACCTAGGTACAACACACATGAAAGTGATAGTTAAAAATGGAATGAGCATGTGTATTGACTCAACTTCAGGTCTCAGGTCCTGCACGATCGACTTCAACTGGCAACAGCTCATCTTGAATTTCCAAATATAGCTGAGCCATCAGTAGCCCAGTGTGTGCACAATGGTCTATAGGAATGGCATCTCAGAAAGGTAAATGGGGAACTGGAACATTGGGTGAGGGCAAGAAATAAGGCAATGGATTGGTAGGGGCTCAAAAACAAGTCTGGAGAAAATGTGAGTAAGGAGAGAAATAATTATTTCAGAGTTTTCTCTCCATGGCCAGAGGACCATGTATTCATGTTTTGGATGAATGTTACACACCCAAGAATCAAAAAGCCAATTTACAAAGTCTCAAGGAGTCTTTTTCAGGCTATACTGAGTTACTACAGATGACTTCAAAGAATAAAACTAAATCACAGCAACACACTCCTCTACTCTGCCGAGTGATCACCTACAGGAGCTGGGGCCACTGCAGAGTCAGTCATTGTTTGTGGGACGGGAGTCACATGCTTTCCCCAAAGTACAAATGTGTTCCTGGAAGCCACAGCATCTCAACAGTGGAATGAAGCCCTGTCAGCACCAAAAGCTGTGGGCAAGGCACCCAGTAAAATAATGGATTAGGATTCGAGATCAGGGTTCACATCCCTAACAGCCTCTTACAGACCCCATGCCTTCTGAGGAACCAGGGTAGCCAAAACAGAAATGAAATGAATCACATGCCACAGTATGTTATGGAATCTTTCTGATTTCGAGTTTTCTAACCCATGCAATGGGCATACGAATCTCCACCTCGATCTTTAAGAAGTTCCTGGGGCCAGGCGTGGTGGTTTTTGCCTGCAATCCCAGCACCTTGGGAGGCCAAAGAAAGAGGATTGCTTGAAGCCAGGGGTTTGAGACCAGCCTGGGAAACATAGTGAGACTCCATCGCTAAAATAAAATGTTAAAAAAAAAGTTCTTAGGAAAAATACATATATGAGAATGCTGTGTAAACTACAATGCACTTAGACTATAGATTTTTCAAACAAGAAAAGGATAAATAGCAGAAAAAAGATTATCTCTAAAACCAATTTCACATGTCATAAAAACACGTATTTGCTATTCTAGTATAGTTTCATTGGAGTTCAATAAAGGGGATTTTTAAAATTAAGTCTCAGACTCATCCCTATATTCAGAGGACAATTTTATCTGTGAAAGTGAGCCACCCATCTCAGCTAGAGTTGGACCTTCTGAGTCAGCATATATGCTCACACCATAAAGCCTGCCTCTCACCCATATCCAACAATGACATCTACAATCTACTAGCTTGCAATTTCATCCATTTTTTTTTACCCCAGAGCCAGGACTTAGGCAACTTTAATTGCTGGGCCTTGTTCTTGCAGAATTCAGACAACAGCCCCTGTGCCAGAAGACCCCTTGCCACTAACCACCTAGACAGTTGGGTAAGGTAGTATCAGCTCCATAGACAAGGCAAGACCGGAGACAATTCCCTTCCCCACCCCAATGAGGAGTTCTGCCTTCTGTGTTAGGATGGAGCAGAGCCCATTGTTTTCATAACATGGTGAATAACATACAGGGTATTTGTGAGAATTAGAAAAAGGGGTTTCCACTGGGTGGAAAAATTAGGAAAACATGTCCTGATCTCTGAGTAAACACAGTCCTGGACCAGTCCCCAGCTTGGATAAGATCCAAAGTGTTTTCTTTGGTCTACAAGGTTCTTGCCTGTTGGGTACCCATGTGCCTGGGGAAAGTCATGAAATTCCTACCCACTTTAGTCATGCAGGCCACTTGCAAACATTTGTTCTTGATTTCCCTCTGCCAGGAATGTCCTCTCTTCATCACCATCCATTTTACCTGAAAAGCTCCTGTGCATCCTTCAAGATCCAACAAAGGTAGTTCCCTAGATGAAGCCTTATTTCTCCCATAAGTTTTTCACCACCACCCTTACTTTATTGTAAGACCAATGAAGGCAGGAACCTATCTTTTTTCCTCAGCTTTGACCCCCGCCTGCAGAGGCCAGCCCAATGCCTTACACATAGTAGCTGCTTATCCTGGTTGGTTGGATGAATGAATCAGTCTTTTAAGCCCCCATAGCACTTTGCACATATCTTGATAAGCCTCCAGTGCCCTGTGTTGGAGCATATACCACCTTGTACTATGAAAGTGAGTTATTGGAGGGGAGGGCTTGTACCTTTTGAGTTCGACATCCCCCAACTCCTGCACAGAGCTGGGCAGAGCCCAGGCGCTCAGAATAGGCTTGTGGACCCAAGGTTTCCAAAGCATGGATGTAAAATAGCTGCTTCCAAATCTTTCCTTCTGAGGATCTATTCCCCTCCCCTCTCTCAGCAGAGTCAGAATAGTAAAATGAAAGGTTCATGCACCTCACAGGGGCTAAAAACTTTCCTTAGGAATGACGACCTGCTCTGAAGGCTTCCATCTGTTCCTCCTTAGCCATGAGCCGCTGACCTTATTCTGAAGGATAGACCAGGCAGACCCCGGGACACAGAAGGCATTGCAGACAGGATTGGGTTTCCTTACTTCCCCATCTGTAAACTTTGTTGACTGTAGCTTTAAATATTTATGACCAATGCAGCAAGTTTGGCTGGAGCAGAGAAGAGCTGGTGGGGAGATCTGTTTCCCTCCAACCCGGGATGTTAGCAGAGTGCACGTTCAGCACTGTGCTCCTTCCCAAGACCGGGCGCTCCCAAATGTCAGCCCCAACCACGGTGGGTGGGGGTGACTGTGTGGGGATTTGAAATGATGGTTTTGTTCTCATCCATAAGCTATTTTTATTATTCTAAGGGATGTACTCTTGACCCAATCATGGAACACTGACACAATGCATAAAATTGTCTCTCATCCCATCCCTCCTCAGACGGGCCCAGCCATTGTGTTAAAAGACACAAAAGGTTTGATTGGGGCCAAAATTCCAAGTCCATGCTGAGTGGGCAGGAGAAGCTAGAAGTAGGATGCTGCAGAGAGATGATGCGTTTCCTTTTTCTTTTTTTTTTTTTTTTTTTTTGTTGTTTAGGAAAGAGAAGAAATCTTCCAGATACGGCCTGTCCAATAGTTCCCAGCAGAAATACTGCAAGGAAGATACGTCCTGACAATCACCACTGTTTATGCAGAATCTCTGGCAAACAGCATCCAACTCAGCGAGTTTTCAAATATGTATCACCCCACCACAATATTCACCCCCCCCACACACACCATTTCCCGCTGGTGGATTTGGTTTAGGATCGTTTTCATGATTTGCACTAGTTTTTGTAAGCAACGAGAGGACCGACTCCAAGAGAAAAGCTAATCAGAGCTCTACCCAGAGACTCTGCAATCGAAATCAGATGTGCTGAAGGAAAAAGTAATGGAAACACAGAAAGGGAAGGGCTCGCTGCTGATTTCATAGCAGAGAGGAGTAGCTGATGGAAGGGCATGGTCTCTGAGCAGAGGATCTGCAGGAATCCAGATGTGCAGTCACCCATTGTATTTATCATGCACGAGGCAGCATCTGCATAAAACACCAAGCATTTGTGGGACCCAAACATCAGGCAAATAAAGGGTATTTGGGGAAGAAGGTGAAATAGCAAAATGGTTTGTACTGCCTGCAAGTAGCTGTGAAGAACTATTCAAAGGGGGTGAGAGGAAACACTGTGATTCTAGCTTTGTGTCTTTCAGGCAGTTCCATAGAGCAGAGCACATCTAGTGAGAACTAGCTAAGCCACATGGTGGTAAAAACAAAACAACACAAGCAAACCAGGGAAAAGTGCACTACCACAGAGGTCATTTTTACTTCTAGATCAGTTAGTGAGGAATCTTATACGTAAAAATGTGACTTGGAATGCAAATGATCAAGGGTCTCAAGTGGTATGAAGTCACGGAAGAAACAGGATCACCCACAACTGTGCAAGGGTGTGCCAACAGGACAAATGGAAAAAACCAGAGGGTTCTTAAGCTTGTAAATGGTTCTGTCTTAGTCCACTCAGTAATCCCGTTAGGAACTTTTTAATCTGAAAATAAATAAATGATTAAATTCACTTGGCCTCCAATAAATTAAATGATTGTAGCTAACTGATGGCATGAAGTTAAACCTCCAACTTAAAGGTAAAAATGCATTCAAAAAAATAGAAAGAATGAACAAGGCCTGCTATTTAATAGCACAACAGGGTGACTACAGTCAGTAATAACTTAACTGTACATTTTTAAATAGTCTAATTTGATTGTTTGTAACTCAAAGACTAAAAGGCTGAGGGTAATGATACCCTATTCTCCATGATGTGATTATTTCACATTGCATTGCATGCCTATATCATATCATCTCATTGTATCTCATAAATATGTACACCTACTGATATGGTTTAGCTCTGTGTCCCCACCCAAATCTCATCTCCAGTTGTAATCCTCATGTGTCAGAGGAGAGACCTGGTGAGAGGTGATTGGAGCATGGGGACAGTTTCCCCCATGCTGTTTTTCTGATAATGAGTGAGTTCTCGTGAGAACTGATGGTTTTAAAAGTGTTTGGCAGTTCCATCTTCTTGATATCTCTCTCTCTCTCTCTCTCTCTCCCCTGGCACTTTGTGAAGAAGGTGCTTGCTTCTCCTTTGCCTTCTGCCATGAGTGTAAGTTTCCTGAGGCCTCCCCAGCCATGCAGAACTGTGAGTCAATTAGATCTCTTTTATTTATAAATTACCCTGTCTCAGGTAGTATCTTTTATAACAGTGTGAAAATGGACTAATACACCTACAATGTACCCACAAAAATTAAAAATAGAAAAAAAATTTTAAATGCATTCAAAAATTAGCAAAGCCTAAAACCATCCTCTGATGAGATTACTGATAGACTACTGATATCAGTCATCTTTTTCCTTATTTTTCAGTAATCTCTCTCTTTTCAGTTCAGGACCAGTGAAAATGACCCACGTCGTGATTTAGATGTCTCATGAGCTTAGCGTGCATGGCTCTGGTCTTCCTCCAGATATTTCTTACATCTCTTTTCATGTATCTGAACATGTACTCTTCTGATGTTTAAAGGCACACACATATATGTGGATAAAATGCACCTTATGGAACACATAAAGCCACTAATAGTTGCTATATCCACTCACCCAAATCAGATTGGGGATAATTAGCATATTTAGCAGCTTTCACTCAAAGGAACAAGGTTCACAATAAAGGTGCATTATAAAGTTGACCTAATGAAGAACTCATTTAAAAACAAAATCTCAAAATCATGCACACAGCGTCACCAGCTAAATGTCACGTTTTACCCCATATCCCCTGCCTCTTGCCTTTAAAAATATAAATAGAAAGCTGTTCAATTTAAAATTTCAATTTATAAATTGCTCTGCTATGCTCTGTAACCACCATTAATAAATGATGACTGAATTTACCATTCTGTAACCACCCTTGTTTCACTCACGATATGTAGTCAATTATTTAGCAATAATGATGGCTGTGTGCTACGTTACTGCTTAATTTCACAGGCTTGGCTATGTTTTCAGATAAGGAGAGAATACAGACAAAAATGGGAAGTTTCTCCTTTTATTTAACATAGCTCCATTTCAGAGTTGCCATTAGTAATGGTAAAGGTGGTCTGGGAGAGGAGCTGACTGCATTTTTCAGCAGGATGTAGAGAGTGGAGCTCAGGTGAATACAATCTGCCTGCAAGACATTCACCCAAACCGAGAAAGAACATCCTCGTGACAGTGCAGTGGCCCTTATCCCGCACCGGTAAACCAGCCTCATGACCTCTGACAACAAGGGAAATCAGACGCTGGCCATGCAGAGGGAGAACTGACGTGACTCTGTTACATGTGGAATTTCAATCCTACCCCGAGGAACTGCTTTTTCATTTCACACGGGCCCTTTCCACGTCACCCTGACCTGCCTCCATTCCCCGGTCACTCAACTTGTATCTTCACACACAGAGGACAGGGCTGCCTCTTCTAGTTGTGTTCCAAAGGAGCGGTTCTCCTGCAGGCTTCTATGAAATGAGGTGGCTGTTTCCGTACTGAGAGGTGGCTCCATAGTACATACTGCAATGCTTGCCAGTGTGATGGTCACGCAAACCAGAAAGACTCTGGTTTCTCCCCTGAACTTGAGTTTCATCAGTCCATTCAGGAGTGTTGTGGGCTGAATCGTGCTCCTACCTCCTGCCCCAATTCATATGCTGAAGCCCTAATCCCCACAGTGATGGTATTTGGAAATGGAGCCCTTGGGAGTTAATTAGGTTTAGATGCAGCCATGTGGGTGGAGTTCCCCGGATGGGAGTGGTGCCTTTATAAGAAGAGACTAGAGAGCTCAGTTGCTCCTGCTCTGCTGTAAGCAGACAGAGCAAGAAGGTAGTGGCTGTCTGCAAACCAGCAAAAGAGTCCTCACCAAGAGTCTGCCCATGCTGGCCTCCTAACCTCGAACTTCTACCTCCCCAAATGGAAGAAATAAATGTGTGTTGTTATTTAGCCACTCAGTCTATGGTTGCTTGTTATAGCAGCCTGAGCAGACTAAGACAAGGGGTTAAAAAAAACAGCTTCAGATAAAAATGTAATTAAGAACGACAAACATCTGGTATTCTTTTCACAGGAACAAATGCTTCACGACAAAGTGAGCAAGGCCCATCTGGCCCCTTCTGGAGCCCAACTCCACCCTTTCCTCATCGTGTAAGTGACTTGGCTTCTCTGGATCTCAGTTTCCTCATCTGTAAAACATCCCCTCACCTTACTGCCCACCCCAGAGGGCTTCCATGAAAATCCATCAAGACAAGACTCATATACATTTAGCACAATGCTGGGTACCCCAATAAATATAATAAGATTCCCAATGAGCTTGGAAAGAAGATTGCCCTTAGAAAGAATACAACAAGCTGGCTTCAGTTACCTGACAGTTACCTTCAGAAAAAAAAATTTCCCTAGTGACCATCAAGGTACCGACCACCTGGAAATGGGAAAGACATTTTGACTCTCTAGACTTGTCACTGCTCCCAAAGTGCAGCATCTGCTCCTACCACCCCATGGTCCCAGACAAATGCCCAAACTCCAACCTGCTGATTAAGTTGATGATCTGGCTTTCTGACATCCAAATATGATCTCATCCCCCTTCCTCACCCAATATCCCGAACCCCACTATCCAACAACGACTCTGTTTTCATTTCAGTACCACCGTCTGGTGCCTCTAATTCTATCAACACCCAAACATATGGAAGGAACAACAAGACCCAGCGACATGAACCATTATTTTTAAAAACCAAACCAGGTCCTAAATACCAATTGATTGCTAAAAGGGCACTCACGGAGGTTTATTAAGTACATAGAACATAAATCTGCTTGGCATGTAATTAATTCAAAATTACAGAAACATTAAATGTGTAATTAAATCTGCACGGAATGTTTAGGGCTTTCGCTGGCATTTACAAAGGAAGCTAAGGGAAATTTATTAGCTAGCAATTTATTGCTCAAAATACTGGCAACTCAGGAGTATGTTGATGGAAATCTAGCTTGTTGTCAATCTGCTGTTAGAGGCCAATTAAAGGTTCAAAGCCTTACAAACCAGTGGCCAAAGAACAGGGTTGCCAAGCATAGAGTTTGTCAGCTTCCACCGTTTGTCCTTTCCATTCCATCTCAACAAGTGTTTGTATACCCAGGATGATAAGCACACCATACTCGTTACTTAAATACTTAATTGACACATTAAAATGTGGTCCACAGGAGACCCGGATGAGATAAAAGCAATGTTATATTTGGAATCCTCACCAATTGACAAACTTCACTATGTTTAATCAGAATACACTATTTTTTTTTCTGGCTCACTTTAAGTCAAAAATATACATGAAAAATATGCAAAGTGAAGGAGTCAAAAGTTATTCCAGAAACTTTCCAACTCGTTTCTAGCCTCTGCAACAGGTTAGAGCTAGAAACGACTGTCTGGTGTCCAGAGCTGGCCTGACCCTCCCCACGGTGATGGCATGTTTCACAAATCCCACACATCCCATTGGTCAACATGGGTACAGGTGCTCTGGGGTACCCTTCAGAAACAACTCCAGTGATGTCACTTCACAAGCACTGGAAGACTCTGAGACTGGAGCAATCAGGTGGAGCACCGTGCAGGTGAAGCCTGAGAGCTGTGTTCCAGTGCCTTCTGGGGGCCCAGTCTCCAATTCTTCATTTCACAATTTGTTCAGAAGTGTTTCTGCTTTTCATTGCTGCATTGCAGACAGCTGGAGGTTCTAAGCCTATGCTTTCTAGAAGAATCCTCCATACCTTCAGATTAGGAAGGACTAGGGTTTCTACTCATTCTGCTGTGTGTTAGAATTGCATTTGACTGCAAGTAATATAAAACCCAGCTACTAATATCTTTAACAGCAGGAGTGTACTTGTTCCTCACACTACAAAAACCTGGAGAAATGTGGTCTACAGCCCATGAAAGTCTCCACGACATTATACCGCACCTTTCTCTATCATTTGCATGGTTATTTCATTGTGTTTATTTATCACCTAATGAAATAAAATAGGAGCTGCAGTTCTGGCCATCATACCTACACTTCAGTAGGGATAAGGAGAAAAGGGAACATTTTATCATCTGGCAAAAAGAAAGGTCATTGTGACAAGACTAGTATTGGAAAAATGAAAGAACTCCCAGCAATTTCATAGCCAATGTATACCTACACTTCTTGGTGGCCATTGTGTTATGTTACCTTTTCACCTCTAGCTGGAAGGTGGCACTAAGAAGGGTATTATAATGGAGGTGAAACCAATTAACTAATGCTGTCTGCCATGTTACCCCTCTCTCATTCAGGCCCAGTGACCAGATACGCAATGTTTGGCATAGAGTGAAAACTCAGCATTTGTCAAATAAATGAACAATCAAATAAAGGCTCTGAGACCCTCCAGAAACCATTTTTCTAGTTTATTTATTCAGCCAGACACTATGCCAGATCCAGGCAATACAGAGGTGAACAAGTCAAACATTTGCTATTTTAAGCCAGAAAAAAAAATAAGATTTTTGAATGAAGAAAACGGGCTCTCTCTCTTAGTCCTTTTTCACACAGTGATAAAGACATACGTGAGACTGGGTAATTTATAAAGAAAAGCAGTTTAATCGACTCACAGTTCTGCATGGCTGGGGAGGTCTCAAGAAATTTATAATTATCGCAGAAGGTGAAGAATCACCTCTTACATGGAGGCAGGCAAGTGAGAGCGAGCAAGAGCAGGGAGAACTGCCTTATAAAACCATCCGCTCTCGTGAGAAGTCACTCACTATCATGAGAACAGCAAGGGAGAAACCACCCCCATCATCCAATCACCTCCTCCCACTGGGTCCCTCCCTCGACAAGTGGGGATCATGGGGATTACAATTCAAGATGAGATTTGCGGGGGGGGAGGGCACAGCCAATCTATATCACCCCCTAACTTGAAAGAACTAACATTCTAGACCAGCACAGTCCAATAGAACTTTCTATGATGATAGAAAGGTTCTCAACCTGTGCTGTCCATTACAGTAGCCACCAGCCATGTGTGAATACTGGGTACTTGAATTGTGGCTAGTGTGACTGAGGAGCTGAATTTATTATTTTATTTTAATTAATTTCAACTTATATTTAAATAGCCACATGGAGCTACTGGCTACCATATTGGTCCCCACAGGTTTGGCCATCATGCATACACATTTAAAAAATCAGCAGATAACATCTTAATAGAGGGATGTCCAAATGTCATGGGACTCTAGAGGTAGAATCTAACTGCCAGGGAGAGCAAGAGAGATTAAAAAAAAAGAAGATGGGTTTTTAATCAGGGTTTTGTGAGATGAAGAGAAGCTTGCCACTTGATAAAGGAAGACAAGGGAAAGCATTTCAAGCAGAGGGAAAATTGTGGGCATAGAAAAAAGGAGAAAAATGAGAGTCAGGAGAGATCCTAAAACAGAACCACTTAGTTAAGCCACTCCCAAATTCCCGACCCACAGAAACTGAGATCATAAATGTTTCCTATTTTTGAGTGATTTGTTACACAGCAATAGATAATAAATATAGGGTATACCACATTGTGTGTGTGTGTGTGTGTTGCTAACTTCATCATGTCTAAATAGTGACGGGGTGCAGAAACTATCAGAGGGGATGCTGTAGCTTGGAAGGAAGGAAGGAAGGAAAGAAGGAAGGGAGGGAGGGAGAGAGAGAGAAAGAAAGAGAGAGAGAGAGAGAGAGAGAAGGGAAGGAAGGAAGGAAGGAAGGAGGAAAGAAAGGAGAGACAGAAAGAAAGATCTACAAAAAATGTACATGAGCCAAGATGTCCACCTCATCGCACCCAGTGCTAGCCTCTCAGAAAAACCTCTAAAAGCTCAAGAGAGTCCGTGCTTCCAAGCTCTCCTATTGCTGATGAACCCAAGGCCTCCTGAAAATATCTACATCTATGCATGGATGGCTATTTAATTTCAAAAGCAACATTTGAAATGACATTAAGTTAGCCTGTCTAATTGTAGTCCCTATGTACAATTACCTTTTCTGCCTAATAATAAGCTAACAAGAAGGGTATGACTATGATTTTAAGGGTAGAATTCATATTTTTAACTTCCATGTGCCAAGCTGAGTAAAGGGTTTTATGCAAATACAGCAAAAAATATAGGCCCCCCAAAAGTCATCATCATTAGGCTTATTTCAAAATCAGATCTAATATTAATTCCTAGGCAATAACACTCTTTGGAATGAAGAGACTTGATTACTCTATAGGAATTCTAATGAATAGCACTGCCACTCCCCCATCCCCACCACTGCCTTCTCTAAGTACTTTAAAGAAGTTTTTCTTCCTTTTTTTTTTTTTTTTTTTTTTTTAGGTAGTATGATATAAAGTAGGCAAACACCAGCTAGGAAACTTCTGGGCTCTGGAGCTAGAAGATCCTGGTCCTTAGAAGTCAGCCCTGGCAGCAGGAGCCAAAGAACATTATCAGAAAAGTAGAAAGAGGCTGCTTACCTAAGAGGAAGTCAGTGATTCTCTGCAGGACTTAGAACCAGTATTGAATGGGTATAACTAGGACAACTCAGAGGATGGGGCTCTGGAGCAACTACACCCACCTGGGTGGAAACGCCAGTGTGGGGTTGGGGAATAGGGGAGAACAAAAACATTGAGGAGCTGGAAAACCTTCAAGAGTTGTTTGAATTCAGTGTTGTTTAAATTATCCTAATATTTATGATCTCCCCCCATATCTCCTCGTATGGTCTAGGAGATATACTCAGGCAGACATAGCCAGCAGCGCCATCTTGTTTTCCATGGCGAGGGAATTTTCTCCTCCACCTCTTCTCTCTGTCTTCATTTAGTGTTGTAAAACTATGAGATATCAGACCTGAAGCCCTCCCCTTCACAAATGAGGAAACTGAGGCCAAGAGGGAAGGTGACCCACACCAAATTGCACACACGTTCCCCTAGCTGGGACAGGAACCCAGGACTCCTGAGTTTTTATTCAGTTTTCTTCCAGCAATTCAAAAGAACAAATTCAATACTCACTGCATCCAGGCTCACAGGGGTCATAGAAAAATGAAGGATTCTTATTCATGAGAACTGATTGTAATGGGCTCATTTCTTCTGATTAGGGAATCTTAAGAAGAAATGCTTCTTGGTTCTAATCGATATGGCCCTTTTAAGAAATCCAGTTTGTTTTCTTCTACCTCAATCGATTTCGGTTCTAGTAACAAGACAGAGAGGTGCGAATTTCATTCAAATGAGGCTCTCAGTCAACTTTTCCTATGAGACAAAATGATACTGGAAAAGAAGCCATAAGGTGGTCCTACTAGCTATGGGATTTGACAGATTATAGCATCTTCCAGAAGAGGTGTGGAAGGATTCTTTCAGGGTGTAGGGCTGTGAATGTGTGCCCCGACACCCCCGACCTGGCCACGAACCAGGGATACCTTCTCTATGCCACAATGCAGAGGAAGGATTTCTTTTTCTGTTCTTCTTTCACTTCAGTTGAAAAATTAATACACACAGATGGGGAAAATATAAAAACACATCAATAGAGTATGCACATTACTCCATCACACTCCCAAACCCCAGGGCCTGTCCTCAAATGTAAGCACTGTTAACTGGATTTCCTATATCTTCATTTTTTCCCACCAAAGGGAACATTCCATACTCATTATATTGCCTGTGGTATTTTTCACTCAATGAAAGATCTTTGAGATCTTTTCATGTCACTGTAGAGAGATCTACTTTATTCTTTCCATTTTTTCCACATGGGATCCATTTTATTCTTTTTTTCAAAATGTCCTGTGGTTCAAATATACAATCATTTACTTACCTTTCTCTTATTAATTAACATCCCGGTTATTCCCAGTCTTTTGGTTCTACAAATCTGTGCTGAACAAATAGAGTCATATACAGGTCTGAAGGATAAATTTCCAGGAGTGGACATGCTGGCTTGAAGGATGTGTGCATTTCAAAATCAAGGACAGGATCACAGTCATCAAGGCCCTCTGTACAAAACCAACTGTCCATCTCAATAACTCCCTCGGCCTGCCACTTTTCCCGGCTTCCTCCAGCCCCTCGAACCTTCCCTCCTCCTCCACGTCATTCAGGCACTGTGTGTCTCCTCCACTAGGTGACAGCTCCACTGAGGACCAAATCCCCAATCCCCTCTGAGTGCCACCCCATGAGCCAGTTTTCAGAGAAAAGGGACTCTCATTAAATGTTTGCTAGAATAATTCATGATGCCTGAATGGAGGATGGTGTGAACAGCAGGCAATTAACAAGGGGCTCAGGTTTTTTCAATGGGTTGTACACTCAACCCTTTCAATAGGAACATGCCAGGTCTCTTCTTCCTTGAGTGGGGTGGGAGATGTCTTCCTTTCAGGTCTTGCCCATATTCTTCAAGGTGACACTGCTTTTGCTGAAGGGGTAAAAAGCAGACCGAATCCTCACAGAGCAGTGTCCATGCTGCGTGTGTGTGTGCGCGCATACCTGACCACAAAGCAGGCCATTCCCTAAACAACTAGAACAGACTGCCCGTGACCTTCCGGAGAACCCCACATTACCCCCAGCAAAGGCTGCCAGGGGACTGCTGGTGCTCTTTTGTTCCAGGCTGATTGGAGCTGTCACAGACGGACGGAGTGCATCTCCCAGCGGCAGCTCGCTGTAAGCCAGGCGAAAGAGCAGGAAGCTCTCCTACAGATGCCCTGGCCAGGAATTCACGGTCGCAAGCAGCCTGGGGCCCCCTCCTCCAAGGAAGGGGAGAGCTTGCAGAAAATAAGGAACCATGGCAATGAAAACCAGAACAGTGGTAGGTGATGTCCTAAGTGCTTTGCACGCAGTAGTACATCTGATCACCACCCAGTGGTACAAAGCTACCATGACCTGCATTTAAAGAAGAGGAAACCAAGGTAGAGAGGTAAAGTGTGTTTAAAGTCACACAATTTGTATGTCAGCGTGCAGTGGGGACACAGTAGCCATCTAGGCCACAGCTCCAGAGTGCATGGCTTCTTCCCCCCAGGGCTGGGGAGTCTGTGCACACCGCAGGCATGGCACTGAGCAATCCACGCCTATCTCACGTGGTCTTCCCAGCAGCGCAGTGAGGCAGGGACCGTGAACAACTCCATCTGTCAATGAGGCCACAAGTGGTCACCTCAGTGTGTGCAATATCTCTCTGCTAATAATTAGAGGGCTTGGGCACCCCTTGGGCCCCAAAGCCGGTGGCTGCTCAGCATCATTGCTCTGCAAGGCCTCTGCTCCTGCTGGGCACACAAGCCACATCTGCCTTCTTGTTTTACATTTAAACTGCAAGTGACACTTTGCACACGTTCTGAGGACCTTGGAAAACATCAGCCAAACTAAAGGGCTGGTAAAATCTTTTGGTTTTAGAAATTTTCAATGTCTGACACTATAGAGACATAGGCAGGGGATCCCAAACACAATACACTTGGCAAAGAAACAGAGGTCATCAACAGTCATCAACAGACAATACTAATAGATATTATTTTGTGAGCACTTATTGCTAGATACTGTGCTAGGTGCTTGACCCTTTTAAAATCATTTATTGCTCACAACCACCTTCCAAAGGAGATAGTACTGTCTTTACTTTAGAGAATAGACAAGGTACAGAGAAGTTGAGTAAGTTACCTAAGTCACACAGCTTGAAGGGCAGGGCCAGGATTCTAGGCCAGGCAATCTAGCTCCAGAGTACCATTGCCTCACTTACCAAGTTTAAATAAATATACAGGAGATGCCCAGTTAAATGTGAATTTCAGATGAATGATGAGTAATTGTTTTCATTAAGAATGGCCCATGCAAGTCTCCAGTCTGTAGGCTGCCTGATTCACACCATCATGGGGGGTTGGCACGGTGTTTCATAGACTCATCTTCAGTGTAGATTTTGAGTGGGGAAGATACTGACAGCCTTCCCTATCCTCTCTGACCCCACCAAAGCCAGGAGACCCTCCCTCCCACACACCCCTCTTCCCACCTGCAGGTGCAAGGTATAAACACACATTGCTGGCCTCCAATAGAGCCCTCATCCCTAACCTGCCAGTGGCTTCAGATGCTAAAGGGGGAGGGCTCTTTTTTCACCACTGGACCATGGATCTTGGTTACAAGCCCAGTGGCTTGTTTCTGCTCTCCCCAAACTGAGGTTTGGAAGAAAGCTGAAGTCATTTTGTTTCGCATTTACACGACATGTATGAGCTTCAAAATGGGTAAAAAGAATTGAAGAACCCTCCTACCCCTCACAGAGTCCCAGGCATCAATTCTGGGCTTCAGTCTGGGATGAAAATATCGGAACAGATGAGACCCCTCTGCAAATAACAAAAAGAGCCCATAGGGATGTGTTATCAGGGGAGAGAGTGAGCAGAGGGTTTTTGTTTTGTTTGGTAAGGGAAGCATGGATTAAACCCTCAAAACAAATCTAGAGCCAAAGTTAAGAGTAAAAGGCAGCTCAGAGACAAGACAGATTTTCCAGACATCTATGGGGCCTGCTGTAGCACGTGGGGGTGGATCCAGATGTGAATTTCAAGATTGCCATTTGGGGTGTTTCTTGGGGCTAAGAACCATGAAGACGCGCATCCCCCCTGCGGTTTTATGACAATGCTTAGCAATGAGTGATGCTGCCTGGATCTGCTCACCTGCTGGGACGTTGTGCAGAGGAGACCCCGGCCTCACAGCCACGGCCTCCCTCCTTCCCAGAGCAGGGCTTGGTGGAGGTACGGACAGCCTCCTGGCCCCCAAAGCTTTCTGTTTCCACACAAGGGATTCTCAGCTAAACAGCACCCTGTGCTGCAGGTAATCACGGGCCACTTTCTCTTTAAATAGCTTCTTTGTAACCACAAACATGTATGTTTTTCATAAAGCTCTGAAAATTGTACTAGGCCCTGGGGACGTACCAAGTGGAAACACGGGTGCCCAGAGATTAGAACTCCACTACTCCAGAGGTACAATGTGCTGTTTGTAACAATTATAATAATACACCTGTACCACCGTTGTCAATGTGGGCCAGCCACACGGGGGCTCATTAGTATTGTATTAGGGCTGCATGGGGAAACAGATAATGGCCCATAATGAAAAATGCCAAATTTTCTATATAATAAAAATGAACTTGATTAATGAAAATCACTTTCAGGGAAAGAGTTACAGCGTTGTTAGAAATAAAAAATGATGTATTAATCCGACATTCTTACAGATGGTCCCAACCTCCTGACAACTGCTATTCATTTGAGATGCTATTAGCATGCATAATTATGCTAATTAAGTTGTAATTAAGCACCAATTCTTCAGAGGGCTTTTTTTGTCTATCATTTAATACAACTCAGTTGCAAAGAGTGCTTAAAGCTTTGTACAGTGTTTCATTCAAAAGGGGTTCCCAAATTTCTTAGCAAAGATTTAGCAGCTGAGCCATGGATAGGAGCTATAATCCTTGTTTTGGTTAAAGAAAAGTCAGTAAATACCAGCGGGGTCTGCCAGTTGTTGATAAAATAATGAACGCTTTCTGCTAAAATAAGCACAGTTCAAACCAGGGCAATTACAATGAGAACAAAATGTATAATTATCAGTAGTGATAGAACCATTGTCGTATTACATGGTCGGTTTTATTCTTTTTATTTGAAAAAAGGGGACTTAAGGAGTACATTCAATGAGAAATAATTAGGGAAAATGGCATTCAATATTTTATTAAAAGGAAAATAAATCAGAAAGCTGAAAATATCTCCCAGGGGTGGGGTTGTGAAAGAGAGAAAGAATCACAGATTTTGTTTTCAGTTCCAAAAGCTATTGAGATAAACATTTTAAGAACATCATAAAATGATAAAGTGCACATAAAATGGTTTCTTCAACTCGACTATCTATGGAGGGAAACGCAGAGATTTTAGGGAAGAAGTTAGTTAAACTAGCGACTTAAGAATACATGCTTACAGGTCAGTTTGACTGAATTTTACCACTTTCATCCCCAAAATCTATTCTATACAAGTATGTTGGACAAGGAGTTAAGTTTTGCTTCATTTTATTCTGTCACTGGTTCTGCGTGGATAAAGCCAGAAATAGCCAGAGAGCTTAGAACAAAGGTGGTTTAATGAAGGCCTTGGGAATGCTGTTTGTTCTACGAGGAGGAGCTGGCCAGCCAGGGGCATTTTCTGGGACACCAGTGCCCTGCTCACCTTCCTCCCAAGGCAGAGAATTCTGTTACCCAGGAGCTGCCTACTTGTCTTCATTCCGCCCTGAGCTGAAAGGGAAGAATCAAGAAACAGACTGGAAGAAGCCCCAATTCTCTGTAAACTTCACTTGAAGTGACTTATTTTTTTAAACACCAAGAGCCTATGCCACACTGCAACCCCGTCTCACTTGCCAGATCAGTGTGATAAGCTGCAGTTAAAGGAATAGCTCCAGGACGGAGCATTGGAAGTACTGTTGGGCCACAGCTGGGCAGCATTTCTCCCTCCCTCTTCTAACCATGACATTAAAAAAAAAAAAATTCTTTCCAATGAGCTTTTTGCTTTCTTTTCTGTGCTAATCTCAATTTGAAGTTGGTCTTTGCATTTGTTTTATTTTAAGCCTCTGGAAAACTTACTCCTTGGGTAGGACACTCTGAAGAAACCACTCACTTTGTTTCATCTTCACTTTCCCTGCCTGCAGTTCAGAGCAGGAGGGAGGTAATAGAGACAAATGGTGCCCTGGACGCCAGAAGCCATGAGCTGGTAGCCTGCCTCAGCCACAGCGGGACATTCAGCAAGGGGTTTAGCACAGTGTCCTCATCTGTAAGGTGGAACACCCATTAGCTGCTCTGAACAGTTCACATGTGATGACTAGATACAGCAGACAGTGCAGAGACAAGGTGATAACAGTGGGCCACCATGCGGATGTTTGGGATTTCCAACCAATAAGAAGTCCAATATCAGTGGCCCTCCTCTGAAGCTGAATGCCCAGCATGGATTCTCCAGAGCCCCCAGTGATCACGAGAAAGTAGGTTTCTTACTGGACCTGAAGATACTAGGCCCAATGCACAGCTGCTTGATAAAAATGAGCTCTTCCCTGCCTTTTCTATACTCGGCACTTTAAAAAATCTTCCTTTGCTGGTGATCATGATTGCTGAGGTGAGAAGTAAATGAAATGGTTTCCATTCATAAGGCTAGAATGGCAGAATGATGAGGGGGACAACTTAAAGACCAGAGGTAATGTTTAAAAAAAAATAGCAAAATCAGCCTAAGCAAACTAAAAAGCAAATGACAAACAGGGGCAAATATTTGCAACCTATATCACAACAAAGTTAATAACCCAAAGATGTAAAAGACTCCTATAAATAAAGAAAAGCACAATGATTTTATAGCAAAAGGAACAAGAGATACAGGAGTTCACAGAAAAACCATAATGGTTCTTAAATGTGTAAAAAGTCATTCATCTTTGCTAAAAAAAAAAAAAGTAAAACTACAGCTAAACAGAATTTCTCACCTATTATATTGGAAAAGAAAACCCCCCAAAGTTTGAAAAATATATACATACAAACACACCCAGAGACATTACATATATAATTATTAAATATACATGGATATATTTAATATACCATACAAACAAATAAATATATACTATACTGGTGAGGTAAAAACAGGGACTTTAAAACTTGTTGGTATATATTTCAATTGTACAACTCCTATGGTGAGAAATATTTAAATGTCTAGCAAAATTATATATGCCTTTTACTTAGAAATGCCAAAGACACACTGGAAAAAAAAATAAGATGATATGAACAAAGTAGTTATTGAAGCTCTATTTGTAATAGTAAAAGACTATAAAAAAATGCAAATGTCCATCTGTATGTAGTTAATTACATAAACTATGGTACCCTGCTCCAAGCGGAGTATTATGCAGCTATAAAAATGAACAAAATTATATCTGATACTGCTCCAAAGTGATTATCAGAAAATATTAATTTTAAAAATGCAAGGAGCAGAAAGCATGTGTAGTATATTACCTTTTATTTAGGAAACTGATGAGAGAGAGAAAAAGAGTGTGTGTATTTGTTTATATCTACAAAAACAGGTACATAAAGCAGTAGTGTGAAAGGCTAGACTTCTTAAATATGCTTTGCTTTTCAGCTATGCCTTTCATAACAAGCAAATGTTTAACCAAATTGTATCAAAATTTAAATCAGAATAAGATAAAGTACTTTAAAAACTAAGTGAAACAAATAAATATAACTATAAAATGTAATATCATCAAAAGTAACTTATTTCAGCCTGGTGCAGTGGCTCACACCTGTAATCCCAGCACTTTGAGAGGCTGAGGCGGGAAGATCACTTGAAGTCAGGAGTTTGAGACTAGCCTGGCCAACTTGGTGAATCCCTGTCTCTACGAAAAATACAAAAATTAGCCAGGCATGGTGGCATGTGCCTATAGCCCCAGCCACCTGGGAGGCCGAGGCAGGAGAATCGCTTGAACCTGGGAGGCAGAAGTTACAGTGAGCCGAGATCATGCCATTGCACTCTAGCCTGGGTGACAGAGGGAAACTCAAGTCTTAATCAATTATTTCAAGGGGCTTTAAAACACAATAATTTGACAATGAATTCCAAATGGATATATCCTAAGGTCAAAAAGTTCCACAAATAAATCTTTGTTTTCAGCATTTATACTGTTGGCATCAACTTATAATGTATTTTTTCTTAAAAATATGCTTTTCCAAGATTTTCTACTGAAAACATCTGTGCACAATGATAACCCAACACAAAGAACATCCCAGTGCCCAGACTCTGGCCGCAAAATACCTTTTCTCACTTGTAGAAAGTACCTGCTTTTTGGAGAAATGTCTGGTTCCAGACTGAGCACAGAAAATGTGCAAGATGCTCCTGGAACAAGCAGAAAAGAGACATACCAAGTCTCCTAGAGTTACATCAAGAGGTCTCAGGAGCTAAGGTGAAGGAACTTCCACTGGCCAACGACAGGACAATTTGAGCACAAAAAGAATCCTCTCTTGCCATTGATTGCAACATATAGATCATGTTAAAAATCCATAAAAAATTTATAATATTTTTAAAAATATTAGTGACCTTTGGAGAATGCTAGGGAAGTAAGTCATTATTTGGAAACTGTAAAATAAAGAGGAAAAAACAATCAAGAATTTGCCCTCCATTTCCTAAATAAATTCTACTTCAGAGCAAATTTAAATCTAGAAGAAAAGAAAGGAAGAGAGGGCGAGAAAGAGGAGAAGAAGAATTTTTTTTGAAAAATTGCAAGTTAAAAAAATAGAAACCACTTTGAAACACTGAAATAATGGCTCTGGTCAATGATTATCAGTAGCCAGTTAAATCTGACCAATTTTAACATCACTGAAAGAGATACGAGGAGACCTTATGTACCTGCTGTTAGAAGTACTCAATGCCATCTATAAGATTTAGATTTAAAGGGGGAATCAAAAAGAATCATCAAGCCACTGGTGATTGATTCATCAAATGCCATCGAAACTCTGTCTAACTCAGATATTATAAATAGACTTCTAGTTCTTTGATGAATTTCATGGCCCTATGTATCAGAAAACAATAATATTATCAAGCAGATATTTATTCTAGAAATGCAAGGATGGTTCAATAATAGTAAACAATCATTTCAAATGATATAGATATAATATTTTACAAATTTCATAGCCATTTATGACAGAAAGTGTTAGAGAACCAGCAATAAAATGAAGTTTTTAAACCTAATACCAAATGGTTTCTAAAAACCGATGATAAAATTCATCAACTGTGAAATATTAGAAACATGGTTTTCAAAGTCAAAAAAACACAAATGTCCTATAATCACTTTTATTCCTTTGTCCCAGAAATAAAAATAAAAGACTATACATAAATTGCTTCTATAAATTGTAATTATAATTACTTGTAATAATTATATACATATAATAATTAAAAATATAATTATTTGTAATTATACAAATTATATAATTCTCTAAAATTCATATGGGAAAGCAAAACTATTAGATCTAAAAGGATAATTTAGAAAAATTCCTGAATACAGTTTCAAAATAAAAATATATAAATAACATTGCTACAAACCAGCACTCACCAATTAGAAAATACTATAGAAAAAGTTCAAGATACTTTACTGTTATCAAGGGATGAAATTATTAAAATGTGAAAGACTTGTGAATTATTAAAATGTGAAAAAATATAGTAAAAATCATTGAAAGACACTAATATTTATAAAGGGAAAGATATATTACATTTAGAAGGGAGAAAATTAATAACATTAAGAATTTAAGCCCCTCCAAATTAATAGGTAATTGTAATACAGTTACCATTAAAATCCCAACAGAATTTTTCATGGAAGCTGGCAAACAGGTCCTAAAATTTATACCAAGGGAGAAAGATTCCAGAACGGCAAACAAACTCCAGGCTCAGTGGTTCACACCTGTAGTCCCAACACTTTGGGAGGCCAAGGCAGGAGGACAGCTTGAGACCAGGAATCTGAGACCAGCCTGGCCAACATGGCAAAACCTCGTCTCTACCAAAAATATACACACACACACACACACACACACACAAAACAGCTGGGTGTGGTGGCACATTCCTACAGCCCCAGCTACTTGGGTAGCTGACACAGAAGAATTGCTTGAACCTGGGAGGTGGAATTCCAGTGAGCAGAGACTGTGCCACTGCACTCCAGCGTGGGCAACAGAGCCAGACTCTGTATCAAAAAAAAACAAAAAAATAGTGAAGACAATTATGAAAAAGAATAAGAAGAGAAAACTGTTTCAATACATATTGCTATGTGACAAACCACCTCAAATCTAAGTTGTTTAAAACAACAACGATTTATTTTGTTCATAAATCAACAATTTGGACAGTTCTCTGTGGGAATCTCTTATCTCTACTCCAAGAAGCAGGAGAAGCTGGAAATGCTGCTCAGGGCTGGAATCTTCTAACAGATCATCTACTCATCTGCACAGTGGTTGACATTGACTATTGGCTGGGACTGCAGAGGAGATGTTGGCTGCAACATCTACACATGCCCCCCCACCACCCTCCACGTGGCTGCCTGGCTTCCTCACAACATGGTGGCTGGTTTCCAAAAGTAGCCACAAAGAGCCAGGCAGAAGCTGCATCACATTTTATGATGTAGTCTTGAAAGTCACACAACATCACCTTCACTGCGTTCTATTAGTTAGAAATTGTCTCTAGGCTGGGCACGGTGGCTCAGGCCTGTAATCCTAGCACTTTGGGAGACCGAGGAGGGTGGATCACCTGAGGTTGGGAGTTCGAGACCAGCTTGGATAACATGGTGAAACCCCATCTCTACTAAAAATACAAAAATTAGCCAAGCATAGTGGCAGGTGCCTGTAATCCCAGCCACTCCGGAAGCTGAGGCAGGAGAATCACTTGAACCTTGGAGGCAGAGGTTGCAGTGAGCCGAGATTGTGCCATTGCACTCCAGCCTGGGCGACAACAGCGAGACTCTATCTCAAAAAAAAAGAAAAAAGAAAAAAAGAAAAAGAAAGAAATCATCTCTAAAGCCTTCCCAGAATCAAGGGGTAGGGAACTAGACATTTTGATGAAAAAAATGTTAAAAAATTGACAGATACATTTAAAAACCACCAAAAGTACATCCCCATAAAATATAATACTTAATAGCAACTAAGAATGACCCAGGAATAGGTAGCCAAATAGGAATGGAATGGAGGTAGAATGAATGGAAGTGGAATGGAATGGCATGGCATGATATGGCATGGCATGGAAGTGGAATGGAATGGAAGTGGAATGAAATGGAAGTAGTATGAATGGGAGTGGAATAGAATGGAACGGAAGTGGAATGGAATGGAACAGAATGGAATGGAAGTAGAATGAAGGAAGAAGTAGAGTGGAATAGAATGGAAGTGGAGTGGAATGGCATGAAATCAGCTAGGACTGGGTAGGGCGAGATAGAACGACATGGAATGAAGAACCAAGAAACAGAGTCACATGAACACTTGATTTAAAAAGGATTTACATTACCAATGTATAAGGAAACTATGAACTATTTATTAAATGTGCTACCACAAATGATTTTCATATAGGAAGTTAAAATTAGATTCTAACTTTAAACCACAGAGAAATTAATTCTAGATTAAATAAATATATAAAACATAAAAATCAAAATCAAAACTTTTACAAGAAAGAAATATAAGAGAATATAGCTATGACTCAGTAATAAGGAATTATTTCTCAAAAAAGCACCAATCAGATTGAGAAGTTAGGTAGAGCAAGATAGCCAAATAGAAGCCTCCACCAATCACACCCTGCCACACATACAGGAACACCAAATTTAACAATTATTAATATCTACACACACACATACACACGCAAACACACACACACTCACACACACACACCCCACCTTCATAAGAACCAAAAATCAGCTATCAACTTGGCCATGGTTGGGTAGAGCACGAAGCAGGCCCTTGGAGTCCCCAGTTCCAGGACGTCGCTTTTGGACAGCATTTCTGAACCTGCCCTCAGCCAGAGAGGAGCCCACTGCCCTGAAGGGTGACTCCTAGGCCTGGCAGCATTCAGCATAACCTAACAGAAGAGCTTTGGGGCCTTAAGGAAACATCAGCAGTAGCCTGGCAGTAGTTAACATATATGCACTCAACACCGGAGCACTCAGATATATATAAAGCAAATATTATTAAAGGTAAAGAAAGATATATGATATGATAATAGCTGAAGATTTCAACACCCATTGCACAGATCTTCCAGACACAAAAAAAATAGGACTTAGTCATCACTATAGACCAAATGGACCTACTAGATATTTACAGAACATTAACTCCAACAACTTCAGAATACACCTTCTTCTCCTCAGCACAGGGATCATTCTCAAGGATAGACCATATGTTAGGTCACAAAACAAGTCTTAAAACATCCAAAAAAATTGAAATAATATCAAGCATCTTTTCTAACCACAATGGAATAAAACTAGAAATCAACAACAAGAGGAATTTTGGAAACTATACAAACATACGGAAATTAAACAATATACTCCTGAATGAGCAGTGGGTCAATGAAGACATTAAGAAGGAAATAGAAAAAATTTCTTGAAACAAATGATAATGGAAACCCAATATACCAAACTTATGGGATACATCAAAAGCTGCACTAGGAGGGAAGTTTATATCTATAAGCACCTATATCAAAAAAGAAGAAAAACTGTAAATAAAGGACCTAACAATGCATGTCAAAGAACTAGAAAAACAAGGGCAAATCAAACACAAAATTATTAGAAGATAATAATTAACAAACACCAGAGCAGAAATAAATGAAATTGACACGAACAAAATAAAAAAGATCAACAAAACAAAAAGTTGGTTTTTTGAAAAGTTAAACAAAATGGACAAATCCTTAACCAGACTAACAGAGAAAAAAATAAGGCCCAAATAAACAAAATCAGAGATGAAAAAGGAGACATTACAACCCATACCTCAGAAATTCAGAGGATCATTAATAGCTACTATGAGCACCTATATGCCAATAAGTTAGAAAATCTAGAAGAAATGAATAAATTCCTAGACGTATAAAACCTACCAAGATTAAAACATGAATAAATCCCAAACCTGAGCAGCCTGACAAGTAATGAGATTGAATCCAAAAGAAAAAGCCTCCCAGCATAGAAAAGCCCAGGACACTAAGACTTCACTGCTGAATTCTACCAAACATTTAAATAAGAACCAATATCAATCATACTCAAACTATTCTGAAAAACAGAGGAGGAGGGAATACTTCCAAATTTATTATATGAGGCCAGTATTACCTTGATAGCAAAACCAAAGACACATGAAAACTACAGGCCAGTATCACTGATGAACACTGATGCAAAAATCGGCAACAAAATACTAGCAAACCAAATTCAACACATTAAAAAGATAATTCATCACGATCAAGTGATATTTACCCCTGGGATCCAAGGATGGTTCAACATGCGCAAATCAATCTATGCGATACATCATATCAACAGAATGAAGGACAAAAACCATATGATCATTTGGATTGATGCTGGAAAACATTTGATAAAATTCAACATCCCTTCATAATAAAAAAACCATCAAAAAACAGTATAGAAAGAATATACCCTAACAAAAACCACATATGATAGACCCACAGCTAGTATCATATGGAATGGAGTAAAACTAAAAGCCTTTCCTCTGAGATCTGGAACACAAAAAGGATGCCCACTTTTACCATCATTCAACAAAGCACTGAAAATCCTAAAGCAATCAAGCGAAAGAAAGAAATAAAGGGCATCCAAAGTGTAAAGGAAGAAGTCAAATTATCCTTGTTTGCAGATGATATGATCCTATATTTGAGAAAACCTAAAGACTCCACCAAAAATCTGTTAGAACTGATCAACAAATTCAGCAAAGCTGCAGGATATAAAATCAGCATACGAAAAGCAGTAACATTTCTATAAGCCAATAGCGAACAATCTGAAAAAGCAGTCAAGAAAGTAATCCCATTTACAATAGCTACAAATAAAATTAAATACCTAGGAATTAAACAAAGAGGAGAAAGATCTCTACAATGAAAATTACAAAATATTGATGCAAGAAGTTGAAGAGGACACCAAAAAAATAATGGAAAGATATTCCACGTTCATGGTTTAGAAAAGTCAACATTGTTAAGATATCCATACTACCCAAAGCAATCCACATATTCAATGCAATCTCTATCAAAACATCAATAACATTCTTCACAGAAATAGGAAAAACAATCCTAAAATGTATGTGGAACCACAAAAGACCCAGAATACCCAAAGCTATCCTAAGGAAAAAGAACATAACTGGAGGAATCACATTATCTGACTTCAAATTATACTAGAGCTATAGTAATCAAAAGAGCAGGGTACTGGCATAAAAACACAGACCAATGGAACAGAATAGAGAATGCAGAAACAAATCCATACATGTAAAGTGAACTCATTTTCAACAGAAGTGCCAAAAACGTACATTGGGGAAAGGACAGTCTCTTCAGTAAATGGTGCTGGGGAAGCTGAATATTCATATACAAAAGAATAAAACTAGACCCCTATCTCTCGCCATATAAAAAAATCAAATCAGAATGGACTAAAGACTTAAATGTAAGACCTCAAACTAAGAAACTACTATAAGAAAACATTGGGGAAACTCTCTAGGACATTTTACTGGGCAAAGATTTTCTCGAGTAACATCCCACAAGCACAAGCAACAAAGCAAAAATGAACAAATGAGATCACGTCAAGTTAAAAAGCTTTTGCACAGCAAAGGATACAATCAACAGAGTGAAGAGACAACTAACATAATGGGAGAAAGTATTTGCAAACTTCCCAACTGACAAGAGATGAATAACCAGAATATGTAAGGAGCTCAAACAACTCTATAGGAAAATAAATCCAATAATCTGATTTTAAAATGGGCAAAAGATCCGAATAGACATTTCTCAAAAGAAGATAAACAAATGGTAAACCGATCTATGAAAAGGTGCTCAGCATCACGATCATCAGAGAAATGCAAATCAAAACTACAATGAGATATCATTTCACCCATGTAAAATACGCGTTTATCCAAAAGACAGGCAATGATAAATGCTGGTGAGATTATGAAGAAAAAAGAACCCTTGTATACTGTTGGTGGGAATGTAAATTAGTACAACTACTATGGAGAAGCACAGCAGGGTGATGAAAGTCAATAATAATTCAATTGTACAATTTATTTTATTTTATTTTTTGAGTCAGAGTCTCACTCTGTTGCCCAGGCTGGAGTGCAGTGGCGTGATCTCGGCTCACCGCAACCTCCACCTCCCAGGTTCAAACTATTCTTGTGTCTCAGTTTACCAAGTAGCTGGGATTACAGGCATGTGCCACCACACTCAGCTATTTTTTGTACTTTTAGTAGAAACAGGGTTTTGCCATGTTGGCCAGGCTGGTCTCGAACTCCTAGCCTCAAGTGATCCGCCCCCGGCCGCAGCCTCCCAAAGTGCTGGGATTACAGGCATGAGCCACCACCCCAGGCTAATTGTACATTTTAAAATAACTAAAAGAGTACCATTGAATTGTTTGTAACACAAAACATAAATGCTTGAGGGAACGGACACCCCATTTACCCTGATGTGATATGTGTTATGTACCGCATGCCTATATCAAAATATCTCCTGTACCCCATAAATACATGCATCTACTAGTACCCACAAACATTAAAAATTAGGATTTTTTTAAAATGCACCAAATCATAAAGAAATTGTGAATTTTGACTACAATCCAGTTTCTAGTTTCTATATAACTAAAGACATGATAAAATTTTGAAAGATCAGCCACAGAGTTAGAGAAACCATTTAACTGATTAGTTATCAGTTTAACTGGTTAGTATCAGAATCTATAAACGATGTTTAATATTCAATAAGGAAGAGACAAATAATGCAATAGAAAAATTAGCAAAAGCTACATGCATTTAATTCATAGAAAAGGACATACAAATGATCAAGAAACATAAAATGTTCCTTAACCTTTTTATTTATCAAGGAGATGTCATTGAAACAACTCTAACATACCATTTCACATCCCAAAGGTGTGCATTTTTCTTTCTTTTTTTTTTTTTTTTGAGACAGGATCTTGCTCTGTGGTCCAGGCTGGAGTGCATTGGAGCAATGCTAGCTCACTGCAGCCTTGAACTCCTGAGCTCAAGCAATCCTCCCACTTCAGCCTTCCAAAATGGCTGAGACTACAGGTCTCTGCCACCACGCCCAGATAATGTATGGGTTTTTTTCAGAGATGGGGGTCTCATTATGTTGCCCAGGCCAGTCTTGAACTCTGGCTTCAAGTGATCCTCCCATCTCAGCCTCCCAAAGTGTTAGGATTACAGTCTTAAGCCACTACACCCAGCCTGGCCCTTTTGTTTTTTTTGTTTGTTTGTTTGTTTGTTTCTGTTTCTGTTTTTTTTTTTTTTTTTTTTTGAGATGGAGTCTCGCTCTTTTGCCCAGGCTGGAGCACAGTGGTGCAATCTTAGCTCACTGCAACCTCTGCCTCCTGGGTTCAAGTGATTCTCCTGCCTCAGCCTCCCGAGTAGCTGGGAGTATAAGCACGCACCACCAGGTCTGGCTAATTTTTGTATTTGTAATAGAGATGGGGTTTCGCCATGTTGCCCAGGCTGATCTCGAACTCCTGACCCCTGCCCACCTCAGCCTCTCAAAGTGCTGGGATTACAGGCGTGAGCCACCGTGCCTGGCCTAGGCACTTTTTTTAAAGTGACAATGCGAAATGTTGGAGGGACCAACATACACTACTGATGGATGTGCATTTCGGCAATTTGACAGCATCTAATAATACTAAAAATACAGAAGCCTTGCCAATCAGTAACTCTACTTCTCTAATGTATGTGCTATAGTTGAAATGCTCACACACATACACAAGAAGAAATTCACAAATGTATTAGAGTTTTGAGAGATCAAAATAAATAGATACATAAAGGAAACACATACATGTTCATCAGGAGAGGAAAAGACAAAATATGTCATATTCAAATAATGAAAAATTCAACACCTAAAATGAAAGAACTTAATTTACATGTATGTTGATTTATAAAAGCAAGTTGCAGGACAGCACTACATAATATGCCACTAACGCATTTTATGCAATGTTATCTCTCCGTACATGCCCATGAAGTCAATGTGTACAATTATGGAAGTGAAGGATACTCATCAAGACATTCATTTTCTCTGAGGAGGTGGGAAGGGAAATAGGTAGGGCCAGTAAGGGGTATGAAGGAGGCTTCAATGATATCTATCTACCATATTTTATGTCATAATAATTACAAAAATGAAAATCCAAAGCAAAATGTCAAAATGTTAAACTTTGTTATTTCTAATTAACCATCGGAAGTATTTGTTATATTACTTTTATGGTGAACTCATTTATATTAAATATGCTAAGTGCTTAATTAATTCAGCTATTGGACTATCAGTGGCAAGTTTAAGAAACTCAACTCAGCCAGGTTAGACAAAAAGGGAATGCACTGACTCACAGAACCCAAAGAAAGATCGAAAGACCAAACCGTGAGTAGGACCGATTTGGAGTAGATCTTAGAAATGAATTTGAACCAAGACTCTGGACTGCCACTTGGACTCTCTCACCAACGTCGGTGTCCGTGCCTTTCTGCGTAAAATAAGACTACCCTAATCCCACAACTTCAACTGCTGTTGCTGCTGCTGATACTACTAGCAGCAATGAGCATTGACATAGTCCTCATGGTGTGCACATCAAGAATCTAAGCACTTTGCGTTTATTGACTAATTGAATCCTCTGATTTCACTGCAGCACATACCTTAGAGAAGTAGAGTTACTGATCGGCAAGGGTTGTGCATCTTTAATATTATTAGATGCTGTCAAATTGCCAAAATACACATCTATCAGGAGTGTTTGAGTGGTACCTCCAACATTTGGTATTGTGACTTAAAAAAGTGCCTCTAAACAATACCATATTATGGATAAAGAAACTGAGGCACAGAGAAGTGAAATTACCTGTACAACTCCTACAGCTGGGGATGAAACCTAGGCAGGTGTATTTATTCCTGATCACTAGAAATTGACTTTCACCACCTTGAATAACTCTGAGTATTGAGTATTTCAAATATTTTTGTTTTTCTCATACTTTCTGCCACTGAAGAAAGACAGCTGATCTTTCTGGCCTCCGGTTTAAAAATCCAAGGGGAAGGCTGTGATTAACCTGTCTGGGGTCAGGTGCTCTTCCTGGATCTATCATCTGTGGCCTGAGAGTGGTAGGATGGGGCCGAGGTAGCAGTATTAGGGCATGGAACAAAACAGAAGTTTCTATGGAATTCATAAAGTTAGAGCAAGGAAAGAAGTTACCAGGAAAAATAAAGACTCAGTTTCCTAAGGGGTTGGGGGAAAGTGAGGATGAGGGGCTGGGTAGACAAATAATAGATGCCCTATACATTTTAACATGACATTAAACATGTCATGTTTTTTATCCCTTTGTTTTATTTAAAATACAAACAATGAGCATGTCTTGTTTTGTAAGTTTAAAAAAATTCAGAAAGCTTTTCAGCGTTCTTTCAGTGGCTGCCTCTCCTCTGAATTCTTCTCCCTTGTTCACTCCCTCCCCACTGGAAACAGACCCTGGCACATTGTGTTGGTGTATGAATGGAGTCAATGTCTCCCACACCATGCCTGAATTCCTCCTGAAAAGTTGAAAATGTTCTTTGTAAACATTCCAGCGTGAAGAAACTAGGAAAGTTACTTAAAGGTCATGCTCACATGTTGTTTTAAGTGATTAATTAAATGTTTTCATTTTATATTTTGGAATCAGGGTCAGAGAATTAGAAAGAAACCATGTGTTATAGCCACACAGACTTCGGTTCAAATCTTGGCTCTAGTGCTAACGGAAATCATTTTGAACATTTTTTCTTAATCTTCCTTATCTCAGATTCACCATTTTTTAAAATAGGGAAAATAAGAACAGCCTCATAGGATTGGGGGGAAGAGGGTTGAGTCTGCAATGAGTTTGATGAGTTTGTCCAGGTGGTAAGGTGATCATAGATTTGTGGGAGAATTTGTTAGTTTCCTAGAAGAGCGTCAGTGATCTTCCAGAAATCTGTAATTAGAGATGCATTTCTAGGCTGTTTTTCCTTTATTCAAGGGGAGATCAATCCCCTCGGGTACATTCTCTGACAGTCCTGTTCTAGGGAGTACTGCCCCTGGAGAAGAACCCTCTCATTGTGTCTTCACTTAGCATTCTTGCCAGAGGACACATATGTTTCATCCTATGTTTCTGCTGAAGGATATTCTCCAGCTTGTCTAAAACTGGGGCCCAACAAAGAGCCTCCTTTTGTCTTTCTCAACTAAGAGTCAACCTAAAGGGCATTAATAATAAGCTGTCTTGCACACTTTCTTTCTCCTCTATCAGAGAGACAGACCAGATAGAAACCTGCCTCTTAAGAGAGTATTCAGGAAAAGCATATTATTGCTGGAGTCCTGTATGTATGAACTGTTCAACCTGTGGTGGACAAGGAGAAAAGACAGAAGGGCATCTGTAGGAGGGAAACAGATCCCAAACTAGAAGAATCTGGATCAGCTAGAAAGGCAAGATGAGAACACAAGTGGAATGCTTGACTCATCTGCAGGGGACATTCACCTTTCAGGCATAGGGAGCAACAGTTCATGTCAAAGACTTAGCAGAAGTTCATGACTGGATTTAACCCTCAAGCTGAGTTCTGGGGCAATCCCTCCAGTATGTGGAGGGCCAGTGAGAGTGAAGAAAGGTGAGATGTAGAAGGTGATGCAGGCATGGAGGTGATGGGATTCAAGGAGTGCTGGTGAGGAAAAAGGGAAGGGAACCAGCCCAAGGGATACTTAGGAGGCTGAATCTGTAGGGCTTGGGGATTGTTTGGACCTATGAGATGAAGAAGAGGAACATGTCAAGAATGAGTCTCAGTTACAGGATGGAGTGTTGAGTTAGCTACAGTTCCATTTGTTGGAAAGGGCGTCTGGACATAGTAACAAGTTTCAGGGAGTGCAAAGCCCCAGGGATGGTTCTGAACACTGAAAGCAAGCATTCCTACCCTCATGGCCAGGACACTTCCACAATAAATTATAAACTGACCCTCATCTGTAGATAATCTCTTGTAAATTTGGTTAGCATAAAACATTCATACAAACTTCAGGGAAATTCATAAAATTAGATTGGAGAATGAAATTGCTGCAATTATAGAAACCTTATTCTTGTGCTTCCCTCGTTCTGGATTTGACACAGCTGCCAGCACCTCTCTCTCCATCTCTCTAATTTCAACAGGGAGTTCAGAGTTTAAGTCCCATAAATTACCAATTACCACAAGAGAGGTAGAAATAAGATGCTGAGGGAATTCAAAGAAGGCACAAGTTGTCTACATCTGGGATATGGGGGGATATGAGACAGACAAGCAGGAAAGCAGGACTTGATGCAGAGAAGAGTGGCATCTACTTAATTACAGAAGAAGGCTGTAGACGTTATCCGAGGATGGCTGGAAACTTTGAAGTATTAATAAAAAAGTAACAGAGTTGAAGCACACAGTACCTGGCAAACAATAAGCACTCATTCAATGAGTCTCTGACCTGGATCTCAATCTTAGCTTAGCATCTTCTCAGTCATGGGGCTCTCCTTCACTCACATCCACACCTGAACTTTCAGACTATAGTCTCGTGGCTAACAAGGTCATATTTTCTCAGTAGTGACTGCGATTTATCTTCTATTGTCGTCCATTTTTCTTTTGAATCCAGTAGCTCTTATTTGGAGAAGAAGGAATTAAGAGACCAGTATGCATTGGGAGGAAAGTCTAAAGTTGCTGGTATTGCATCCAGAAAAGGAGTGAGAAGAGTGGACTAAAAACAGTCCACAAAAAACAGAAGAGAATCTACACCATTTGTGGCCTGTTCAGTTTCCTCCCAAAGAAAATCTCCCTGGCAGTATCTGGGAGACACTCAGTAAATTATGTTAAATGAGTGAGTAAGGAAATGAATTAATATCCAATCATTATAATAATAGCTAATATTTATAAAGGACTTGTCTTGTTACAGTCACGGTACACAATGATTTACATTCATCTCTTCCTCTTCTGTTTTCCTCTTTTTATTCATTGTTGGTTAGGTAATTTTCCTAATATCACAGAACTAGTGAGAGATGAAATCAGGACACAAACTCATAATTGCAGTTATTTCAGTGTCACACTAATGCTGTTGCTATATTACATTTTAGATCAAATAGTCATTTGATATAGGCATGTTTTCATTTCTAAACTCAGAGCAACAGCAACTCTCATCCACAATGAGTATTGAAACATATTCATATTTGACACATACTGGGACGTAAAGTCACTATAAAAAAATCCCCAAGCTAACAAGCTGGCATTTGACCCCAGCTCTGCTAAGATCAAGTGAGGTCTTAATGTAAGACTGAAGAACAGCTGAGTATATCTTTTTATTCCCTTATCCAACAAATGTTTATTGACAACCTCTTATGTGCCATTCATACGTTAGATATTGGGGATAGAATGGTGAATCAGACAGGCATAGCCCCCTTCATGAATCTTAAAGTGGAGGAAACAAAACAAATAGGCAATGAAACACTACACACATCTATAAATAATTATTTCAGCAATTGATAGCTGTTATAGGAGTAAAACACAGGTAGAATGAGAGAGAATGGGCAGGTAGAGAGGGCTACTTTTGATAGGGTGGTTGGGAAAGGCATCTCTGAAGAGGTAATGTTTAAGCCAAGACCTGAAAGTTAAGAAGGTTGTCATGGTTAAAAATATCCAGAGGAAAAGGGTTTTTTTTTATATCCCTATAAGAAAAACAACAAAATAGTAAGCGTTTCCATGATAATCCTTAATTTTCCAAGCATTTCTGGATGCATTCTTTCACTTTTTCTGATTGGGAAAAGCCTATGGAAATCATTCCATTTTTGGGTCCTTTCCATAGATGGACTCAAGTTATTTGTTCACTTTCCCTATCGCTATTTTGTTAGTATGTTGGTTAATAATTGTAGGTCATCAATAAGGCTAGCTTAAAGGTCAACCAACTCTGAGAGACAGAAAATCCTCCAATTAGTTAAGAATCAGTGAAGAGTGATGCTTGGAGCCAGGGTGAAGAGTATCAAAGAAATCAAAGGGAAAGTTTCCCTGACCATTGTCCAAAAAGCAACCAATTGCTCTTTAGGGAAAGCCACAGTTGGCCTGCCTAATGAGCCTTGAAACTTTGAGCAAACAAATTCAGAGTCCACATTAGAGGCAAACAGAGGGCAAAGAGAGGGGATCATTAAACACACTGATTGGATGTGACCCTCTCCCCACTTGTGGAGTTTAGCCACCCTGGTGAGCCTTCATGGGTGAGACAGAGTAAGCATGGACTGGGCCACACCATCTCCTAAAGGAGACCTGCCCAAACCCCCCTTCCTGTTATTTTTCCATTAAGTTTCTGGCTGCCTCATCTTTTATTCCACATTGCACAGCCAGAACAGTTTCACTAAGAAGACTCAGAGATCACCAGGGTATGCAGTGTGGACGATCACTATAAACAGAGCAGTCATTGCTAATCCATCGCAACACGCTTTTCTCTGAGCCTGCAAGCAGCCTCAGTGTTCCTCTCAACACAAATCTACAGGCAGCTACTATCACTCAATAAGAATCAGAACACAATAAGAAATCTATGTGTCATTTCTGCATTCTAAACCATTTTAATATCACCATCACTAATATTGAATCACCACATGGCTCTCTATACGGATAGATACACTTGAGATTAGCTACTATAGTAGTAATTGCCACTAAATGAGCACCTACTATGCACTTAGAGAGCTTTTAAGTTCTCTACAGATTCTACTAACCCATTTTCATTGCAACTCCATGAAGTAAGACATAATGTTAGCCCCATTTTACAAATAAGGGAACAACAGGCTCAAAGAGGTCATGTAACTTGCAAAGATGTGGATCTCTGTGACTGAGCCAGAACATAAATCGAGACATATGCTGATTCCAAACTTGGGGCACTTTAGAGCACACCATATCATGATTAATTTTTTTGAGATAACAATATGGGGCACTTAAAGAATAAAAATTTCACCACTTTCTACTAAACCCAGAGCATATCCCTATCAATAACTAGCCTTCTATTACACGTGTTCTCATTTCTAAACTCAGAGCAACAGCAACAAGATCCACAATGAGTATTGAAACATATTCTTATTTGACATATCCTGGGAAGTAAAATCACTATTAAAAAATCCCCAAGCTAACAAGCTGGCATTTGACCCCAAGTCTGCTAAGATCAAGCGAGATCTTAATATAAGACTGAAGAACAGCTGAGTATATCTTTTTATTCCCTTACTCAAACAACAAATGGTTCCTGGCTGCTCACTATGTACTAAGTCCCGTACTGAGCAGCGGTGCTACAGTGATGAACAATATCCCACATATTCCACATAGTTGGAGCTTCCAAACTAATAGAGGATACAGACATTAAATAAACAAGTAGATGGAAGATCACCTATTTATTTTCATCAGCTCTAAGAGCCCTGAAAAATTAAAACAATGGTCAGTTCAATTTTGAATGTGGGTAGAGTGAGGTCAGAAAAATCTTTACATGGCCTGAAAGGATAGGTCTCAAAGAGAAGCAACAAAATCTAAACACTCAACCACATATCATCACAATGCCAAGAATCTAATAAAAATTACTAATCATATGGAGAAGCAGCATATTGTGACTCATGATCAGGAGAAAAATCAGAATATAGAACCACACTCAGGAGAGACAGAGCTGATGCTATCAGCAAAGACTTTAAGAGAGCTTTTATAAATAATCTGTAAAATTAAAATAAAAACCTGTAAGAGACAATAATATATATACACATACATAATATATATACCCACATATATGTATATATATACACATACACATATATGTGTGTGTGTGTGTGTGTGTGTGTGTGTGTGTATATATTAAAACTAAATGGTAAATTACCCAAAATGAAAAAGTCATGGGATGGGCTTAACATAATAAATGAAAGAAAATATCAATGAGCCAGAAGAAATAGAAATGGAAACCATCCAAATGATGCACAGAGAAAAAAAAACTAAAAAAAAATCAGAGTTTCACTGACCCTTTAAAGAATATGGAGTTTCTACCACACAAATAATTGGTATCCCAGAAAGAGAAAGGTAAAATATATTTTTAAAAATAACAGTTGAACATTCTTCACATTTAATTAAAACTGTAAATCCATGGATCTAAGAACCTCAATGAATCCAAGACAGAATAAAAACAAAAACCACTAAATATGTGTGTGTGTGTGTAGTCTATTTGCTGAAAACAGGTGATACAGAGAAAAATCTTAAAAGTAGAAAGTAAAAGACACATTATATAGGAAACAAACATAAGAACAATTCCAATGCAAGCCAGAATACAACAGAACAACATTTTAAAGTGGTTTTTTAAAATCCAGCCTAGAATTATATATACAACAGAAATATTATTAAAAGTAAAAGTAAAATCTACATTTTCAGAAAAAAATGGAAATCAGTAGCAGACCTACAATACAAGAAATATTCAAATGAAGCTCCTCATGCTGAAAAGAGTGGTAGTGGCTGGAGATGTGGACCTACATAAGGGAATGAAGAGAACCAGAAATGATTAATATGTTGGTAAATATGAAAAAAACTTTCTTTACTAATTTCTTTTAAAGCCATTGCCTGTTTAAACAAAAACAATGTTTTGTGAAATTTATAACAGGTAGAGAAAAAGAATGTATGACAAAAGCACAGAAGACATAGAAGGGAAATGGAAGTGTACGATAAACATTATTCATAAAGTGTTAAAATATTATTTGAAGAGAGAGATCATTATGAATCCTAGAGAAATCACTAAGAAAATGAAACAGAGCTATAGCTAATCACTCAACAGTGGAAATAAAACAGAAAACTAAAAATTATTCAATTAAAGTTTTAAGTAAAAAGAGAAAAAACAATAGATTGTTTAAATAGAAAACAAGGTTCAAACGGGTAAAATCAAACTCATTTGAATACTTCTATTAAATGTAAAATAGACTCCATTAAATGAAAAAAATTATATTTTGTAAAAAGCAAGCTCCAAGTGTAGACTATCTATATTGAACACTTTAAATGTGAAGACATAAGTGAGTTAAAAATTAAAGGATAGGAAAAGAAATGCCACGCAAACACTAATCTTAAGAAAATTGGAGTGGCCATATTAATATCAGAGAATGGAGACTTCCAGACAGATCAAGGAATATAGCTAGGGCATTAGGGAATATTTTAGGCTGATGGAAATATACTATATTATGATGTTAGTAAATACATGAGTACATGTATTTGTCAGACATCATCAAAAAGTACACTTAAAATGATTGTGTTTCATTGTATATAAATTGTACTTCCACTGAAAAATGTTGATTTTTTTTAAAAAAAAGAAGTAGAACCATATATGATGATTTGGGAAGATATTCAAGATATATTAATGAACAGAGCAAGTTAAAGAATTAGTTGTATATGTATATACATATATATATGTATATACATATATGTATATAATACATATATAATATATGTATATACATATATGTATATAATACATATATTATATATGTATATACATATATGTATATAATACATATATTATATATGTATATACATATACGTATAATACATATATTAACTATATATACACTAACATATATGTATATAGACACTATATACACTAACTGTATGTGTGTATGTACATATACACACATGCATATAGTGTGTATATATATCACATAGAACTTTTTTTTCAAAAGGATACACAGTGGAATGGTTAATTTGCTGCAGAGGAACTGGGGTTTGGCGAAGTCTTTTAGTTTTATCTTGTGTCTTTCTGAATTGCTCGAATTTTTCAAATAAGCACATAAATTCCTTTCAGATACATCAGTAGGGGTTATCTGCATAGTTAGAATATTATGGATATATATATATTACACACATATATATACAGCTTTTAATTTTTTTAATGAATAAACATTTTTAAAATAAACAGGCTTTCATTTGGTTGTATTTACTGAACAAAATACTGGGACAAATTTTCAAAGGCATTTAGTTTCAATGTCCCGAGATTATGATGTTGCTATAAATTAGTCATTTACATATTCTCCCCAGATGCAATTCCTTGGTAATTTCTCGTCTATTCAATAATCCTATATTGAGCATCACAGGAAGCTACCTAGAAGCTATGCTAAGACTGAGCATTTCACAAGGCAGAGATAGGTACAGAAGTTACCTTAACAGCAAATGTGATCCTAGGTGGTAAACAAACCCCCAGAACATACTTATTTCTAAGAAGGTTTACATAGGGCCAAATCTTTTTCTTCCTTAGCTCTGCTTGGAACAAAATAATATGTTGATCGTAACGTATCAATTTAAAATAAGCCAACCAACGAATCAACCAATAAATATTGATTCCAATCTTTTTTACCTGTGCCTCCAATTAAAATGACTGTTCACCTAGATAAAACATATCTATTTGAAAAGTCTATATCATGTCATAAGGGATATTTCAAGGTTTCACAGTTATTTGTTCACACCCCCATTACTTTTATTAGTAGGTTGGTTCATCATCACAGGTGATTAGCCAGGCTGGAGTAAAGGTCAACCACCTCTAAGAGAAAGAAAATCTTTCAATTAGTTAAGAATTGGTGCAGAGCAATATTGGAGCCAGGGTGAGAAATATCAAAGAAATCAAAGGAAAGGATGACCCAATTATTGTCCAAAAGGCAACCAATTATTCTTTAGGGAAAGCCAATCTTGGCCTGCCTAATGGGAGATGACATCCACCCCCCATGCCTATGCTGTGTCATCCTAATGACACACTCAAAAATCATAGGCAGGTGCATCTTGGTGTAGGAGACACAGGCCCATCACCATCCACTCTAGTCTTTCTCTTGCCGTCAACCTTCTCACGCCTCCTTTCTCCAGCATCACCACACTCTTCATGCCCTCCCTATATACAGCCTTCCCTTTCACCTGGTGGCATTTTTGTTTTTTGTTTGTTTGTTTGGGTGGTTGGTTTTTGAGACAGAGTCTCGCTCTGTGGCCAGGCTGGAGTGCAGTGGCACCATCTCAGCTCACTGCAACCTCCACCTCCCGGGTTCAAGCGATTCTCCTGCCTCCTGCCTCAGCCTCCCAAGTAGCTGGGACTATAGGCACATGCCACCACACCTAGCTAATTTTTGTATTTTTTTTTTTTTCAGTAGAGACGGGGTTTCACCATGTTGGCCAGGATGGTCTCAATCTCCTGACCTCGTGATCCACCCGCCTCGGACTCCCAAAGTACTGGGATTACAGGCGTGAGGCACCATGCCCAGCCTTGCTGCATCTTACGACCCAGCTCAAATGTTACCTCTTCTGCAAAGTCACCCCCGGCTTCCGCAGGAAAGTAGTCACTCCTTTGCCCCCAGTCCTGAACACTTACCTCTGGCTATGATAATCCACTGTATTACCACTATCAAGTCTCCCCTCCTACTACATGGGTGCTTCTCACTTTTGGATACACATTACAGTTAACCTAATGAGTTAATTTCTTTTTACTTGGGCTTAATTCCCAGAGATTTCTATAGAGTGAGTCTGCAGGTATGGCCTCGGCATAGGAGGTTGATTTCCCCAGGTGATTCTAACGTGCAGGTAAGGCTGAGACCCACAACAGGAGGCCAGTGCTTCAAAACTGTAACGTGCACATGAATCACCTAGAGTCTTGTCAAAATGAAGTTCAGTGTCAGGTGGTCTGGGGAGGGGCCCAAGATTCTGCATTTCTAGCAAGCTCCCAGCTGCCCCTGCGGCTGGACTCAGTGAGATATCAGATAGCAAACTCCTTGGGAGCAGGAAGCTGACACTGTAGTACTCGAAGACTGTGTTGTCAGGAGTTCTCATACATTGCAGGAGAGTGAGCATTGACCCAACCACTTAGAACAGTAATTTGGCAGAACTTATTAACCTTAAAATATGCACATATATTTTGACCAGCAACCTTGTTTTTGATCATTAGAGGATAATAAGAGCACACGAGGTTGTTTGTAAGGAATGTTTAGTGCAGCCTTGTTTGTGATGACAAAAAAAGTAAAAAAAAAACTAAATGTTTAAGAAAGAAATGGTTGACTGTAAATTATTTTTATACCTTCATGAAATATTATGTAGCCATTGAAAAGAATGACTTAGAGCTAAGTCTACGGATAAGGAGATTTAGTTCTGACATATCGTTAGTAAGAAAAAAAGGTTACCAAATAGCATTCATAGTATGATTCTATTTTTTCAAACAAATAGAAAAAGCCTATTACACAGGTTTATGTGTGTGTCTAGGCTTGATTGAGATGGCAAAAGATGTTGAAATGCACACAACTGGAAGTTGATATCAATTTGTCTTAGGTATTGATGGTGAGAAGCAAGTGAGGATGGAGGAGGGTATTTAAAAATCTTTATCTCATTTTCTTGGCTGTGGTGAGTATAACTCACTTCTGGAATCTTTAAAGGGTCATTAATGAAAAGAAAACAAAAATGTTTGCTAATATAGACTCCAATATGAAAT
This sequence comes from Homo sapiens, assembly GCF_000001405.40. Taxonomy (NCBI): domain Eukaryota; kingdom Metazoa; phylum Chordata; class Mammalia; order Primates; family Hominidae; genus Homo; species Homo sapiens. The sequence continues at coordinate 80,414,023 of NC_000016.10, forward strand.
GCCACCAGACGTTCTATTTCTACTTCTAAAATTCAATTCAGATCACAACCCCACTATAAGTTCCTCACTGCCTCACTGGCCCCAAGTCTTGAGGACAAAGTGCAAGTTCCTTAGCAAGGTGTACAAGCCCCTGCATGACCTGTTTACTGCCTGCCTCCCTACCTTCAGCCCTAGCTTCACCCTCCCCCACCTGTATACATGCCTTCGTCATCCCAAGCATTCCATGTTCTCACTGGTCTCCAAGCTTTGCACATGCAGTGGCCTCTCTCTGCGATGCCTGTCCTTCCCTCCTTCACCTGGATTATTATTATTTTTCCTTCAAGGTTCAGCTCAGAGTTTCTTCCTCTAGGAAGACTTTCTGACAGCTCTTCTGCAGGACTGGATTGGATGCTGCCTCTGTGGACTCTAATAGCACCCTCTGTCCCAGACTAGTCATTCTGAACTGTAATTTTATGTTTACTTGATATGTCTACTAAACTATTTGTCATTAAGGATAGGGGACATACTTTGGGCCACCATAAATGCTCAACAAATATGTGTTGAATGGCTGAATTGCTGAGTAAAGTGGATGGGTGGGTGAATGATAAAGATGAATGGGTGAATGAATGGAAGGAAGGACAGATAATACAAATAGATGGATGGATGGATGATTGATGGATAGATGAATGGCAGGCACAGAGCTGCAATGACTTTCTCAAGATCACATAGCCAGTGGCTTCTAAGAAAAAATAAGTATGTGACACCAAAAAAGTAAAAGAAAGAAAAGAGTAATACTTTTTCCCAGGTCTATTTACTCCTTCTGATGATGCCAGAGCCACCTTTGGACAGTCCATGAATCTGAAAATCCTTTTGGGTCAGGCTGGAAACCAGGACTGTCAGCTTAAAAGCCATGTCAGTATTCATCTTGCCACAGCCTCTGCTGGAACCAATGCCCTCAGACAGGTGACTCAGAGATCAGAAGTGGTACCATGTATTTTCCTTTCAAGCTCACTCAGGACCGAAATGAGATCTCCAGGTAGTTCAGAATCCCACACCCTCACACACACATGCATACACGTGCTCACACATGCACACACATACATATGCACACTCACAGGCAGTGGGTCAGTACAATGCAGGAGAAAATGGCAAGGCCTGTGATGCCAGAGAAGCTGCTGCAGCTCATTTAACACCAAATCACTTGTAATCCATCAGACCTGGCATTTTCTCTCTGCCTTTCCAGGGTGTCTTAATAAAGCTCTCCAAAATTGTATTGCTACTAAGAAAAATCAAGCATATAAAAATGCCTAGTCACCAGCCTATTGCAAACTAAATTTGGACGTCAGTAGCACGGAATCATTTTGAGAGTAAAAGGGGTGCCCACTGGACACTGAGAGTAAACTGAGGTGTCTGAGACAAAGCAGGGTATATGTTCACCTTAGACACGAAGGTCTCTGAAATCACTGGTTTCCTGGCAATTGGCATGTATTTTTCAAATTTTAGTGGGACATTTTATTTTTAACATAATTGATGGAAGCAATAACTTTTCATTCATACCTGTATTTCTGTTTTCTGGCATGGAACCTGACGTGTAATTGCCCATTGAATGAATGAACCACATCAGTAACCATCACAGTGGGTCCACATAACTCAGCTCCCCTAGGGCCATCCCCTGGTGTAGGGAATAAACTTCCACAGCAAACTCCCAGACATCTCCCACCCATGCCTCCTCTCTGCACCCTCCCCTTCCTGATTCGCATTCTCAGACAATCTCCTCACTCAGCACTACTCAGCCCTTTAGCTCTTATTCTCTATCATTTGATCGACCTCCTAACATCCTGATTGAAGACATAAAATAGGCCCTGGAGCTTATGATTCTAAGAAGGACACCAAAATGCGCCCTCTATGTCCTTCAGAGTCACACACCCTTGCTGGGCTCTTCCTTCTTCTATTTGTTTTGAGATGGAGTCACGCTCTGTCACCCAGGCTGGAGTACAATGGCTCCATCTCAGCTCACTGCAACTTCTGTCTCCCGAGTTCAACCGATTCTGCCTCAGCCTCCCGAGTAGCTGGGATTACAAGTGTGTGCCACCACATCTGACTTTTTTTTTTATTTTTTTGTACTTTTAGTAGAGACAGTGTTTCACCGTGTTGACCAGGCTGCTCTCAAACTCCTGGCCTCAAGTGATTTGCCCGCCTTGGCCTCCCAAAGTGCTAGGATTACAGGCATGAGCCACAGCACCCAGCCTCTTCCATCTTTTGTGAGCCCCTCCCTCACACGCTTTCTCAGTTGGGGAAGGAGAAAGCCAACTCTGCTTGCATTAACCATGTGATATTTCTTCACAAAGAAAACAAATGCCTCCTAGGGTTGGTTTGTTCTCCCTTGTCTAAACCATCATCCCATTTGTGCTTTAGCTTCATCTTCAAGCTGGGTTGTAAACTCTTTGAAAGAAGGAGCTGTGTCTTCATACTTTGAGATTTCCACCAATAAGAATATCCCACAGTAAACAGTGTGTTTGCTTCACTATACAGTTTCCTTGAAAGGACCAAGTGCAAAATGCCATTAATAGTCATGTAATTTACTTTTGTTTTCTGGCTTTTTCTAGATGAATGTAAAGGTATTCCCAAGGGTTTTCATATATTTACTTTTCACCTTGATCCCCAAAATTATTTTTACTATAAAGCCTTAGAATCCTTAATCACAACTTCTCAAACCATTTGAGTTGATCATCTATGACGAAAAGGATGAGGGCAAGAGAAATATTTTAGGTTAATGATTCTCAAATTTGAGCTTGTATCAGAATCCACTGGAGTGTTTGTTAAAACACAGAACCCTCCAGTGGTTCTGATTCCAGTGGTCTGGGGTGTGGTCCAATAATTTGCATTTCTAACAAGTTCCCAGATGTTGCTGATGCTGCTGGTCCAGGAACCACATTTGGAGAACCCCTGCTCCAGCCTTCAAGAATTCCTGGAAAACACGTGTCTGCATTCTTTTTTTTTTTTTTTTTTTTTTTTTGAGATGGAGTCTCGCTCTATCACCCAGGCTGGAGTGCAATGGCGCGATCTCTGCTCACTGCAAGCTCCACCTCCTGGGTTCACGCCATTCTCCTGCCTCAGCCTCCCGAGTAGCTGGGACTACAGGCATGCGCCACCTCGCCCGGCTAATTTTTTGTATTTTTAGTAGAGACGGGGTTTCACCGTGTTAGCCAGGATGGTCTCGATCTCCTGACCTCGTAATCTGCCCGCCTCGGCCTCCCAAGGTGCTGGGATTACAGGCGTGAGCCACAGCGGCCGGTCATGTGTCTGCCTTCTAATAGTGCTAGTGTCAAGATTTCTGCCTTTCAGTTCTTCAGTCCAAATCTTAAATCTAAATCAATCAGATATAGGAGCCAATATTTTTATTAAGCACATACGATAGGTCAGGAATTTGGGGGAGGTCAAGAACTTGGCAGAGTGCTTTTCATGCATCTCTCAAATCATCTTCCACAACCGTCTGAGATATAGCCCACGATTGCCTTAATTCTACAAATGAGAACACTAAGGGACAGAGAGAGAAGCTCTTCCCAAAGTCACACAGATAAGACTCCAGAGCCAACACCCAGGAGCAGTGTTTACATTGCCTACACTCCGATATTACAGAATAATACATACAACCTATGGAAAAGTGTGCAAGGAAGGAACATGCCTGAAGGTGGAGCATCAGTGAGTTGTAAAACATCATATCTGGTCAGCAATCCCTGAGACAGATGTACTGACCTCCTTTTCCAGCTCCAGTAACCTGTCAGATGTCATTCAAATGCTCAACTGCCTTGAGTTGAGTTCTTCTGAGGGCAGACCCTGAGACAAAGACACGGATTCACCATACGTGGGAGGTGATCCCAGGAGGCATAAATAAGGAAGTGAGAAAATGAGACAGAGAATAGAGAAAGGCTAACAAGTTGTGGCCTACTGGGACTTGTCCCCCTAGAGATCCTCTTTGGAACCAGTTAGAATAGACTTCAGAACTGAACAGCCATGGGTGGGGAGCCTGGGGCATTTATCTATTGACTTCCATCTGCTGTTGGTTGAGGGTTAACTCCCTCCACCTCTCAGTTGTACCCGCACAGCGCTGAGCAGGCTTTGTCAACTTCAGAGAAGGCCAGGCAGCAAGATAATATCCAGCTTCCTCTAGATGCACAGAAATTTGGCAAAAAGAAACATCACACCTACTCCTTCCAGACTGGGTGGGACAGTCTAACAGTGTCCAGGTCTCACTGGAGAAGTTTCTGGTATTGGGATGAAGAAAACATGCATATCAGAGGGAGTCCAAACTCAAGTCAGTGAGTTTTTTTAAAAGCTTGTATTTGTATATTTGATGTGCAACCTAATTAGACCAGAGCATCTTTAATTAAGTGTGTCAGCCCCAGTGGAAGCCACAGAGTTCCATGCTAATAAAGCTGATAAAGGTTTTTGTTTCCCAGACTTCTTTTATTTAATGCCTCAACCATGTTAAGCCAATCTGTAACATATGGGCAGTTCTCCCACTATGGATTTATCACTTGGGTGTTTCTTTCTGTGAATTAATGCAATCAAACTCCTGCCAGTGTTAATTATTTTTATTCGAGAAGCAAATCCCAGAATTTAGCAATAACCAGCTGTAATTTACTGTTGGCAGTGCAGCAGAACGATGGACTCGTGCTGCCTGCCACCACCCCGGGCAGATGGGGAGAGGCCTCTGTGCTCTGGGGCTGACCTAAGATTTCAGTGGTTCCAGATACAGGCAGAATTCTTGGCATTGGCCAGCCTTATCACCCCTCTAAGAGCATAAATCTTGTGGTTTGCAATAAGCATCCCTTCTAGAATTTTTGCTGGTCACTAGGCGACCGCACGCCTGGCAGACTTTGTGAGGTGGGATGTACTGCACACACCACCTGCCTGGCCCCCCTTGTCAGGTCTTGCTAATAGAACACTGGACAACAGTGTTGACCTTTGGGCCTTTCTAGTGCTCTCCCTGATGGCTGGAATACTTTTCACCACATTGGCCCATAGCTAGCAATCTCTCCTTCTCCAGGTCTTGGCTTGAATGTCATTTCTGTCCACCCCATTTAACAAAGTTCTCAGTCACATTGAATTTCTTTCTCAGTTCTCCTTTTTATTCAAAGCCTTTAGCACATGATCATAATCACCTGCTTTGCTTAACTATCTGTTTACTTACCATGTGCTTTCCCCTAGAATATAAGCACCCTGAGAGGGTGTCATGTAGCCTTATTTAGTGCTGCATCTCCAGCCTCCAGCACATTGTAGGGTATAGAATAGATGCTTAGTCAATAGCTATGTCGTAAATGGATAAGGAAATCTCAAAGGGATGACTGTGGGCTTTTTCTACCCAAGTCCTGTCTGCATCAGAAATATTATAGGTTATGAAGAACCACAAGTTTATTTTGATACTTGACTAGGAGGGTCACCCATCAGACAATAACAGAACAAAAGAGATCAACAATAAGACAGAATATGTAGCCATCCTTGGCTAAATGATGAAGCGGGTCAGAATTTAGAATAAGCAAACCAGAATTTGAATTCTGGCTGTGTGACCTCAAGTCAATCATTTACCCTGTCTGATTTTTATTTCTTCATCCATAAAAAATGAACACAACCATCACCAATGACGTATAAAAGCAAAATTTGTAAGCAAAATTGTTCAATAAATGGTCTTTGAATCTGAACTGGAGGAAAACCAGTCTCAGAAGAAGAAACAGTGCTGTCCTTGGAGATATCTGTATAAACAAGTAAATAAACACCCAACTGGATTATTAAATTTGTGGCATAGGCCCACATGATTGTATAAAATGTAGGAAGTCCTACGATCAATTCTCAACATGGTAAGTCTTGCTGAAGTTACTTTGCCATAGTTTTATTGTAGCATTGCATGAGGTACATTCCTGTGTCTTGGATATCTACTTTAAATAAAAGACAAAAATAAGACTTCCTTTATTTATCTTCATATCTCCTTCACGCATTCCAACATTGTTCATTCCTGGAATGACTTAGATATTTAGGGACATTGGTCTGGAAATGCCAGGAGAATAAGGCTCCTTTAGGATAACAGATGAGTCTAGCAAGCTGAACCCCAAGGACTGGGTACTTTCCTGTCAGCTTCAGAATGAGGGTAAACCTCAAAGTTAGTATGAAGCAGAAAACTCAAATGAATGAAAGGCAGCTTTCATTCAGGGAATATCTGAAATATCTTACTCTTTGCAAGGCACAGATTGCCCACCTGTTTTATGAAGGGCTATGTTTCTCTCTATGTATACAGGTGAGAAAGGAAAGTTCTAGAAAAATACTCCTGACAACTCAAGATGTCAAGTCTGCTATCCAGTAATTGAAAGGCACAGGAAGAAGGGAGAAGATAGGAGAGCTGATCCCTATGCCATGATTTCATATTATTGAGTTCTCTCCACTCTGATAACCCAATGGCTCCCCAAAACTCCTTCCATGGAAACCTGCCAACCCAGGTGCACCCTGCTTGGCTAAAACTCTGACAGTAGCAGGAAAACGTGCATGCCTTGCATGAGACAGTCTGGCTTTTCCCCAATCCATAAGCACCGAGACGCCAAGCTCAGGGTGACAGTTCCACGGCGCAACCCCAGAGCCTAAGCCACCGTTGCCCATATGCTTTCTGTGCTCAATAAATGTTGAGTAAATGCTTTCACTCAGTCCTCAACATCATCTTTCTCATTTTTAAAAGCAGCTCTATCTTCTTCTATGTAGACAAACACAGAAGTTTTAGTCCATCATGAAAGGGAGAAGCCGCCTTTCTTCCCAGGAAGGATGGCTGAACACATGACTTGAACTTGACTGAGTAATCTGCATGTGTACTTGAACTTGATCAAGTAAACTTCATGTGTGTGCAATGAAATTTCACTGAATGTGTATCTGAGAGACCTCTAGGTTGAACACATCTGAAGTAGATATAATGTAAAAGATAGTTAACTTTTCATTAATCTCTTTAGATACCTCTGTTTCTAGTTCTAGATTAACTTTCCTCATAGGACAGAGATACATATTGCCATATTGCCCTTGGATAACTAATCTAACTTGTTACTCATGGCTGCACATGAATTAAAGAACTAAAGCTAAAATTCATTCCAATTCATATCTGCATTGATGACTTGCAGAGGGGAATTTGATAGTATGTGATATTATTGGTGATAATATTCTCATTGATGTTTGATATTTTATCACATAAACTTGATAAATTAAATAAACTTGATAATATTCTCTTTGGATTTAGAAATGATCGGAAGTCAAGGGATACTATCAACAAATGGGAAGGAGGGGTTAAATTTTGGGAAGGCTTAGATCCTTGGGAAAATCATCCCACAGGAACAGGATGAACCTTATAAATTATAAGCTCATAAACAACGGGTATAAGTGAACATACAGAGGGAAATAATAGACACTGGGGACTCCAAAAGTGGGGAAGGTGAGAGGGGGACTGAGAGTTGAAAAATTATCTCTTGGTTGCAATGTTCCTTATCTGGGTGAAGAGCACACTAGAAACCCAAGCCTCACTACTTATGCAATCTATCTATGTAACAAATCTGCATATGGACCCCTCAAATCTATAAAAAATAAAAATAATAAAAATCTTAAAAATAATTATAAGCTCAAAATGGTGTGATTTAAGACAAAAGTGGACTTGGACACAATTGCTGGCCGTAAGTGGAATATAAGTCAGCAATAAAACAGACACCAGGAAACAGGTCCACAGAGAGGAGACTAAAAATTTTATCTGTCTCTACCCATGCTCAACTTAGAATGAAATGGAATAAAGTAAATATTTGAGCTGGAAGTGCTATTATAAATCATCTAGTTCAACCTCCTCCTTTAAGGAATTTCACAGTGGGAAAGTGGCTTGCTCATGGTCACCTTAGTAATGAACAGCAGAGCTGGGGCTGGGATTCTGGCCTCAGCTTACCCCTATCTCTCAAACTCCAGTTGTAGTTACATCAGGTGATAGGGATTGCTTTGCTCTAGCTGTGAAGAGAGCAGTAAGAAGACACGTCCAAATGCTGTCTTTGACCTAGGATTGTGAATCAATGAGGGTTACTTGCATGTGGAAATAGGGTCAATGGCTCACCGAAACTCCTTCCGTGGAAACCAGGCAACCCAGACGCACCCTCCTTGGCTGAAACTCTGGTGTTAGCAGGAAAACTTGCTGTCTAGCAACTTCCACAGATACCAAGGACACATATTCCAAAGGTGGAATACGTCCCATTGTTGCTTTAATTTGAAAGCTTTGTCATTGAGGCAGTTGAGCAAATTTTCACATTTTTTCTTTGATTCATTTTCATTGGTTATGCAGGGAATAAATAGTTTGAGAAATGCGATTTTCTGAGTCCACTGCCAATGTCTCTGAAAAGCCAGTCTCAAACCACTCTTTTCTGGATCAGGCTGTTTCTCAGAACATTTCTGTGCACAGAGTCATGTGGCATCTGTCCAGTCTCCCAGCTCATGATGGTTACTGCTATTCCGGCCACTCTTCATGTTTCTGGTGGCATGCTCGGTTCTGCTCCCACAGGAAATCATACTCTTGAGGTGCCCTCAGTCACTAAGTCCCAAAGACAGGCTGGTTGGCTTTCTAAGTTCTTACTGCAAACTTAGCACTTTTATTTAAGTAGATCTTTTTTTTTTTTTTCTTGTAGCCCCCTTTCGTTTCCCCTGGATCCTAGAACTGGTCTGCAAATACCTGCAAGTGACCATAAGCAGCTACTCTCACCAATCCTTTCCCTAGCTTTTTTCTTGGGCTACATCTATGAGTTCAGGATGAGTTCCACCCCAACATGATAGGTATTTTAGGGCTTAGGCATGTCCTCAGACCTACAATCTGCCTGGATGGGATTCTTCAACTTCAGTCCAAACAGGCCCTTTAGGTTTTCAAAGAAATAAACACCTTCTAAGAGCCCCTATCACCTGTCTTGATAGATGTATCTGATGTCTCCCCAAAGTGGTTTATTCTTTGTTCTAAGAACCCTTCTCTACTTTGTTGATCAGTCTGGCTTCTACACAGGAATGTAACTGTTTTGAGAGCAGAAGCCATCATATATGTATACACATATGTATAACATATTTGTTATATAAATATGTGCATTTATTTCCAAGAATATTCAATGGGCACTGCCACTGTGAAGCTCTACTTAGATTTTGACACATACAGTATGCTTAGTAAATGCCACTTCTCTTGAGTGTAAAAATTTCAAAACCGGAAGTAAATGGGAAAGAATCTAAGGCAACTATTAGGAGAGGGGAAGGTCATAACATCAACTTTCCCCACATCTGGAGTATAAGATACAAATTAGAATACATTTGCTCTTTTATTTACCCCGTGTTTGCCTGCTTTCACAGGGCATTCAGCTTTCCTCTCCCTAATTTTGGCTAAGTGCAATGGGGTCAACCTAATGATAGGTTTGGGATTGGTGTTAATCACCATCTGGTGGCTGTACCTCAGGCTTAATGTGGAACTGGCAGCCCATCGAAGGGTCATGGTAATGCCTGTAAAACCTTCAAAGCTGGTGTCTGAGCCTGTTAGCAAAAGGTTATCTATCAAGGTTTCAGATGGATGTATGAATGTTCTTGTTAATGATTTTGTTCCGGGAGGGCTAGTTTCTCAGCAGCAGTTTAACTTGTTAGGCAGAAATTAAACTCTGCCCCATATGCAGCTCATTGTCCCTCCTCTCTCAACATAGGAAACTTTCTGGTAGAAACCATTATGACTCCTAGTACTTGAAATTGCTGTTTTTGAGATAGGAAGCTGAGATAAAAGTTCCCTGGTTCTGATGAGCTTGGAAAACACTTGCTGTAATGTCAGTCTGACCATGCTACTTACTGGTTTAAAGCTTTCAGTGTTGTCCTGCTGCCCATGAGATAAAGATTGGTACCATTAACAAGGATCACCAAGCCCGATCATATACCCACAGTCTCTACGTTCTCCTTTTGTGCATTTCCCATGTTGGATATATAGGAATATTGTAGGATGTATAGGTATATCCTACAATAATCCCATGAGAAATGTATATGTCATTATTATCAGAGATTAAGTATCTTTCTCTAGGTCACAGATTTATAAGTGACATGAGTGGGATTCAAAGCAAGAGCATCCAAAGACCATGACTTTGAACTTTCACTTTTTTTTTTTTTCTTTAAGACAGAGTCTTGCTCTGTCACCCAGGCTGGGGTGCAGTGACACATGTTGGCTCACTGCAACCTCTGCTCCCTGATCCCAGTGATTCTACTACCTCAGTCTCCCGAGTAGCTGGGACTACAGGCATGCGCTACCACGCTAGGTTAATTTTTGTATTTTTAGTGAAGATGGGGGTTTCACCATGGTGGCCAGGTTGGTCTTGAACTCCTGATGTCAGTTGATCTGCCTGCCTCGGCCTTCCAAAGTGTTGGGATTATAGGCGTGAGCCACCGCGCCCAGCCCATGCCCTTGAACTTTCAAACTAAACAAGATTATTATGAGGATCAGAAAATAAACGAAATTTAAAAATTGTGTATATGAGACTCTGATGCACTCTACAAAATCACGAATATTATTACATTTTTTAAATAATGAAAAAATAAGGGAAATTCTATTGCAACTTTAGATAATATGCACTGTGTTTTTCTTTATTCTCCTAGCATTTTACATTCTGCATTCTGGTAATATTCATCTAACATTCAAAGTTAAGGCAGAAAGATCTCTCCACTTCTCAAATGCACTTGTAATTATTTTTCTATTATTCTGTACACTGTGCTTTCATAAAGCCATCTCTAATCTATCTTTTCTTGGCATCTGTGACCTGGTTTATTTTCTCCCCACACTTTGTCTGCTCTGAACCTTATAATGAAACCAAAGGTTAAATGTAGACTCACTCAACACCCACAACATTAAAACAATTGGATGGAAAATAATCTCATCTTGACATGCTGGGGGAGATGTGCTGCACACCCAGTAGAGTTAATGGGAGTTACAGCCAAAACCAAGGTGAAGCCTCTGCTCCCAAGGGCACAAAAGCAAAGAGAAGAACAGGGGAAGTTTAAATTCAAAAAACCCCATAGCTGCATAAAGAAGTCTAGGAACCTGAGTTCTAGACTTTGTGAAAATTATGTATGTTGGAAACTGGTCTCTAGCCCTAGACTTGGACAAAAGTAGAACTAGCTCTTCCATTTAGTAGCTGTTTCACCTTGAGAAAGTTAATTCCAATTAGACTCCAGCTTATTCATCTTTAGAAAAGGCATAAGAGTAGTATGTAATTAACTCAATTATGATGGATTTTATTGGAAAGTGAAATAATATTCTACATGCAGAATACACTGTACAAAGTAAATACTCTAAAAATTAACTAAGGTTAGAATTATTATTTTCATTATCATCATCATCTCAATTATCAGCAACTTCATCACATTTGCAGAACAGGTATTTTGTTCTCATGTCAATTGGCTTCCAAGCCCATTATCATTACAAACTTTCAGGGCCACAGTTGCTACCACCTAAATCTGACCCCCACAGGTAGTCATAAAGTGTTTCCTTCATGAACAGTCTCAGTTCATCTCCCCAAAGGCTCTAAAGCTGACATTATCCCTATTTCACAGCTGGCAGATATGGAAGCTCAGAGAGATTGAGCTGTGTATCAAATAGGACAGCATCTGTCATATCTGATAAACAAGCAGAAAGGTCAAGGTTTTTACAGACCTATATGTAGGATAAACCCATGGCCATAATAACCCCATCTTCCCAGCCCTTTTCTGTTTTTCCTCACACCATCAACAAAACTCCCCATATTTGATCATAAGTAGCATAGTGTTTTCAGGAAAGAAGGAGCTTATGAACCTACAAATATGGATTTTACCCCCAGTCAATCCAGAAGGTATTTGTCCTTTGGGGCTTTCTTAGGGGATATGAGGACCCTTGATAAGTACCAGCAATCAGCATTTGTGATGTCCAGTTGGATCAATACCTCCTGGGAACATCAAAGACTTCCCTCTAAATCATAAGTCAACCATCATCAACACAGAAAGTCCAAATAGAAACATAGGGGAGGAAATAAGTTCCAACTCTTTAAAAATATCCCAGCCCTAAGAGAAAAATTCGAAGAATACAAAGGTATTTCAGATACATCCCAAATAGAAGATATGGCTATAAACACAATATACAGGAGAAAAGACACAGGTACACTCATCATTGAAATGTCCAGACTCTACTTTGTAGGCTAGGTCCCCAGGAGGCCTCACCCTAATTCTGTCTAAATACCCCCTTTCTAAGCTTTCTTAGGACAAGACACCCAAGACTTAAAGGCAAACTCTCATTCTTCTTGGATAGTGCTTGGGAAACTGTTTCTTTGTTCCTTTTGTGGATCTGTTAAGAAAAATTACTCGTGACACTTGTTAAAGAATCATGAAGCAGACTTCATGTAGGACCATCACAATAGGTATCAGGACCACTCCAATGGGGTCTCACAGAGCAGAAGAGAGATTGGGCTCAACTCTGAGTACAGCATGAGCAAATGAGGATTTACAAGGAGCATGGTAGAGGTCAGTGGATGAAAAATTCCTGAAAGGAAACATCAGGAGTAAAGGGGGATTTTGGCTAAACTGACATAAAAGGATTCTTGCTGAAGACAGGCTAGGGTGATTGGAAGTCACCTCAGGGAGGTGGAGGGATGAGAAACACAATTAGGTGCCGAAAGTGACCAGATATCAAGGGTGGCGAGTTCTGGGTAAACTGACTTAGCTGGAGTCTTGCTAAAATTGGACAATGCACACAAAACCATGGAAACCCAAAAGTCAGCCCCAGTCGAAAAGTTCAGAGGAGCTTGAACAGAGTTTGATCAAGGAGACGATCTTTGTCAGGTCTCCTCTGTGGGGGAGGATTCTTCATAAGCTCTGAAGTGTAAAATAAAAAGGAGAAAACTGGTCAAACATCAACCACCTGGCAGCCTCAGCCCCCTGGATACATCAAAGTGACAATGGATGTCATTTGGACAGAAGTCTGTGCATAACTGCAGTCCAGGTTGGCTCCTTCTATCATCTCTGTTCCCTCCCTCCCTTTCCCACCACTGTTGTGGGGAGGGTTGCCTTTGGTTTGAAATACCACCCAAAACATAAAACATTTCACCCAGGTTGAATTTACAAATAAAGAGCTAAATTCCATCCAAAACTAAGACATAATGCCTTATGTCTTAAGTACATAAAGCGGGGGAGGCGGTGTCAAAGACATTCTCTTTGCAAGTCAGTTTAAGTTTTAAATTTCAGCTACATTTTTTTTGAGCCAAGACCCATTTATTTAATCCTCATGATTAATGGGGTGAGCACTGTCATTCCCAGTACACAAATAAGGAACCAGAGGCAGAAGTCAAATTAAAGTGCTCCAGGCCAAACAACCCTTCAACAGCAGAGCTGGATTCAAATCCAGCTATTCTAGCTCCACATCCGAAGTTTCTGGTACTATCCCATCACACTTCCGCATAGTTTCCCACCAAGATACGCCCTGTGCCAGTATTAGGGCGAGTTCTCTTTTTTATATGTCTGAAGCTCATGGTTGGCTTCACTTTGCTTTATCTAAACTACTCTTTCTTCACTTCCATCCCCTAGAAATATTCAACCTAAAAATGAAGGTAGCCTCCCCTTAAATTCTCTAGTGGAAGGAAAGAAAAAAATGGTTTTCTGTTCCTTTCTTGGATTCGCAGACAACTGTGGAGATGTGGCATGGCCTCGGATCTTGGCTGCTATTGTCCTCTGTATGTTTTATTCCTTCACATACACCTTAATTTGCCCAGGAAAGAAACAGATATCTGATATGACAAGTGTATGTTGTTTTGTTTTGTTTTTTCCTGGAGATCTGACTGTTCATTTTTTCCTTGGAAGGGATAGAGTATCTTTCAAAAGTTTCAGCCCTGGGTTTTTGAGAAACGTATCCGGGTGGCATGTCTGTCACTCTCCACAGTCCTCAAGTGAGCCTTGGCAATGTTCACATAATGGCATTTGTTGACAGGTTGTTAGGGCTGACAGTGAATATGTTTGAAAAACTGTCAAGCTGGTGAAAAAAAAAATTAAAGAGAGAGCTTCCTTACATTTGAAACAGCATGTTAAACTGTAAGTACATCCTCAAAATGCAGAAACCTCCATTCTCATCAAGTTACATGCTCACAGTGACAGCCTGAGAAGGTAGAATCCCTAAAAATTAATGTCATCTTGTCCCTTGAAAGGTCATAAGGCACATTACCACTAACCTCTATTTATCTGCATAAAATTGAGTTTGCCTTTAATGCTCAATAACAGGTGAATAGAAGAGAGGCATCATTGCAAATGCAGTCAGGGTGATGCAAGGTGTTTAATTGGGCAAGCAGAACTGCCCAAGGAGTTGGCAGGGAGCCCTAAAATGTGGCATTGCAAGTCTAGTCACTTGGGCCACTATTGTGATTGATCTTTAATCAGTAGGTTTTCAAGGATTGAGTTAACTCACAAGTGGTAATGGAAGCAATGAATGGACAGAGTGGCAATGTCAGTTACCCGTCGGTTCGACAAAAGAAAACCCACCATGTCCTGAAGGTTTCCATTACTAGGCATATCAGAGGTCACAGAGAATGACATAGGGGCACATCCATGGCATTTTTCTATGGCCATTGAAATGTGGTAATGACTAAATCTGACTGTCAAATGCACATTGAAGGTCATTATCAGCACAATTCTAGCCTGGATGCTCACTCTGGGAAGCCTGCAACCTGGCCAGTCACCCAAGACAATCACTGATCCATGAAATCACAATAAAACAGATTAAGAACACTTCCAAAAATTATGAGGCATGATGATGTAGGTGTTGACGCTGTCTGCTGTCGGTGTGTTCGTTTCCAGCTTGCTTGGCTCTCCTCATCTAGAGATTTTTCCGTAACCTTCTGCTAATATTATCCTGGCATCAATTTCCTCAGTTCTTCGAGTATGAAATCCATTGTACTGGTTGGCTTGGTGACACTCAACTGTGGTCATCAAAAAGGTATATCTAAAATTTAGCTATTCCTGAGTTGCTTAATAGTCCACATGTCCATGAGCAACTTATTTAAGTTCTCTGAGGTTCAACTTCCTCACCTGGGGGAAGAAATAATGCTATCCTTATCAGTTATCCTGGGAATCAAATTTGGGATAATGTATGTGTAAGCATCACGTCAAGTCTGGTACGTACTAGGTACCTAATATGTTTTGTTTGGAAAACATAGACCCCTGAGGGAACAGAGGAGATCAAGGTCCTAGAAGCTTCCACCAACTTTACTTAGTGACTTTAGTGCTGCAAATGAATTGCTTTCCTTCAAAGCTAACTAATCTCCTTTTTAAGAGCAAGGTGTTTCCCTAGGCATTAGTGTAGTTTATACCAGGAGCTACAGATAAACTTGTGCTCAAGTCTAAAAACCTTTTAATTGTTTGGTTCAGAATGTGAGCATTTCCATCAGGGCCTCCCTCCAGCAGCTTAGATCTAAACAGTATCCTGGGCTTTGCAAGCACTGCAAGATGTAGAGTTTAATCAACCAAGAGCTCTGAGGGGCTGGCAGTACACCATGCCTGAGGGTCAGGGCTGCTGTCTCCTCCCCGCTCAGGGAAGAATTTGTCGTGAAAGAGAGTCAAGTCCGATTTTACAGTGCTGTCTCTGAGATTACCCCGGGGGGCGGGCAGAAAGCTGACAATGGAGGAGTTCTAGAGCGCTGGGATTTGCCTTTGCAGCAAGTGTCTCCAACTGGAGCAGGGGTTGCAAAGGCAAGAGAGTCAAAGAGACCCCTCTAGAGAAAACTAACAGGAAGAAGCGATAACAGCTGTATTTTTAAGTAAACACTTTTTATTAAAGCACAAAAAGAAAACTCAGAGAAGTGCACAAATCGCAAATCTATCTTCAGAAATTTTCACAACGTGCCCACACTTCTGCTACTAGATTAAAAACAAACTCAGGAACACATAGAATATGGCCAGCCCACTGCCTGCTCTCCACCAGAACCTATTTGTTACCCCCCAGTTATCAGTCCCTTCCTCCTCAAAGGCAATCACTCTCCTGACTTCTAACACATAGATTCGTTTTGCTTCTCTTTGAACTTTACATACATAGAACCATACTGTATGCACTCCTTTATGCCTGGCTTCATTCACTGAATGTTATGCTTGGTAGATTCACCCATTTGCTATGTGCAGACATAGCTCATTTTTTTCATTGTCATATAGCATTCCACTATAAAATACACCACAGATTATCTCTCCATTCTACTGTTGACAGTAATTTCAGTTGTGTTGCCATTCTGATTTATATGAATAATGCTTCTATGAATATTCATGCGCATGCCTTTTGCAGTCACATACATATGCTCTTATGTTGGGTATATACCTGGACTGGAATTGCTGATTATAGGGTATGCAGATGTTTAGTTTTAGTAGATACTGCCAAACAGTTTTCCAAAGTGGTCGCACCAACTTTTTCATCTCATCAGCAGTGTATGACAGTTCCACATGTTCCACATCTTCCCCAACACTTGGTATTGTCAGACAAAATTCTGGTATTCTGAGGGATGTGAGTAATAGCTACTTACTTTATCATATACCTTATAAGCTCTGTGTTAAGCAGCTTACATGTTCTATATGCTTAAATCTTTCAGTAGCAATATTCCCATTTTTATCAGAAAACTGATATTCAAAGAAATTAAGCTATTTTCCCAAAGTCACCTATTTTCTAATTTCTAAGTGTCAGAAGTGGAATATGATCCCACCTCTGTACGATTTCAAAGATTATGCTATTTCCATGATATTATGCTATTCTCAGTTGATTCTTAGTTAATTTAAAAGGCTTTTTTGTTCCTGCAAAGACTTCAAAACTTTTAGTCATAACAATGTGTCTTAGTCAATTCAGGCAGCTCTAACAAATTACCATAGATTGAGTAGCTTAGCAACAAACATTGATTTCTCATAGTACTATAAGCTGGAAGGCCCAAAGTCAAGGTGTTAACCCATTTGGTTTCTGGTGAGGACTATTTTCCTGCAGGTAGTTATCTTCTAGTTGTATTCTCACACGGGAGAGAGGAAGCAAGATCTTTCCTGTCTCTTCTTTTAAGGACACTAACCTCATCACGAGGGCTTCACCCTCATGCCCTAATTATTAATATTTCCCAAAGGCCTCATCTCCAAATACTATCACATTGGTGATGGTATTTGAATTTGGGGAGTACATAAACATTCAGTCCCCAGCATGACGTAATTGACCCAGTCACAAACTAATTTTTATAAATAAGATGATTTAAAAATTAAGACACTAAAAAGGGGGAAATTACCAGGAAAAGGAGTCCACAATACAACATGAAAATACTAATCGTAGAATCTTGGACATTGTCTCCAAATAAGACATGCTTTCTCTGAACCAGCTAGGCTACCCTGTCCCTGTGCTTTTTTTTTTTTCTTTAACTTCAAAGAGACCAAGGAATAAAGAAGCGGAGCCAAAACACAGAGTAGGATGTGCCCAAGGACTGAAAGTTTTCTGCTGTGGAGACAGACTTGAGCTGAGAGAGCAGACAATAAATATTTTACCATCAGTATCGGTCTCCCAACTCTGGTCCCACTGGGGTGGTATAGATGCTTCACATGGGAAAATGATTAGCCTGCCCAGCGTCTCCTCTGATCCAAACATCTCAAGATCCAAGTTAGCCATATAAACGTAGCCCCTCCCTTTCTATTCCAGGTTCGATCACTCCCCTCAGCTCAAGTATAAGCCTCTCCCCATTTTCAGACATTGAAAACCCAAAGCATACTTCTCATTGGCTTCTACTTTTTTTGTCCCAAGGCTACCTTACAAAGCTTTCTTCTGGAGCTCTGCCACCTTACCTCTCTTTTCTCTTTTCATCAGTGACCTGCTCTTTTTAGTCTAAAATTTCATCATGAAAGAGTGTTACAAATCTGTAAAACATGTCTGTAATATAGTCCAGGCTACTGTGAAAGCCTTTGACAAGAAAATTTCTGCTGAAGATCTTAGAGCTGGTCTGAAAATGAACTAAAATTTAATAAGAATGATTTATGGTAACACTCTTAGAAGCATACCTGCATGCATAGAAGCATCTATACTGTTGAAAATAAAGTTGGAGTAGAATCAAAGGAACATTGTAAAGATTAACAGTCATTTTGCATATTTTTCATTTAATGATCAAAAAATGAAGCATGTTCAGCAATCATACTGCTGGGTATATACCCCAAAGAAAGGAAATCGGTGTATTGAAGAGATATCTGACTCCCAGGTTTGTTGCAGCACTGTTCACAGTAGCCACAATTTAGAAGTAAGTGTCTATCAATAGATGAATGGATAAAGAAAACATGGTACATGCACACAATGGAGTACTATTTAGCCATAAAAAGAATAATATCCTGTCATTTTCAACAACATGGATGGAACTAGAAGTCATTATATTAAGTGAAATAAGCCAGACACAGAATGACAAACGTTGCATGTTCTCACTTATTTGTGGGATCTAAAAATCAAATTGAACTCACGGACACAGAGTAGAAAGATGGTTACCAGAAGTTGGGAAGAGTGATGGGGAGTGGGGAGGGGGGAGTGTGGGAGCAGTGGTGAGAGGGAGGTGGGTATGGTTAATGTGTACGTGAAAAATAGTGAAAGAATAAGACCTAGTATATGATAGCACAACAGGGTGACTATCATCAGTAATAACTTGATTGTCTATTTTTAAATAAATATGGGTATAATTGGATTGTTTGTAACGCAAAGGATAAAGGCTTGAGGGGATGGATACCTCATTCTCCATGATGTGATTATTACACATTGCATGCCTGCATCAAAACATCTCATGTACCCTGTGAATATATACACTTACTATGTACCCACAGAAATTAAACTTTTATTAAAAATGAAATATGAGCCAAAAGAACAAGACTAGTACCTATATATTTATCAAAGACAACAGAAAAATAAAATTTTCAAACTTTCTCTTCCCTATGTTTACTGAGATGATTTAGTTTCTGAGTAGTTTAGCAACTTTACATGTCACATATGTCAGGAGCAAAACAAGACCTAAACAGTCTTCGCCGCCAAATTCAACCAAGGACGTGCATCTAAGATGGGACCCTGAGCAAGTAACTTAACCCATAGCAATATCTGCAAACCCTGAGAACTCTTTTGAGAATTAGATTCAATAATACATGTTAAGCACTTATAACATCTCTGGGCACAGAGTAAGCCCTCAATAGATATTAACCATCATGATCATAATGGTTAAGATTATGTTGATAATGATATAGATAATGACGATGATGTCTCCAGTATCAATCATGGTAGGAGACAGGAGTCAACAAAGTATATAAACCACCAGTCCTGAAAGCGGAAAGAAAATACACACCAAACTGTTCTTTTCTCACTCTTTGTGTCTACTGTAAAAATTCCTTATCTGATAACAACACAAGAAGAAAATGGGGCAAGTGTAACAAAGGAGAACTGGATGGTATGGGGGAAGACTTGGAATGCTCATTCAACTAATTCTGGTGATAGCAACTGAAAGACAAGCTGGGGGGGATGGGGGAATATCTATCAGGTGAGACCCTGTGAGAGAGAAAGAAAGCTCCACCACGTAACTCTCCCTCCAATGACAGGCTGCTTCAGGAGGTTGCTTAGGCATCACAGCTAGTTGGCTGACGTGCAAGGCAAACTGTTAGTCTTTTAGGTCATCCTGAGAGAAGAGATAGAAAGTGTATCTGCAACCCTATCCCTACCTTCCAAGGTGGTTTAGAATTGAGTTATGCTGCTGACCAGGGCTGGGGTGGGGCACAGCTTTCCTAACCATGTATCTGAGTCACCTAACCTCTAAATCGGATGTTCTCTTACCCAAATTCTGTAATCTACCAGTGACTCACCAAAGAATTCATGCAAATTGCAAATGTGTCCACCATCTTAGTTCAATTCAAAAAACACCCAATAGTTCTAAGAGGTTGACATTTATTCTTTTGAGTTTGCATCCCCTTTTGAATATGTGGATAACCTGGGGCAAATTTTCAAGGAAAACATTATTCATCAATGACATATTCACTTTCTTTCCATTTCTCTATTTTGAGAGCATTCCCTTTCCTGCCTCTAGTTCCCAGATCCTGTATACCAGCCTTTAGCTGCCTCTGGCCCCCAAACCTGATGCTCCTAGTCAGGCTTCTTCCTGTGAGAAGCCCTACTATGTGAAGGGAGACTGCTTGACAAGAACTATTATTTAAACTCCTCATGTCTTTGCTAACTCCAGCTCTCCTCACTAGAGTCCATTCACACCAGCAATCACAGCTTAGTGGCAGAAGCCAAGCAATGTCAATGAGATGAATTGACACTGGAGTCATAGACCACATCACTGATTCAACCAGAATTCTCACACACTACTGGCAAGAGCATAAAATGCTACTAATCACTTTGGTCAACAGCTTGGTAGTTTCGTATAAGTGTACCCCTAGACTTTGACGCAGCAATTCCAATCCTACCTATTCACCCAAGAGAAGAGAAAATATGTCTGCACAGAGAGTTGTAAAAGAATGCTCATAATAGCTACATGCATAATCACCAAAAACTGGAAACAAATTAAATATCCAGTAACAAGTGAACTAATAAGAAAAGGGTAGTATATCCATGCAATGTATTATTATCAACAATAAAAAGGAAGAAACTATCGATACATGGCAAAATAGATGAATCTAAGAGGCAATACGCTAAATATAAGAAGCCATTTTTTTTTTTTTTTTTTTTTTTGAGACGGAGTCTCGCTCTGTCGCCCAGGCTGGAGTGCAGTGGCGGGATCTCGGCTCACTGCAAGCTCCGCCTCCCGGGTTCACGCCATTCTCCTGCCTCAGCCTCCCGAGTAGCTGGGACTACAGGCGCCCGCCACTACGCCCGGCTAATTTTTTGTATTTTTAGTAGAGACGGGGTTTCACCGTTTTAGCCGGGATGGTCTCGATCTCCTGACCTCGTGATCCGCCCGCCTCGGCCTCCCAAAGTGCTGGGATTACAGGCGTGAGCCACCGCGCCCGGCCAAGAAGCCATTTTTAAAAGTATACACCATATGCGTGGTGGCAGGCACCTGTAGTCCCAGCTACTTGGGAGGCTGAGGCAGGAGAATGGCGTGAACCCATGAGGCAGAGCTTGCAGTAAGCCAAGATTGTGCTACTGCACTCCAGCGTAGGTCACAGAGCGAGACTCTGTCTCAAAAAAAAAAAAGTATACGCCATATGATTCCATTTATAGGATGTCCTAGAACAAGAAAAAACTAGTCAAGAAAGTGGGTGCCTTTGGATGATGGAGCTTGACTGGAAAGGTACCAGGGAGCTGTCTGGAGTGATGTTTATGTTTTATATATTGATTGGCATGTTACATCGATGTATGCATTTGTCAAAACTCACTGAATCAGACCTTTATGATACATTTTGATATGTATATGCTATCTCTCAATTCAGGCAGCAAGTGACCCATGATCAGGGGCTTCCTAGGAATATGCCCCAATTGGGTGCAATTGGCTTAGCAGCTTGTGGTTGTATAGCCAGAAGGGTTTGAGCTTAAATTTTCCCACTTGTAAGATGGGAAAATAATAGCACATCTCTTAGAAGATTAAATGCTAGAATGCATGCCAACTGCCTAGTATAATGGCTAGTGCAAAGTACACATTCAATAAATATTTGTTTCTCTCTCTTCCCTCATGTGCCCTCATCTTTAAGCCCACCTTGTAAGTGTGGACTGTGTCTCTCTATAGAACAAAATTGTTCCTAATGTCATTGGACTCAAGGGATAAAATAATTACAAGCATACTGTAGTAAAAACAATATACTCCTTGTATTTTAATATTTTAATTTTAAAATAAAAATTAAAAGTTATTTTACTTTTAAAATGAAAATTAAAACTTATTTTAATTTTAATATTTCCCATTTTAAGTAAAATGTACATCCACATTCATTACGACTGTGAACAAGCTAACAATTTTTGCAATTAAAAAAAAATCTGCCTTCAGTTTTTCAGCACTCTCCTTTAGCCTTTCACTCCTGGAACAAGTCAAACAAAAACCAAAAGAGCAAAATCCCTAGCAAACAGAACTTTATAGATATTCTGACAAAGAAAAATTAACCTTAGCAGCAACAAATTCCTCAGTGCCACAGAGCTCCTTGACTTTTCCACTGCTGTGGTCAAATTCCCATCATTAGAAGATGCTGTTTCAGAAGGAAAGTAGAATATTGATAAGATCACAGGCTTTGGAGTCACGCAAATGATTGGTTCATCTGCCAGCAAGGCCATTTACAGGCTGTGGCACTTTGCACAAGTTCCTAAACAACAGTCTGTTTTCCTCTTCCATTGACTTTTTCCTAAAACAACTAATTCCCAATGATGTATGTTGACTGAATGAATAAATAAATGGATAGAGCTATAAAAGTGTGTTCCTCATGGCGGTAATCTGAGCATTAAATAACATATATTTAAACACCCTGCAAGTCCCCAGCCTTTGGACTATTATACATAGTTTACTTATTCCCCAATCTGAATGTGTACTACAGTGAGAATGCCTTAAACATGGGTCAAAATCCTAGCACACATCCTTGAATCTTGAAACTGTAGTTGTTCTGCTTTGATAGTAACACACACACACACAGTTACCTCAGAAAGCCAAAGAGAGCTGAGGACAAAGGCAACTGAATTCACCAGGTAGATCTGACTGTCCCTCTCAGTAAGCTGATGCTTTTCTGTATGATAAGAATGTCTCACCAAATACAAGCACTGGCTTCCAAAAACATGTCCAACTCATACTGAAAGCACAACAGAATCATCACTGAAAAACATTCTGAGATTTGCTCATAAAATTAGTAATTTTTTTGTCATTCATTGCCATTAACAAGTAACTTGTGACCAAATAAATGTCACTATCCATTTTCTTTAATTAAAATAATAAATATTATACAGTGACACAGATTGGCATTTATAACTCCATTTCTGTGACATGGGATTTATAACCAAGGCTTTCTTTGAGGAACTCCACAAATAAAGGTTATTAAGCTGCCACAAGATGAACACAAGCTCAAGTTAATGAAATCAGAGGAAAGGCAGTGACAGATTGAGCCCTGAAGCACGAAGAAAAAGGGAATCCCCACCCAAAGCAAGAAGCATTATGGGGCTGGCAAAATAAATATTTCATTTAAAAAATTTTATTTTTCTAGACAGTTCACCTTTAAATATATGCAGGATGAACTCAGAGGCAACATTAATTCCACTACCACATCCTTTGGGGGTGGGCCAAACTGTGGCTTTCCTGTTCCCTTGGGAATCACTGTTGACCACTCTATGGTGCATTCTAAGGTAGGAAGAGTTTTCAAGTAAAGTAAAAACCATTCTGTCATGTGAATCTGCTACCAAAGAAACCAAATGAAGTGTTGTAATGTCCCAGTCACCTACTTTGAAGACATGGTTCTAGGTTCTTAAAAACGGAAAAAGGATTGCCCTTCACAAAGAGAAAAAGAAAAAATAACAACAACAACAACAACAAAGGATGATAAGCCTGATAGTATTTCCCAAAAGAAAATCTCCTCTTACCTCTGGGATTCTGCTCTGGCTCAAAGTCAACACCTGAATCCAATGCTCTCAACCCAAGCTCCATCCCTGGCTGAGCCCCATCCCCAGCTGGTCCGATCTTATGCAGCCACCTACAATATGCCAAGAGTCTGGAAATCCAGCTCATGCAAGGGACTCAAACATCCCCCTCAAACTGCTGCTCTTCGAAGCCTCCAAGAAGCACTGGATGAAGGGAAATTGCACCTCCGCTGTTGAGATTTATCTCTGTGGATTTATTTACACCTCAGAACTGCAGACACCTCAACTCATGTCACTCCATATCCCTCTGAAAGCCACAAGAGGGGGCTGGGCTAGCTGAGCCATGCCCTTCAATTACAGGATCAGAAGAAAGGCCCCCAATACAGGACATGGCTCCCAGCCCCTGCATTACTCTATTTCCAGCTGCATTTCTTAGCTGTGGCTAAAGAGCACATCTGTCTACCTGAGGCTCAGATAGAGATCAGATTGCTGAATTACTGAATACTTCAAAAAAAGGAGACAGACAGGGAAATACAGCAACTCTGAATTGGAGGAGCTTCAATTCTGGAAGTGGCCAGAGGGGAGTTCAAATTTTGGCTCTAATACATGCTGGATTAGACTGACACATAATAGAGACTCAGCAAATATTAGATCTCAGTGTATTAGTTTTCACACTGCTATAAGGAAATGTCCAAGACTGGGTAATTTATAAAGAAAAGAGGTTTAATTGACTCACAGTTCTGCACGGCTGGGGAAGTCTCAAGAAACTTACAATCATGGCAGAAGGGGAAGCAGGCACATCTTACATGGCGGAAAGCAGGAGACAGAGTGTGTGAGTGCACAGGAAAAACTGCCATTTGTAAAACCATCAGATCTCGTGCGAATTCACTATTAGGAGAACAGCATGGAAGGAACTGCCCTCATAATCTAATCACTTGCCTCCCTCCACACATGGGGATTACAGGTCCCTCCCCTGACACGTGGGGATTACAACTGGAGATGAGATTTGGGGCACAGAGCCAAACCATATCACCCAGCATGGACAGAAAACTGCCTTCCCATTCCCTGCAGTGTCTCAGATAATCTAGGACAGTATATACATGTATACATATAGATTCAAATTATGAAAAAAAGATTATATAATTAGATATAGTTTATATGAAATATATGTTTAAGCCAGGCTTGGTGGCTCATGCCTGTAATCCCAGCACTTTGGGAGGCCGAGGCAGGTGGATCACCTGAGGTCAGGAGTTTGAGACCAGCCTGAACAACATGTAGAAACCCTGTCTATACTAAAGATGGACAAAATTAGCCAGGTGTGGTGGTACATGCCTGTAATCCCAGCTACGGGGAAAGGCTGAGGTAGGAGAATAACTTGAACCCGGCAGGCGGAGGTTGCAATGAGCTGAGATCGCGCCATTGCACTCCAGCCTGGGCAACAAGAGCGAAACTCCATCTCAAAAAAAAAAAAGAAATGTATGCTTAGATATATTGATTATAATTTGACATATTTTATATAAACATACACACATATCCATAGCGTCACTTATGTTCAGATTACAGATTACATTTCCTTCCTGTAGCTTCAGTTGAGGTACATAAGATGGATTTACAGTCTAAAATTGATGCCCACTTCAGCATTAGGTTAGGAAAAGGGACTTCCCAAATCAGCCAGCCTTCCCCATTAAAGGGTGGACATGCCCAGGAAGGATATCATGAAGCCTCCGGATATATAGACAAGAATCCTTCTCCTCTGAATGATGCCTTGGCATTCCTTGCCCTCTGAGACTCTGCTTCTGTGTTTCCTCTTTTCTATCCTCTCAAAGCTGACTAGCCCCATTCTAGAGACTCATTTTACCTTTGGGTATTAAAAATATTCTCACTCAGCTACAGATCTAACCTGTGGACTTCGGAGCCATTCCCAATCTGTAAAATTGACATAGTTACCTCACAGGGTCTTCTTGAGGATTTTCAAAAACAGTAAGTAGATAATAGAGGATGGATGGATGGATGGATGGATGGATGGATGGATGGATGGATGGATGAATGGATAAGTGGATAGATGGACAGACGGATGGATGGACAGACAGATGAATGGATGAACAGATGGATGGATGAATAGACGGATGGATGGACGGATGGATAGACAGACGGATGGATAGACAGATGGACAGATGGATGGACAGACAGATGAGTGGCTTAGCAAATGCTCAGTAACTTTAGCTATTGTTTTTACTGAATTAAGACAACAATGGAGGGAAGGTGGGGATGGTTAGTGGGTGCAAAAAAAACCCAGAAATAATAAATAAGACCCAGTATATGATAGCACAACAGGGTGGCTCTAAAAACACTGAGGTTTTTTGACTCACATGACAGAAAGCTCACTCCTCTGTGAGGCAGCCTTTATTCTTCCACAAAAATTTCCAGAGCTCAATTTTTTCCTTCCATTGGTTTTGAGTTCACATCCTGAGATCACAACAATCCCACTCCTCAGTGACAATCTTTTGCACAGTTGAACAATGATCACAGCACTGAAGGTGAATCTAATGCAGGAAAGATCTACATCAGTGAGATGAAGAGGCTGTAACCTGTTAAACACTTCCTCCAGTCTCAGTATAGAACTTCTGGTCAATGTTCATATCGCAGATGTAAGCTACCATCAGCACAGAAATCCATTTCTTTGTGTTTTCCAAATTTCTGCTTTCTCGATCTGAATCATGTGATATTAGATGTCTTCAGTTTCATTTCCCTGCTATCATCTAAATCAGGCCTTGGTTTTCTGTCCTGTGTCAGTATTTGCAAGTAGACAACACAGCACAGTGTCAACATATGCATTATAACAAATAGAAGACAAGGCAGGACCAAATAGATGTGGGCAGACTGCAGACCAGACAAGACTTACTCTCAGGTCTCAGCTCCAAGCAAAAACTTCAAATCCATCCTTGAGAAAACTGACCTGCAAATGAAAGCTGAAGATTGCTGACCAATAGCCAAAACTGCAGATGTTAACTACCTGAAAGACAAACATGTGTATTGAGCAAGGTGTACAACTTAGTGAGGTGTAAATCAGAAGCATCTATATTATTCACCAGTCACCACCCTGGACTATAGTCTGTTGATTTTCTACCTCTATTCTCTTACTAAACTTTTGGATACATTCCAAAGCATCATGGTCACTTCCAGTTATGAAAGGATGTTTAAAAGCCCAGCCCAGCTTAAAACTCCAAGCCCATATTCGCTTTGAAATCCTCCCCTTCCTCATCACGAGCTGGGTTTGCAGCTCAGAGAACTGGAAGGGAGTTGCTTTCATTTTCACTTCTCCTCCCTTTCTAGAACTTTCAAAGGACAGAATCCCAGTGGCTGGCTCTAAGGAACCTCTTCCCTGGCATTGAAGATTAGGAGGGAAAATAGTGACTTGACTGGCAGTGGGGAAGCCACACAAGTCTCACTTTGTCACTGTGAGGATTCTGTTGGTTGCCAACTGCCTTTCCCAAAATGGCAGGTGGTCTCTTCGCCAAGGATCCTTTCCAAGGCAGCAGACAACTTTCCCCAGATTCTGCCCATCATTGAGGACTCTGTAGATGGGGAAAGCTTTGTCCCTTCAGCCACGCTAATGACCCATGCCCCTATCCGGCACACCCAAGCACAGGCAACGTCAAAAGACTGCTTCTCCTCCAACTCCATGTTGTTTCACCTGGAGCTGAGGAGCTGAAGTCCCTTTCCTGTGCTACCTGAGGGTCACAAAAACCTAGGGTGGGGTAGTCTTCTCAGTTCTGTTCCCAGGCACATCCTGACTTCACAAATCTCTAGGGGAGAAGCATCAGCCCCTAGTCCCTAAGTTCAGATACACTCCCATGTTCCAGGGGACACATGCCAACGTCTCCCAAGAATGTACCAATACACCATGCCTCACTTAGTTCAAATGGCACCACCAGGCTGGGCCTGAAGGCTGCCAACTCAGCTATCATCCAATTAGGTATGACATGCCTATTTTTTTATTCTTTAAAGCATCCCCAGTCTTCAAAGGTGATGTCCCTGAAGTTATTCCCTTACATGGCTTACAGGAAGAAAAAAATTTTAAACTCCACTGCACTTGAAGTCAATAATTCCCAACACTGATAAGTTCCCCCCATTACCATGCTTCTAATTGGGATGAGAGGGGGAGCCATTTGTGCAAACCCCCAGAAAGCTGGAGTGGGGTTGGGATCCAGGAAAGTGTCAAATCCAACTATTGACCACTCTCTGAAATGGGTGGGATCCTTAGTAATGGTGTTTTTAACTCCAAAGCAACAGGGAAACTCTCCCTTACAGACTCCTTGCAATGTCCTATAACAGGAGTGTTTCCAGTGCTTCTCATTGTTACTGTATGTATGGATTACCTGGGTGTTGTGTTTAAATGTGAACCCACTTTCAGCAGGTCCAGGATGGAACCTGAGATTCTCACAAGCTTCTCAGTGGTGGTGCAGCTGCTGCAGGTCTGCAAACCACTCGTTAGCAAGTATATTTCATTTTTGTCTCTCACTGCTTTCAAGCCCCAGTAAATCTTTATTCTGAAACTAATAACTAACATTTATGAAGTGACTCACATGGGGCAAACTTTGTGCTGAGGGTGTCACATGCATTATATCATTTAACTTTCAACAACCTTTTGAAACAGTGAAAAGTTATTGTGTTCACTTGAAAGTCTAACTGGCCTTTAGAAGGGCTATGCAACTAGACTCAGGCTTCAAGCATAGCAAGTGGCATCACCAACATTTGAGCCCAGGGTGCATGTTCCTAACCACTTCAGTCAGAAGAATGCAGACCAAAAGTGAAGATTATAGCAAAGAAACTAAGACAAATGATTGAAGGATACAAGAAAACTTCATTAAGTGGTGCTTGGATCAGATTCAGATGTCCCTGAGCTGGTTGTGTCTCATAGGAAAATTGCAATATTGAGCTCCTGAAATGGCCCCAGACACATTTAACCACAGATTTACATTGCGAACTCCATTACTTTTCCTTTTTTTTTTTCATCTACATTTCATTTTTCAAGCAGCTTCTTCTATGTCAGGGGGACCACATGAATAATAAATATGTCATTTTTAACCATCAACAACATACCTTGTAAGTGGTGTATGCAATCTTTTAAATAACCCAGCAAACCATTCCTCTGACATCATTTTTATACCACACTTTGCAATGAAACTAGAAACTACTTGAAAAAAAAGCACATGGATTAAACTACACAATCACATTCACCCACACATTTTTGTCTGCATTTAATATTTCATTGGGTTCTGCATTCCCTCCTCCACTCTGATAACAACCGTCTGCCATCGAGGGAAGACAATTAAACTATTTCAGCATTTTCCTGCAGTTAAATAGGCTCATCTTTCCCTGTGACAGTTAGTTTATGGAGTAAAGAGGGGATCCCCGTCGCTCATGCCTTCTTGTAAGTGACATCAAGATGATTAAGAAAAACAAACTGTTTCCTTCTAACAAGATCCTGGCTAGTCATAGGTTTTCACTGCTCTGGGTTTGGACAAGGTGACATGAATTTCCCGCCTGCCTGTGATGAAAGGGCATTTATCCTATGACAAAATCTTGTCACAGATGTGTGCGCCTACACACAAAGTAAATCTTTCAGCTTATTTGTCAGGTGATACAGGGGTGTCATACCCCTGGGGTGAAAAAGAATCTGTGGCTACTCCACAGTTTATCAACATTTGGCATTTGGCATTTCTGCAAATACCAGGCACATCATGAGCACTTAACCAAAATAGAAATTGAATTAGTAAGTCATTAACCTGAGGAAATGACGTATTCTCAATTTTCTTCTTTTTGACATGTTTTTTTTTTTAGAAAATTTCAAACACATACGGAAGTAAAGAGGGTAGCATTATGACATTCATATTACCCACCAGCTTCAATAATTTGTTCACTCAGGGAAATCTCGTTTCATTTATATCCCCCCGCCCATACCCTCTGCACTTTTTTGTGTGTGAAGCAAATATCAGACATTTGTATCTTTTTATGCATAAATCTCAATTATCATCTAAATATTATTTGAATATGTTATCTCGTCTCCCTCCTCACTATCCTTTCTTTAGACTCTTTTCATTTTGTAGAAATGGGGTCTCACTATGTCACCTAGGCTGGTCTCAAACTCCAGGCCTCAAGTGATCCTCCCACCCCGGCCTCCCAAAGTGCTGTGATTACAGGTGTGAGCCACCATGCCTGGCCTCTTTAGACTCTGACCACCTGCTGTAGTGGGTTAAAGTCATGCCCAGAAAGATACATCCAAGTCCTAATGCCTGGAAATTGTGAATGTGGTATCCTTACATTTGGAAAAAGAGCCTTTACAGATGTAACTAATTAAGTTAAGGAACTCAAGATGAGATCATCTTGGATTTGGGGTTGTCCTTAAATCCAGTGCCAAGTGTCCTTATAACACAAAGGCAGAGTGGGACTTGAGACTTACAGCCACATAGGGAGAAGGCCATGTGAAGACAGAGACAAAGACTGGACTGATACAACCCCAAGCCAATGAATGTCTGGAGCCACCAGAAGCTGGAAGAGGCAAAGAAGGATTCTCCTCTAGCGCCTCCAGAGAGACCACGGCCCTGCTGACACCTTGATTTTGAACTTCTGTGCTCCAGAACCCTAAGAGAATAAATTCCTGTTGTTAACTAAGCTACCAAGCTTGTGGCAATTTCTTATAGCAGCCATGAGAAACGAATAGACCATCCTGGACAATGACCATCCCAATGTCTTCTACCAACATGGCTTCTCCTACCTCCTCCACTAGTCACCCCGAAGATGAGTAACACAAACCCACCTGTGCTGCCCCCACACTTGAACTCTTCAATGGTTCCCCAGTGCTGTCAGGGCATCATCCAAGTGTCTTTGGATGATATGATCTGCACCAAACTTTCAGCCACAATTCCTGACACTCCCCTTCCCCAGCCCGCACATTTGAAGCCTTCATGTTCCAATGGAGTCACCCAGTTACCTCCACTTGCTCATGCTTTTCCTGCCCCTGTCCCTTTTCATACTGTTTCATTTGCCTGGAGCAGGGCTGTCCAAGAGAAACATAACTGAAATGAGCCACAAATAGAAGAGACACATGTAATTTTAAATGTTCTAATAGTCACATCAAAAAAATCAACCTCAATGGTATATTTTAGTTAACCCAACATACCCAAAATATTAGCTTTTCAACATATAATCAATCAACATAAAAGCATTATTAAGGAAACACTTTATACTCCTTTTTCTGACACTAAGTCTTTAAAATCTAGTGTGTATTTTATACTAAGAGCATATCTCCATTCAGACTGTTAGCCACATTTGAAGTGGCTACTTTAGTAATCACAGGTGGCTAGTGCTAATGTATTGGACAATGCAGAATATTCTTAATCCTTTTTATCAGCTTCATGAAATACTATTCATCCTTCAAAATCCAGCTGAAATACTATCTTCTGTGAAACTTTCTCTGATTATTTTCTATCTCCTGCCAACAGGATCAATTATTCCCTCCTCCATCCTAGATATGGACCCTTGACATGGATCCAGTATAGCCACTGTTCGCACTGTGTTGTATTTAATTGTCACCTGTGTGTCTCTTCTACTAGACAAAGAGCTTCTCAGAGGCCAAGATCGACCTTATTCATCTTTGTATCCTCACACCACTGGAGTACCATGCACAACGAAAGTCAGAGTGATGCAAATAAATGCTCTCTGAAATAAATTCTGTCCCTTCCCATGGTTAGCACAAGAATCCTTTCCAATTATTTGTGTTCCTGCAAAGTTGGTGGTCAAATATAATCACACAACTCAAAAGTGCACAGGATTCTGTGTTTTACTTGTTGTTTTCACATTTGTTATCTCCTTTTATCCTCGTAGAACAAATATTTGTAGCCCCCTTTGTTGGATGAGGCAGGTAAAGTCCAGAGAAGCGATGGCACTTGAATAATGTCACAGAGCTATTTGAAGGTCGAGCCAGGACTTGAACCTGGGACTCTGGATGGCCAGCCCAGTGCTCTTCCACATCCTGAAAGCACACTCACCTCCTGGCTCGCTCTACCCAAGTCAGGAGAGTCAGAATCAGACCTCACATTCATTTGCACCCTCTGGACGGGAACTATCTTCCATCTCTTCTGTATTTCCAGACCCTTACCATGCTTCAAGGCCTAACTTGATCCTTCTTTTTCTTTGAAGTTTTCACTTTCTAACAGTCTCTTGGCCCACAAGGACATATGGCCCATCTTAGAAAACCCGGCCCTTAAATGAGACACCATCTTGTCTTGTTCCATATTGCTTTCCCTTATTTTTCTTATTAGATCATGAGCCCTTAGAGGTCAAGAATAATGGCTTATTTCCCTTTTGCTCCCTTACCATGATTACAAGAGAAAAAACAATTTCTTATTAGTAAGTATCTACTATAAGCCAGGCACTCTATTAAATGCTTTCATATGGATGTTTTTTATTTACTCCTCAAAAATCCTACAAATCAAGTTCAATTGCTCACTTTTTAAAAGAATAAACAAAGCAACACAGATACTAAATAAATCACCTAAGATCATCTGGAGCTGCACACAGAGAGGAAGTCACAAGGAAGAGACATTTCTAGGTCAAATGGCCTGAGTTCAACCAACCTGCACATGGAGTAGAATCAGGGATGAGGAATCCCAACAAACATAATAAAATGGCTGCACCCTTCACCCCTCTCGCCAGAAGGGGATGATGTTTCTGATTCTTGTATCATGGAAAAATGAGTTGCTCTGTTGAGACAGGGCTAGGTCCAACATGACTTCTTTCTCTGAATATTCAAAATCTACCACCTTTTACCATTATGGATATTCCCACGTTGATCAGAAAGACACCCAGCAGAAGAGGGTGCTCTGGTGGGGCTCCTCTTCATCACAGTATCTCCCACATCTTCCCTTCCTTTCCATCCCTTGAGAAGACATCATCAATGTCTTCTCAACACCAAGACAATTGTGACTGCCTTCCAGCTAATTGTCCTACCTCTAGTTTCATACCTTCATCACCCTGCCTGACATACTGCTGCCACAATGATCTTTTCCAAATGGATAGATGAACATGGTACTCTGATGCTCAAAATATTCAAAGGATTCATGCACTGGGAACATATCATTGAAATTCCCTTGTCTAACATTCAAGGCCCTCTGCCATCTGGCCACTATCTTTCAATCTTACCTCTTAACCATCACTTAATATGCTCCAACATTTAAACCACATTCAACTACTGACTACTATGGAGTCCCTGGTTCTCCAAGGGCCCCAACCCTCATTTATTCCCCCCGCCCCAGCCAGCCCTTTTAAATACGATTGGTGAGACTTTGGTTGTAGCATAGAGAGCATACTGGCTTCACCATGGAAACAGAAAAGATGCTCTGGTCCAGGAAGAGGAAATGATGGGTCCTCAGTGGTAGGGAGGGAAAGTAGTGAGAATGGAGGATGAATGAACAGAGACAGTCTTATATCCCTAGGAAGAGTGAATAATGCTAGGAAAAAGCATATGTGAATGAGCCAAGACAACTTTCTAATCCTACTGAGAAAGAAAATATAGGACAAGGCCCATTATATGGACAAACCAGAGATTGTTAGAATGTAAGGCCCCCATACAAATTAAAGGGATATCAATGAAAGAAATCAGTACATATAGCCAGCTTTCCGTTCCTTTGTATTGGGCCAAGCTAGCTTAGACGGGCTTTGTTCCCATGTCTCGATGAGCTGATGAACAGACCATTAAATGCAGTAAACTCTAAGTGAACTCTAATGATTATCTAATCATTCAGCACATCACTATGACCTCGTTACTGGACTTACTGCTACCATTACAGAGCCTGCTCATGGTATTGGGGCAATGAGTTGTATAAACCCCCTTGCCCTTGGAAGAGGACATAGAAGTATGACTCATAGGTCCTGGTGGCTTGGCTCACGCTTTTCTCTTTCTTATAACACTAAAACTGCACACATGGAAATCTTGCCTGTTCAACATCTGTTTCCTAAAACCATTCATTTTGTCCTTCTTTTTAAACCCCTCTCCCTCCTCTGAGGCTCTACAGTATTTTACTTCATCTTTCTTACAGTACACTACACTTTCCCTATACTATCAATATTATTTGTGCTTCAATTTCTTCCCTTCTTGCAGGGAACGCTCTGATCTATTCATGTCTGGATCCAACTCAACATCTGGCATTGAGTAGTCACTCCATAAACACTTATGGAACAAATGAATAAATGAAACATGATGTGTTACATAGTTAAAACACTCGTTATTTTTAAGACTTCTCCAATATCAACAGGATAGTTAATTTTAGGT
Source organism: Homo sapiens (assembly GCF_000001405.40). Classification (NCBI taxonomy): domain Eukaryota; kingdom Metazoa; phylum Chordata; class Mammalia; order Primates; family Hominidae; genus Homo; species Homo sapiens. Next base: position 80,447,913 of record NC_000016.10, read on the forward strand.
CTAGTCAATCAGCATAAGTGTTCAGGGATCTTGGGGTGCCCTTTCTAAGTGAGCATAGCCTGATAGGTCTTGACCCCAAAATAGCCACCCTAGCTCTTTCCTGGACGCAGAAAACAATGATAGGTAATGTGCGTTGACTGTTTATTGAGTCTCAGTCATTGTTTCAAATACTTTATGTGCATCTTCTCACATCCTCACATTTATCCCGAGATAGACAAATTATTTATAATCTCCATTGTGCAGATGAAAAAGTCCAGGTACAGGAAAGTTAGTTTCCTATAAATGGCACATAGCAAAGAAGTGTTAAGAAAAAGATTCAGGCCGGGCACGTGGCTCAAGCCTGTAATCCCAGCACTTTGGGAGGCCGAGACAGGCGGATCATGAGGTCAGGAGATCGAGATCATCCTGACTAACACGGTGAAACCCCATCTCTACTACAAAGTACAAACAAAATTAGCCAGGCGTGGTGGCGGGTGCCTGTAGTCACAGCTACTAGGGAGGCTGAGGCAGGAGAATGGCGTGAACCCAGGAGGCGGAGTTTGCAGTGAGCAGAGATCACGCCACTGCACTCCAGCCTGGGCAACAGAGCGAGACTCCATCTCAAAAAAAAAAAAAAGAAAGAAAAGAAAAAAAAAAGATTCAAGGCCAGACAGTCTGACTTCAATGCTTCACTTTCTTTCCACAGAAAATGGACCTGCAACGTTTATAAGACAGAACTTGCTTTATAGTGCCACCCTTACTAACTGCCTGCCCTTGGGTATTATTACCTAATCTCCCCAAGTGTCAGGTTTTCTCAAATCTAAATGAGGACATGAGAACTGTCTACTTTACAAAGTTGTTGTGAGGGTAAATGGCCTAATGGATATACAGTTTCTAGCATATAGCAGGCACTCAAAAATGGAGCTATTTGTATTGATCAGGAATCATTGTGTTGCAAAATCTATTTACATCAGCTATAGGGGAAACAATAATGTATTCTTTTGTGTAATGAAAAAGTCCAGAAAGATGGGTGTTCAAACATAGCTGATTGGAGGCTCCAATAATTTCATTAGGACTGGAATGCTTCTTCTCTCCATTTCTTACCTCTATATTTCTCTCCCAGTTAGTTCATTCTCTAACTTGTTTCACACAGTGGTTACTAGAAAATCCACATTTATAGCCACAGCTTGGTGACTGCAGGAAAAAAGGGCACCTCTTACCCACTAATTGTGGCGCAAGTCACAATTTAGTCTCTTTGAGTCGCTTGGGTCACCTACCCCTCCCTGAACCAATTGCTGTGATGAAGGGGATGGGGTTTATTGGCTGATCCCTGGAACCAGGAAGCCTGGGACAGTCCCAACCAAATGAGAAGAGAGATGGGGTGAATTGCTAAAGAAAGAAAAGGTATCATTTCCAGGATAAGAATTGTTTCTGGACAGGCAAAATATCCACTCACCATGAACATGTTCAATGTTCTCATGTTCTAAACAAACGAAGTTTCCTGGCCTTTGCCCACCAACAATGGGTTCCTCCAGCCCGTGTCCACTGCCAGCCTGTCTTACAGACCTCTTCAAGCTCTCAGCATGCATGGGCCCTGTACTTCCTCCCAGCTACTGCAAAGCTCAAATTAGTCACTCTGTGGGTCCGTTCTGAGGCATATCAGAGACCAGCTGTGCAAGGACCTGTCACCTTCTTGTCAGCGAAAGTTTTCTGTCCAAAGAACTTTCGTCATCACTCCTTTCTCAAGTAGCTAGATGTCACTTGAAGAGACAGCTGAAGTCACTCACAATGGCTGGTCTCAAATCAGCGCTCACTGGCCTTGTCAGTAAAAGCCTCACCCCGCAGCGAAAACTGTCACTGATCATGTTTAGATATGTACGCAGAGGTATTAGATTAGAAGAGAGAATGCACAAGATGGGAGTTTAAAAGAGCCAAGTTGCAAGGGAAATCTTAATGGGAAGAAGTGAATGCTTAAGGTTGGAAGTAGTGGGAGGGCATCTTTTTTCAAAACCCAGGTTATACTTCCCATCAAAACCAGCAAGAGCACACACATATGCACACACACGCACACACACGTGCACACACAGACAGCAGCAGCCTATATGTATACACAACCTACCACATGCTGAGGATACACAGACCTCTTGCCAACACACTTTATAAATAACTGAGCCTTGACAGGAGATCAGTAGGTAGTTAATTTATCCACATTAGTATAAATAGCTTGTTTGCATATCAAAGCACTGCTAAATAAGATCAGAAAACATATATTCACTGAAAAAACTCAATTATCTTTCGGAGGAAAAAAGAATAAAGAGTCCACATATTAATCAAGTTGCATTTGTTGCCTTTCTCTCCATATACTCTTTATTTAGGGGAGGACTTCTTGACCTCAGTGTTACTGACACTCAAGGCTAGACAGTTTTTTGTGTGGGGATGGGGGCTGTCTCATGCATTGCATGATGTTTGACAGCATCCCTGATCTCCATCCACTAGGTGCCAGGAGTCCTCCTCCGGTCACTGCCAAATGTTCTGTTGGGGCAAAGTCTCCCCCAGTTGAGAACCATCGATCTCAAGACTGTAATAAATGCTATCTTCAATATTACTATAGTGGAATAATCGGTTAATCATTAATTTATATACATCAGCTAGGGTTGTGAATTGTGCTTTCATTTTGGGTAGCTTTGGTTACTATTTATATCATTGTTAATCAATATTTATTACTAAAATGCTGATTATTCCTATAGTACTTAAGTGGGTCACAGTCATTTCTGTAACTGTTCTGCCCAAACCTTGGGAAAGAGCACAGCACAGGTAGAAGAAAATAGGGGCTTTCAAAGCATGCAGATTGGGTTTGAATCCAGATGTGCTACTAAGTGGCTGCACAATTTGGGTCCAGTTTCTTATCTTCTCTGTTTGAGTTGTTATCACTGTAAAACACAAAATATTTCCATTTTGCCACTGTAAAATGGAAAATAGTTATCACAGAGGGAAGCTGTTAGTATTTCATAAAAGGTGATTACGTTCAAGAAGGCATTGACACACAATGGATGCTCAAAAAATGTTGGTTTACCCTGAGAACATACTTTGCTCTAAAAGGATCTTGCTGTATGATTAAAAACAAGGCTTTCTCTGTAAGAGTGATTTATCAAGCTAAGTAGAGCATAATAATAACATTGCTCTGCCTGTATAGCTTTTTGTTTTTCATGGAGTTTTTAATTGCCTTTCTATTCTTCTCCAACTATTTGTCTTTATAAAATCCTTAAGTATTTCTAGTGCCTCAAAAACGTATCAAAGCCTTTCTCCCCAGATTATCTCCCTATGGGAACTTTTCATCCTTCTGTTTCCATGTAAGCAAATGGTGTGGTAGTAACATAACCCAGCTCCATCTCGGGACTTCTCCTCATTACTCTTCTAAGTGGGATACATTATTTCCTGGATCTCTTGGCTTCTGCCCTCTTTTGCTGATGGGTATTCTATATAAGAGGCTAAAATTTTAATGCATATATGACTGTGAAAATTGCAAAGATAAATCAAGTTATACTAAATGTAAGTATGAAGTCCTGAAACTGTATTTTTAACCAATGGATCCCAAAAATCATACATCCAAAGAGCACTGTCACCATAGGGAACCACACATTTATTATAAGGGTACTGCCATGGCCCATACCATGTTAATTCATTCCTTGGAATATTCTTTCAGAGTCTGTGTTGTGTTAGAAATGTCATAAGGGAGAAAGATTTGATTTGAGAAACAATCAAAAGTTCTACAGTCAAGTGAGATGAAAAATTGAAAAGTGTTAACCCAGGGCTTTCTTCTGCTACGGAGAATGAATGAGTTCACGTCCCTAATGTTCCACCTTAGTACTCCTAACCTACAAGCTTTGACCAACTTAGAGATGTTACAGGAATCCTAGAAAAAGCATAAATTTTCTTTAAAAGATTGTCTTTTCCTTTAAAAAATGGATGTGCATGCTACTCTAAGAGAATTAATTTTCAAATAAACTTTTTTCTGAGTTCTTAAAATCATATACAAGCTTCAGAAAGACAAAGAGCATGCAGCATCATATAGTCTTCCCTGTAACTCTTGGCAGGAGTCAAAACCCAGATTAAACAGCACAGAGCTAACAAGTCAAGGAACAGGCAAAAGAATTAGTAATCTGCACACAGAATCCAACTGATACCAGAGTACAGTAAACTGCAGAGGAGCTAGTCATTCTCTAGCTGCACTCACTCCCTTGGGATCTCATACACTCCAATGTCTTTATATATTATCTATCCTAGTGTCCCCCCAGCTTTATATTTCTAGCTCAGACCTTCCTCTTGAAACCCACCCTACACTGCTTACTCAACATCCATGCCTAAAACCCTAACTAGACATCTCACATACAATGTGTCCAAAAGCAACTCCCAAACTTTAACCCCAAAGCCTGCTACTCCCATAATCTTCCCCATCTCAGTTGATGACAGCCTCATCCTACCAGTTGTTCATGTCAAAAACCTTGGAGTCATTCTTGATTTCTCCCTTTCTCTAAGAACTTATATCCAGTCTAGCAGCAGATCTAGTTGGTTATACCTTCAAAATGTATCTACAATCTGATCACGTCTCCCCACCTTCACTACTGAGCCACCACCCTGAACCAAGCTACCCTCAACTCCACACCAGTACTTCAATAGTTGTACAACTTCTATCTGTGTACCTCTACAGAATCTCCTCACTATAGCAACATGAGCGGTCCTTTTAAAACCTGAGTTAAATCGAGCCATTCCCATATCCAAGATGCTGTGATCATTCTCACCCCTCCTGTTTCACACAGAGTAAAATTCATACTTTTTGGACTAACCTTACATGATCTAGACTCTCTCTTAAGCTCTTGGCCTTTATCTTCTATCATCTTTCCTCACTATTGCTGCACTCTAGCCACTGGCCTCCTACTGACCCTTGGACACACCAGATATGCCCACCTTGAGGCCAGCATAGGGCCACTTTCTTCATCTGAAATGCTCTTCCTCTAGATATCACACAGCTATTCCCTTTATCAGCCTTAAGTCTTTGCTCAAATTTCAGTTTTTTACTGAAAACTAACCTGACTGGGCCACTGAATACCGCAAACACTGTTCCACTACCTTTTGCTCTACTTTTTCTTTGCTTTTTCTTTTTTTACAGCACTTATAATTAATATACTGATTTATTATGTTTACTCATTACTGTATCTCTCCATAGAATGCAAGCTCTATGACAGCAGTGGTCTTTTTTACGGGCATAAACCAAACCCTTGGAATGGTGCCAGCCACATAGTAGATGCTCGAAGAGTATGTGTCAAATAAGTGCATTGAATGATTGCATTTTCAAGACTCTTTCTAGAAGTGTTCTGACACCAAAAACATTAGATGGGTTTATTGGAGATTTGAGATTGGCCAGAGGGAAGCAATGAAAGGTCAAGGCAATAAGACTGTTAAGGTGATGCTGAAGTGGCTACACACGGGGTCATGGTTAAGCAGTAACAACATCCATATACACGATGCTTTGCAGTTTGCATAGGAACTTACTAGCCTGAGGGAGCAGGATTGAGGTGAGGAAACCAGATCATTACAATGGCAAAATCACACTTATAGGAGGGTGAAGGAACAGGATGGGATGGAGTTGAGGGTTATGGTCAGAAAGGACCATTTCAACCCAATTTTAAAACATTAACAGGCAGAGCTCAGTGGCTCATGCCTGTAATCCCAGCACTTTGGGAGGCCAAGGCAGGCAGATCGCCTGAGGTCAGGAGCTTCAAACCAGCCTGGCCAACATGGTGAAACCGTGCCTCTACAAAAAATACAAAAATTAACCAAGTGTGGTGGTGCACGCCTGTAATCCCAGCTACTTGGGAGGCTGAGGCAGGAGAATCGCCTGACCACAGGAGGCAGAGGTTGCAGTGAAGTGGGATCATGCAGTGGCACTCCAGCCTGGGCAACAAAGCAAGATGCCATCTCAAAAAAAATAAATAAATAACAAACGACAATAGTAGAACTGATCAACAAAACTACTTAATAAGTAGATCAAGGGAAGTTCTAACAGTATTTTGAATTCTCAACAAAAGGGCAAATAATGAGAATGGAGTCTTTTCAGAAAATAAAATACAAACCATCTCATGAAAAAAATTCATCTTGAATGGTGATAAATGCTGATTAAAACAAAAATAAAATATTTACATATTGTCATAGGAAAGACTTAAAATGTAACAATATACTTCAGAGAGTATAGTAAGACAAACATCTTCCTTCTCAAGGCAGAATATAAGTTAGACAATCCTTTTGAAAAGAAATTTATAAAATAAATCAAGACCGTTAAAACATTCTATGCTTTGGCCAGGAATTCTACTTCTAGGAATCTATGCCAAGAAAAAAATATAGAAACGTAGACAGATTTATATATAAAGATTCAGCATAATGTAAAACAAAAATCTAAAAATATTATAATGATTATATAAATCATGGCATTTTTATAGAGCAGAATGTTATGCAACCATCAGTAATTACATTTATGAAAAATGTTAATGACACGGGAAATGCTCATGATATAAGGACAAATGAACTGAAATAGGGACAATGCCATAAATGGCATATGGTCCCAACTAATATTAGTAGAATTCATTGCAAACGAATTCAGAAGTGGATTTTTAAAAAATTTTCATCTCTATTAGGGTTATTGAAAAATAAAATATTAACTTTGAGAAAAGCACAAACACTCTCTTCATGCAGAGAGAAGTTAAAATTATATAATTTTAGAGTGACTATTCATATAAACCCTGAATTTTTTTTATGCCTAATGGTTCATTATCCATAGATTTGCATTAAAGTAATTCTCTATTTTAATACATGTGCACTTCTCTGGGTCTCAGTTTCCTAATTTTTCAAACAAAGCATAGTCTAAATCAGGGGTCAGCAAACCTTTTCTGCCAAGGGTCAGATAGCAAATACCTTAGGTTTTGTGGGCCAGAGAGTCTCTGCTGCAACTGTTCAACTCCTCTGTTGGAGCGCAAAAGCAGCCATAGATAACAGGGAAATGAATGGCTGTGTGCCAATAAAACTTTATTTATAAATGCAGGCAGCAAACCAGATTTGGGCCACAGGTCATAGATTGCCAACCCTTGGACTAGATGATTTATAGTCTTTGATTAGCTGATAGTTCAAGCCCTGATGCAGAGGTCTAAGCACCAGCACACACCTGAGAAGAGGAAAAAAGCAGTGTACCATCATGAGAACCCTACGAGCTTTTGAGTTGGAAGAATCTGAGCTTGAGACCTAACTCACTTCCTAGTTGTGTCTGTTGTTGCAACATACTTTCAACACTAAGATTCTTAGTATCCTCTTATGCAAAGTGGAAGAGTAGCACCTACTTAACAAAGTTATCCTATGCCTTCAGTGAGATAATGGAAGTCAAAGCCCGAAGCCCACAACTTAAAAATGAGGAGTTCTCAACAACTGGTAGATAGCCTCATTAAGATAACTCTGATAAACCAGGCGGCACATAATCCTCGGGTGCTGAATGATTTCAGGCTCATAGTGTAGACAGGACGACATGTTGAGTCTGCGGCAGAGAACCGGCCAGGATAAACTAGGTTATGCTGCAGTAACAAACCAGCCCAGAGTCTCAGTGGACTGAAACAATAAGATTTATTTCCTGCTCATGCTACGTGTCTATGGCTGGGGACTCTGTTCTTCCCGTAGGACCGTCTGGAGCTTGCTGGTTGTAATGAGTGAGGGAAATGTTAGGTGGCTAGATCGCGTACTGGCTCTTAAAGCTTCTACCTGAAATGACGTGCATCAACTCCATTCCTATCTCATTGGCCAAAGCAAGTTACATAACGACACATTACTCATGGTGGGCTAGAAATGCTAGCTACCTTGCTCCGAGAATGGGGCTGGGGGAGATCTGGAAGTTTTTAGTTAACTGCACTAATAAGTGCATTATAACAAGATAGGAGAATAATAGGCAACATTCACATCATTTAGCATATTCCAAAGTAGTGCTAACTCCTTTACTTACAAATTGCAAAATCAAGTCAGGAGAATAAAAACAGAGCCAGAAGTGAATGGAGCAAGACAATGGGTCTGGGCTTCCCGATGGTAAAACAAAATCAGGGGAAAATGCCTCAGATAAGACTTGCTTTTCCTGAAAATGCTTTCACCAACTCTCTCTCCCTGCCATCCCCTTTTTGTAGCTGGGCTTCATAACCCTTAAGAAGGCTGTGATCAAAATCTATAATCTAACATCATGTCTAATTCTCTGAACTCCCAACATAAAGATTGTATAGACTAAATGTTTGTGTCCTTCTAAAATTCATATGTTGAAGTCCTGACCCCACATGTGTCTATACTGGAGACAGAGCCTTTAAATAAGTGATTAAAGTTAAGTGAGGTCAGCAGGACTTGGTGGCTCACACCTGTAATCCCAGCACTTTGGGAGGCTGATGCGGGCGGATCACCTGAGGTCAGGAGTTCAATACCAGCCTGGCCAACATGGTGAAACCACCTCTCTAGTAAAAATACAAAATTTAGCCAGGCGTGTTGGCTGCACCTGTAATCCCAGCTACTCCGGAAGCTGAGGCAGAATTGCTTAAACCTGGGAGACAGTGGTAGCAGTGATTGCAGTGAGCCTAGATCGTGCCACTGCACTCCAGCTTGGGTGACAAGAGTGAAGTTCTATCCCCCCAAAAAAAAAAAAAAGTTAAGTGAGGTCATAAGGGGGAACCGCTGCTCTGATAGAAGTGGTGCGCTATAAAAGGGAAAGAAACACTAGGGCTCTCTCTCTTCGCCATGTGAGGATGCAGCAAGAAGGGGGCTGTCTATCAGCCAGGAAGAAAGTCCTCACCAGAAACTGAACTCTGCCAAAACCTTCATCTTGGACTTTCCAGCCTTCAGGACTCCAAGAAAATATATTTCTGTTGTTTAAACCACCTACTCTGTGGTATTTTGTTAGAGCAGCCCAAGCCAACTAACACAAAGATGTAAAGCATACAGGCATTCTCACTGGATTTGATTTTCCAAATACAAACTCGGCTTGTTCAAAATGACATAACAGTCAAACACAGGTCTATGGAAATCCAAAGCTAAGGCTGGGTTGCTAAGACAAAGATGCAGCCTTTAAAATAAGAACTAAAAAAAAAAAAAGCACATTCAAAATTCAACTCTGAATTCAACTCTATCCATGTGGCCTTGGGCACGTTGTGTAAGCTCACTGAATCTCACTTTCCTCATCTATAAATCTCTCATGGGTTCTAAATGAGGTCACTTGTAGTGACATGGAGAACGGACCACAGGTTTTGTTTCCTCTCCCTTCCCTCCGCTGTCATAGTCTTTGGCATTGAAGCTTAAGGTTGAAAGAGAGAGAAAGGTTCTTTGGACACAAGCACTTATGCCAAGTGTGCTAAGAAGAGGTTAATTGTGACACACTCCTCCCACCTTGCCCACCCAACAGCCATCTAGTGCCTCACTAGCTACCCATGTCAAAGGCTGAGCTGAATTGGGAGCAGGTGGACACGAGCAAACAGGTTAAAGCACACAGGGAAACCTAAGTGTCTCCAAGCTCCTGTGGAGGGATGAGACAGCCAGTTGAGCAGCCACTCTTTCATCTTCACTGTCTTGGCCTTGGTTAGGGTTGGAATATATAATTTGGACCAACTTCAAGACTGTTTTAACATTCTCATGGAATCTATTTGTGTACATGATTAGCCAAACATAAAAGCTATTAGAGAAAGATTTTACCACTCCTTCCTTCTACTCTGAAGAACACGCCAGGGTTAATTACAAGATTATTCCAACAGCATACAACATAGCACACAGTAGATGCTCAACATATACCCCCTTTCCCCTTTTTCTCTGTCTTATTGTAACCACCCCATGGATTCTTGCCTGCCACATAGATAAAGCCAATTCACTGAGATAATACTGTTGCAGTCAAGAAAGAGTTTAATTGTTGCAAGGCAGCTGCGCAACAGGAGGAGAGATATTTCTCAGATCCATCTCCCCAAGAGCTCAGAGGCTAGGGTTTTTTAAGGATAATTTCGTGGGCAGGAAAGTAGGGCATGGGTGCTTCTGGTTGGTTGAGGATGGAATCATAGGAGTGTCAGAGCTGTCTTTGTGTGCTGACTCAGTTCCTGGGTAGGGGTCACTGGTCAGGGTGACATTGCTTTTTCTACCAGAAGGCAAGGTCTGAAAAATATCTCAAACACCAGTCTTTGGTTTTACAATAGCAATGTTATCTATAGGGGCAATTAGGGAACTTACAAATCTTGTGACCACCAGCCATGTGACACCTGAGCAGTCAACAAGTAGGAAGCAATGACTAGTTATCATTTAACTATGCAGATGTCTTAGCCAAATTCAGGCCCATCCCATAATTCTAATCTTGTGACCTTCCATTGGTTTTACAAAAGTGGGTCCACAAACAAGAAGTGGCTAGTTTTGGGAAGAGCTATTATCATCCTTAAGGTTAAACTATAAACTACATTTCTCCCATAGTTAAGTTAGCCCATGCCTAGGAGTGGGCAAAAGGAGTTAGCTTGTGAGGTTAGAAGCATAGAGTCTGCTATGTCAAATTTCTCTTACTGCCATAATTTTTGCAAAGGCAGTTTCATTATTACACTCCCAAGGTTTCAGAAATCTCGAAATTGGAAGAGAGGCAGCCAGCATGTATGGAGCAAGCACAATGGTGCCAAGCCTTTCCCAAATTCTCTCATTTATGCCTTACAACTCTCCCACCAGGAAGGTACTGATGAGAAAACCAAGGTACTGATGAGAAAACCAAGATGTCAGAAAAGGGAAGTGACCTGACCCTAGCTTCATAGTCCTCGTTTTTGCTCGTGCCCAAGTCTTCCCTGGTTCAAACTCCAGACTCTTTCGCGCACCCTCTTGTGATGTACCTGGAACTTGGAGTCTGGCTTGGGTTGTTTCATTCCATGCCCTGACACAAAAATTAGCCAGAAAAGGACAAAATCCCCCAGAATACTTGTATCCTGGAGTCCCAACTCACCAACTCAGACAGACCTAAAGGGAAAATGTTTGCAAGAGTGATACAAGGACCCAAGGAGAAAGGAAGGGGCCAGGAACAGACTTGGAAATAGAGGCCAAGCTTCTAATATAGAATAAACTAGCAATTTTCTGTGAGCTGCTGATTAAATACCTACCTCCCTCAGAGCCTCAGTATCCCCATCTGTAACATGACAAGGTGGTTGATTAAAGTGGTTGCAAGCCTCTAGCTCGAACACTTTATCATTGGCTCAGTTTTCTAGACACACAGAGCCGAAAGCTTTGGAGCCTACATTTTTCAGATAATCAGCTCAATTCACAATTCTACCCATACACACAGCCAAAACAACAGAAGCAATGGGCTTTCTTAAGGAAGTTGAATGGAGACCTGCAGAATACAGTCCCCAGTAAAGAGAAACACTCCAGCCAAATGCAGATCAGATTCTCAAATGGAAAATCACATTCCACAGGTTCCTGGAGGAGGAGGATAGGGGAGGAAGCTGCTGCTTCCAATAAGAGCTTCATTCCAGAAATCCCACATAATGGCCTCCCAAGCGCCCTGGTGTGATAAAGAGATGACTATTCCAGTTGAGAGAATCAAGTCCTCAGGGAAAGGTGGGTGGAGGACCAGGGAGGGCTCTTCCAAGAGAGGTTGAGCTCAACTCTTTAAACTGGAATATTGACTCTTCTGTTTCCAGTGTGATGATTTGAACCTGGTGAATACCTCATCCCTGCCAAAAGCCTGTCGCAATTAAGTATGTTTTCAATTGGGAAATGGAAGCGTATCAGACCTGGCAGGAAAACCAGAGAGCAAATCTTTATTAGGGCCTTGGGGCTCATACCAATATCTGGGACTGTCACCATCCCCACTGCCAACAGAAGGGAACATTCTCCCTGCCTCTGAAACTCAGAATTTGGAATCAGAAGACACCAAGACTATTTTTATTTCTCAGTAAACTTCCAGGTGAAAAAAAATAACAAAACATACTCTGCTTTTTCATTTTCAATTGGAAATTAAAAGTATAAGCAATTCCTCCATGTTTGTATTACTCCTTCTTTGAAGGTTTTCCTGCTGTTCCCCATCTCTGAGCACTATGACCCCCAACTCAGGGCCCTGCTGGGCAGAGCTGAACACTTCTCTATGTCACCAACACCGTCCCTATCACATCCTCCTAGCACGACACATGATCACATAAATTGGCATGTCTTCATGTGCCTGATTCCTCCTGAACTATTCTCCTTCCGCCCGCCTTATTCCTCCCTCCCTCTGTTAAGCACCAGAAACAAATGTGACCTAAAAGGAAGGCCATGAGCCTGGAAGTCGGGTAGAGATGGTTCTAACCTCAGCCATACTGTGACTCACTCTGGACTAAATGGTTTTACATCACTATGACTTTCTTCATCAGTAAGATAGAGGAATAAATACTTCATCACAGGCTTCTTTGGTTAGTTAAATGGAAAAAAAATGTATGACAAGAGTCTAATATATGGCAATCACAAGTTGTTCTGTCTCTTTCTTCTTTCTTGTTCTCCTACCTCTTCCAGGTACACCGTTTCTGTGGAAAGACTATCACTACAGCCCAGAACTCTGGTGGGGCATGGAGAGGAACCCGTGAGAGCATGTCATGGAGGGAAATAATGATTTTCATTTTCACCTGTGCCTGACTCAGTGTTCATGCAGCAAAGAACAGAGGATTTAAGTGTCCTTGTCTGGTCTCCAGGAAATTCCCAGGAGAAAGCAAACCTGGTCTGTACTTTCTGTAGCTGCTGACTTATGAATGAATGCATGCCCTTCAAAAAGTATTTTTTAAAGGTTTCATTTTTTTCCAAAGCTATTGACTTACAACTGGTATCTGGCTTTGACTCCAGAACAGGTGGCTTTAGGGAAGATTCCTGGAAGACAAAGACATGACACCCAAACCTAGAACTTGGTTTTGAATAATTAGAGATAAGGTCAGAGAAGGGATGGCATCCTCAGATAGAGGAAAGGGGATTATTTGACAAAAGTGTAGAGGAACAGAATAAACCTGGGGACCCGAATGTGGGGTTAGGAAGTGGTGAGGGATAAAAAGGTCCCATCTATCACCAAAGCTGGCATAGAAAGGGTGCTCAAACAAAAGGGAATCTATTAGAAAATGAACTAACCAATCTAAAAGGGCATAAGTAGGGTTGCTTAAAACCTTCTACATCCAGTACTCTGATCCTCTTCAACTCTTGCCAGAATCCAGAGAGAGAGAGAGGATACCCTAGCTCTGTTTCCTGCCAGTATGTCTGTTAAACCAGGGCCTCTGCCAGGTGAGTCTCGCTGCTGTGGAATGATATCCTGGGATGCAGAGTTGCCAATGTGTACCTATTCATTTGCACTGAGAGAGAGGCACACCTCATGTCAGGACCCTCACAGATCCAAATGGTTTAGGGAAGCAGATTCTGAATCAAACCAAGCTCCTCTGCACAACCAGCCACCACCACTTGGCCATACCTGTAGCTGTGGAGTCAGGACTCTCTTTGGAGTCTTACAAAGGGAGAACAAATTGAATAAAGATTAAGGAGTATGAGCAGTGATAGGGTTTGCCTCTGTGTCTCCGCCCAAATCTCACCTCAAATTGTAATCCCCACTTATCAAGGGAGGGACCTGGTGGGAAGTGATTGGCTCGTGGGGGGCAGTTTCCCCCATGCTGTTCTCATGACACAGAGTGAGTTCTCATGAGATCTGACGGTTTAAAAGTGAGACACTTCTTTATTCTCTCTCTCCTGCCGCCATGTGAATAAGGTGTTTGCTTCCCCTTCACCTTCCACCATGATTGTAAGTTTCCTGAGGCCTCCCCAGCCATGCAGAACTAAGTCAAACCTCTTTCCTTTATAAATTACCCCATCTCAAGTGGTTCTTTATAGCAGTTTGGAAACAGACTAATACAAGCAGTATTCTTGCCCACCCCTAAATGTACAAGTGTCCCAGGGCAGCACTCAGGCACCTGTTTTAAGAACCACCTGACCCATCTCTGCACCCAGCTATGCTGACTTGGGAGGCAGGAACAAGCCCAAATCCTGGCTGGTCCTCATGACTTTGATCCTTCAAAGCTTGCATTTAAGAAAAAAAGAAAGAAAACATGGAAAGGCAGTTAGGTTTCCATTTTCCGTTGTGCCTGATGTAGTGTTCATGCAGCAAGGAACAGACAGTTTAAGGGACCTTGTCCGGTTTCCAAAGAATTCCCAGATGCAAATTTCCCAGGAGCAAGCAAACGTGGTCTTTACTTTCTGTAGCTGCTAACTTATGAAGGAATGCATGCTCTTCAAAAAATATTTTGTAAAGATGTTCTTATTTTTTCCAAAGCCATTGACTTACAACTGGCATCTGTAGGCTACCAAAAGTAATTATAATAAATGAAGAGAAACTAGAGAAATGTTGCACAGGAAAGGGGAAATAAAAAGGAAATTTTATATACACGTACAAATGCATGTAGATGCGTGTATGTACATATGTAAATTCATTTTGTTTTCAAATTTAATGTCAAAACAGCTATAATTGCTCATTCTCCTTGTGTCAGGGGAGGAGGGATCATGTGCTCAGATGTCACCAAATGCTTCTTAAGTTCTCAACTACAAAGGACATTTTCCCTGCTCAATTTCATTATGGGAACATAACTTTACTGTCACCAACCATACAGGGAAAATCAGGTAACAAAAGAAGGAAGGATTGTGTCATTGTTGTTGCTGCTGCCGTATACAAAATATACAGTGATCGCAGAAAACCTCAAAAATATACACTCGTGAGAAAGACAACACAGAATCCTGCCACCCAGATGACTGCTGTTCACATGCTTGGTGTACACCCTTCAAGATTTCCCCCCTGCACCCAGGCACACACCTATACATTATAAACACATATACACATATGTGTGCATGTAGACATTCACATGGGCATAAGTACTATTGTCCCTGACACTTTTTTCTTCAGAATTGTGGCACAGATTGGAGGACCCCTAGGACACAGACAGGGCATCACCACCCACTGATGGTAACTGTGAAATATCTAGAACAGGGGCCCTCACAAGTTTTTCTGTAAAAGGGCAGATGATAATTATTTTACGCTTTGCAGGCCAGAGGGTCACAACTACTCAATGCTGCTATTATACCTGGAAAAGCAACCATCGATAATACGTGAGCAAATAGCTGTGGTTGTGTTCCGATAAAGCTTTATTTACAGAGCAGGAGGCGGGCTGGTGGCCCAAGAATAGTTTGCCACTCCCTGGTTTAGAACATACCATAAACCAAAAAGAGTCAAGAGAGCAGGAGACAGATTGAAGTGCATCCCTCACTGAAGAGCAAATTTCTTTTCCGTGGTCTGTGCTAGTCTCTTGCAGCAACCGTTTCTGCTTTAATGTGCATCCTCTGATACAATAATGACTATAGATAATTAGATTAAGTGAAGTTCACCCTTGTCCCAAAACAAGCTTTTTGAGACAGCAATTTCACTCCCTTTTTCTAGCTCCAGTTTCAGGGAGGGAGCCAGAACAGAAGTCACACTGACATGTCACAGGAATGCAGCAAGGTGAGGCCAGGGTGGCGTTCACTCATGTAAAACACCCTGGATCACACACCATCAGTAAATGATTTATTAAAAGCTACAAGATAAACACCGATAAAGTCTTCAGATACAGAGGCCCATGACATCTGCACAGGATGAGAGAATCAGAATGATTAATAGGGAAGGAGACAGGCTGGAAATACAGAAGACCTGCACCACCTGTGGGGAAGATCCTGGAGAACACATTTCCCACCTGCAAACAGCCTTCCAACCTCAGGCAATAAAATACACCTCTAATAACAAAAGCCATTTTGCACTATTTTCCCCCCTAGGTTTTGAGATGTAGCTCCTAAGTCCTTCATAGTGTTCAGATCCGTACCGACACAGCCTATTCTCAACAGTCACCTGACAGGCAGGGAGACCCTGCTTCTCCCGTTGAATCTTAATGACCAAGCAAATCTTAATGCGCAGCTCCAGCCGGGAGGTTTTGCAGATGCACATCCTGCACCCTCTGAGTCGCCCTCTCTCCCTGGATGAGCCAGGCCTTTCAAGGATCAGTGCCTGCACTTAACTCAATGTTCTGCTCAGCTGCTCACTCCAACCTTGCCCTTTCTTGCAGCTTCTGCAGAGATCCAAGATGTCTTCTGGGAATTTCAGCCAACAAGGGGAAATGACACTCCAATTAAACCTTCCTCTGTGATTTTCTGTTTCTTCCCACCTCACACCCATGTGCACACACTCAACCACACTTGTTTTCTACTCAGTTACCTATGGAAACACAGTCTTTTTGTGCCTGCCTCGGTGTTGGTTCCTGGAGATAAAAAGATTAATAAAATACAGTTGGTGACCTTTAATACCTTGTAGCCTATTGGGTAAGAATGATATGGACATAGAACACTCAACATCATGCAATCATGTTGTCGTCATGGTGTGTAAAAAGTACTACAGATCCAAGGATAAACAGACACAGGCACACACAAAAATGCAATAGCAAAAAGTCTGCAAGGAAGGATTGGAAATAGATAATGGTAAATGCCCCCTTCCCATTCCAAAAAAGGGTGTGGGAATGTGGATTAGATGAAGAAAGAGGTGGAATGTCTGTCATGTTTGGGTGTTTTGGTTTTGGTTTTGCATTAAAAATGTATTATACTTAGTGATATTATTTCTACTACCATGTAATTTAATTCTAAAATCCTCTAATTGCAGTTGAGCCAGGAGAAAGGTAACAGCACCTAGGGGACAAAATTCAAGGAGGCATTTGCTCCTGGAGGGATGGAGGTGTAGGGCTGGCTAAAGTAGCACAGAGAAGAGAGCAAGGAACGGTGGGAGCTTGGGAAAGACCTCAGAACAGGGCCATGTTGGAGCTGGGCCTTGCAAATTGGGAGAAAGAGAGAGATGATCCTGGGAGAGAAGAGAGATGATTTGGCAGAGAGAGCAGCATGGGGGAAAGGCAGGGAAGTACAATGGAGGATGATGAGTAATTATGAATGCCAAGGACAGAGAATGTGGGGTGAGAAGGAGAAAGAAAAACACACATATGAATACTTGCACACACACACTCATACATACACATGCCCAGATAGCATTTTCATTAAAGGGTCAACTTGTATGCTCACCAGCAGTATCTAAAATGAGATTGAGTGGCTGGCTGCCCCAGCCTCATGGTTCCAGTCCAGATGCCCTCAAGAAGCTCAGTATTATTGCTTTACTCTAAATCGTGTCTATATCTTGATGGATCTTGAGATCCATTCCAAGGGTGCCACTTAGACCTCTTGTCTCTCCTTCCTCCATCCCTTCCTTGAGTTGCCCTCTTCTAGGGACCATTTGACAAAGCTAAGTCACATAATAAAATTTTCTACTAAGTATGCCAGACATCGTTCCTAGTGCCTCACCTATATTATCTCATTTATGTATCACAAAAATCTAACATGTACATAGTTATTATTACCATTTTATAGACAGAGCAACTTGGGGTCAGAGTAATTAAGTCGCTTAACCAGAACACAGAGGAAAGAAATGAGAAGGCCAGGCCTCAAAGCCATACCAGCTGATGCCAAATGGGGGTATTTGGTTTTTTGTTTTTGTTTTGAGATGCAGTCTCTATCACACAGGCTGGAATGCAGTGGCACAATCACAGCTCAATGGAGCCTCGACTTCCTGGGCTGAAGCGATCCTCCTACCTCAGCCTCCCAAGTAACTGGGACTACAGCCACAGACCACAACACCTGGCTAATTTTCCTATTTTTTCTAGAGATGGGGTTTCACCATGTTGCCCAGGCTGATCTTGAACTCCTGGGCTCAAATGATCCTCCTACCTCAACCTCCCAAAGCGCTGGCATTACTGGCGTGAGCCACCATCCCCGGCCTCATGCCTAACGTTATGCTAACTATTGTGCTATCCTCTGCAGTTAATTACAGAAAACACCTGCACAAAAATGCGTGGCAGTCAATGCAGTAGAGAAGAGATAAAGACCTAACTTGGGGTTTCTGAACAAATAGTCCCTGTCCATAGACCATGAGCAAAGGTGGACGCAAACAGCCCTGACAAGTGAGCGGTTCTAAAGGCGTGCAACCTGCAGCTGTCAGTATCAGGTAAGTTGTGGAGAATTACCTCGAAGGTGGCTAGGGTTGAATCCTGGTATCCTGTCTCTGTAAGGAACCAGAGGATGTTGCCTACAGCCTGTTTCTGCTCTCAGGCCATTCTCTTTGCACTTCAAATATCGTGGGGAAGGTGTTTTGCATTCATGTTACGGAGGGTAATTGTTGTGAGTTCATCTATCAAAAAGCCACTGATGGGTACATTTACATAAGAAAGAGAGAAATGAAAGTCAACGAAAGCCCAAGTCTCAGTTGTTTGACTTCTGTGCGCCACAGGGCACAGTTCTCCAAAAACAGACCGAACTGTGGGCAAAGGACAGCTTAGCTGTTTAGAAGTAAGGAAAGCCTTTCCTTTGGTCAACCCTGATTATGCTCTATAGGGGCATTAGGTTACCACTGAGAAACTGTACTGTCCTACCCTCATCCCAAAGATGGGGACTCCGTGATCTGACAGAGCCCTCTGCCTGTCGGGGAGACCTGGCCGTGAGAGCAGGGCACCCGGGCCCTGAAACCGCAGGGATGGGGGTGCACGCCGGGCCATGACAAAGGAAACAGCGCCATCTTGTGGCTCCAGGAGAGATGAGCTACACTTCCCGCCCATTGTCTCACGAGGGCACGTAGTTAACTTACCAAGAAGAAATTTGAAATTTGGAAAACAGAAGTCAACCGTGCCTTTATGGACAGCATGGTAGGCAAAACCTGGCCCAGTCCCATTTTGTCTGATCTGTGGCTAAGGGAGAGAAATGGCAGTGTGTTAAGGGTCGTCACCACCAAATGTAGGCGCTCCTGGGGACAGCAAAGCATTCCCTCACTTGGCATCAGGAGGGACCGGTCCTTGACCCAAGCACAGATCCTTTCGGGTGCAAAAAGAGGACCAAGATAGAGGTCATGGATTACGTTCTGGATGTTGGTGACAATGGCTGCAAATAAAAAGCACTTAAGATTTGCGAGGCACTCTGCATGCATTAATGAATAATTAATAATTAATGAACTAATACTTAAGGAATAATTAAACAGTTGCTTAAAATTAACCCTCATAGCAACCCCAGAGGAGGTAAGGTGCTAGTACTATCTCCATTTTTCAGATGAACAAACTAAGTCCCTCGGAAACAATGCAGAGTACCCTGGGCTAGGTCACCCAGGTAGCTAGGATGACAGCCAAAATTAAAACACAAGCCTGTCTAACTCGAGTCTCATGCCCTGAAGTTACTTCTACAGTTTCTTACATGATGCTCCAGAAACCAGCTACACTGGATACACACAGCATGTATACTGAAATACAAAAATATCTCACCCTACCCTAAACATACCGAGTCAGAATCCCTGGGTGGGTGTGAGAATTGGCACTTTAGCAAGTTCCGCAGGTGATGAGATACCCAGCCCACAGGTGCCCTGGCTAAACTGTGTCTCCCAAAGTTTGTGTGTTGAAGCCCTAATCCCCAGTATGATGGTATTTGGAGATGGGGCCTTTGGAACTGCTTCTTTTGGATGAGGTTATGGTGGTGGTGCCCACATGATGGGATTAGCACCCTTATAAGAAGAAATGACCTACTGGGTGAGGTGGCTCACTCCTGTAACCCCAGCACTTTGGGAGGCCAAGGCGGGCGGATCATGAGGTCAGGAGATTGAGACCATCCTGCCTAACACAGTGAAATCCTGTCTCTACTGAAAATACAAAAAAAAAATAAATAAATAGGCGTGGTGGCGGGCATCTGTAGTCCCAGCTACTCGGGAGGCTGAGGCAGGAGAATGGCGTGAACCCGGGAGGCGGAGCTTGCAGTGAGCCAAGATCGCGCCACTGCACTCCAGCCTAGGCGACAGAGCGAGACTCCATCAAAAAAAAAAAAAAAAAAAAAAGAAAGAAGAAATGACCAGAACTCTTTCTCTTTCTACCGTGCAAAGACATATCAAGAAAGCAACTGTCTGCCAGCCAAGAAGAGGGACTTCTCTGAAAACCAGCCATGCTGGACCTTGATCTTGGACTTCCAGAACTGTGAGAAATAAATTTTTGTTGTTTAAGCCACCCAGTCTATGGTATTTTGTCATGGCAGCCCGAGCGGATTAACGCACCAGGATACATATCCGTGGGCCAGGTCATGCGAGCTCATCAGTAAATATGCCTGTTATATTAATGAACAACCAAGAGATTTCAACACTCTGGCCCTTGGAAGAACTGTGCCAAGGACACATGTGTACTATTTCCAGGATTTAGCCTCTTTTCCAACCTACCTCAAGGTGACATTGCCTTGGAATCTGTCTTCCAAATGTAAGAAGAACGGCCTCCTTCCTACATCACTAAAGATTCACGGGGGAGGGATTCCAAAAGCAGACGTGATAACCTGGTGTAAATGTGCAGAAATGGGAAGAGTAATAGGAGCTTTGCTTTGTGTAGTGCCTTACAGTTTTCTGGCACATGTGATTTCTTTAGATAGCTGGACTTTTCCCTGTGAGGTAGAGAGGCCATATAATTATGACCTTGGTTTACCAGATTATAAAGCAAAGACAAATGGAATCGCAGAGCCCTGCCCGTGGTCACCCACTAACGACATGGAGAACTCAGCCTAGTTGGAAGTGCAAGTAAGATAACAGAAAAACATGGGCTGATCAGGAAATAAAATTAGAGGAGTCGCCATAGCTTGGAAGAGGGGTTTGTCTATCAGGATGCTTGCAGCAAGAAAATTCAACCCAGATGCTCAAATGACAAACAAGAGGCCTTAATAACAAGATGACATACAAGGCATGGGCAGGGATCCGGGAACAAACACAGAATGGGGTGCCCCTTGGGATCAGCAACAGGGGAAAACTGTTCCCTCTCCCAAGACTAAAATAGCAAGAAGAGGAAGAGATGGTGTTATGAACCAAGAAGATGGGCAGGAAGTAAAATAAATAAGCCAAAACAAGGACACCAAAAGACAGGCTCTGTTTTTAGACAACCATTTCTCCAAAAACCAGTCACTCCATATTCACTTGAGCGGGAGGCCTGTTTTCTAAGAAACAAGTCAATCAATGGCCTTTGAATGGGTCTTCCCGAGGAAGCCTGTTTCTCAACCTCAGTCATGCTGGGAGTGGGTAGGGGGTGGTCACTCTCCAGTAAGATGCAGGGACAGATCTCCTGGACCACTGAGTCCCTGGTCTTCCTTCAGCCCAGCACACTTGTGTGAAGTGGGAAATTCAACACCTGAGAAGTAGAAATAACACGATAGTTCTTTATAGACTCCCCAGACTCTATTTCAACAGAAAAAAAATTAAAAAGAATATCCCTACTGCTCATAGATTGTTTACTACTCTGTCAAACATTTCTTGATATATTCTTTCCAGTTATGCAAAGCTTTTAAACACAAGGATGCAATATTTTATAAGTATGTGTAAGGCAGGGCTTCTCAACCTTGGCCAGATCATTCTTTGCCATGGGAGGCTGTGTGGTGTACTGTGGGGTGTTAGTAGCATCCTTGGCCTCGACCCAGTAAATGTCAGTAGCATATCTCTCCCCCTCAGTTATGACACCCCAAAATATCTCCAGACATTGCCAACCATCCCCTTAAGGGCAAAGTCACTCCCTCTCTCCTAGTGAAGTCCTGTTCTAAGTGACCCCAATTTGATGAGCTGAATTCTTCCATTAACAATGAGAGGGCCAGGGTTAGGGTGAGGTGAGTGATGATCTTAAGACCCTGTCTTTATTTAAATGTTGATGTTTTGTTGAACATGGATTTTTTTGGCATTAAATTTTTTAAAGATTGCATTAAAATATTATCTTCACTATTGAGTGTTTTTCATGACCCCTTAAATTTTGCATTTGGAACAAGTGCTTCACTTGCCTCCCTTAGTCCCAGTCCTGGGCAAGGTACCCCTGGAGCCGTGAATACCAGGAAACAAAGTTCTTCTGCTTCCCTCTCATTCATTCATTCAGTCAGTCATTCAATTTTCCCAAGTCCCCCTAGTATATAACTAGCTCATTATTTGCAATAGCTGTATAACAACTCAAAGTATGGGTCACCATAATTTCCATGACAATTCCTACATAATAAAAATGAGGAATAGGCCCGGTGTAGTGGCTCACACCTGTATTTCCAGCGCTTTGGGAGGCCAAGGTGGGTGGATCACCTGAGGTCAGGAGTTCCAGACTAGACTGGCCAACATGGTGAAACCGCATCTTTACTAAAAATACAAAAATTAGCCAGGCATTGTGGTGGGTGCCTGTAATCCCAGCTACTTGGGAGGCTGAGGCAGGAGAATCACTCGAACCCAGGAGGCGAAGGTTGCAGTGAACTGAGATCGCGCCACTGCACTCCAGCCTGCGCAACAAGAGCGAAACACCATCTCAAGAAAAAAAAAAAAAAAAAAAAGGTATAAATAGAACTGCATTAGATGCCTCATAAAAAGCATCTTAGAAGGAAAATACTAAGAACCAAGGGATCAGTTACCAGGTAAAGCAACAGTCCAGGGCGGACACGACTGTGACTCAGACTAGGTATGGGCTGTGGACATGGAAAGAAATGTGAAGATTAAAAAGATAGAGTCAACAGATATTGGTGGTGAACTGAATGTAGGGAATGAAGATGAGAAGTTTGTCAAAGGTAAGTCCCAGCTTTCTAACACGAGTAACTAGGTGCAGGTCATTACAGGTGATGAAATGGAGAAGCCTCAAGAAGGAGCAGGGTGGGAGTAACCATGCAGAGGAGTAGGGTGGGAGGAACCATGTGTCAGGGATCACAAGATGAGCTTGGCAGTGAGGGGGAAAAGGGGTGGCTGGGGTGCATCCACGTGGAGTTCTCAAACATGGAGACTGGCCTGGAGATGCAGCTGCAGGTGTTAGCAGCATTTAGATCATACCTGAAGCTGTGGAGTGCATGAGCTTTCCTATGGAGGAAGGAGAACCACAAGACGGTCTGGGACCAAGCCCTAAGGGACTCTCCTACTTAAAAGGCAGGTAGAATCAACAGCAGATGCTGAAATTAGGGGGCAAAAGTATGATTCAAAACAGGATATTTGCATAATCTCAAAGAATCTTCCCCCGAGGTAATTATTAATTACAAAGGGGAAATAGTCATTTTAAAGTCGATGCTACCTTAACCAAATAATCAAAATTAATCTCACAACAATGAGACATAGTAACATCATGTGCCTCCTGATTTGATGCACTGAGAAGGACACAGCATCACTTCTGTGATTTCCTTGCCAAAAGTGCATAACCTCAGTCTAAACTAAAGCAAACATCAGCAAAACCCAAAATAAAGGTCACACTACAAAATAACAAGAGGGTACTCTTCAAGTCTGTCAAAGTCATGAAATACAAAGAAAGACGGAAGAATTGTCCCAGATTGGAGAATATTAAGATGACATGATGACTAAATGCAATGTGTAATCCCGGAATGAAGTCTGAACCAGGCAAAAGACAAGAGTGAACCAACTGAAGAAATTTGAATAAGATCTGCCGATCAGTTATGAGTGTCAATACCAATTTCCTGGTTTTAAAAATTATACTATGGCTATGTAGAATGCTAACATTCCAGGAAGATAGACGAAGGGCAGATAGGAATTCCCTTGTAAAACTTTTGCAACTTTCTTGTAAGTCAAAATAAAGAGTTTTTAAAATATAGGTAGAGGAGGAGGACCCAGCAAGAGACAAAAATAGTGATCAGAGAGGAAGATGGGGATGGCATTGGGGAAGCCAAGCAAAGAGCCACATTAAGAAAAAAAAAATGGGTATTCAATAAAGTTAAATGTTGCTGAAAGTCAAATAAAATTCAAATGAGTCTCTTGGATTTTATCTCCTTTCTATATACTTTTTATTGAGGTTTAATATAAAAAAAGAAAAGTTCAGAAATCACAAGTGAATACCTACGTATAAAAACACCCAATTCAAGATACAGAACATTAACACCACCAAAAAGCCATTTCTGTACTATCTGTTATTGTCCTTCCTTTCTACAAAAGTAATGGCTGTTGTGACTTCTACCACCATGGGTTAGTTTTGCCTCTTTTTAAAAAATGGATATAGGGCCGGGTGGGATGGCTTGTACCTATAATCCCAGCACTTTGGGAGGCTGAGGCGGGAGGATCCCCTGAAGTCAGGAGTTCAAGACCAGCCTGGCCAACATGGTGAAACCCCATCTCTACTAAAAAATACAAAAACTAGCTGCGCGTGGTGGTATGCACCTGTAATCCCAGCTACTCTGGGGGGCTGAGGCAAGAGAATCGCTTGAACCCGGGAGGCGGAGGTTGCAGTGCGTAGAGTTCGCGCCACTGCCCTACAGCCTGGGTGATAGAGCAAGACTGCATCAAAAAAAAGAAAAATTGATATAAATAGGCCAGGTGCAGTAACTCACACCTGTAATCCCAGCACTTTGGGAGGCTGAGACGGACGGATCACCTGAGGTCAGGAGTTCAAGACTAGCCTGGCCAATATGGTGAAACCCCATCTCTACTAAAAAAAATAAAATAAAATTAGCTGGGCATGGTGGTGCATGCGTGTAATCCTAGCTACTTGGGAGGCTGAGGCAGGAGAATCACTTGAACCCAGGAGGCAGAGGTTGCGGTGAGCAAAGATAGCACCATTGCACACCAGCCTGGGCAACAAGAGTGAAACTCTGTCTAAAAAAATAAATAAGTAAATAAATAATTGATATGAATGGAATCTTACTGGTCTGGTTTTATCACTCAATACTATGTGAGATTTTTCCATGTTGTTTCATACCGTGGTAGTTCATTTTCATTCCCGCATTGTATTCCATTATGTGAATATAGCATGATCTGTTTATCCATCCTATTGCTGATGGCATTTGTGCTGTTTCCACTTCAGGGTTATTACCATTAGTGCTGCTGTGAATATTTCGTATATACCTTTTGACACATATATGAATGTTTATCTGCTAGATATCTATCTATAAGTAGAATTTCAATTAAATTTTACACTACAGATATGACAGGGGATAGCTGTTCAAAATATTGATTGATGAGTTAATGAGAGGTGTCAGCAATTATGAATAATGCTCATGTTCCCCCAAAGCAGCTGCAAATGCCATTTTGTACTTCATTCTCAATATTCATGTTTATTCATGAAGGTGAGAAAAGGCCAAAGGCTTCATTCCATGAAAAAAAAAGATTACATTGTGGGGCAAAGAAAAGATCTAGAAGTCAAAAATACTTGGTTTCAAACCCCAGCTGAGCCATGTTATTTGTTGTGCGAGCCTAGGCAACTTGTTTTATTTCTCTGAATTTTGGGTTCTTCAGTTTTAAACTTGAAATAGTATCTCCAGTTCCAAATGTATTGCATTTCGAATAATGCCTGATTCAGGTAACAAACATGGTAAACGTTCCTAAGAATATCCTCCTGGGAAATCTTGATCCAGCTTCTCCCAACTTCGCAAAATATTTATAGAGAAAACATGAAAATTTTAAATCCTGCAAAATGAAGTTAGCCAAGTGACAATAACTCTGATAAATTTCACCTATCTACAAGGCTAAAGGAATAGAAAAGGAAAAGCACATTTGATAGGTATCAAATGTAGGAAACAGTGCAAAGCTTCTCTTCTGAGTGTGGATAGAAACTTCTCTCACTATGGGCCCCCGTCGTTCAGAAAAGCAAAGTCTATACCAAAAAGCAAACAAAAATAACGTCTTTCTCTTGTGTCCATACTGCTGTTTAAGACACCCAGTGAGGCTCTCCCGGACCAGACTCACCTCCCGCTATTGACTGGATGTTTGGAGACCCAGAAAACGACATCACAGGACGTAAGTACCAGGAGGTCTAGAGGTGACTCATGGTTTCCTACAGGTGTAGTCTCCACAAACTAGAAATGATGACTGTGTCCCTGAAAGCAGGGACTGTTCATGTCAATTTTTTAATTTCCGTCTAAAATGTCAGAACTGGAACTAGATGACAATTTCAAGACAACAACCAGGAATCCAACCCAGGAATTAGGGTTTCCTGAAAAAGCAACAAGAACAACTGGAGTAAAAAACATTATCTAAGTCATAGTTAGAGTTTACTTGGCTGGTGGGGATGGGGAGATAGATATTGATGATGCCGATAAGATTAGTATGAACTCCGAGTAATATCCATGAAAAGTTCTTCAATCAGATTGATCTTAGCAAATGTTTCAACAACAAAAATTATAAAATGAGTTCGATAAGAATGCAAGCAAAGGGAAAAAAGCGATATGATGAAACCAAAATTAAGGCAAGTATCAGACTTTTCCTCTGCTGTGTATGAAATACCAAAAAACAATGAAGAAATATCTATAGCTTTGACAGGGGAATGGTTAGAACTCAATTATTTTATTGGGTAAACCACAAGAAGAAATTCTCAGAAGCCATATCATCTCAGAAACAATATCATCCATGCATTCTCCTTCAAAACTGCTTCAAAACAACCAATTGAAAATACATCTGGCCAACAGAAATGTAATTTAAAACTCGATGAGACTATTAGTATAAAAATCACTTTTAGTTATAAAAGGAACGGCATTGGTCGCTGCAGTAATGACGGACACTCCCTGAGGGCTGACAAGGCATATTAGTTTTCTAATTATGGTAGCTAAAAACAACACACACTTATTATCTTACAGTTCTACAGGTCAGAAATCGAAAATGAATCTTACCAGGATAAAATCAAGGTATGGGCAGGACTGCATTCACTCTGGAGACTCTAAGGGAGAATCAATGCCTTTCCTTTTCAATTCTAGAAGTTACCTGCATTCCTTCTCTTGACCCTCCATCCATCTTTAAAGCCAGCAACACTGAGCCAAGACCTCACACAGTACGATCTCGCAGGCTCTCTCTTTCCCTTCCTTCTTCCACTTATAAAGACCCTTATTACACTGGGCCCACCTGGATGGTCCAGGATAATCTCCTATCTCTCACACTGGGCTCACTCGGATACTCCAGAATAATCTCCCATCTCTTACATTGAGCCCACCTGGATGGCCCAGGATAATCTTCTATATCAAGGTCAGCTGATTAGCAACCTTAATTCCACCTGAAATCTTTATTCCCCTTTGTTATGTAAGCTAACATTTTCATAGGTTCTGGAGATTAAGATGGGAACATCTTTGGGGGACCATTATTCTGTTTGTCCTAATAGTGCAATAATCCTCACTTAATTAAGTAGCTCATTTCATCTCCATTTAATTTTCATGAGTTAGAAATAAAATGAATCCACTTTATCGAAGAGGAAGCTCAGGTTTAAAGCAGCAGCCTCAGAGTCATTCCAGTCAACTCAAACATTTTCTTGGTGGGCTACGCTGGCTCGCACCCATGATCCCAGCATTTTGGGAGGCCAAGGCGTGAGGCTGGCTTGAGACCAGGAACTCAAGACCAGCCTGGGCAACATGGCAAGACCTCGACTCTACAAACAAATTTTTTTTTAAGTTAGCTGGATGTGGTGATGCATGCCTGTAGTCCCAGCTACTGGGGAGGCTGAGGCAGGAGGATCACCTGAGTCCAGGAGTTTGAGGCTGATGAGAGCTGTGACTGCACCACCACACACTCCAGCTGGGTGATGGAGCAAGACCCTGTCAAAAAAAAGCAAACAAACAAACAAACAAAAAACAAAAACAAAAAATTCTCAGTGTTGTACAGTGGCTCAAGCCTGTAATCCTAGCACTTTGAGAGGCCGAGAAAGATGGATCACTTGAAGTCAGGAGTTCGAGACCAGCCTGACCAACATGGTGAAACGTCATCTTTACTAAAAATACAAAAATTAGCCAGGCGTGGTGGCGCATGCCTGTAATCCCAGCTGTTCAAAAGGCTGAGGCATGACAATCACTTGAACCCAGGCAAAAGAGGTTGCAGTGAGCCAAGATCGCACCACTGCACTCCAGCCTGGGTGACAGAGTGAGACTCTGTCTCAAAAAAAAAAAAAAAAAAATAGAGAGCTTTCCATACACATAGTTCAGACTTGGAGTCCAGTCTTGCTGAGGGAGAGATCATTGTTCTCATTATGCAGAGGAGGAAATTGAATCCTCTAGGAGATGAGTGACTTGGCCAAGGTTATTCAGGAAGCTAGTGGCAGAGTAAAGACCTGGACTCTGAAGCCAGTGGTGTTCTGGTTCATTTTGGAGTCTTTCAGGAATTCTGTTGGCACTTGAAATCCAAGTTTCTTGTTTCCAGAAGGGAAAAAAAAAAATTGATGCTCATTTTCTGTGTTTTGTCATAGCACCAATCCTGGAGCTTAGTTCTGCCTACAATTCCCAGGATCCCCTTACAGCCACCATAAAATGTGCTTTTATCACTCACAATGCAGAGAATCAATAAAACAACTAGCGAGAAAGAAACCACATCCTTTAATTTCATCATCTCCAGAACCAAAAGGTTTTCATGTCATAGGAAAAGGAGGGCTTGAGCTATGGTCCTCAGAGGAACAAATTGCATTTTCATTCTGATAAAGAGAAGAGCCTATCTTTTCAGAAGTTGACCCGGTGATTCCAGAAAAAGCATAGGACCCTACACAGCCAATGAGAGCAGTTAGTGGAGCCATGTGTCACGTTCACCTTACTTAGCAAAGATCACTAGGTGGCCTTTGAAAGGTAACACAAAAATGCTGTAGAATCTTGCCAGACGTGAGTTTATCAGATGGCCAGTTGAGAAGTATAAAATGTGGCTAGCTGTTTCTTTCGTTTTTGAGAAAAACAAATGACAGCTGGATTTTAACTACCTATTGTATTTTTACTCTCCCAAAACAGCTCAAAGAGTACTTTTCTTGTGCAGAGAGATACTTGCAATGAAGCTAACATGAAAGAATGGCCACTTCCCAATTATCCATCCATTCCTTCATTCTGGCTGCTCAGAAGGTGGCTGAGGAATGGGGTGACTAAGGATATAGTCCATGTATTATAATCTCTCACACAGGCTGGAAAATTCTGATCCATGCATTCCTTGGTTTATTCCATGAGGCCTTTATTTTCAAAAATATTGTCTTAAATTTACTTTTGTGGAAAACCCCTAGAATATCTTAAAATTGAGTAAATTGTAGATCCATAGCATTTTGACTGCCTCGTTCCAAATATACTGGATACATTTTTTTCAAACGTTGCCCACCCCATCTATGCTGTTAATTCCTATTCTCCCAGTCTCTTTTAGACATCGTCTAAATGTTAATCCCCTTCAATGTTAATCAAAATGCAATATGGAATACATCAGTCAGCTATTGCCAAAACAATTCTATATAACAAACCAATCTAGCACTCAGTGGCTTAAAACAGCAATCATATATTCTTTTTTTTTTTTTTTTTTTTTTTTTTTTTGAGACAGAGTCTCACTCTGTTGCCCAGGCTAGAATGCAGCGGCGCAATCTTGGCTCACGGCAACCTCCACCTCCCAGGTTCAAGCTATTCTCCTGCCTCAGCCTCCCAAGTAGCTGGGATTACAGGTGTGTGCCACCATGCCCAGCTAATTTTTAGTAGACATGAGGTTTCACCATGTTGGCCAGGCTGGTCTCGAACTCCTGACCTCAGGTGATCCACCCACCTCGGCCTCCCAGAGTGCTGGGATTACAGGCGTAAGTCACCACACCAGACCTATTCTTATTTTCACAGATACACAAATCAGCTTCAACTCATCTGGGCTGGGCTATACTCCAGGATGTGGGAGCTGGGCTGCAGAGGCAGTCGAAGTCTGATCCACAGGTTTTTTATTCCAGGGAGTGGCTGTATTCCACAGCCTCGTTCTCAAGCTCAGGGATTGAAGGCCCAGCAACTGTCCTTGGCATGTCCTTTTCCCGCTGGGTCGCTGGATCACAAAAGGGCATGCCCAAGTGTGCAAGCATTTTCCAAAGCTCTGCTCACAGCACTTACGCCAGCAACCCTTCAGCCAAAGCAAATCACATTGCTAAACCCAAATTCAAGGTGTCAGAAAGTAAATTTCACCCATCATGTGGCCTTGGGAAGGGTGTGTATATGAAACACTAGTGCAGAGTACTGAACAATTGAGGCCAATCATGTAAGATAACACATTAAGGTAGAATAGTAGATGGCACTGTGCATACAATTAAAAAAAAACTGACTATTGAGCAATACTAGAATATTAGTTAACACAATAACTCAAAAGCATGCTTTCTATTTGGGGGCAGGAAACAGGGTATATATGTAACAACCCAAACAGTGGCATTTGAATATATGGTTTCTCCTACTTGAGCGAGGTCAGGTTGAATCTTGGAGGTTTTAAGGTCTACGTCATGAGAAATGTTCAAAGGGAAAGAGTCATCTTAGGTAAATATATTTCAAAATTCCACTTACATAGAAAAAGAGGTCTAAACTGGAAGGTTCTCTGGAGTTCCTTCCAACTCTGTGTCCGCATGGTTCCTAGCGTGTATCAGACGTAGAGGAAGACATCAGCCTGCCCCTAGATGGTAACAGTCACAACATGCTGACGGTTGCACTGTCCCATAGCCGGTGCCCTCAGCAGCCAGCATGACCTTGTGCAAAGAGCCAGGGCTTTGGAGACAGGCAAGAGGGGGTCATGGTTCAGCTGGACCACCAGGTGAGTCCTTTGCTTCACTGGGTCTCGATTTTACCATCTCTGAAATGAGTCAGACAGACCAGGCAATGTCTATGACCCATCTGGTTCTACAAGCTTATGATTTTATGCCAACCTGGATGCATGGAGGAGTCACCAATGCTCAGGTATGAGAGGTGGTCTAGGTAAGAAGTGCAGTTACCAAGAGGCAGAGAAAACTGTATTGATGGGCACAAGCAAAAATTGAGTTAACAGTCACATAGGGCTGAGTTGTAGGTCACTACATGCCTCTAGGAGATTCCCTTATCAACCATCCAGAATCCTAAGTTTTTTTCCAGATTCCATCGTTGGGGTTAAGACATGGTCTCTGGAGTGAGACCTAGGAGAGCTTCCAACTCCAAACTCCACTCTTTGTTGAGTCTCACAATACCCCAAAGGCCAGGTTTTCTACAGTTCTCTCTCCCCACAAATGAGACCACAAGGGCTGTTTCTCTTGCAGCCCAGGAGATAGGAAAAAATAATAATACAAGCAATAAAGGAACTTTTATACAGAAATGTATTTTGGGGCTACGATGTAAAGTCCCTTCAGCAGGAGCCACAATTTTCTTAAATAATCGTTCCCATAATTGGCTACTTGTGGGAACAACTAATTGTGCATGGAATCATTTGCCTGTACAACTCAGCATCAACCAGTAATTAAAGGCAGAGCCGTCCTTGCTAAATTTGGCTCCAGAAATAATAGTAATATTTGCAAGAGTTCAATGTCTTCCTGCCAAGGAACTCTAAGCCCCATTCAAATGGGTATTATTATTTTTCAAAACATCTTGGAAAAGGGAGACCTGCAACCTTGCCCCAAAGCAAACACAGTCAGAGAAGAACTATGCTGAATAATTCCCCTGCTTGTGTTTATTCTACCAGCTATGTTGAGCATATATTGAGCATCTTCCATGTGCTGGGTCTAATCCTTCCCTAAGCTAGTGTCTCCTTGATCTTCTGAGCCCTTCTCTTTGCATACCCTTTCAAAGGAGGTGGGAGGATAGAAAAAAATCATCCGAGTCTGCAAAAGACCTACCTTGGTTAATTTCTTACAGGCCATAGATAGATCCCAACTAAGCAGTGACTCCTACCTACCCCAAACCCTGCCTGCCACACAGCCACCGTGTTGAAGCAGTATTTGTCATTTTGCATCTGGAAGGTTGCCGCCACCTCTCAGCGGACTCCCCTCGTTCCATATTTGTGCCTTTTTGGCCCAATCTTTTACCCAAAGAAAGCATGCATTGGTCTTAAATGAAAAAGTAGATCATGTATCCTCTGTTTGGTGGAGGGTTAAGTTATGACCCCCAAAAATACATGTCCATATCCTAACCCTCCAGTGCCTACGAATGAGATCTTATTTGAAAATAAGGGTCTCTGCAGATATAATTAAGGATCTCAATATGAAATCATTCTGGATTTAGGATGGGCCCTCAATCCAATGATTGGTGTTCTTCGAAGAAAAAGAAGAGGGAGATTGGACACAGACAGAGGAGAAGCCATGTGAAGACAGAGGCAGAGATGGGAGGGATCCCTGCAAACTCTACCAGCTCTCCCATCTCCAAGCTCCTCTTTCCTGTCACCCTCCAACCTCCAGAACTCCCTCCCCTGCCCCAAACAAGCTTGCTCTGGCTCCCAGCTAAGGCTACGGGATTTTATCTTAGAGAGATGTGAAGTTCTTGAAAGGCTGTAAATTGAGGAAAGGAGAAGTAGTTGGATTTATGCAGTGAAACTAATATAATGGGCTTTTGGGTACTAGTTGATCTGCTGAACCTCTGGCCTCTACACCCAGCCTGTCCCTCTCACTCTGCTCTCTAAGCTATTGGGACCTTCCATCTACCCCTTTAATGAGCTGCATGCCCTTCTGCCACAGGGCCTTTGCATGTTCCAGTTTTCCCCACTCCACTGCCATCCAAATCAGTCTTCCCTTGCTTTTTGCCCAGATAGATGGGGCAAACGTGAATACCAGGAACCTGATTAGGAGGCTATTACAGCCACAGAAACTCATATTTTAAGTACTTAACTCATAGTCTTACAATAAACACTGTCTACGTAGTGCTATATTGAATTTAGATTTTACCAAACTCCTCAATGTTTTAGAGCAGGGACTGACAAATATTTTCAAAAAAAAGGGTCAGATAGTATACATTTGAGCCTCTGTGGATCACATAGTCTCTCTGGGTATTTATTTGACTCTGCCTGTGAAATATGAAATGGTGATGGACAACACAGAAACAAATGGGTGTCGCTGTGTTCTAATAAAACTTTATCTACAGAAATAGGCAATGGGCCAGATTTGGCAAGCAGATCAAAGTTTGCTAACTCCTGTTTTAGACGAAAATACTTGAAACATCTACTGGTGGTCAACTTCGGTTTCGCTTTCTCTCTAATTCAGTCTAGCTACCCAATCAGTATATGGGCAAGCAGTTTCAGGAGGGTATGAATATACATTGGCAGCTCTAATCTTAGTTGAGATCTCTAACAAGAAAGTTTCAAAAGCAAAAGCTTGCAAGAAGAAGGTTTCCCTCCCATTAAAAGTTAATATTTTACATGATTTCCCCTTAAATAAATAGATCATCCTTTGAGCCAGCTAATCCTTAATAAATGAGAATCTTTACACCAAACTGAACTGAGCATCTCTATTCCCACAGCTATGTCCCCTCACCCTGGCCCTCTTTAAAGATCCATTGATTACTGCCAAGTCTCCATTGGTGGGATTAATTAATTTATGAACTTGTCATTACATTTCATTGATTAAAATGTCCCTTCTTAAAGATTTAATTATACCCAAAGAGAAAAGATCTGCTAATTATTGTCCTTTATCTAATTGAAGTTTTGTATTACAAATAAAGTTCAAAGGTTTAAGACAGTTGCCCTTTGAAACAGTTGGGCAAAGATGAGAATTTAATTAGAGATGAGACACCATTCTGTCTAATCTATTCCAATGAGAGAAAGAAAGCAAGCTGGACAAGATGGCTGGTCAGAAAAGGAAAACCTAGAAAATCTGTTAACCTTGTCGATCACTTAATAGTTTTTAGCCAGTAGCTCCAGTTACATGCATTGTCAGAAGAGTTTGGGTTGCCGGCACAGTTACGCATTGTGTGAAGAGCGGGAATTCTGCCAAAGATATACTAAGTATTTAAATTTTCTTAAAAGTCCTGACGTGTGAAAAAGTCTCCAAAGAAGATTTTTTTTTTTTGTAATTTCATTTCTAAGATATTCTGAAGAGGAAATCAAAGTCATTCAGTAAACAAACTATTGAGAAACAGAGAAGCCTTTTGAAAAATAGAAACACCCTGAAGTCAGAAGGGTCTGGGTCCAAGTCTGCATGGAGGATTGGTGGAGGACCCTCCTTCCCCTGGAATTGTGTCTCCCTGGCAAAGAATCTTCTGTGGATGAGGGTCTCAGCTTCTTGTGCTGCCCATAAAGGAGTGAGCTCGGAATGTGGGGGCTTATTGGTCCGTGCTTGGTGATTAGGTAAAGCCAATCTATTTAGGTAAAGCCAATCTACTTAATGGAAATAAGTTCAAAATGGAATAAGATGATCTATTTATTTAAGTGGAAATCATGTAAATTATAAACTTTCTTTGGAAATATGAATAATAATTCATATCCTTTTGTCTCCACAGCCGACCCCTCTCTTTCCTACTCCCCATGTCCCACCCCTTACCCAAATCAATGTGGGGCAGTCACCTGCTCTTCAATCTGTAACTTTCTTTTGTACCTTGGTTGGCCTTTCGTAAAATCTTAACTCATGAGAAGGAAAGAAAGAAGAAGGCATCAACAAGCCCCGCTGGCCATAAATCTATGACCATATTTTCTAGCCAGCTTTAAAATACTAAAGGCAATATTTTAGACTTTATCTGTTTCACTCCAATATCTATCTGTCAATTAATTTTGAATTTGTGATAACAGGAAAATATCCTTATTTATTGGCCTGCTAAAATCCCAAACCTTAACAACTGTGTGACT
This sequence comes from Homo sapiens, assembly GCF_000001405.40. Taxonomy (NCBI): domain Eukaryota; kingdom Metazoa; phylum Chordata; class Mammalia; order Primates; family Hominidae; genus Homo; species Homo sapiens. The sequence continues at coordinate 80,482,489 of NC_000016.10, forward strand.
TTGAATATTTTGCCTAATCTCTCTGAGTTCCAAGTTTCCCCAACAGTTCAAGTGGTAATGGTAAAATAACTTACTTCATGGGGTTATTGGGAAATTTAAAGTGCATTTAAGGTACTTTGTATGGAAGCTGGCACCTAGTAAGAGCTTGATACACAGTAAATATAATAGTGCCTTCCACGAGCTAGAGAGGCAAAAAAAAAAAAAAAAAAAGCAAGGTACAGTCTCTGCCCTCAAGAAGTTCAGTGTGTAATTTCCACTTTCAGAATGTTCTTATACTGATAATTCCATCAAAATGTGTCCGTAAGAGGGAAGCAGGAAGCAAGTGATATTGAACATCAAAACACCTTATGTTTCACATTTGCTTCTTTTTAAACAGAATTCGTCTGCACAGAGACGTTCCTCCACCTATGTCTCCTGAGGCTGAAATGCAATAGAGGCTCTAGGAAGGGAAGACCCCTGTATACTCAATGGGGAACCTACTGGGCATCACGTCACTAAAGCAGGTCTTTGGGGAGCTGCAGAGGGGATGGAGAAGATGAAGAGAAGATCTTAAAGCCATTCAAAATGGGTAAAAATGGAGGGAAGAGAGCTGGGTGGGGTGAAGGACATGAACTGCTATCCTCTGAAAAACAAGGGAATTAGGGTCAACAAGAGTAGACTGAGAGGCCATGACACAGGCAGCACCTTTATGTGCCATGGGGCTATCACATAGCAGGGGCCAAATATATGCTGTGTTGTGATAACATACAGCCATTATTGTGATCATGGCTGAGTTTTATTGAGCTCTGTCACATGCTTCACATGCCTTATCTTGTTTAATATTCCTAGCAACTGTCTGAGGCACATTCTTTTATCATACCTATTTTACAGATGTGGAAAACTGACGGCCTGAAAGGTTAGGACGTTTGTCCAGGACTGTAGACTCAGTCTGTCAGACTCCAGATCTCATGTTCTAAAGCAGATTCTGGATCATTGCACAGAAAAAATATTTTACGATGGTGTATTAGTCTGTTCTCATACTGCTAATAAAGACATACCCAAGACTGGGTAATTTACAAAGGGAAGAGGTTTAACTGACTCAGTTCAGCATGGCTGGGGAGGCCTCACAACCATGGCAGAAAGTGAAGGAAGAGCAAAGTCAAGTCTTACATGGCAGCAGGCAAGAGAGGATGTGCAGAGGAACTGCCCTTGATGAAACCATCATATCTTGTGAGACTCACTCGCTATCACAAGAACAGCAGCATGGGGGTGACCACCCCCATGATTCAATTACCTCCCACCTGATTCCTCCCATGACACATGGGGATAATGGGAGCTGCAATTCAAGATGAAATTTGGGTGGGGACACAGTCAAACCATATCAGATGGATATTTCATAAGCTCATCGGTGGCTTTCAGACATAGAAGATTCCTAGCCACTGTCACATAGAGGCTGAACCACCCAAGGGTGAGGTGGTTATAAATGACACAAAATGAAACTAGATCAAAATTTTCCAAAACCTCAACCACGTTTCCTTCCCACTTCGAGTCTATGTCTCTGGAAACCTTCCTCATTTCTTCCCCAGTAGACCTCACAGGTTCACTATTAGAGGTACACCTCAGGGAATATAATGCCCCAATGTCCTGCTGTCCTGAGCAAAAAAAATATTAGAGCATCATGTCAACTGTTAGACAATGAAGACTGAATACACTAACACGGTGAATACTATTCAGCTATCAAAAATAATGTGCAGATACATAAAAAGGTGTCTTCAATATTAAGGAAGAAAACTATGAAACAAAATGAAATGCAGTATATATTATATTTATTTATATATATATATATACATATATATTTACACACATGCCCAATGAGAGGAGATAAAAAAGGGAAGGAAGAAAGAAGGAGGGAGAGAAAGAACCTATATCAAGTTACAATAGTGATTTATCTGTATATACTAGAAATTTGAGGGGGATTTTGTTTATATTTTCTTTATTTTTATCATGAAAGTTTCTGGTTTTCTATCATTACCATGTATTTATGTACTAAGAAGAAAAAAAACATATAGTTCAAATCAGGCAATTTCTTATTCGAGAACACAAAACCAGCTAGATTTGGAGTCCATTTTCCATTGTTTGATCACTTAGCAGCCACACCTCACACATGCTTCGGGATTGACTTACCCTTCCCACCTTACGACCAAGCTGTGGACACATTTGCTTCCATGGTAATCAGTGTCCAGGACCCCCTCGGGGTCCTGTCCCTTTCCTTGGGCTGCCAGAGTCAGCCCCATGCTGGCCTCTTAGAGGTTTACCTGTCGCCTCCCTAAGGCTTTCTGCCCCCAGCATCTCAGTTGGGAACCTCCATCCACCAGGGCAGGTGCTCCAATCCCCACTCTCCAAAAACGGAGTGCTCTGGGCTCAGACACCCCCTCTGCAGGTCCAGTCCTCCTGATGTCAGATCCTTTCCCTAAGACTCCTTCAGTCTCCATCACTGACTCCCCTGAGAAGCCTGCAAAACCTGACAATCTTTCTGTTCCAACCAACCCAAATCTTTTGCTGTTATGATCCTTGCTGCTAACCTAAAGCCCTTGCCTTCTCTGTGTTTTTTTGTTGACTTGTTTTTGGTTTTCATTTGCTTGTCAATTTTGGTTTTGTACTAACTCTGAGCACACTTCTACCCCACTTAGAAGAGGTGGGGAGCCTTGCCTCATTTACCTACAATGGGATATCTGAATGGAAAAAAATATAATGATGGATCGAGAGAAGCCAATGGCTCCACGCAACATTGAGGATTAACGACAACATTGTGGGAAGAGAAAGAGACAAGGTGCCCTCCCAAGGCAGCACAGAGCTGGCCATGCAGGCTGACTCCGTGAGTTTGCACCACTTGCCTGGGCTGGCGCTCAGAGTGGGGATGTGGTTCACGCTGTTTTGGCATTGTACGTTCCTTCCCTCCCTGTGCTGCTCTTCTGGGACACCAGGCCCAGGGGTGTCTCTCAGAATGTTCTGATCAGAGAGGATCCCAGGATCTGATTATGAAAGGCTGTGGATGCACAGGAGGAGGCCAGCCTGTGGCTCTGTTCACAAAGCACTCCTTCCTTCACACCACATGGTGAGACCTCAGATGTATCCCCACACTTCCCAGGCAGAAGTCCTTGTGAGCAGAACAGGACCCTTCCCTCACCCCTTGTCAATAGCTAAAGTCAGTCTGGGAGAGCAGTGGCTGGAGGGCTCTTTGTCCTGCCCTATAGGATGTGCTTCTAGAACCTTCTTGACCTCGAACAGAGATCAGCGCCCATATGATCTCTATCAGCAGCCTACAAATTCTGAAAGCATAACAGACATGCCCTGGGCAATGTCACATCTCAAAACTGTCAAGTGTTGAATCTATTTTCTTAACCTACTGAGAAAACAACTTGATATTTGTTATGAGCTTAAGAACAACCTTATTAATGACATCAAGCTATTGAGCAGCATTCACTGACTGTCAATTTACATTATGTAACAGAACGTGAAGCTCAATTTCCTTGTGTCACATTTATAATGATTAAATTATCAACAGATGTAAAGTCGTTCTGAGCCATAACAAGGTCCCATAAGGTGCTAATTAACTTAGCACTTTTCTAAAAAAAGAAATTCTGCCACGTTTTGATAGGAAATGTTGCCACTTGGGTATACTTACTGGTCCTCAGTAGCACACTTAGGACATATTTTGAAGAGCTTCCTTTTTACCTTGTTGCTAGTTCCTGGAGGAATAATAATATCATAAACATACCAGTTCTCCCGTTTGAGTCTAAAATCCATACTGCAGCAACCCTATTGATTCTAAAATAGAAGAAATCACCTTCTATCAATGATACAGTGATGACTAACATTGGAGAGAGGGTCAAAAGTTGCAGCTCAGGCTGGGTGCAGTGGCTTACACCTGTAGTCCCAGCACTCTGTGAGGCCAAGGCGAGAGGATTCCTTGAGCCCAGGAGTTCAAGGCCAGCCTGGGCAACATAGTGAGACCCCTATCTCTATAAAAAATAAATAAAATTAGCCAGGTGTGGTAGTGCCTGCCTGTGGTCCCAGCTACTCAGGAGGCTGAGACAGGAGGATCGCTTGAGCCAGGAATGTCAAGGCTTCAGTGAGCTGTGAACATGCCACTGCACCCCAGCCTGGGCAACAGAGCAAGACCCCATTTAAAAAAAAAAAACTGCAGCTCAGGGGAACCCAGCAAGTATGTCTATAAGTCTCCAGAAATGTTCAGCTCCCTGTAACCTTTGCTGGGGGCAGGGTGGGCACAAACCACATCCCCCATCCACAGGCTCAGAAATACTACGTGGTCCCTCCATAGACGTTACTTCTTTTCTTTTCAAGATTTAGAATTTTCCAGATTCTTCTAATCTGCAGATAGGGGTGAAGATCAAGATCATACATTGTTCAAGGCTTTCAGGTCATTATTTTATCAGTCCACAGAGTCTCAGTAATGAACCTCAACTCCTACACACTTTTTTGTCTTTTTCCTCCATTCAAAATGGTTCACATATTACAAAATTCTTTTTAATCTTTAGTTGTGATGCTTGTGTTGTAATTATATACTTACAAGATGCCTTTATCATTTAGAAATGTACATATTAAAATAGTCATAGATGAAATGATGAGATGTCTCAGCTTTGTCCCAAAATAATTTAATGGTGAGGAAGAAGTAGAAGATCTAAATGAAACAAGATTGCTTACAAATCGGCCATTGTTGAGGCTGGGTGCTGGGCACGTAAGACTTTATTATATTATCTCTATTTTGTGTGTTTGAATATTTCCATAATGAAAGGCTATAATAAATTTCTCAAAACAAAAAAAAATGGATCAGATTAGGAATTGGTTTGTGTCACTGTGGATAAAGACTAAGAAAATACATTTCAATTGTTTTGTTGTTTTTTTTTTTTTGTAGTTAAGGCTGTTTCAAAGTGCATCTTAGAAAAGAATATGTGACGCAGCTTCAGACAGTGTTAACTCACTTCAGCAAAATAATACAAGATTTTATCTCAGGCCATAATTGACCTGAGAGATTCTGAAATATCTATATGATATCTACAGCCTGTGGACATCATGTGTACAAAAAAACTGGCAATAAGAGAGCCACGAAAGGTCTGTGTACTGAATTGAACAGAGAGGACACACTGGTATGGAAAAAAGAAGTTTCATGTGCAGATGTGAGCACAATTTCAAACAATGTGGGGAATAGGTGGACTCAGGGCAATAACTTGGCACTGGATGATTGTATTAGTTCGTTTTCACACTGCTATAAAGAACTACCTAAGACTGGGTAATTTATAAAAAAAAAATAGGTTTAATTGACTCACAGTTCCACATGGCTGGCGAGGCCTCAGAAAACTTAACAGTCATGGTGGAAGGCAAAGGAAGAACAAGGCACATCATACATGGTGGCAAGGAGAGAGAGAGAGAGAGAATGGGGAACTGCCACACACTTTTAAACCATCAGATCTCGTGAGAAACCACTCACTCTCGTGAGAAGAGCATGGGGTAAACCACGCCCATGTGTCCAATTACCTCTTACCAGGTCCCGCCCCCAACACGTGGGGATTACAATTCAACCTGAGATTTGGGTGGGGACATAGAGTCAAACCATATCAATCATCTTGTATTTCAGCTTGCAAAGATGAGCGCATAGGAAGACCACAACTTTATGATGAGGTGGGTGGGTGCTGTGAAAACTGATTATGCAAAATGGAGTCATTTTGGTCACACCCAACTAAAATAGAGTCTGGGAGCCAGAGGGAAAAACACTCAGGTCACAAACACCTACTCCAGGAATTATCTCGCCAGCCCAATCCAAAACCACAACAGCCAGCTACAACTTTATGACTGCAAATTTTACCTAGTAACTGCTACTGCTCACCAGTCAGAACCTGCCAGCTCCTGTAAGCCACCAATGAATTTCCTTTCAAAATAATTTACATAACCTTCTTCCTTTCCTCCAGTACAACCCCAGCCTTTCCCTTTGTTCTTCAGACACATCTAGGGGCTGCTCTGGTTTATGTATTTCAAATCGCAATCCTACTTCTCATATATTATTCCAAAATAAATCCTTTGCTTGGAGATTCATCTCTATTTTTTTATGTTGCCAGTACTAACATACTAATCTTGTAGATGAAGAGAATGAGATTCAGAAAGGTAAAAGACTATCCCAAACCCATAAGGTTAGTAAGAAACAGAGTGGGTATTCAAATTCAAGTTGGGTTTGCTCCAAAGCTCAAAGCCTTACTACATCATGACTCCCAGAGCTTCCAGTTCTAAGGATGAAAGAGGATATGAACAGTCTTTCCAGGCATCTCGAAATACAGGGACAGAAATCACTTTTTATGAAATCACCTTAAAATGAGCACAACTCTTAGCATACATAGACGTAGGGGAAGGCGTGGTGAATTATATATTTAAAAACTATTCTTATATTCAAATATGACTGGAAGTATTCAGCAGGCAAAAACAGTTGGCCTCTTTTTGGACTAAGATTTGAGGAGGAAGAAAGGACCTTTCTAGTAGATGAAGTTGTAACATACAGTACTCAGTGAAATAAATTCCTTCAATGTTAATTGCTGACACATCTTAAAGAAAGAGCAAGAACTGGAAGGTCACAGCAGACCTGCATGGTCTCTTGGGTCAAAATCATTTCTTATTATAAAATTAGATGCCTGAGATACTCTGCCGCCCAAGTGAAATGGGTATCTGCAATGGAAAGATATTTCTAGAAGTCACTTAGTGAGCAAAGACAGAAAAAAAAAACACAGTTTTCCCTAGAAAACCAAGGAATTTAGTATTCCTATGGGAAATGGGCCAGTAGATAATATGTGAAGTGCTTTGTACCATATCTCCCTTTTGGAAAGAAATAAAAGTATATTAAAGGCTCTGATAAGTCCTGCATTATGGAGACCCACTGAATGCAAAATTTCCCTCAAACATATTTGTATTTCATCAAAAAGCCATTTTTGCATATTACTTATTAAAATCTCAAGAAACTACAATACCTGGAAACACCTTTCATAAAGGGCTGAAGAATATTGATGGCATTCCTAGGGAGTTATATACAGAATCTGATCTGCAATCAAAACATGAGACATGGGGATTAAACTCCCCAAGCCCCACACACTACATCCAAGTAGACCTCGAACCCAACTTCAGTTGTAATTCAAATTAATTTCATAACAAGCCAACAGGTAGTACTTAGGGTGTTTCATAAACTTAAGCATGTTTTCAGAAGAGAATACGTTCTGGGGCTTGATTCTGTTGTAGCATTCAGAAGCAACTATTTGGAGCAAGTAGAATTGGAAATGAGCATTAAAGGATGGGTAAATCTACTCAGTAGGAGACAAGAGGAAAAAAGGATTTACTTGAAGGAAGGAGAGTGATGTATTCAAATCGCTTATGGCTTCAGTCATCACTGATCAAGCCATGTAAATGAGTCATTTTAATTTCAGGTGCATTAAATTTAGTACTAGTATTGGTAAAAAAAAAAACTGATTAGTATTTGTTTTTGTTTTTTTGTTTGTTTGTTTGTTTGTTTGTTTTTTGTAAAATGGCAGGGATCCACTGAAAATAGTTCCATTATTCATAAGCAATTACACAGAAAAAGCTTATTTATCAGCCATTCTAAACAAATAAGAACACAAAGTAAACATGATTGATTTCCTAACTTCTGTGAGCATGCCCCAATAGATTACATTGAAATTCTTCTTAAAGGTAGCATTTCTGTCGCTGATCCTGTGACTAATACACTTAGAACTTCATAAAAGCAGAAAGCAACTGAATCTACATAACAAGCTAGTATTTTCCCAATTCATTATTGCTTCACAGATTTCACTCAGAAAGACACAGGCTCGTGGGTACTGTTTACAAATGAATGTTGGCCACTCTATAGCTGTACAGTCATCCCTCAGTATCCACTGGGAATTGGTTCCAGGACCCTGCCATGGATACCAGACTCCACAGCTGCTCAAGTCCCTGATATAAAATAGCATAGTATTATGCAGCCATAAAAAAGGATGAGTTCATGTCCTTTACAGGGAGATGGATGGAGCTGGAAACCATCACTCTCAGCAAACTAACGCAAGAACAGAAAACCAAACACTGCATGTTCTCACTCATAAGTGGGAGTTGAACAAAGAGAACACATAGACACAGGGAGGGGGACATCACACACCGGGGCCTGTCGGGGGGTGGGGAGCTAGGGGAGGGAGAGCATTAGGAGAAATACCAAGGTAGATGACGGGTTGATGGGTGCAGCAAACCACCATAGCACGTGTATACCTATGTAACAAACCTGAACGTTCTGCACATGTACCCCAGAACTTAAAGTATAATTTTAAAAAGCATAGATTTGCATATAACCTGTGCACATCCTCCTGCATACTTTAAATCATCTCTAGATTACTTATACCCAATGCAGTATCAATGCTATGTAAACAGTTGCTATACTGTATTGTTTGGGGACAATGACAAGGACAAAAAATCCACAAATATTCAGTACATACACAACCATCCTTTTTCCCCCAATATTTCAATCCTCAGTTGTTTGAATCCACAGACGTGGAACTCACAGCTATAGAGAGCCAAGAGTATTTTTCTAAGTGAGAAGCCTGAGCCCATGGAAATGCCCATTGTATAGTTATTTTATATAAATATTTCACTTAGAATATTTCTCCCTAAGCTGTTTATATGTTCCTTCTGCCCGAAAAGTCTTACTCACCTCAGTTCCATCCCTATTTCTCCTGAGAATTTCCTATTCATCCTTCAAGATGCAGCTGAGGTGCTATCTACTCCACAAATCTTTCTGTACTTGCAGACAATGGAAATCTACCTCAAACTACCTTAAGCAAAAAAAGGAGGAAACATATGGGGAGAGGAGGGCACGAGGAGCCATTCACTGGATCATGTAACAAGAAGTACCAGGACTAATGTCCGGCAGCAAACATGGTTGGATCCAGAAGCTTGAATGTTATTACTGGGACGTTGTCTTTCCCTCCTTCTCCTAGGTCTGCTTTCCTCTGTTCTTTGCTTTCATTCTTAGGCAGATGCCCCAGCAGTTCAAGACAGTGTTCTCACTGTAACAGAAGAGCAATGCTAGTCTGTTACACTATTACACTATTACACTATTACACTATTAAAATCCACCCTAAAATATAAGAGTATACTTTTTGATTTTGACATAAATCTTTGCAACAAACCTTCAATGACCTTAGATTGATGTGGGAAAGTGTCTCTCCATCTTTTCTAGAATATGTTCCATTCACTGACAGACTTTCTCCAAATGATAAGAAAGATGGCCAGTGGCCACCCCAAATTTACACTCCATCCCATTAGCAAACCTGGCTAAATGAGTCTCTGCCAACGGCTACGTCATAAAATTCCCACGGAGACATTTATTGGTGTGGGTCACATGCCTACTGTTGTTCCCAGGGGGTTCTGAGTCAGCCCCACTCAGAACATGCAGGCTTTATTCTTCACAAGAAAGAGGTTCATTACCGGCAAAGAGAAGAAAGGGGTACTGGAGAGACAGAAACAACAGTTGCCCTTGAACCCTGTTCAGAGCCTCCTCGTCTGGGTGAAGATCCTCTTTCCCAAGCTCTCACGTAATCCTGGAAAAACCTCCGTTGGTGCAGTTAAGCCTCTCTTGGTGCATTACTGTCACCTGTGTACGTGCAGCACTCGACAGCTGCACAGTAAGTATTCATGGATAAGAGCATGAAGCTCCAAGCAGAAGTATCAGTGACCACAGTCAATCAGAGTGGCTGTCATGGTAGAAAAGGAATGTGGATTTGAAAAAGAGATGGAGAGAGAGTGATGTTTGCTGGACGTGTGAGTGTGAGAGTGAGGGAGAAGCCTCCCACTGATGGGAACATTGTGTTCTACATACAAATAACTCAGCAACATGGCAGCCACTTGCCTTATCTTTTCTAAGTCACATTTTAAATACACTTTCCTATTGCCCCTGAACCTGAACTTGTCCATATTAGGCCACAGATACAAATTTGAAGTTTAGAAAATACCAGCCCCAGTGCTCTAAACCCCTCAGCTTCATCAACAGAAAATGGGCTCTTACCTCGCTCTATGCAACCTTCTTGGGGATCTCTTGTCAATTCCTTGGATGGAGTCGGTAAGACCTTCAATTTCCTTCAGTAGAATTGTCCATTTTACAAGCGAGGACACCGACTCAAGAAGTTCAATTTGGCCATAGCTACACAGCTGCTTTCTTTCTGAAGCCTGTTCTTGGTTGTCACCATAAGTCACCATCATCCCTACAATCAAACATTATTCACATAAAAAAGTGGGGTGGGGCTGTGCAGAATTGTGGTAAGGAAACACATATTTGACTGATGTATGTTGAGTTCTACAGATGTAGAAAGGCCCTGGATTCTGTGAGTTCTGGATTTTACTTATCTGTTTATTTTAAATGTACATAGAATAATAACATTTAACTGGAAATTAATTTCAAGATGGCGGGGGGATCACTTTTGCCTATTTTTTGACACAAACCTCTAGAGCCTAGAACAGTACCTGGCACAGAGTAGAGCCTCAAAAAACAAATAAAACTATTAAATAAATATTCATTGAATAATGTGCTAAGAACTTTACAGTAATTCATGTGTTTAGTCCTCGCAACTATCTTATGAGGTAAATCTCAGTATCCTAATTTTATAGAGGAAGAAACTGAAACAGGGAGAATTTAAGTAATCAGGCTGAGGTCACATGGATTCTAAGTCATGGAGGTGAGATTCAAAACCAAGCTTGCCCTCATAACCAGGTAGGAACCATATGGGACAGTTGTATCAGTTACCAATTGCTGTGTAACAAGGCACCCCAGCAGGTCCCAGCTTAAACAATCATTTTATTTTGCTCACAGTTTTGATGGCTAGGAATTCAAAAACAGCATAGCCAGGCAGTTTGTCTCTGATCCTCTAGACTTAGGTAGGACAACCAGGATGTCTCCATCTCCTCCATCTCCATCTACTTCCAAGATGATTTCTTCCCGGGCACATCTGGTGCTTGGCGGGAATGATTGGAAAGCTAGTTATAGCAAAACCCCTCTCTCTCCACATACTCTTGAGCCTGTCAATGTGAAGGCTTAAGTTTCCCAGAATAAGTATTTTGAAAGACAGGAAGTGGGGGTTACTAAGCCTGGGCCTGGAAACTGGCACAGTGTCACCTCTACCTTATTTTGTTGGTCAAAGAAGCCATGGGGCCAGTCCTCTCAATGGGACCCCACCCCTCAATGGGAAATATGTCAAAGAATCTGAGGCCATTTTTAGTCCACCAAAATGGAAGTCCAACACAGTCTGGAGATAGTGCCTACCTACTTCACATAATTTTATGGATACCTCATAGTTCACAATCATAGTTCTAGAAGAATGCTCTTCCACAATGAAGTATCAATGGCATTTCCATGTTAGAAGACCCTTTTGTCATTACGACAAGACTTCATTATTACGGAACTTAAGCATTTCCTGATCTTCACACAAATCTTTGCAAACAAACTTTAATTACTTTGACTTGGGGGAGGGGGTCTCTTCAGTCATTTTAATGTGTGTTTTATGTTTCCAGATGCTCAATCCTAGTTTTAGGAGGAAATGTTTCTCATTATCATAAAATTTACATGCTCATACATTTCATTGAAAGACTTATTCTTTCTAGGTGATAATAAACAATTCAGTAATTTGGAGGAAAAACATCACAGAAATAATTGTGAAATGGTAGTACAGAAATCTTCAGGAGAGGAGAAAGAGGTAGTGTGGTTAAGTAAAAAGAGCAAGATTCATTTCTGCTCCTAAAATTCATCCCACATCTTGAAAAGCTTGCTCCGTCTCTGGGAACCTAAGTTTCACCACATGTAAACTGAAAGGCTTTTACAAATAGGGCCCTCAACTGTGGCTCAAACCTCTTATTTTTCTTCTAGTCCTAATTCCACCAATAACTGTAGGCCTAAACAAAAGTTACCATAAACCTAAACAACAGGTACTCATCTCTTTGAATCTGATAATAATGGTGGCGATTCTGCAAAGAGAGTTAGTGTTCACCAAATAGTCTATGTACAGTCCCACATTTTCCAAACTGTCCTGCAGTTAGGATAGGGTCATGTGATCAGTTCTGACTAGTAGACTCTGAGCAGAAGAAATGGTGTCACCTCCAGGCCAAAGCAGATGAGAAATCAGGTCTACCTAAATTTAAAGCCCAATTTTTTTTTTTTAATTGAGACAGAGTCTCGCTCTGTTACACAGGCTGGAGTGCAGTGTTGCAATCTCAGCTTACCTGCAACCTCTGCCTCTGAGTTCAAGCGATTCTCCTGCCTCAGCCTCCCAAGTAGCTGGGATTACAGGCATCTGCCACCATGCCTGGCTAATTTTTGTCTTTTTTTTTTAGTAGAGATGGGGTTTCACCATGTTGGTCAGGCTGGTCTCAAACTCTTGACCTCAGGTGATCCACCCGCCTCAGCCTCCCAAAGTGCTGGGATTACAGGCATGAGCCACCGCACCCAGCCTAAAGCCTAAATTTTTAACCTCTTTCCAATATGGTTTCCTTCATTTCCCTCTCTATACAATTAGGAGTGTGTTCCAATTAATCTATAAGGCCCTATCAAGATCTGAATATTTTTTACTATTATAGCTATTGTGAACAAAATAGTGGAATTCAGAAATTGGTGTTCAATGCTCCACAGATCTACACTGACAATAAGAATAAGAGTAATTTTATTTGTATTGATTAAAAAGAAATTACATCTAACTTTTTCCTGTTGTGTCCATGTTCATCGTGTTTGGGATTTTTCTTTGTAATTTGATTGTTTTGTTGATTCTTATTAAGTAATCTCAGGTTCCATAGATTGCAAGAATATGGGTTTGAATTGAAGGACTCAGGTGGAAACAATTCAGATTTGTGTCAGCTTTAATCAAAGCTCACTCTTCTTTACAAACACAGATTCAAGCCTGAAATTCATCTGAATAATGTGGCAGTGTCCCAAGTCTTGGTCACTACTGAAGTACCCAGGTTTGTTTTCCTAGTATTTGTTGTTTGTTGACATTCAACTTCTTTTAATTTTAGTAAGTACATGTGTCACTCTCTTGAAAAATTCTGAGTTTTGACCATTCAATCTCAAAAGAAGAAAACTCCAGTGAGGCTTGGAACTCCTGAACACCAGGATGGAAATGAGAACAGGAAGGAGGAAAGTGGGGTTAATTGAGTTCTGCCTGCGGAGGAGAAGCTTCCCTCCCTGCATGTTCAGAATGTCCTAAAAGCAGGTGTTTGCCTGCAATAAAGACAACCGCAAGAAAAAAACAAGAGCAACATGGAGTCTTCTTACAAAGAAATTGAATAAATGGAGAAAGTTGGGGCAGCTAGGGTGAGTGTAAATGTGGACATCCCTGAGGAAAGCACTCTGCATGCTGGCAGTAGGGGACCCAAAGCAAAATGTCCAGATTCCAGCCCATTGTACCTACAGAGAAACTCATTCATCAACCATCCCTAAGCTTCCTATTGCCTTGTTCTTACATATGAATGAGTGAGAATCAACAGGCATTTGAGAAATGGCTGCAGCTTGCCAGAGAAAGACCAAGATAAGCAAGAAATGTGCTAACAGAGAAAACCAGAGATAGTACCCCCAAAAAGGGGGGAAGAAACTCAACACTATTTTGGAGACATTGGGAAAGTATTTATATCCATAAAATAAGAATGGGATGTTACGTCAAAGGAATAACCCAAGACCATTAAAAGACAAAGTAGAAAAAATCCCTCAGAAGTCAGAACAAAATGAGGGAAAATCTACTAGGGAAGCATCTATGCTTATAAACAAAGAGGGAAAGATCCGGACGAATAACATACCAAACAGTGAACTGCTGCCTCTGGGAAGGGGGATTAAATGGACTAAGAGTAATTCATTTTTTACGTTATATCATCCTGTATTATTTTTATAAGTATTTAGTCATATGTGATTAAAATATACTTCATGCTTTAATCTCACTCTCATCAAATAATTTTTAACAGACTGTCCTCATATGGACCTCCCAACAAAGTATAGAACATGGTGACCCTCTGAGAAGGGATTCCTATTCCTGTTTTGAGAAGGTACTCCTATTCCTGTTTCTCAGCTGATTTTTCTGAGGATTCCACTAGACTGAATTAATGCTTCAGACTAGAGTTTTGCAAAAAGAAGTTTTGCCCATGCACCTACTGTGATGTTGTGATACAATATGAAATATATATTTGGTCTCTGCCCCCGGTTCCTGGCACAGAGCTCCTAAAGCCCCGTAATTTCCTGAGCAATCAGGGTGCTAGGAGAATCTTTTATTCCATATTTGGTCTTTGACCTGGTTTCTAACAAAGACCTCCTAAATCCCTTGGAAATTCCTGGGTGGTAGGAGAGTCTTTTGTTCTAATGAGGTGACCACTGGTGAGTGTCTGGGTGGGGGCTGGTCACCGGAAAGACCAAGCCATGATTAGAGACTCAGAGCTTCCAGCCCCATGCTTCATCCTCCTGGAGGAGGAGAGAGGCTGGAGATTGAGATAGTAAGTAATCATGCCTAGGTGATGAAACTTCCTTAAAAATCCCTGAGCTACAAGCTTCAGAGATCCCAGGCTGCTGAACACGTCACAGTGATAGGAGGGTGACATGCCAGGAGAGGGCATTAAAGCTCTGCACCCCTTGCCACATACCTTCCCCTATGCCATCTCTTTCATCTAACTGTTCATCCAGATGCTTTGTAATAAATCAGTAAATGTAAGCAAAGCACTTTACTGAGTTCTGTGAGTCACTCTAACAAATGATCAAACCTGACAAGAGAATCAAGGGAACCTCAAATTGACAGCCAGCTGGACAGAAGATGAAGAGGCCCCCGAAATGGGGGACAGTTTTGTGGGACTCAGCCCTTAACCTGTGGTATCTGACTCAAACTCCAGGTAGAGAGTGACCAGATTAAATTGAATTGTAGGACATCCAGTTGATGTCTGTTGGAGAATTGAATTGATGTGTAGGAAAAAAAAACTACACAACCAGTGTCAGAACTTTTCTGTGTTGAGAGCGAGAGTATAGCAGGAAAAAGCAGTTAATTTGTCTTTTTCCTACCTTCCACATCCTAAAAGAGAATTTCTCAAAATGAGGCCCTGGAGATTCTTTTTAACAAGCCTCTCTCTCAGGTGATGCTGCCCACAGCAAAGTGATGAGAACCATTGTTTCAGATTCTAATTTTGCCTGGAACTGATAAAAATGGAGCCACCAAGACACTGCCCTCCCAGGAAGCCAGCAGCTTCCCTTGCAAACATTTTCTGGGACTACCTTGCAGCTCTTCAGATTTCCAGATCAAATTAGTAGTTGCTTGGCTGTCTCCAAATCTAGACTTGTGGTGGACTATTCTAGTTTGAGAAGCTATAACAAGAAATACTAGGTGGCTTAGACAACAGAAATGTATTTCTCACAGTTCTGAAGACTGGGAAGTGCAGGATCAAGGTGCCAGCCAATTGGGTTCCTGGTGTAGGCCCTCTTCCTGGCTTGTAGACGACGCTTTGCTGTATCCTCTCATGGCAGAGAACTAGCTCTAGTCTCTTTGTCTTCTTAGAAAGACACTAATCCCATTATGGGGGCTCTGCCTCATGACTTCATCTAAACCCAAGCACCTCCCAAAGGCCCTTCCTCCTAATACCATCCCACTGGGAGGCAGGGTTCCAACATCCCATTTTGGGAGGTAGGGTTCCAATATTCCATTGAGAGTTAGGGTTCCAACAACCCATTGGGAGGTAGGGTTCCAACATATGAATTTGGAGGGAACAAAAACATTCAGTCCATTACATGGACCTTGAAATCCAGACGTATTGGGATAGTGGGGGATGCTTAACATGCACCAAATTTGGATTTTCCAGACAAAGATCACAGCAAAAGCATAATTACAATGTTTGCGGATGGCTCAGCCTTGAGGTAGCCCAAGGTCCGAGCCTGTGGCTAGATGGCTAAACCATAAACCTCCTGTTTCAAGATCAGCATCATCACCTGATGTTCTAACAGAGACAAAACAGGCTTCCAAAGCCAACCTATCCTGGAATACAAGCTCTTTAGATGCTGAGCTTTTGTTTACTCCTGAATAAATTCAATAAAGTGCCGTAACCGTTATAATAAATGTAGATGTCACTAATTACAACACTAGATTTTAAGTGCAATGCTAGTGTCTCAAGTGGCCTTTAAAACTGAGTAAAATCACAGCCAATTCAAATTTAATTAAAACTATCAGTTTAATTTAGTTTGCTTTCACAATAAAAACTATACTAACCCATTAACTGCCTTCCGAATCTCCCATTACTGGGAGCAACCAGCAGCTTGTAGGCCTCCACTTTGGTGAACAGTGTGATGCATTCATTTACCTTGTTATCCAGTGAAGTTTCAGTTGTTCTAGATCAAGTAAATGGCCAGTTTTTGTCTTTGAAAATGAAACTTTTTCAGGTTAATTCGCCATGTAGGTAGAATAGGCTTTTGTCCAATTTCTTGTGCTTTTGAAAATTCATCCCAGAGGGGCCTTCTGAGGGCTTGATCATGGTATCCATTCTTGAGTTGAACTCACAGTTGCCAAAAAGAGATCTTTGAAAACTGAATAAAAGAACACTGGGAATCTGGGCAGTGACGATATAACCCTAGTCCTGCTTGTGTAAAGCTGATGTCTTGGAAAAACCGTTTCCGTGTCCAGAGCCTCAGTTTCCTCATGTGTCACACTGAGGATATTGGAGCAGATCTATACGTCTACAAACTCTATTTTCATGATAGGTGTCATATCCAGGTATTACCTGACAACACTTCTAATTCACATGTACTGAGTACAATCAGTTTCCAAGGCACCATCTGCTTCAGCCTTATCCTAGACAATATTTATGAACTCATGCAGTTTAATGTACCCATCATATATTTTTACTAATAAGATTTAAGTAAATATAAAACAACTAGAATTATTTGAAATGCTTAGCTAACAGCATCTTGCATACTCCCAGGGAACTACGTACCACATTTGGAGAATATTAGCCTCCCTGACCTCAGAGATCCCTTTCTGCTCCAGAGATCTGCAAGTCTATGAAAAAGAATTGTATCATTTTACTCAGGTGAGCAAATGTACAGACACAAAAAATGAACTGCCTGCAGGGCTTATTTGCTTCACAGGCAAGAAGGTAGTGTCCGTTGAGAGAGAAGCAATGATAGAAATAAAATTCAGAGGGTTGTATATTTTATTTTAGAAGAAGAGAAAGGCATCCAGTAATTTGGCAAATTTATGACAAACTGGACAATCCAGCTAAATGTTGAGGAAAGAAAGATAAACATTGTAGAAAAAGAAGAACTGAAGCAAGAAGAGAAAACAGACAGACCTGTGAAAAGGTTTGCAATCTTTTAACCACTCATGAGAGAAAAATTTGGAACACAGAAGGAACCTGCCTACGTCTGTTTCAGCCTGGGTGGTATCCCTGTGTTCATCGGGTGCACTCTACAATGGGACATCCTGGCTTCAGGCTGTCCCTTATGATGATAAAACTATAATGAGAAAAATCATAAGCAAAGGAAATAAACAGAAACCAGAGAAGAATCCAAATGTGATCTGGGTGGGTCCACCTAACAGGGTGACCTGGAAAGGATGTGAAAGGAGATTAAAGGATGCTAAGGATGAGGTCATTGTATTAGTCCATTTTCACGCCGCTGATAAAGACGTACCTGGAGACTGGGCAATTTACAAAAGAAAGAAGTTTAATGGACTTACAGTTCCATGTGGCCTCACAATCATGGAGGAAGGTGAAAGGCACATCTCACGTGGTGGCACACAACAGAAGAGTGAGAGCCAAGTGAAAGGGGTTTCCCCTTGTAAAACCATCAGGTCTCATGAGACTTATTCACTACCACGAAAACAGTATGGGGGAAACTGCCACCACGATTCAGTTATCTCCCACCAGTCCCTCCCACAGCAATGCGAATTATGGGAGATATTCAAGATGAGATTTGGGTGAGAACACAGCCAAATCAGTCATTAAGGGAATAATTTGAGATTTATAGAAAAGGCTGGGTTTTACGGAGAATCGGGCCATAGCTTCTCTGGGTGACATTGAGTGTTGTGATAATCAGGTAGCTACAGATTCATTTTGAGTCACCTGCTCTCCTCACTGGCATGGCTGCATGCATGGAGCCTGGACTA
The DNA here is from genome assembly GCF_000001405.40 of Homo sapiens. Taxonomy (NCBI): domain Eukaryota; kingdom Metazoa; phylum Chordata; class Mammalia; order Primates; family Hominidae; genus Homo; species Homo sapiens. The sequence goes on from NC_000016.10 coordinate 80,500,665, forward strand.
GGAAAGGTCACCATGGCCTGTGTAAATTTATGCAGACCCAAAGATGCTCTTCCTGTTTTAACATCAACCAGGAGGTGGCAGAGCCAGGAAAGAGTCAGCAGTAACCAGTATAATGTGAGAGAATGAACGTACAAACAGACAACGACCAGACCATATATGACAATAGAACACTGATCCACAACCTCTGCAGCATCCCAGGAAGCGAAATCCCAAACTCTGCAGCAATCAACCCAAAACAAAAGCTTGGCCAGTAACACAAAGCTTCCTTAATTTTTGGCTCTGCTTCCAACTCAGAACCAACCAAAGAAAGCTAAAAATATGTTGCCTTTCATATAGTATGCCTTTCTTCTAGTTAGCCCCCTCCAGCTTCCCCACGCCACAGCCTCCAATCAGGCTCCACCCAAAGCTTTCACTTTTTTTTTTTTTTTTTTTTACTATAAAGCTTTCCCACTTCCCTGCCTGCCTTTGAGTCTCTGCCAACTGTAAGTGATAGCAGCTGACTCCTTTCTATATCAAGCTCTGAATATATGGCCTCTGTTTGTCTTCATTCAGGCAGGCTTTATTTCCACAAACAAGATGGCCCCTCATCCCGCTCCTATCTGAAATAGTCTAAAGTTTTGACCAGGGCTCACATGCACTTCAAAGTCTGGTGGTTTAACTGTGAGATAGATTGCATGCCTTCAGGCTGTGCCCATATGGTCCACACATAATTCTCATGTTGCCCTTTCACTCAAGACAAACAACACAACACACACACTTGTGCACGTGCACATGTACTACTGGGATTGGCTTCAAACATTTATGTACAACACTGAATTATTTATTTTCTCATTTCAAGTGTGTTAAAGGCCTCCACCAAAGTTTACCCTGGTGTATGCTAACACTGAATTGGGACATTTGCTTCAACTTATGTCATACCTAGGGCAGAAATCAAGTGGAGGCAGATCCTCACCGAAAAGATTTAATGAAGACACCACTGCTTATGGTGGTGTCTATAGGTAGAAGACTATGTTTATGGTGGACTCAACACACAAACCATTTTCTGATGGTTTTGAGACTTTGTTCCAGGGGTCAGCAAACTATGACCTATGGATTTGGCCCACAGCCTATTTTGTAAATAAAGTTTTATTGGCACACAGAAATACTTATTCATTTGCATTTTGTCTATGGTTGCTTTTACTCTGCAAAGGCAGAGTTGAGAGGTTGCAATGAAGATGGTATGGCCTGCAAAGACTAAAATATTCGCTACCTAGTTTTCTACAGAAAAAGTTTGTTGAGCCCTGCTTAGCTTCTCCATGAACTCTAATGAATGGATGCCCCAAGTTACCCTGTCGTTTGATTAATATCCTGACACATTCCTTAGGTGCCAGGCTGAGCATCCAAGTAGAAATAAGATAGCATTCTTACCCTCAAAAAGCTCCCAGGCCATCAGGAAAGAGAAAGAAAAACATCATACACATAGGGTGATACAAGCAAAGAACAAAGAAGTAAGATTGCAGGCAAGGCTTCAGGGAGGAAGTCAGTGAGCAAAATACGTAGTCCTTGTTCTTCCCCCACCTGGATCCATCCTCAACCTTTTCTGCTGTGTTCTGTGCCCTGGACACCCCAGAACACTACATCTCCCATGTTCCCTTGTGTATTAGTCCATTCTTAATGCTGCTGTAAAGAATTGTCCAAGACTGGGTAATTTATAAAGAAAAGAGGTTTAATTGACTCCCAGTTCTGCAGGGCTGGGGAAGCCCCAAGAAACTTACAACCACGGTAGAAGGGAAAGCAAACATGTGCTTCTTCACATGGCAGCAGGAAGGAGAAGAATGAGTGTCCAGTGAAGGGGGAAGCCCCTTATAAAACCATCACATCTCGTGAGAACTAACTCACTATCACAGGAACAGGATGGGAGAACCCCCACCCCCATGATTCAATTATCTCCACCTGGTCCCTCCCATGACATAAATCTCAAGATGAGATTTAGGTGGGGACACAGCCAAACCATATCACCTTGCCTGCTGGCAGACAGTTGGGTTTGAACAATGCGAGTTACCTGTAGGAGATCAGAAAGTGGGCAAAGAGAGAGGCCAGAGTGTTTCTTCCCTGCTTCACCATATCTCTGAGAGAATCTGTGTCTCTCCATGATCACAGGTCCTTCCAGGTGCTCCTCTCCCACATTTCCAGTTATCTCTGCGTTTCCATAATGCTATGCACACCGAGGCATTGAAATGGCTTCTTATCATTGCCCATCTCTAGGGACTTCACTCATCATCCATTGTTCATTTTTGTAAGGCTGCCCATATCTCAGTCAATAAACTCCCTGCCCTTGAACCGTCTGAACCTCCATTTGGACCATCATTTCCTTGCTGGGACTTTGAGCAATACAGCCCTTGTCTCTGTCTTTCTATAACTCACTTAATTAATCAACTGGCCTAACCCACTCACTCTGGACATAAGGTCAAAACACATTCACCCAACACTTGCATGAACGCACAGCATTATATCAGAGGACAGATATTTAAAAGCTGATATTTATATTCATAAAAATGTCTATTATCAGCCTTGCCCAGGCCAATTTTGAGAGCATATTTTAAGGATAGGAAGCTCTTTCCATGAGCAATCAGAGTTTATGTCAGGCCTTCTATCCATATGAGGAAATGAGCATCATTATAAGCCTGCTCTAGGGATTGCAATGTTCCCAAACATTATTGTTACACAGTCAACAGTTATAATGAGTAAGGCACTCATTGCTCGCCAGTAAGTGGCACTGTCCTTTCTGTTCTCTTCTGAGTCAATCTCTTTATTGTTTTCACTCCTTTGGTAGAGATTGTTTTAATATGTCCTATTCCTGAGCAAATTCTCTCAGCTCATCTTCAAAATTCTGAAATTCCGCTTGTGTTCCTGCTGGACCATGTTTATTTATAAGGTCACAAAAGGTTTCTTTAAGCTAAATCAAGCTGGGTAGCATTTCTGTGCCTGAAGTTTTCTATAAGCAATATCTGCAACAAGACAGAGTGGATTTTAAATCATTCGTGAGAGACTGAGCTCCATGTCCAGGCTGACCCTAAGGATATTTCTCGCCTGTTTTATTTTTTTATGTTGAATGACATAATGGATGTGAAAGTTCTTTGTGAACCATAAAGACCTTTCTAATGTAGGGGATTATGACGATGATCTCAGAGTTTGGGAACATCCTGTGTTCTCAGGTTTATTTTATTCTCCATTTTCCAGGGGTCAACAGATTCTAAAGAAGAACAGGAATTTTTTCCAAGACCTCCTATTTCATTTTGGATAGAAGAGAATATAATTAATAACACAGCTATTCATTCAATTATTTATAAAATATTTATTGGACACTTTCTATGTGTCAAGCATTGAACCAGGGTGCTGGGGAAAAAAATGACATAAAAGCACAGTTCTTGTCCTTAAGGAGATTAACATAATTTGGTTCTTACTCTGTGACAGGCACAGAGCTGAATACTTCACACACATTATCTCTATTAGTCTTCAGAACGATACTAAGTTAATTACATTATCCACATTTTACAAATAACATGTAAAAACAAAAACAACCATGTCAATGATGAACACTTATTGAGTAGTGCTCACTGTGGGTCAGGTAGTGACCTAAATGCTTTATAAGCATCTCAATGAATCCTCAAAATATCCTTAAGAGGATTACATTATTCCTATTTCCCAACTAATAACTAACATTTATTGACCACTTAATGTTGGTAAGGCACGGCCCTAAGCACTTTACATGCATTATCTCATTTAATTTTTTAAGAACATCATGAAGGAGATACCACTATTAGCCAAGTGCTTAGACTCCAAGTACTTAAGGAACATGCCCAGGCTCATACAGCTGGAATTAGTAGAGTTGACACTCAAACTGAGTTCAGTATAAAGCCCACAGCCTAAAGCATGCCACTAGACTGCCTCTCACAAACATATTTTATTCCCAGGATAACTGACTCTCAGAGGAAAAACAAACAAAAAGATGTCAAGGCACACATCACAGCCAACATTAAAGAGGGACTGTTGGGAAATAAATCTGAAAGCAGATAACTGCCTTTATTCACTTTTCAGTTTTTTTGGATCGTTGGTGGCTTTGAGTTTTCAAATATAGACTGCAATTTATCTTAATTTACTATGGGATTTGTACCATTAATAAATATAGTCTAATAAATAACTACAAAGAAAAACAAGGCTTTAACCCTTGAATCTTCCTTAGCTCATTGCTGATACCAGTGTTTTCTAAGTAAACTGCCAAGCACTTTACGTATAACCATACACCTTCCAGGAAGTGATCTCTTGCCAACTAGAAGATTCTGATGAGTCTCACTGATCCTCTCCCCAAATTTTATTTAAAGGTGGGGTCTCTATAAATTTCAATCACTTTTTCCCTACAGGAAAATGTATTGCTTCTAAAATGCAGCAATATGAGAATTTTTTCACCATGATTATATTCTATACGCAATGTTTAATAAATGCATTAAGTTAATGCTTAGTTGAGGTTGACATTAGATCTTTAAACACACACATCAAGTCTGAAAGCTCAATCAAAAGCTATTGGCATAGTGATGTGCTATAAATCCAAGACAATTAGAACTATTCTACAAATAATATTCCAGTGTGGGGCCAGGAAGAAGAATGTTACCTTAAATTCCAGAACCTTCTAGAAGCTTCCACGTCTCCACATTTGGTCTTTTAGGCTGCTAATGATCTTGGTGTGGTATGTTGGAATGGGAAATGGACTTAGACTCAGAAAGTCTGGCTTCTACCCCCATGCACTAGTTGAGTTACATTGCACGAACCACCCTCCCACTCTGTACCCTACTTTCTCATCTGTGAAATGAGGGTAAACATTGTGTCCATATCACACAGTTGCCTGGAGCATCAAATTAGACAAATGTTAATTATTACTATTATAACATTTATGGGTTGTTTCCCATTTACCACATATGAGGATTATGTGCTTTAGGTAGTAATCCCATTAAATCATTAAAATAACTTCATGAGGCCAGATGCGGTGCCTCCACCTGTAATCCCAGCATTTTGGAGGGTGGAGGTGGGTGGATCACCTGAGGTCAGGAGTTTGAGACCAGCCTGGCCAACACAGTGAAACCCCCTCTCTACTAAAAGAAAATAAAAAATAAAAAACAAAATAACTCCATGAAGTAGGAACTATTTTTCTCCTTATGGTACCCATAAGGGAAAGTGAAGTCAGGAAGTACACAGTAGTCACAATGGGACAGAGATGGGATTGTTAGAAAGACGCCAACAGACACAATTAGAAAAGGTGATGACTAAGATTAAAGAAATTTTCAGAGACTTCAACAAGGAAACATCTAACACAGAATGCTCCAACAAGAGGTACGTCACCCAGATAATAATGCTCTCCATAGGACACACACCAATGGGTATTATCACCCGCCCCCGGCAGAATCTACATTCTGTTAAGTGCAACAAGCATAATTAGGACAAGGATGCAAAATTTAAGGAGACACCAAAAAGCTTAATAATCAAGACGAACAACATTTAATGCTATTTTGTTTTGTTTTGTTTTGTTTTGTTTTGTTTTGTTTTGAGACAGGGTCTCATTCTGTCACCCAGGCCGGAGTGCAGTGGCAATCACCACTCACAATGCAACCTACCTCTGCCTCCTGGGCTTAAGCAATCCTCCCAGCTCAGCCTGCTAAGTAGCTGGGACTATAGGCGTGCACCACTGCACCCAGCTATTTTTTGTATTTGTTTTTTAGAGACAGGGTTTCACGTGTTTCCCAGGTTGTTAATGCAATATTTTTAAAGTAAAAATTACTGCAAAACATCCATGATGAACAAAACATGAAAAACTTAAATAAAGACAGGTTCTGACCCTACACAGCACAGCTAATTTCAACACTGTTGATTAGTGGGTTTGATTTTTTTTCTCAATAATTTTCCCTTTACCATTCAGTCAAATCAGTTTTAAGACCTCCTTGTACCTCCTCTCTCTATCTCCCCATCTCCTGTTTGCCTCTTCATAGTACTCTAGTTTTAGGCTTGGCTGCCTGTCAGGTGCAAGTAACAGGTGAAAAACAATTCAGGCACAATGTAGTGTTTACTGAGAGTCTGCATAAGGCTAAGTTCAGCTTCCTAGTCCTGGAAATACGACACATACTGCAGGTCCAGAATTAAGGCTCTTCTGCCTTAATTCTGCCAGAAATAATATAGGATGCCCAGTTAAATTTGAATTTCAGATGAACAACAATTTTTGGTATGGGTATATCCCATGCAAAATTTTGGCATATTTATGCTAAAACATTTACCAAAAATACATAAATTTTCTTGGCTGCAAAATGGAATAGAATAGGCCAGAACAATACAGAATAAAAAGGTCAGAAGTTCAAATGTAATGGGATGGCATAGAATAGAATGGCTAGCAATAAAATACAATTGCCCAGAATGACATAGAATGGGATGGAGGAGAAGAAAATGGAAAAGGGGGGAATGAAATAGAACAGATGCCTGATATCTAGTTTGTTTCAGTGCATTGTCATTTCTTTACACTTGTGAAATTCACAAAGGATGGGTTTGAATAACTGCTCCCCGAGAGCCATAGTAGCTCAGGCTGAGTTTTGCAGATCAAAATAGAGGAAGAGGCCCCTCAATCCTGAAGACCCTCTGTTCAGAATATCCAGAACCAGGAATCTTCTTTTATTTCCAGGTGGGAGAGGAGCTGGGAAATTCCACACTGTAGATGGTTCCCTTTTAAGTTATCTCTTCCTTGGATAACTCATGCTCAAGCCTCTTCCTAATGCTCGATATGAGACATCTACAGGACAAAGTGATTGTGAAGTAAAATCACATGCAGAGTTTTGGCTTTGGTTAATCTGTCTATAAACTTCAGAAACACTATGTTGAAAGACTTGGATGTTGCAAAGGAAGCATTTTAATTTGACTCATAGTTGTCTAGTATCTTCGGAGGAGGCACAAACAGTTCCAAAGAACATGCTGCCAAGAGCTCCCCCGGGGTCAGCTTTAGAGCCAGGATTGTCATCCTCCCATGAGGGACTTGATCCTGCATCACCACGACATCCTTGGAGACCATGTCCTTAAATGGTAGTCTGTGAGCCTGGAAACCAAAAAGGGAGATGAAGCCCAAGCAGACCAGTCTATTTAAAGGTGCTGGTGGGAATAGGAAGATCCCTGGTGGATTAAGAGAGTCAAAGAGTCTCTATGACAGGACCACAGACATCTCACCAGCTCCCCCGGCCTTGAGTTTACCCTTCTCAAGACCCACAGAAAGTCCAAATTTATCAAAGGAGTATGCTAAGGACCAGATAAAACCCAGAGCCCAGAATTTCAGCTGATAGAATTTTGTTAATGTGATTATTACAGCACGTGTGTATTTTGTGTGTTCTGAAGCATGTTGGCATGCGTTACTATGTGATACTCACAGTAAGTCTGTGAAAGAGGCTGGGAGAATCTGATTATTCCCATTTTTCAGATGAAGTATCCTTTTTTTTTTTTTTTTTTTTTTTTTTGAGACAGGGTTTTACTCTGTTACCCGGGCTGGAGTGCAGTGGCATGATCTCAGCTCACTGTAGCCTCAACCTCCTGGGCTCAAGCAATCCTCCCACCTTAGCCTCCCGAGCAGCTGGGACTACAGGTGTGCACCGCCACACCTGGCTAGTTTTTCGTATTTTTTGCAGATACGGGGTTTCACCACATTGCCCAGGCTACTCTTGAACTCCTCAACTGAGCTCAAGTGATCCACCCACCTCAGCCTTCCAAAGTGCTGGGATAACAGGCGTGAGCCATCATGCCCGGCCTTTCAGATGAAGTTTCTAATGTCCAGAGGGGTTTAATGTCTTGCCCATATCTATGCAGTTGGTAATTAGCAGGGCTGGGACCATGTCTTGGGTCTTCCAGCTGGATTGCTTGGGGACAGTGCAGTACCTCCTGCTACTTGTCTTGGACATCCTGGAAAATAGGCTTCTCTTCATGGGTTCAATCACCATTTGACCACCCAAGACCCCTCCTTCTCCTTGCTACAATGGCCAGAATTCCTCTCACATCAGCTGTTCTCAGCACAATGCCTCCCCTAAACATCCTTCTCCATGATATTAATGCACAGTGGTTTCAGGTAACAGGTCCAGGAGTCAGACTGCCTCCGTGTGAATCTTGGCCCTGCCGATTATTATCTGTATTACATTCCATGAGTTACCTACCCTGTCTTATCTGTGTAACAGGGATGGCAGGACCTACCTCATAGAATTGGTGTGAGGATTACATCTCTAAGAATGGGACCAGACACAAAAGAAATGCTTAATATTACCCCAGTCCTGAAGCCCTATGGACTTTCAATTCATCATGGATGATTTTGGAAAACTACTGACATATCAAAAAAGATTAACAATGTCTGTGAAGGAAAGAAGGAAATGCAGATGGTAAGAAAATTCCTTCAGAGATACGTCCTCATTTTTTTTGGTATATTTACTTCATTTTCCAATAAGCCAGCAATGTTTCATAGTCATGCATTCAACATTTGAAAGACAGAGGGCAATGACCAAAAGCAAGATGTTCAGAATATCTTTGTAAGACATTAAACTCCAGGACTCTGCTAGTTATTCTGTTATTCAGCTCAGTCTCCCAGCAGAACTCATGCTGGTAACCCTGATTCACACTAATATGTTGCTTTTAGTGAGCATCTTATATAAGCCAACCTTGCTGCTAAGCATTTTACATCAATTTATGATTCAGATCACAACTCTATGGGACAGGGAGTTTTTGCCCCGTTTTACAGATGGGAAAACTGAGACTCACAGAAGGGTCACATAATAATATGTGGCAAGACAGAGCCCAAACCTACCTCTGTCTAATGCCAAAAGCCTAGTGGTTAAGCACCACACCATGCATGTTACACCATCTCTTCTCAAGAATAAGCTCAGCTAATTACTAAATCAATTATTTAATAAGCAAAAAGATCCCCATTTTTAACCCGGTATATGAAACAGATAATAATATAAAAAGGAGCTTCTGTGGATAAACCAGGGGTTGGGCTCCACATTAGTTTACTGTTGTCTATAAAAAGTTGACACTAATTTAGCTGCTTAAACCAACACCCATTAACTAGCTCACAGTTCTGTAAGTCACAATCGCAGGGGGACTTGGATAGAGTCTCTGCTTTGGGTCTCAAAAGCCAAAATCAAGTTGTTGGCCAGGCTGGGCACTTATCTGGAGACTCTGGAGAAGGGTCCCCTTCCACACTTGTTCAGGCTGTAGGTAGAATTCAGTACCTTAGGATTACAAGAATGCTGTCTCCGTTTCCTTGCTGGCTGTCAGCATGTGGTCGCTCTCTGCTCCTAGAAACCACCCACCTTCCTTCTCACGTGGCTTCCTCAAACTCCAAAGCAGCAATGGTGCGTCAAATCCTTCTCATGTTCCTAACGTCTCTGACTTCCTCTTCTGCTACCAGCCAAAGGCAACTCTCTGCTTTCAAAGTGTTCCCCTTAGTGGGGCAGGATCCTGTGCATAATGTTGGTATCTTAAGGTCACCTGACTTGGGATTTGAATTACATCTGCAAATTCCCTTCACAGCACTAACTAGATCAGTGTTGGATCGAATAGACAGGGGATGGAAATCTTTGGTGGCTATCTTAGCATTTCTCTTTACGAAACGACCCAAACTCCACATGCCTACCTGCCTGTAGCAGCCCCAAAAGTGCCCTAGAACCCTCTAGAACACAGTTTAATAAACCTGCTTTTTGTACTCTAAATCAGGGCTTCACAACCTCAACACTACTGACATTTGGGGTCAGATAGCTTTTTTTTTTTAAACCTTGAATATGTACAATTTTTATTTCTTAATTACACCTCAGTAAAGCTGAAAAAACTAACCAGATTGAAAGGATAAACTCACAGTTCTATAATGATAGTTCTTTCATTATCAAGAATAATTATTCTCAATGACAATTCTATTCTGTGCATTGTAGGATGTTTTGCAGCATCCTTGGCCTCGACCCACTAGACAATGAGCACTTCCAGCGGTAACAATCAAAAATGTCTCCAGATATTGCCAAATGTCCCCGGGAGGCAACGTCACCACCAGCTGAAGACCATGGTCTAGATTAAAATGCAGAGAAGCAGAGCATTTTGTTTCCAGAGACCTAGTGAACTAATTGTGCAGAAAAAGGCATAAATTTGTAAAAGTTTAAGGAACATTTCAGAACTTAAACCAAAGGCAAAGGTACAGAAACAGTGGTGACAGAAGCTGTGCGCCTGGCTGCTAAGCAAGTGCCATTTACAGATAATAGAAGAACTTCAGGAAATGGGAAGGTTGGTGTGTAATCCCATTAGAACAGTCCAGGAAAGTCTCATGAAGGAGGAAAAGGCCAGAATTGTATTTTTTTTTTTTTTTTTTTCTTTTTGAGACGGAGTCTCGCTCTCACCCAGGCTGGAGTGCAGTGGCGCGATCTCGGCTCACTGCAAGCTCCGCCTCCCTGGTTCATGCCATTCTCCTGCCTCAGCCTCCCGAGTAGCTGGGAATACAGGCACCCACTACCATGCCCGGCTAATTTTTCTGTATTTTTAGTAGAGACGGGGTTTCACCATGTTAGCCAGGATGGTCTCGATCTCCTGACCTCGTGATCTGCCTGCCTCAGCCTCCCAAAGTGCTGGGATTACAGGCGTGAGCCACCGTGCCCGGCCCAGAATTGTATTTTAAAATGAATAATGCCACTTCCAGGTTCATCCCAGAGGCCAAGAAGAGAAATGTGCAAAAATGTCGTTGGTATTTTAGAAATATTGAAAGCTTGGAGACAACCTAGATGTACATGAACAGGGGAAAGGGTAAAGCAGTGGTGTATTAATGAGAGTTCATCAGAGAAACAGAACCAATAGAACCTATATATAGTGTGTATATATGTACACACAAAATATATGTGTGTGTGTGTATATATAGATATACATATACAGTATATATTTATATTTGTATATATACAATATGCATATATATATATATATATATATATATATATATAGTGTGTGTGTGTGTATAGGGTGGGAAGTATTTATTATAAGGAATTGGTTCATGCAATTATAGACACTGACAAGTCCCAAGATCTGCAGTTATCACACTAGAGGACCAGGAAAGCCAAGGGTTTAGTTCCAGTCCCAGTCCTAAGGCCTAAGAACGAGGAGCTGATAGCGTATTTCCAGTCCAAACATCAGCAGGCTCAAAACCCAATGTTTCAGTTCAAGAGCCCAGGCTTCCGTTCAAGCCAAAGGCAGGAAAACACTGATGTCCCAGCTTCATGCAGTCAGGCAGGAGGACATTTTCTCAGCTATTTTGTTCTATTCAGGCCTTCAACTGATTGGATGAGGCCCACCCACATTGGGGCAACCTGCTTTACTCAGTCTATCAATGTAAATGTTCAACTCATCCAAAAACACCCTCCCGGAAGCATCCAGAATAATGCTGACCAAATGTCAAACCCCGTGGCCCAATTAAGTTGACACATACAATTAACCATCACAAATGGATTCATTCATGCAGAGGAAGACCATGCAGCCATTTTTTTAATGCAATAAATGCATATATTCTGATCCAGGAGAATGTCCACAATGTGTTATCTGTTTAAAACAAATGTCAACTTGCAGAAGAGTATGTATACTATGGTCCCACACGCATAAAAGAGAAAGTAAACTATATGAAACAACATATACATATGCACTTTTAAAGAATGTGTGTATAAACACAGAAAAATTCTAGAAGGATACACAGCAGACTCAGTGGTTTTCTATCCCCTCCTCCTCCCACACAGAGTACGGGGTATGTGTGCCTTACTGGAGACTTTCGTTTTTTATGTAAATCACTGAAATGTGCTAGGTGCTTGCTAAATGCTCAGCACCAGGCTAGCAAGCTACATGCACACTGTCAATTAATACGCATCACAATCCCATAAAAATGCTTCCTCTGTCTTACAGGGGACACAGAACTAAGGCCTAGGGAGGGTGAATAACTGTCTCAAGTTCACTAGCTTAGGATACCACGGAGCCACTCCTCCATGACAGGTCTGTCTGACCCATGACAGAGTACTGCCCATAATGTACTGTCTCTACAAAGAGACAGTTTTCATGTTAAAAATAAATATGTTCATTATATATTTTATTCTTTAACATAGAATATATATGTATGTATATATGTTTATAGTTGATGTACCTATATTACCCCTATTTTTTTTTAAGATACATTTTCTTTTTTTTTTTTTTTTTTTTTTAGAGTCAGAGTCTCATTCTGTCACCCAGGCTGGAGCACGGTGGCGCGATCTCGGCTCCCTGCAACCTCCGCCTCCTGAGCTCAAGCGATTCTCCTGCCTCAGCCTCCCGAGTAGCTGAGATTACAGGCATGCACCACAATGCCTGGCTAATTTTTGTATTTTTAGTAGAGATGGGGTTTCACCACATTGGCCAAGCTGGTCTCAAACTCCCATCCTCAGATGATCCACCCGCCTCAGCCTCCCAAAGTGCTGGGATTACAGGCGTGAGCCACTGCGCCCAGCCAAAAGAATACATTTTCATACTTACTCCAAAACAATAAAAATAGATAAGATCTGGGAAAGGAGAAAGCAAAAGCAAATTAACTCGGGGGAAATTTTTTTTAACTGTTTTATTTTGCGTCTCCCCAGAAGCAGAGCCTAAGTACAAGGACTTAGATGCATGATTTGCTTGTTTGGGAGATGATCCAGAGAAGGAGGAAAAGCCGAGATAAGGAAACACACAGGCTCACTGCTGCAGACACCAGGGTTTGATTCTTCTGGGATCTCTGAACAGTAGGTAAAGGAGGAAAAGCTGGGTACTTTTCCACTGGCTTCCATCCCGCCTTTGTGAAGGGTTAGCCCCAGGGGGGTTAACTCCCCAGGAGAGAAAGCTTGATGTGGGATTCTGTCATTTGAGGTGTGTCTCACCTGAAGTTGAAAGAGAATTAGATCAAGGAGATGCAAGACAAGGAGCCAAAGAACTCTGTTACATATACCACTTAAAAAATCACCTGAAGGATCGCTTGAACCCAGGAGTTCAAGGCTGCAGTGAGCCGTGATTTTGCCACTACACTCCAGCCTGGGCAACAGAGTGAGACCCTGTCTTAAAAGAAAAAGAAAAGAAAAAAAGGCAAAAGAAAATCACCTGAAAGGGGATCTATAGATCACTTTTGTTTTTGTTTTTCTAAGCAGTCTTTTTTCTAAGAAAAAAATACAGAAAGTAGCACAGAGTATTCGTGTGAGCCAACCCTGACGGGTAACCCGTTGAAGTACATTTCCGAATGAACGCTGCTGGGAGAGAGGGGCACACAGCCAGCAGATAAGGTTGCAGGGGGATGAAGCCATAACACAGAGCATAGCTTTTTCTTTGTGGGGAGGCCTTTCAGATGCTGGTGATGAACCATGCAAGCTCCATTGCTCTGAAGTCAGGCTCACAGAAAGGAACAAACGGCAGGGAGAGGTTTACATCAAATTGCATCTGAACTTTCAACTACAGTCCTCCTAACAGCTGCCTTGGGTAAGAATCCTGGCAAGTGCGTTTAAATTTTTATTCATGTGCAGACAGGAGAGGAGGTGAGGAAACAATTCTGAGATGAAGAACTCCAAATTATGAGAAGAATGCCAACTGTCAATAATCAAAATAATTCTTCTCTGCATAATCAACACCACATCGGCACAGCTGCTGACGAAGAAACAATAAACACCAAATAAAAATAAAAATTTCTCTCTCTTTTTTTCATGCTACCTTACAAGGAAAATCTGTACTGGAGCAAGGCTTTGTGGAATAGTTCCTAAAACATGCAATCAACATTTTCTTGAAATTACAGCTGGCATCCTGTATCTAGCAAACTTCTTTCTTTCCACATTCTTATTTATACCTTGTAGAGACAGCTTAACACTCAATTGCTAGTGCCATGTGTTTGACAATTGATTGTGTACTGCCCAATGGCACACCTGACTTTAGAGCATTGAGATTATATATGTACATGTGTGTCTCTGCTGTACATGATTAGGATCATGTGACACTGATCAGTTCCACAGGGTCATTAGGCAGGAGTCCCAAACTTGCTCTTTATTTCATAGGATGACATCAATCCTAGTTTGAGGAGCAGCACAATCTCAGGTTTCTGAATTTAACTTCACAGGGTCCAGAGTCATTAGAGTGTAACATATTGGCTCTGGACTCAGACAGCTGGGTTGGAATTACACACCACCATTCACTATCACATGACTTCAGAATGTCACTTGACCTCCGGAGGTCTCAATGTATTCATCTGTAGAATGGGAATAAGAATACTCCCTCAGATGTTTGTTGTAGGAATTGTAAAGTAATTTGTGGAATATGTTCACACAAGGCATGGCTCACAGTGAGCACATGGCCAGTGTTAACTATTATAACTGCTCTGGGGTTGAGGAACAGTTCATCCCTCTGTCCTGAAATTCCTTCTATAACATAGTAATGGCCTACACTCCCTTTGACTTAGAAGGATTTCTACTTTCTCCCTATTTACTATAACTTGGCTATTCATTTGATTGTGAATTGCCCAAAGAACTATTAATGTCTGGATTCCGTAGGGGTTACACGTAGTGGTGCAAGATGTTAAGGGTGCCCTAGGGAAATGAACACAAGTCTCCCACATCAAAGGGTGAAGATGCACTAGCTAGTTGATTTAGCTCCTTTTCGGAACATATTCCCTTCATGTGCGTGGCTATAGTGTTGTGTGGGTGGCGCTAAAACTTGGAGATGATAGAGAACTATTCCTTCAAGGAAGAGATTCTCTTGAACTCTATTGGCGTTGGTCAAAAATGAACCCTTGTGAGACTGGCCGCCAAGGATCACATCGCAGAGGTAGTGCTATGTGTTTCTTCTTTTGGGGTACACAAAAAACTACATTTCCCAGATTCCCTTGGAGTTAGATTAGAACCATGTGGCCAATAGGATGTAAGTAAGAGAGACACTTTTGGGGCTTGTCTTAAAAATATCTAAAAATATTTCATCATGTCTTTGATGACCTTTCTTGTTATTCAGCACTCTAGACAGAGGGAAGAGAAAATGAAAAGGTCTTGAGACAGAAACAAGGTGATGTGTTAGAAGCCTACCCAGAACTAAGCTTAAGGCCTCAAATATATATCTCAAAAAGGAGTGAGTTGAGAGAGGTGGGCAAGGGGTAACCCAGTTCATGAATTAATATATAAACACTATATTCATAGGACAGCACCTCAGCCTCTCATTCACAGCCCATTTGTTATTCTAACAAGTTTCATTATCTGGCTTCCAGATCCAGAACAAATTAGAGACGGCTAATTTGCTAATCTTTTTCTTTTCTGTTTTTTTGTTTGTTTGTTTGTTTGTTTTTCTGAGACAGAGTCTTGCTCTGTCGCCCAGGCTGGAATGTAGTGGCGCCATGTCAGCTCACTGCAACCTCCGCCTCCCAAGTTCAGCAATTCTCCTGCCTCAGCCTCCTGAGTAACTGGAATTACAGGCGCTCACCACCACTCCCAGCTAATTTTGATATTTTTAGTAGAGAGGGGTTTCACCATGTTGGCCAGACTGGTCTCGAACTCCTGACCTCAAGTGATTTGCCCGCCTGAGCCTCCCAAAGTGCTGGGATTACAGGCATGAGCCACCACGCCTGGCTGAAGCAGCTAATTTGATGGGAGCACAGAACTGCTACAAGTAGACATACCCTCATCGATAAGATGAGGGTATTCTATCCCACCCACAAGCCCTCCACTTCTCATAGGTTTACAAGGCCATTCCCTTCGACTTTCCTCATACGACATGATGTCAATTCCCTTTTCACTTTAGCTCTCTCCTTTAAACCTCCTCTCATTCTCTTAAATCCTCTCACATCAAAATTTAATGCAATGTTGCATGTGTGGCTCCGTCAACAATGATTGGAGCCTGTGTTTAAGAGGCAGCCACAAACTCAAACACTTCCAGGGACAGAAACGTAGAGTAACTGAATAAAGAAAGCAAGTACAAGACAACAAGAAATAGTGTGCCTCATGGTGAGTAAATGAAAAGAAAATGTCCAGCCAAAGCCATTCTTGCATCAATCACAAGAAGGGATCCAATATTCTGACCCAGATGATTTGTGTAAGTCAGTCGAGACATGGCATGTTTGCCCAATATGTCTGAAAGAAAGAATGGATATTTCATATTTTAGGGAAAAATGTCTTCATCCCTGCTGTTGGACACAAACAAAGAAGCATGAGCCGCCATCTTGCCACTGGCCACCACCTTACAACCCTGAGGAGCAGGACCCGCATTGAGAAAATCAGGATGGAAACATGGAAGGCACCTGCATCCTTGATGATGCCACGAATCGCTGAACCAACCAGTCCTAGAGCGTACCCTAACTTTAATTTCTGTATGAGAACAAATGTTTCATTGTTTAAGACAGTTTGAGTTGGGACTTCTCATCCCACCCTCAGCAGCATCCTAGAAAACACAGAATTCCATTTGTAAGTGCTGTGATAACCAAATAAGACTTGCTCAGGAGCAAGACAGAACCCATGGGCACTTGAAATGTGAGCTATACTGTGAGCAAATACTCCCGGATTTTGAAAGACTTAGTGAAGAAAAAAAAAATTAAGGATCTCATTAATACACTTTTTATATCCATTACATCTCAAAACAATAATATTTTCTGTATGTTGTTTTAAATAAAATATATTCAAGTCAATTCGCCTATTTCTTATCTTTTTTAATTTGCTTACTAGAAAATTTAATATTACGTACGTATTCACATTGTATTTCTATTAGACAGCACTGATCCAGTTATTGTACTTCTTCCAATCAGCCTGAGGACATTAGGTCTCTTAACATTATTTACTAATACTTCATTTGCCGTCCACAAAAGTCTCTGAACTCTTCTTAGCCTTTCTTGTGCTTAATCATTCTCTCCATTCTGTTTTCTGAAGTTATTTTCTTAACCTAAGAAATTTATGTTGATCCTAATTATAGCTTAGAAGTCCATTGCTACAGGCCAATGGTTCACCAGAGGACATGCTGGAAATATGTGGGGGCAGTTTGGGTTGTCACATAAGGGGGAGGGGACACTGTGGCATTTAGTGAGCAGGGGCTTGGATATTGCATAGTGGATAAGAGAACTGTCTCACTTCCCATTCCCACATGCCAATCCCTATACATATGTATAAAAATGACCAGAAGCTGATTTCATTTTACTTATTAATATAGGTATTTTTTGCATGGGGCTAATGTAAATGAATTCTCCAGGAAAGCGACCGCTGTGTAAATGAAGGGAAAAGTATACTTTGTTTTGCTCAGAACTTCAGAAGTTATTCATCATTTAGAAAAATCACACATTTACAACAGTGGCAATACTGGTATATGAGTCACCAGAGTAGCTCAACTGCTTTGATCCACATTTGAGCTGCTCCACTAAGATAATTCTATGCATAGGTCCTATTAGGTTGGTACAAAAGTAATTGCAGTTTTTACCATTAATAATATACCTGTTAAATTTTTATTTCAAAATGTCAAATATAAAGAAAAAGTGTCAACAATATTCAATTGAATATTGTTTTCTCTTAAATTCAAACTAATTCATTACATCAGAGGCAAGCATCTAAGTACAATCAGTTCTGATATAATATAATATATGCATTCCTACAAATCACTTCGCTATGCAAAATCACACGGCATAACATTCAAAAACTTCAATATTGACACATTTAAAGAAACAAATAAAAATGGTTGCATGGTTTTACAGATGTTAAATGGTTAAGAAATATATAAGTACTACAACGCACATGGTACTTTACCTTGAAAAAGACCAAAAGTTTGCTTGTGTACCTGTGGGCCATGGAAACGTACAGCTTGTGAGTTACTGTGGAGAGTCACTCAGAGGCTGCACCTTTCTGTGGAAAGAAGAGTTGTCTGAATGAGAAGAAAGGGTGTAACACCAGCTGCAGATGGGTACGACTCACCACATGCAAAAAACTGAGGTTGCTGGGAGATGTTTGAGTCGTATGCAAGTGGACTCAGCTGGCTGCAGTTTCCTCTGTTCACCTCGTGTTGCTCATGAAAGAAATCATGCATAAGCAAACGGAAATGTTTATTTGTTCCTTCCTGTATCAGTCGTGCTATAATTAATTTGCATTTCCAAAACAAGTATTATGGCAGAACCAATCGTGTGTCATTATTTCCTAGTGTGATTTTATTTTTTAATGCCCTTTATTTCTCCTTTATACTACATTTAGGGCTTTATATTAAAGTTTGGAAATTACATGTCTAGGTGGCTGAGACATTCAGTTCACAATAATGAAAGTGGCACTTCAAAATATTTCATATAAAGAGGGTGTTGGGTCTAAAAGGGTTGAGAACCTCTGATCTAACCTACTGAGTAGTTGCTGAAGAATTGCGTTTCTATGCATTTGTTACTCCTCTTTGGTATGTGCAATCCATAGATTTAATAAATGTGTCTCCCACAGAGCCATTCAAATCACTAAAATGATTTTTTTTTCCAGGACAGGACTAAAGAAAGAATTCAGGTCTTGCCAGTAGAAATCGCCCTCTCATGCATCCATTAACCAGTCCCTAGACATTCATTCAATCACAAAACGACCTCACCTTTCATATCTGTCCATTTTGCCCAGCAGGTTAGCAAAAGAAACCCTGCCCAGGAACTTCCTGGGGTTAAGCCACCCCACAAAGCCAGACCATGCTGCTTGCCACATTCACATAATCCTCTGGTCTAAAATTCTCACCAAATAGAAAAGCTCATGTCATTGAGCTTTTCTGGAAATGCCTGAGCCTGCTGATGTTCCTTTAGAAAATGGTTTCCTGATTGGAAACCGGTGTTCTGTGGTCTGACCAGCACAGGAAATACCAACACATGAATAAAACACCTATTTTGATTTTGGTTTTGGTTTTTATAAATGGAGACATTTTCAAAAGAAAAGAAAAAAAATTATCGGGCTGGAGCAACAATTTCTAAATCCCATCACCTGGGTAGTGTTTAAAAATACATAGAACCAGTCCCTACTCCAGATCCACTGAGGTAGAATTTCTGGAGTTAGATCCCAGCAAGTGACATTAAAAACAATTTTTGCAGGAGTTTCTGGTGTGCAGCAATCATGCTTGGAAGCAAACATCTCAATCATTATGTCCTTCAAGTAGATATTAATAACTAGTGAATGCTAATACACACGCCAACTACGTGCTAGGGGCTGAGGCTTCAAAACCATGGTTTTCTAACTTGTAAGAGATACACAGTCTAATACACAGTGTCAACTGCCATACAAGAGGCAAATACTATGATAAAGCAGGTATTTCCCAACCTTTTTTCATGATTACCACCAGAAGAGCCATTTTAGATATCTTTTTCCTAATCTCTTCCTACCATGAAATTTTATATACTGTGTATCTGTTTATGTATTACATATATCTACATTTTATACATAAAAATAATCTTTTTATTCCCCTCTCCAAATAACCAGTCGGTGCCCCTTGGGGGCAATATTACCTGCATTGAGAATGCATGTGATAAAGGTATATGGAAAGGATAACGGGGCACAGTTAGTCAACTAACTGCCTGGGACAGTCAGGGAGGGTACATGAGGAAGTAACATTTGAACTAGGTTTTGTAGGATAAGTAAGAGTTTCCCATCTGAGAAAAGGGAGAGAAATGAGTTTAGGAGGAACGGCTCCCAAGCATGTTTGCTAACTGTTTGCAAAGCATGGTGTGCTCTGAGACCTGTACATCCACAGAAGGAGTGGGGCATTTTAAAATACAGATATTAAAATACAATTTTCATTAAAAAACTGACGCTTGGCCTGCCGTGGTGGCTCACGCCTGTAATCCTAGCACTTTGGGAGGCCGAGACGGGCAGATCAGGAGCTCAGGAGATCGAGACCATCTGGCTAACACGGTGAAACCCCATCTCTACTAAAAATACAAAAAATTAGCCGGGCGTGGTGGCGGGTGCCTGTAGTCTCAGCTACTCGGGAGGCTGAGGCAGGACAATGGCGTGAACCCGGGAGGCGGAGCTTGCAGTGAGCTGAGATCGCGCCACTGCACTCCAGCACTTCAGCCTGGGCGACAGAGTGAGACTCCGTCTCAAAAAAAAAAAAAAAAAAAAAAAAAAAAAAAAAAAAACTGAGTCTGATGAAGCATCAAATCCTGGAATCCTTTGCAGGTGGCATGAGTACACAGGGAACGGAAATTGTAAGAACATTGAGTTAGTAAAGACAGGTACTTGGTGCCTTTAATTTCAGCCTATGTCTCAGATGGAAAGGCTCCTGAGTAATAAATAATAGAGCACACTTTGGGCATAGTTCATTCACTCTTCTTCCAGACACATTTCAAAGACCATTCAAAGCAAGTTGTGAAAGCTCTGATTAACATACAACACAGAGCTCTCCCTATATACTCTCAAGGGTAAAAATACTGCTGAAAAGTCATTTCTTTTTAAAGCTGAGCATCTAACACCACCTTGTGAATGATAATAAATGGCATGCTAAGCTGCAAGGTAGACCAGCCCTCTGTCTGAGTCTGCAAGTTTTATTTACACAAAAATGCATACCCATTCTTTGGCCAAGAGACCATGATCGTCTTCCGGTGAGATAAGATTTCCTATGGGACTCCTGGTATTTCCCAATTCAAACTTGGTCAGAAATAGCAACCCAAACTCTCATGGGTTTGTTTTCCTTTTTTTTTTTTCTTCTTCTTCTTCTTCTTCTTGATAATTCCCATTCGAGCAACATTAGGAATGTACATGTATTTGCTCTTAAAATAATATTCCAGTTATCTTTCCTACAGTTGGAGAAGTTTAGGATTTTTTAACAGCTTCAAATCTTACTGAATATTTAGGGGAAAGATGTATAGATAAGGGACAAAAAATGTTGTAAGAGAGAAAATCCATACACCACCATCTTCATCCCACTAGGTATGGAGATAGAAACTTAATATGAAAATGGAAACTCTTGAACTAAACACCTTCAGAAGGGTGGCACTTGGACATTCTAGAATGGAACATGGCAATACCAGTTTTAATACAAGAAAACATTCTTCCACAGGTGGTTCCTCTGAAACACAAGCAAGCTGCTTGCTTCTTGATGGTGGTGTATTTTTCCTATTCACAGAAGCCTATAATAGCATGATGAAGTAGAACTTGCTGGCAACTGGAGCATTTGTCTTACGATACTTTAAAAAACCACCAAAAACCAGCCAACTGGGTGCTCTGAGAATCAAATCAGGCACTGTATGTGAATTCAATTCACAAAGGGTTTTGGACACTGGTCACTCTCTCTTCTAGGCCCTTCGGCACTTAAGCAAATGCCTTGTGTAGAGAGTCCTTCGCATAGTCTTTATCTGCAGTCACATCTTTTTCCCACTTTTTTACGGACTTCTTGAAGACAGAATCTGTGTCATCATCATATCTCCAGCAGTTACAAGAATGAGGCACCTTACGAGCATATCTTGAGAAAGTAGATGAATGAATGAATACATGAAGAATGAACTAGAGGAAGTCAGGATATTGCCATAATACTATGGGAAGTCTTGTCAATCAATAAGGCTATCTCCCCACCATGACAAGTAGCTAGAAGGAGAGCCATTCATACCAAATGCTAACACCAGGAGAAAGGCAACCCTCCAGCACATCCCAATCAAAATAAAGTTCCCTATCTACAAAAGGATTGTGTTGTCAACTTTCCATACTAAGAATGGTCCCCCACATAGAGGGGAACAACACACACTGGGGCCTGTCAGAGGGTGGAGGTTGGGAAGAGGGAGAGAAGCAGGAAAAATAATTAATGGATATAAGGCTTATAACCCGGGTGATGAAATAATCTGTACAATCAACCCCCATGACACACATTTACCTACATAACAAAGCTGCACATCCTGCACATGTACCCGTGAGCCTAAAATAGAAGTTAAGAAAAAAAATGGCCCCCATATTTCCAGCAGTTGTTCTGAATTAAGAAGTCAGATGCCTGGTTTTCAAAATATTACATGCAACGATGCTTAATTGTGAGGATAGGTTAGATGCCAGCATCTCTGTCACCAGAAATGCAGGAACAAATGTGGAGAAAAAAATGCAAAGAACACAAAGCCATCCTCAGCTCCACAATAACCTTAGTCAATGAGTAATGCCCAGTGAGTATAAGGTGAGACCTAATTTTTTCTACTTGTAATGTACATTTTATCCATTTAGTCGTTCAATACCTATATTAGCCTTTTGGGGTATTTAGTAGTGTATTAGTCTGCTAATGCTGCTATAGCAGAATACCACAGATTGGGTAGCTTAAATAACAGAAATTTATTTTCTCATAGTTCTGGAGGCTAGAAGTTCAACATCAAGGTGCTGGCAAGTTGGTTTCTGGTGAGGCCTCTCTTCTTAGCCTGTAGATGGACACCTACTCACTGCGTCCTCATATGGTGGAGGAATACAGATCTCTGGCATCTCTTCCCCTTTTTATAAGGACACCAGTCCTACTGGATTAAAGCCCCACCCATATGATCTCGTTTAACCTTTATTATTTCCTTAAAGGCCCTCTCTCCAAATCCAGTCACACTGGGGGTTTGAGCTTCAACATATGGGTTCAGGGGTGGGGAGATAAATTCAGTCTATAACAAGCAAACAAACGAAATTCAATGCATATGTTTTTCATTCCTTCATCTGTGAATGTTTACCAAAGAACTATGGTATATCAGATGCTCACTAGGTGACAGAGACACAGCAGTGCCCAAGACAACTATAGTCCTTTTCCAGCCTCATGGAGCTTTTCATCCACTACTAGAGAGAGGAATTAAGCATGAAATTATACAACTAATTTCAAAAGAGATCATGAGGAAGAAGAATTAATAGTATTAGACAAATGTAACAAGCATAACTCAGAGCCTATAACTTCATGTGGAAATCGGAATGCTTGGTAATGTGCAGGGCGCCACAACAAATACAAATTAATATTATGGGTGAAAAAAAATGAAGAGAAAACCAGTACTCATGAAAGAGATACAATTGTGTCTGCCCTGTCCAATTCTAATAATTAGAATTCCATCCATTTCAGTGAGCACTGCTCAGCATTAGATGTATTTATTTCTTAATGGTCATTATGGGCCCAAAGATAATTACACAAGGATATTGCAGCATTGTTTGTAGAAGAAAGAGTAATAACCAAGTGTCCATCAAAGGGGAATTGGGTACATGCATAGAATACCTCTATACAGTATTCAAAAGAAGAGACTAGTGCTGTATATACTAATATGAAACTATATACTAAAAAAATTGTTGCGTTTAAAAAAATGAAGTGTAGCATGACATGCAGAGTGTGCTTCCGTGTGTGAAATTTCGGGAGAGTCGTATAGATTCAAGTAGACTTGCACATACACAAACTATCTCTGGAAGAATATATGAAACAGGATAACAGCCAGCGGTTGTTGCCTCAAGAAGGGTAAGGGGGTGTATTAAGGTCAGGAGTAGTAAAGAGACAGACTTTTATTACAGTTGGAAATGTATCATATCTTATTAGAGAAAACATGATCTCAAACAGCATATATGAAGAAAAGTTGTATTAACCAATAATAGAAGCTCATTTTGTAATCGGCCTCCATCTCCAATGTGTTTGCTTAACAGGATCCTCTAAATGTTTAGACATAAGGTAAATGGAATTAGATGGGTAGAAGGCGAGATTTAAATACTACTGGGAGAAGTTGGAAGTTGGAGAGTTAAAAAGGTGAGGGGTGAGAGATTCCTATGACCAGCAAACAAAGACATATGTTTGGAGGATGAAGCTTTGATTAGAAAATGTAATTTTAGATGGCAAATAGATACACTGTTGGATAAAAAGTGATTCACATAATGAGACAATTATTCCCTTTTCAAGTCTTTTCTTTTATGGCTCAGTTATGATCAAAGAAGTCTCAGTGTGGTGAAAGTATGTCTTTACGACCTCTGGACACTTCCCTGAAGTTAAAATTCAATAACACTGTTTTGATTTCATTGTTTCTTTTCACAAATACCCTTCTTAGGGCAAGTGACTCTAGCTTCCCACTTACGTATTTTTTCTAAAATAAATGTACTTAATTTTAATTTTTTAATGAGCCATTTTTAATAAAAATTTTAAGTAATATAAGAGGTGCAGGGAGATAGCAAAAATTATAAACATGAAACATGAATGACTAAAGTTTAGGAAGCAGTGGCTTGAGAAACAAATTCTTCTCAGCCTGGAGTGTAGGGAAGCTGCACAATTGTGTGGGTGTGATTGTTGTTGATCTTTAATTTCCATCGCACCAAAGAAGCAGTGAATAAAAATGAGGGAGTTTTTTTATTTTTAGGAAGCTGCAATTTCATTCTCATTGCCAGTGATATTTAACGAGAATATCGTTACTTTCCTAGAGTTGATTCTTTGGGTGACTAAGACTCCTTAGAACCAAGAATGCAAGCACAAACTCTGAAAGCCTAATTAAAAGTATGATTCTTGCCCCGGTGCGTAACACTAACTCTTTTGTTAGCATCCCATGAGAAGAAACACCTCAGCTCAAATCACATTTTCCTACCTTCTCCCTTGCCAGTTCTGCCACTTTTTCATTAGCTAATCCCAATTAAAACACTTTGTTACTAACACCATAAATCTCTGCCACTCTCAATAAGCATAAATTATATGGCAAATAACTATATTATATGTCTATCCAGAAAAATAACACCTCCCACCTCCCTCCTGTTTTTTGCCATCTTGGGACTCAGAGCTTCTAAGTCAACACTCACGCTTTTTAATTTGGGTCCCCTGCCCCCTCTAATTACTTACCTATAAAGCTACACTTTTTTAAGGAAGAAAATTATCACCAATGCCCTTCTCTAAACTTAATCATTAACTGCGCTTTTTCTTCCTGTTTGTGAACAATTTGAGGTAGTAGGAAAGGCTTGGTCATTATATTTACAGCTAACTCTGCCATTTATCAATGGAATGACCTGGAACAGCCATCCTGGCTCACACCTAGGCCTGAATCATAAACTGAGGAGACCGACCTCACGGGATTTTGTTTCAAAATTAATTAAGGCACATGTAGACTGTGTTTAGCACAGTGCCTGGCACAAAATGTGGGCTCATGTTGTCTAAAGCGAAGTGGTGATTTTGTTTGCTTCTCCCATGGTCAGCAATTGCTTAACACAACATTTCATATATTAAACTAACAAAAAGAAACATACCTCATCCTGTGATTGATTTTCAAGCTCATTTATTCCTCATTTCTCTGTGGTTTAATTTAATTAAATTGAGCAGCCCATCAAATATTGATTTTAATAAAATCTTGATTAAGATTTGAGCAATTATCAAACGCTCTTTTTCATACCATTCTTGCATTTCAATAGAACCAACCTCAAAAACCAATTTGCTTTTAAAATAAAGAAGTGATTTTATAGATATTCTTCAGGCCATTTTCAGAAATAAAGAAAAAATGGCCTCCCGTTGTTGTTATTAGCCGAGATAAGCAGCAATGTCTGACCAGCGTTTTAAAAAACTTAATCCAGTAGTTATCTCATCCTCAATGAATAGTAGAAAGGGAAACTCAAAAAAGAATTAAGTCCTTTAATAAACATTAATTTGGCTCCTACTGTGTACGAAGTACTATTTTACCCAATGCAAGTAGAGGTAAGGAAAAGCTAATTATGTAGTTAGTTTTAATGTATGTGGAAAAATTCAGCCACACGTGAAAGTTTTTGACTTTATTAATTAATAACCAGAGACCTACATTTATTCCAACCCTTAAAATTACTCTGTTGTGCAATTTATGAATATAGGCTCATTATTAGGAGAATCTAATGTAAATGTGATGGTATAAATTATCAATAGTATTATATTAGCAATTAACCATAAGTGTAAGAGATTTAATAAGTTAAATATTTGGTTTGATAGTTAAGCGCTAAAAAGAAACGGTAAAGCCAATAGCTGTCACAGCAGCACCACCTAGAGGCCTGTGAGGAGTAACACAGGTCATTTCCCCAAACTTGCCTTCTTACTTAGAGACAAAGAGCAGTAGCTACTCCATTTCAGCACCTTCTGTCACCGAAAGCATTTTAATTCTATTCAGCATATTCTTAAATCTTGAAATATTTACAAAATAGCTAAATGAAATTGAATAACCTCAAAATCACAATGTAGTTTGGCAAAAGATGTCAATTTTCCCCCTGGCATAGGAGATGAAACTGGGCAACTACGGGAGCAGCCCAGGTCTTGGGACATTACAACGTGAGACACAGGCATCCTCTCTCTAACACACACCTCCTTATTCTGTCTTGATCCCAAACACATGAGTGCCCAGGCCGACTGCACATTTGATAGCACTTCAGAGTTATGTTCCTGAGCTACTGCCCAAAGTGTAGTTAGAGATGTTGAGAAGAAATTAACTTTCCATTGTTAACATTGTTTATATCAGAAGATCCACTTACTAGTTCCCTTCCACTAGCCAAAGCTGAACTAATGTTCTGGAGATGGAATTGAAAGAGAAATGACAAAACATTTTTCTTTTTTATTATTTCCCATCCTTTCTTCTGTTATCTTTTATAATTTTTCTCAACCTCTCAACCTGAAAACTTCCTTGGATTAAAATTTAGATAATAAAACAAATCAGCTCTTCATAGAAATGAAAACACTCCTTATATTATTTGGTTTCAGAATTTCAGCAGACTTTGCTGACCATCAGCTGACTGCAGCTTCACAGGGGAATGGCAAAAACAAAAACAAAAACAAAACATAACAAAACAAAACAGCACATTTACTGCATATACAAATTGGGGCTAATGAGGCACAAAGTACCGCTCATCTTCATTTCCACTTGAGGGCGCTGTCTGCCTCAGTGAGGCGGGGGTGCTGAGTCAGTATTTTGCCAGTCAGTGCAGCAAATGCAGAAGTCTGCCTTAACCTGTACTTTCTGGCCTCCATATATGAAGCTGGGGTTCCTACCTGAGCACACTAGTAAAGGAAAGGCGGCAGGTCCATTCATGCGCATGCTCTGAATTTCAGGTAAGGCACTTGAGCACAGTTTACCAAAATAATACTAGGTTTTGCCTAGAGAAGTTTTTTCCCCAATCTGTATGCTAAAGTCATAGCTGAAGTCACATCAAACTGCAGTAACTTTAGTTTTTTGAAACATCAGACTTTTCTTGCACCTGCTTTTCCCTCTGTTCCACCCCTACACCTACTGACCTAACTAGTGTCCGAGCCTCCTTTGGATCTCAGCTTAGATAGCACCAGTCCAGGATTCCTTCTAGGATCACCTCATGCTGGGTTAGGATGACCTTCTACGTGCACCATTTGCAACCTAAACTTCTCCCACTGGGAAACTTTGTGTGCAGTTTTGCAACTGTTTGTTCATTAACCATATCCCCCACAAGACTGTAGGCACCGTGCAAGCAAGGGATATTTTTATCTTATTTATGGTTGTATTCCCTTCACCCCCACGATTCTGCCTCAAATATTCCATCAATATTGTTGAAGGAGGCCGGGCGCGGTGGCTCACACCTGTAATCCCAGCACTTTGGGAGGCCGAGACAGGGGGATCACGAGGTCAGGAGATCAAGACCATCCTGCCTAACACGGTGAAACCCCATCTCTACTAAAAATACAAAAAATTAGCCTGGCATGGTGGGGGGCGCCCGTAGTCCCAGCTACTCGGGAGGCTGAGGCAGGAGAATGGCATGAATCCGGGAGGCGGAGGTTGCAGTGAGCCGAGATCATGCCACTGCACTCCGGACTGGGAAACAGAGCGAGACTCCATCTCAAAAAAAAAAAAAAAAAAAAAAAAAAAAAAATATATATATATATATATATATATATATATATATATATATATATTTATATAGTAGAAGGAATGACTGTCCCATATAAGTCTGCTTTATCTTGGGAGGGACTCTAATGTTCTATTCATAGTCTCCATTTATTTGCCTTCCAAGCATGTGCCTCAGCATCCACCATTTTGCTTCCACTCTTACCTTGTTCTTTTAAGATCCAAAGCGGTCAGAAGAAGTGATCAAGATTCAACAAGCTAAGCTGTCTCCTGATGGTCAAGGCATTCTCTTCACCATGTCCAGGCTCCTTACAGGATCCACAGACAACTCATTCCAATTTCTGAGTCAGCTGCAAGAGAAGAAGTCAACCAAATAGATTTACAAAAGGGATCGGATCATGCTGGAATGTCTGGTGTGACATTACAAGGCAGCATCCTCCCTGGGAAGGAGATGTAACTCCTTCCTTTTGCCAGTCAGGTAACAATGTCCTCTTCTCTCTTGTATGCAGTTGGCAGAACAACACAGAAGGAGGACAAGGGAGCTCAGCCTTGTTTCTTGCTCGGCCACTTATCGTGTCCATGACAGGCTATATTTTGGAATGAGAATAGCATAGAGCCATCTAGATAACTTGGAGGATATACAACAGGCACTCCAAGACAGAAGCAGAACTATCATGGAGAAAGTTCCAGAATGGGGTGAAATGAGATTTACCACTCTGGATCCTTATTCCATCATTTGGTTTCTTTGCCTCAGACACAACATCTGCAAAACGGAGCCAAGCTTGACAAATTCAAAGGGACATTATAAGGCAAGTGAGACAGAACACATGGAAGTGCTTGGAAAACTATGCCCAGGAAACAAAAAATAAGAGATTAGTGTTTATAGAAGAGCAGCAGACTGCCATACTATCCACTATCCAATACCTTTAGGTTTTAAAGATTGGAGGACATTGTTTCACTGTCTTCACCCTGACAAATGTTTACTTCAATTAGGAAATAAAATTTAGAGAAAAATTGGCCCAGCATATGTTAAATGATGATCAGTGGATCCTGAGCATGAGAACCAGTTAGTGATCATTTAGAGTGAAATACAAGGAAAATGGCACATACAGTTGCTCTGTTTTTTTTTCATACTTACAATTGTATAGATGAAAATATACATGCAGAACATGGTAAGTAAACATGTCTCAGTCGACTCTCTTAGAAAAGACTCGTAGCCTTTATTCATTCATAAAAGCACATTTTTAATTACTGAAAACTGGCAACACACAGCATGAGAATTTTCCCAGACAAAAGACATCAAGTCACATTTTTCAAGAAACACAACAAACCCCAAGCAGGATAAATACAAAGAAAACCACACATAGTACAACTGCAATGTATGCACGAAAAGATAGAGCTGCAAAATATTTAAAGCAAAAAGTGATAGAACTGAAAGAAGAAACAGACACATCCTTGATGATAGGTGAAGAATTCAACATCCCTTTCTCAACAATTGATAGAAAAACCAGACAGAAAAATCACCAACGATAGAGAACTTAACAATATCATCATGCAACAGAATTTAATTGACATTTATAGAACACTCCCACCATTTTAATTGGCACCACCCCAATGGCTAACGATGCTGAGTATCTTTTGGGGTGCTTATTTACCATCTGTATATCTTCTTCAGTGGAAAGTTTCTACCTGTCTTTTGCCCATTTTCGAACTGGATCATGTTGTTGTTGTTGCTGCTGTTTTTGTTGTTTTTACTGTTAAGTTTTGAGAGTTCCTTAATTATCCCAGATACTAGTCCTTAGTCAGACACATGATGTGCAAATATTTGCTCCCAGTCTGCAGCTTGTCTGTTATTCTCTTAAGATGGTCTCTTGAAGAGCAAAAGTTTTAACTTTGATAAAGTCTAATTTATAAATTTTTCCTTTTATGAATTGTATTTTTGGTGCCAAGTCTAAGAACTCTCAAACTCTCACCACCACACTTTTCTTTTCTTTTTCTTTCTTTTTCAGTGTGTGTACTGTCTTTATCTGATTTGAAGACCAGGGTAATGCTAACTTTATAAAATCATGAAATGAATTGGGAAGTTATCCCCCTTCTTCTGTTTTCTGAAAGAGATTGTACAGAAACGATGTTAATTCTTCTTCATATATTTGGTGGAATTATTTAGTGAGTCCCCAGTGGAGATTTCTTTTGGGGAATGTTTTGGTCCGTTGGTCACCAATACCAGCTATGACCACGTGACCAGTTGCTAAAAACGAGGACTGTAATTGTCATAAATATTTCCTTCTTATTTTGTTAAGAACATGTTTGTGCATATGTATACTTATACTAAGAAAATACCTTTCTTCATACTCATTTTATTTCTTTTTCCTTTATCATGTGATGTAAGATTTATTGACTTCATATCAGCATTTAAGTATTGTTAACTTTATGTAACAGCATTTGAGTTGGGGATTGATGTGTTTCCAGTTGTACAAAGGATAGCTGTTAGGCACATTTATGATTATGTTAGGCATAATTATGACCTTATTTCTGTCTTTATTTGAAGATTATGTATGATTTTAGGAGATGTATATGGGTTCAAGTTGACAATGGGTGGACTTGTAATGGTTAATATTGAGTGTCAACTTGATTGGATTGAAGGATGCAAAGTATTGTTCCTGGGTGTGTCTGTGAGGATGTTGCCAAAGGAGATTAACATTTGAGTCGGTGGACTGGCAAAAGCAGACCCACCCTCAATCTGGGTGGGCACAATCTAATCAGCTGCCAATGTCACCAGAATAAAAGCAAGCAGAAGAACGTCGAAAGACAAGACTGGTTTAGTCTTCTGGCCTACATCTTTCTCCCATGCTGGATGCTTCCTGCCCTCGAACTTCAGACTCTAGTTCTTCAGCTTTGGGACTCCAACTGGCTGCCTTACTCCTCAGCTTGCAGACGGCCTATTGTGGGACCTCAACTTGGGATGA
Organism: Homo sapiens; assembly: GCF_000001405.40. Taxonomy (NCBI): domain Eukaryota; kingdom Metazoa; phylum Chordata; class Mammalia; order Primates; family Hominidae; genus Homo; species Homo sapiens. Next base: position 80,531,403 of record NC_000016.10, read on the forward strand.
TGTGACTCAATACTCCTTAATTAACTCCCCTTTATATATACATCTAACCTATTAGTTCTGTCCCTCTAGAGAACCCTGACTAATACAGGGAACTTTTAAATATGAACTCAATTTATTTTGCTTTTCTTTTCCAAGTTTCTTGAAGTGAGAGTTCAGATTAAGACTTTTCATATTTTCTAATGAGAGCACGTATAATTTTTCCCTCTAACTGCTTTAGTTGGGTTCCACAAATTTGATACATCTTATTTCATTGTCTTTCAGTTCACTGTATTTAAAAAATTTCTCTTGAGACTGCCTCTTTCAACTAGAATTATTTAGAAATGTGTTGGTTAGTTTTCAGGTGTTTGCAGATATTCCTATTATCTTTCTGTTATTGATTTCTATCTTGAATCCACTGTAGTCTGAGAACACACTCTGTATAATTTCCATTCTTTTAAATTTGTTAAGGTTTGTCTTACAGTCCAGGATGTGGCCTATCTTGTTGTATATGTTCTTTGGGCACTTGAAAAGGATACGTCTTCTACTGACGTTGGTGGGAGTGTTCTATAAATGTCAATTAAATTCTGTTGGTTGATGATATTAGTTCTCTATCCTTGGTGATTTTTCTGTCTGGTTTTTCTATCAATTGTTGACAGAGGGATGTTGAATTCAACTATCATTGAGGAAGTGTCTGTTTCTTCTTTCAACTCTATCACCTTTTGCTTTAAATATTTTGCAGCTCTATCGTTTTGTGCATACATTTTAATTTTTAGGTTTGCTATGTCTTCTTGGTGGACTGATCATCTTATCAATGTATAATGGTTCTCTCTGTCTCTGGTAATTTTCTTTCCTCTGAAGTCTATTTATCTGGTATTTATGTAGTCACTCACTTTCTTTGGATTAATGTTTACACAACATTTTTTTCATCTTGTTATTTTCTGCCTGCCAATATTATTATATTTTTAAATGAGTTTCATGTAGATGATATATAGTTCAGTCATGCTTGTTCTAATGCTCTCTGATGACCTCTGTCTTTGTATTGGTGTATTTAGACTATTTATACTTAATGTTATTGTTAACAGGCTAGGGTGTGGTGGAAGTGGCAGAATGGGTTCCCACATTATCTTTACTGAAGCTGCTGGGGGAGAGGGCAACTAGTTAACACCCAACAGGGACGAAAGTCCCAACTCCCTACTCATTCTTCTCTGGCAATACTATCACAGAGGATGGAGGGAATGATGGCAATATGAGAGTGGAAATCTATATTCTCCTCTTGGGCTTTGATGGTTTTTTTCTGTGGTGTTTGGCTGGAGTCGAGTGGTTGTTTTCTGAGAGTTTCCATCTTTTTAGGCTGGATGTTTGTTGATCCTTTGGGTAGAAAAGGTAGGCTTTCATTGGGACTTTTAAAATCTTTCTGTGCCTGTTGACATTTCTGGTCTGCCAGCTCCTTGTGCAAGATATCCTAGTCTAGGATATATGTGACAAAAAGAAATCTCAAGTAACTTATGAGCGTGTCATTCCTTGGATCCCAAGGTCCCTAGCCAATCTGTCTGGTTATCTCAATCTCTTCTGTTTGTATATATAATCTTCAGAGTTATTAGGTATAATTAGGGGAAACAATAGGCAGAAGCATGTCTACTTCATCTTTACAGAAACAGAAATCACTGATCATTTTTGGTTTCTTAATTCATGCTGACAATCTCTATCTTTTAATGAGTCTGCTTATGTGATATATATGTAATTATTGATGTATCAGGATTTGATTGTTCCATCTATTTACCATTCTACTGTTTGCCCTTTTCCCTTTTGGGTTGCCCAAACAATTTTTCATATGATAATTTATCTACTTCACCTTTTTACTGTATCAGTTTGTAATTTTTCTTATTGATTGCCCAAGAGATTATATAGCTCATTTGTCACAATCTACTTAAAACCAATACCTGACCACTTCAATTGAAATGTAGGAAACTTACCCTTAGATTAGTCTCTTTACCCTCCCTTTACTTGTAGTTACCTTACATATTACATTTACATTCTTTCAAAACCCCCAAAAATGCTATAACCTTTTTCAACCATCAAACACATTTTAGAGAATTCAAGCGAGTAACAGTCTATTACAGGATTCAGCAAACTTTTTCTGCTAAGGGCCAGATAATAAATATTTTAGGCTTTGCAGACCATACAGTGTCTGTCACAACTATTCAACTCTGTGCTTATAGAACGAAAACAGCCAAAACAACACATAGCCAAATGAGCATAACTGTGTTCCAATTAAATTATATTAATCAAAATAGATGGTGAGCTGAATTTGGTACATGGGCTATAGTTTGCTGACCGCTAGTGTATTATACTTACATTTTTAGTTTCTTCTTCCTTCATTTCTAATGTTGTATGTTTCCCTCTCATATCATTTCACTTCTGTCTTAAGAACTTCATTTAATGTTTTTTTAAGTGCATGTTTGCTGGCACTAAATTTCCTTCATCTAAGAATGTCTTGGTCGAGCACGGTGGCTCATGCCTTTAATCCCAGCACTTTGGGAGGCCAAGGCAGGCAGATCACGAGCTCAGGAGATCGAGACCATCCTGGCTAACACGGTGAAACCCCATCTCTACTAAAAATACAAAAAATGAGCCGGGCGTGGTGGCGGGCACGGGTAGTCCCAGCTACTCGGGAGGCTGAGGCAGGAGAATGGCGTGAACCCAGGAGGCGGAGCTTGCAGTGAGCCGACATCACGCCACTGCACTCCAGCCTGGGCGACAGAGCAAGACTGTGACTCAAAAACAAAACAAAACAAAAAAAAGTCTTTATTTCTCCCTTTATTACTGAAGGGTATTTTTGCTGTATATAGAAAATTGGGTCGACAATATTTTCTCTCAGCTCTTTAAAGAGATAGTTCCCCTCCAAGGTTTATGACCAGGAATCATGCCTGTATAAATCAAAATCATTTCTCTATAAATAATACTTCATTTTTCTCTGACTGCTTTCAAACTTTTTCTTTATCTTCAGATTTTAGCATTTTGCTTATGATGTATTTGGATATAAATTCATTTTTGTTTATCCTCTTTGGGATTCACTGAGCTCCTTGAATCTATAGATTTGTATCTTTTAAGATACATTTTTAAAATTTAACTATTACCTATTCAAATGTTTTTCTGCACTACCCTATTTCTCTTCTCCCTCTGAGACACTGATGACAAATCTTAGATTTTGGAGATTTTTCACAGTTCCTTGAGGGTTTGCTTTTCCTCTCTTTTGCTCATATTGGATAGTTTCTTTTGATCTGTTTTCAAGCTCATTGACTCCTTCCTCTAACATCTCCAGTCTGCTGTTTAGCTCACCCAGTGAGGTTTTCGTTTGTTATTTTGTCAGTTCTAAAACCTCCATTTGCTCCTTCTTTACAACATATATTTACATCATCTATTTCCTACCTGAGATTTTCTATCTTTCCATTTGTTTCAAGAACGTTTGTCCTTACCTCCTGGACTACTTTGATTATAGTTATTTTAAAGTCTTGGCCAGATAATTCTAAAATCTGTGTCATCTCACATCACAAGAGAGTCTATTGATTCCCTTCTCTTAAAAAAGTTTTTTTCTGGACTTTTGTATATCAAGTGATTTGGGGTTGTATACTGAACACTTTGAATATTAGGTAATGAAATGCTGAGTTTTATTTAAATCCCATAAAGAATGTTGGTATTTTTGTTTTTGCCAGAAATCAATCCAATTTGGTTCTGGCTCCAAGCTCTGACCAGCCTTCTGTGGCTTATGGTTTCAGTGTAGGTTCCACTTTCCAAGAATTTGAAGAAATATTGGATCTGACCCATGTTTATTCTACCCAGTCAGCAGTCTCGGACTTGCACAGTGGTCTATACCACAGTTCTATTCTCAAAGTCTTTGATATATTGTCTGGGATCAGAAACACATATGCTCAGTCAGGGGTAAGTCTGGGAGTCCAAAAACAACTTCATGGGGTTGCCTTCCTGAGCAATTCCCTCACTGTGAATCCCCTGATAGTTTCAAATTCTCTGGGGCTTTTCTTGTTAATCCTCAGGCCAGAATGCTGAGACTTTACCCAACTTTGCCACATTCTGTAATTGTATCTGTGTCGAGGTCCAGTGGTAAGAGAACACAGAAAAAAACAGTGAAGTTTGCCACACACTCTTGAAACCAATGCCCCTCTGCTCAGAGAATAAGGTCCCTGTATTAGTCTGGTTTGTGTTGCTATAAAGGAATACCTAAGATTGGGTAATTTTTAGGGCATAATTAGAGGGTGCCAGTGATATCAATAAGTATTTCCCATAACTGACCCAAAGTCATAGAATTGCAGTATTATAAAGTTTCAGAAAATCAATCATTTTATTCTTATTAGGACAAAGACACCTCTAATTTCTTAATTATTATATAGTCCAGTAATTAATTCTTTTATGGGATTAGTACTTTGGTATCTTGTTTAAGAAAGCTTTCCCTAGCCCAAGGTAATGAAGATGTTTCATTTATTTTCTCATGGATATCATACTGACACAGTGTCATATATTGAAAAAAACACGTTTCCCCCACTGGACTGCAGCGCCACTTTTGCTACACACCAAGCATCCATATAGGTATGCACAATTGAGAGACACAATTAAGAGAATAAAATGTAAGCCACAGAGTAGAACAGATTTGTAATAGATAGATATAGGTGTAGCTGTAGGTATTTATGTAAACGTAGACATATACATATAATCATCAAAAATCTTGTACCACAGGGCACACACACATGCACGCGCACACACATACACACAAAATCCAAAAAATATAAGTCAATAATTATGTGGGGGAAAAAGTGATCAGTCTTATCCGTAATCAAGGAGATGCAAATTAAAACCACATAAGACACTACTTTACATGTACCAAAATGGCTAAAATCTAAAAGCATGACAATATTAATTACTGGCAAGGCTGTAGACCAAAAGAAATTATCTTGCACTACAGTGTGAGGTACACTGGCACACTGGCACAACCACAGTGGAAAACAGTTTGACAGTGTGTGATAATGGATCATACTCTATGACTCAGCAATTCCACTCCTGCATATATATATACATATATATATACCTGAAACAAACGCATGCCTATGTGCACCAAATGACATGTCAAAGAATGCTTTGGCAGCATTATTCATAATAGTCAAAACCTAGAAACAACGAAAATATCTCTCAGCAGTAAAAGTATAAATAAATGTAGTGTTTTCTAAAAGTGAGCACTACACAGCAATAAAAATGAAGAAACCACAACTGCACACAACATAGATGGCTATCATACACACAATGCTGAGTAAAATTGTGCCCAAAACAAAAGATTACCTACGAGGTAATTCCATTTATGTAATTTTAAATGAAGCAAACTAAATTATACTGTTAGAAGTCAGACAACTAAATTTGCAGGCAGAGTGGGAATAATGATTGGGACTGGCCAAGTAGAAGTTTCTTGGGTGTGAACAGTGTTCTATTTATTTTAACCTGGTTTGGGGGCTTAGGTGTTCACTTCATGGTAACTCACCCCCTGTACATTTGTTTTGTGCACCTTACTTTTTTATGTGTTATACTTCCCAAAGTAATTTTGAAACTAAATAGATCAGAGACCTCAAGACTGGATTATCTGAGAAAAGGAGAGGTACATAAAGAGCATGACATTTTATTGCTCCCCTCAGGCCTTCCTTTCTTCTTCTTTGAACAAAGTTAATCGACCAGGAAATATTTACGGTTTACCCTCAACCATAAGATACTGAGAATACCTATGATGTGCAGTACACCAAGATGGGAACTGCTTGCTGGAGCTAGAAGTATAAAAATGGGAATTATGTTAAAATGGGATTAGAGGTAGATGAAACAGATGAAAGTTCTAAATTAATAACAGGTTGTCTACAAAGAGAAAGGGAAAGATGTTCTTTAGTGACAACGTCAACAATATGAATTACAGAAATTTTTCCTAGGGAGGGTAAGAAGGAAGAGAGGTTGAGGAGAGGATAGTGAAGAAGGGAGACAAGATGGAAATGGGGGAAGGAAATGGGGAGGAAAGGTTAGAGAAAAGATGAGAAGGAGGGAGAGAGGAGGGAAGGAATGCAGGGAAGGAGGAAAGATGGACCAAAGAAAAGACAGAAGAAAGAAACATGGTTAAATGATCCACACTGGTCACCTGGTATGAGCCAGACATTTCACCCACATAATATTTAAACCTCGCATCTCAACCTTCTAAGGTAGATACTATCTTTCTTACTTTATAAATGAAGAAGCTGATGCTGTTTTTTTTATTGAAGGAAATATGCCTAGAAATGTCAACCCCACATGCATACAACTCCAAATCCTGTGCTCTAGGAAAACACTTAATTTCAACAGGAAGGATTCCCTTATGGAAAGCAAATACTTCTATTACACTTAGGTCTTGAAAGGAGTCACCCCAGAGGGTGCCTTTGTCCTAAGAAGAAGAAAATGATTGATTTTCTGAAACTTAAAATCTATAATACTGCAATTCTATGACATTGGGTCAGTTTTAGGAAATACTTATTGATATTACTGGTATCTTCTAATTATGCCCTAGTATTAAGGAGTATTTTATTTTATTATTTTATTGTACTTTTTTTATTTGAGACAAGTCTCACTCTGTCACCCAGGCTAGTGAGAGTGGTGTAACTGTGGCTCACTGCAACCTCAAACTCCCAGCCTCAAGTGATCCTCTTGCCTCAGCCTCCCAAGTAGCTGGGAATACAGGCATATACCACCACGCCCAGCCTTTTTTTTTTTTTTTTTTTGATTTTTAGTAGAAATTATGTCTTGCTTTGTTGCCCAGGCTGTTCTCAAACTACCGGCCTTAAGCAATCCTCCTGCCTCAGCTCCCAAAACACTGGGGTTACAGATGAAAGCCACCATGCCTGGCCTGTGAACATGTTAGAAGAATGTAGTGTCTATTTTCTGGAGGGAAACCAGTAGAATACCAGGAGAAGTTCTGGTAAGTGACAAACAATGCCTTACCTTATGAGAAAATGGGCACAAAATTTATTCTACAGCCCAGTTCATAATATTTGCCAACTGCCAAGAATGCCAAAGATAGCTATATGGGTTGGTATAGAAAATACCAAAAAAAAAACTCAAGATCATTAAGTTATCTGGATTTCTTCAAGCTAACCAGAGAGCAGTAGCAAAGTATCAAACAGCAAGAGAGACTCCCAGAAGAAAATCATCTCCTTCTAACAAAATCATATGTGAAAAATAGTGGACTTGGTCTCTGCATGTATCACTTTTGGGGTTAAGTCAGAGTACTTGCAAAAACTATTATTCACTAATATTTTCACTTACGTTCAAAGTTATTTAGCACTTATTGTGAGTCAAAAAGAAAGGCCGAGGGGATGGGAGAAAGAGGAGAGGGTAAAAGGGGAATTCACATATATTGGGGATGGAGTAGGAAACATGTAAGACATTGCAAAGACACTTTATATAGCACAGCTCTGGATATTCATTACAGGTCCAAAAAAGGCATGAAAATTAAACCGAGCTACCTCCAAGGAATAATTAGAAGTGAAAAATTGATAAAGGGGAAATGGCTCAAGTTCTCCTCATTGATTTTCTGTGCACAGAGTCAAACTTGACTGTTGGTTGGAAGTCAGTTTGGCTACTTCTTATTTCTTTTTCAGCAGTTGGGTTCTCCCGTCAGTGCGTTTTATGCTAGAATCGTTCTTTGCTCTAATTACAGCTGTCAGCTATTGAATGAGCTTGACATCCTGACTCCAGAAACAAGGAAATTCACACTCCATGCATATGCAGTTGGTTCCTTCATTAAAGCTGATTGACATATCAGACATGGTGCACTGTCACTGATTTTTGTAAGAAAAACAAACGGCTACACAATCAAGTGGAATCTCCTTGATCAGAAACACCCAGAGAACCCAAGAATCACTCTTCATTCAACTCAGCCAGTATTTCTGTAAAGACCTATTATTTGTATTACTGCAAAATGGTAGCTATAGTCAATCAGGTAAGAGCCAGATCTGTACACACATGCATGCATACACACACAAGCACACAAATGCACACGCACACGCACACACCAGACTCAGACTCCTTCCCCACAGCTATAGCAGTCCTTTCCAAAGCAACTTTGTTGGAGTACCAGGTGTTGAGAGTCAAGCGGGATTCTTTGGCTAGTAATAGTGAACTGGCTGAGATATACAGATTTCTTGGAGGGAAAAAAAGGAGAGAACTACAGTGATCAGAATCACCCACACCTCAACAAAAATTAGAGCAGAACTACAGTTTCTCAGAGTATTTCTGTAGTTAATATAATAAAATGACAGATGTGGAGTTGAAATGGATCATCGAGTCCAAGCCTGCCAATGAGTTCAAAACTGTCCCAGAGCACCCCTAACATGGACCATTCAGAATCCAGTTGACATTCCTAGCACGATGTATGCCTTGTTCAGTGTGAGACTACTTTCTGGAAATGGATGCACAAACAGAATCGGTATTACAGGAAGTTGTTATGGCATGATCCCTATGAAGATGCATTCCCAACTTACAGCTTGTATTTTGTAATCAATATTTGTCCTCCTCTAACCTCAGGAAGTCATAACACGACTCCAGCCATAAAATTTTCCTGCTGTGCTTCGTCGTACAATAGTGGCTCTTTTCCTCCTAGGCTATAAGGATATTATCAATGTCCCTCAAAAGGTCAAGTGACTTCTGATCATTCCTAACTGATCTTTAACGTGTTTCCTCCAACAGTTCCTTAAACACCCAATGGAATGCTCTTCTATGGCAACGTATAGAACCTCCGGAACTACCATTTGCAATTTTTTAGTAACTCAGAACTGTTGATTTTTAAAATGGCAAAAATACAGATCCTAATGGATACTGACAACTAACAGAAATACTGACAAGTAGCAACTCTTCAATGGAGTTGAGAACAGGAAGAGGGTGCTATAACTAGGTGAGAACATAAAATGTGCAACTGTGCTTACTCTACTGATCTTAGAGTAGACAGATAGAAAGTAATTTTTTTAAGTACATAAGGTTGTACTATTTGATGCTCTGATATATTTTTCTTCAATATAAAAACTACTGGGAGGCGAGCGAACAGTATCTGCCCTGAACAGGGCAGTACTAATGGACGGTCACAGGCAGCTAAGACTATCACCAAACCCCTAGAGCAGCCCAACCCCGAAGTCAGATGGTCCTGTCCCCTCCTTACTTGCTCCAGGGCAAGTATCACACGTGGACATTACTGCTTCCGGTACTGTTTCGTGCATTTTGTTTGGTGCATTTTGTCCGTCTCCCTGGCACCTGGTGGGTGGTGAATCAGCAGTTTTTGAACGAATAAGTGGTTATCACATTAATTCGTGCCTCAATGAATGAATGAATGGACAAACACAGGCCGGGAGCCTGACCCACTTCCCTCTTCCCTCCCGGGACCCACTGCTCCAGGATTGGGCGAACCTCAGGTGAGCGCCTGCTCCCCTCTTCCGCGAACCTTCGCCTACGGCGGCCGGGAGGCATCAGGAGCGCGGTCAGGGCGAAAAAGCCGACTCGCGAGCGCGCAGGCGCAGCCCTGACGCTTCCGTGGGGCCACTTCCTTTTTTGTCTCCTAGCAACGGCGGGTAGCGTTGTTGACATCCCGGGAGGCTGTGCCGCCGGCCTGAGCCCAGAGTTTCGCGGCCTCCGCGATGGTAAATCTGGGGTCTCCGTCCACGCCCCGCCGTTCCAAGCACGCCGACCGTCAAGGACCTTCGCACCCAGCTTCTGGGGCCCACCCAGGCACGGGCGGTCCAGGGGCCGCGGCGGAGGCTGGTGGCTCCAGGATCTTCCTGGAGGGGCGAGAGGGAGACCTTGGAAAGGGGCAAGAAGATGTCTAGATGACTGGAAGCTGTTTTGGGAATTGATTTCGCGGGGATGGTACATAAGGAGGGGTGATGTTGAGAAAGGGAAGAGAGAGATTCAGAGGATGAAGAATGCTCAGGGGAGTGAGAAATCCGGGGAGCCAGGAAAGTTTCCAAAGAGGGGGCGGGAGGCCGAGATGGAGAGGAAAAAAAATCAGACCCTTAGAGAGAAGGAAGAGGTGGGACAGGGAAAGCAAGGGAATGGAAGGGTGAGAAGGGAAGATACTGAGAAAGAAGAAAGGGAAATAAAGAAAAAGGAAAGAAGTGATGGGAGACCCGCCCCCCTCCCCCCCAGAAAAAGAGGTAAGAAAAAAAAAAGTAGAGACTGTGGAAAGCAAAGGGCGTTAAGAGAAGAATGAAACGGGGATTGGAGATGGGGATTAAGAAATTATACTAGGAGCACTTACAAATCATGAGAAGAGAAACAACTGGGTGGAGAAATGGAAAGGCCAGGGAAAGAAAAGAAAGGAGTTTGGGAGATAAGTAAAGGGAGAAAGATAAATAAGGACACAGTGGCTGTAAGAAGCTGTGGACATCGTCTTAAAGATTGCCCAAAATGCAGTGAATTATTGATCCCCTGTTCAACGCTTACGGTTTAGTGTAGTGTTTCTCAAAGTCAGATGCAAACATTCGTTGCTACATAAGATGGCCGAGAAATGCTAAATAAGAGTGAATCACATCGTGAGAAAGTTATTCCTCTTCCATTTTGTTCAACCTTCAGACTACATACAGGAGAAAATTTCTGTTGCTATTAGGTCCTTAATACCACTGTCATTTGGAAATTTCCATTTTTTCATCCGAAGAGCAGGCCTCAGGCTCAGAGCTTTCATTGCAGTAGAATTTAATGATAGGCTCTCTCTTCATTTTGTTCATTTTGTTTGTTTTACAGTTATTTCTATTTATGAGGAATAACGTCAGGTTTCCATTTGTGGTAGTGACATACGATTTCCTCTTAAAATGCATTTATTTAAGCTTTTAGCAGTGAGATAATTTAAAGAACACCTAGATAAATAGTATACATGGCATTCATAATGGCAAGAATCATGAATCTAGTACACAAATGCCTAAAGTCAAGAAAACCTTGGCTCTGATGCTGAAATAGAGAAAATAAGTGCTCCTGCCCATACCAAGTACAAAGGAAAACTATCTTGAAGTAACAAAATGTTCACCTGTGCAATACTGAGGAAAAAAGAATATAGCAAACCCTCATCAAGAGAATTTGCAGAATTCAAAATATCCAGTGATTGCTCAGTCATGAAAAATTTGCAGGTTTGGAAAAGATCGTTCTTGTCTTTGAGTTTTCTACAGGGGAAGAAAACATACAATACACTCTACACATAAGATTCCGAATGAGTTTAAAACACAATAATAGATTCCAGAATAATCACTCATAGTTGAACATTCAGCTTGCACTGAGACGCAAGCTATAGTTATCAAGAAAATCCTAGAATCCTGGAATACTTTGTTTTTATAGACTATCCTTTAAATTTAATCATCCGAACTGATTAGGTCACATTAATGAAAATAAGATTTCTCAATAAGGACTACTTTTAGACAGAGGGAGGCCATGATATAGCTCTATAAATATTTAAAGCACTGTAATGTAGAAAAGGAATTTTCATTTGAATACAGCAGGGTCAATGAATGAAAGATAATCTGGGACAAATTTCCATGCAATGTAAAGAATACTTTTCTAGTAAATGGAAACAGATAAAAATGGAGTGAACTCCTGTGAGGCAGTAAGCTCTCTGTCTCTACAAGGGTTCAAGCCAAGAGATTCATCAGGATTGTATCCAGGAGGTCTTACGTAGGTATTTATGTGGGACTTGACAATTTCTAAGCTGTCTTTTAAAAATCTGAGATTATCACACCTGGCACCTTAGGTTAAGGAGATAGGAGAGTAGGTATCTTGCTAAACATTATTCTCCTTAGGGTTGAAGTTACCACAGGGCCCTTTTGGTTAATTATCTTCCTGGTCTCTTTCAGGCAGAGGTGGAGGAAACCTTAAAGAGGATCCAGAGTCATAAAGGGGTTATTGGAACTATGGTTGTAAATGCAGAAGGTAAATATATCACAGGCTGTCTTCTTGACACACAGAAGCCAACCAGGAACCTGTTTGCCGTGTTAGTCCTTAAGACAAACATCTTCGAATTTGACATCAAAAATATATTTATATATTTTAGCTCTGGCATTCACTTACCAAACATCTATTGAGTATCTGTTATATGCCAAACACTCTGCTAAGATCTGGGGGCATAAATATGAATAAGACATGTCTAAAAATCTCTATATACTCCTAAGAAGCACTATACATTGTTTACTTTTTAAAGCTTTGGTAATTCTCTTCCAACATTTCAGAAGTGCCAATAAAACTATCATATAGAAGATAGGGAGAATATCATTGTTGGTGGGTTGTTTGCGTTTCAACATTATGAACCATACAGAATTTCAGTGTTTATTTTAAATGGAACTTGTTCCTTGAACATATTTTATTTAAAAATCTTTGAGAATTAACGATATCATTTATAATATAGTCTTTGTGGATATAGCATAAGAAGGCCCTACATATTTCCAACTATGAAATCTGTAGACTTACCAGAAACTTGCTCTTGCTGCACGATCCTTGTTAAGAATCCACATCACATTTACTTTGGCACATTGCTCCACGCTCAGCTATGGTGGCAACCTCTTAAGAGTTCATGCTAGTTTCATTGCTAATTCAGACATTTGTAAGGGCAAGGAGTGCCAGAAATTCCAGAGCATTAGTTAAAATAAGAGTAGCTACTTTACATAATTTGTGGTGCAACCATGGAATTGGCCTATTACCAACTCAGTGCCTTGGAAAAATCCATCAGTAAATATTTATTAAGCAACTACCAACTGAAAGTCTGCTTAAATTCTGAACTACAACTCCTTACCACTAAGAATGGACAATAACCTATTTTACTGGGGGTTTTCATTGTTAAATGAGACAATAATTGTTGAGTGCTTGGCATAATACCCAATACTTGATAGTAATTAAATAGTTATGAGAATGTGAGGATTTTTAATTCATTTATACAGTTAAAACATTTGTTTTATAACCAGCAACTCAAGGCCAAATGAGTGAGAGAGATAATAGAACATAATAAATTTTCGAGCTTGAATAATCAGGGGGAAGAGAGGATTTAAGATCTGCCTTCCAGGTAAGTCACAAACTATGCGTAATATTTCCAGGAAGCATTCCAGCCCTAGTACGTGGATCTGGTTGCATTGATTTTATTTCCAGGTATTTGCATACACTCTGCCACAGCTCCGAAGATGAGCCGTCCATGTGATTTCATAGAGATGGTGTGTTAGTTTCCTTTGGCTACAGTAACAAACTACAACATGCCTGTTAACTTAAAACAACAGAAACGTATTCTCTTCCAGTTCTGGAGGTTAGAAGTTGAAATCAAGATGTCCGAAGGCTCATGCTGTCTCTGAAGACTCTGTGGGAGGACCATTCCTTACCTCTTCCTAGCTTCTGGTAGTTGTCAATCTTTAGTGTTCCTTGGCCTATAGACACATCACTCCGATCTCTGCCGCCATCATCACGTAGCATTCTCATCTTTGTGTCTGTCTGTCTGTTTCATTATAAGAACCCCAGTTATTGGATTAGGGCCTACCCGAATCCAATGTGACCTCATCTTAACTAATTATATGTGCAAAGACCCGTTTCCAAATAAGGCCACCTTCTGAGGTTTATATTGGACTTGAATTTGGGGATTTGGGGGGTCTAGGGGGACACTCTTCAACCCTGTACAGGTGCATTCACCTGTGACAGCCAGAACCACTCATCTAATGTGATTCTTTGGAAGATCTTGGTCTAAAGTAGGTAATCCTGGTGATATGCCTCAAAGGTCTGAAAAATATTCACCCCCTTTGATCTATAATTTTACTCCTAGCAATTTATCCTAAAGAGTGATGAAGAAAATATCTAGGTATGAGGATACTCACTGAGGCATCATATATAATAGCAATAAATAAATAAACAGAAAAAATAAGTAAATAAATGTATCCTAACAGTAGGGGAATTTTTAAAGTAACTAATTTTACTTGATGAACATTACTCTATTTAAAAGGTTGAAGACTGTTTAGTGTCTTGGGAAACTACTCACAGTATTAGATGAAAAAAGCAGAGAACAAAGCGGTCACCGGCATGTTCTAATCCTATTTATGGCCAGGTGCACACATACACTTCAAATAAATAGGAAAGGAAGGGTAGGGATATGTTACAGTGATCACCCTGGGTAGTGAGATGAAAAGTGATTTTCACTTTATTTTCCTGAGGTTCCTCAATTAACACTTCTCTTATCCGAAGGCAACAAAATATTATTTTCAGTACCCATTAGCTTCTTTTTTTTTTTTTTTTTTTGAGATGGAGTCTCTCTCTGTCATCCAGGCTTGAGTGCAGTGGCAGGATCTCAGCTCACAGCAAGCTCTGCAGCTCTGCCTCCCTGGTTCACGCCATTCTCCTGCCTCAGCCTCCCAAGTAGCTGGGACTACAGGCACCCGCCACCACGCCTGGCTAATTTTTTGTTTTTTTTTTTTTAGTAGAGATGGGGTTTCACCATGGTTTCGATCTCCTGACCTTGTGATCCACCCACCTCGGCCTCCCAAAGTGCTGGGATTACAGGCGTGAGCCACCACGCCCAGCCTTCAATACCCATTAACTTCTAATTAACCTCTAATAGGATAAGTTTGTATTAGAATTCAGGACACTTTTCAAGGTTTCTGGGTACTTAAGAGTTTTTACCTGAAAGCCAAATTAACCTTTTTTCCCTAAAATATAAATGAGGGGCTTATTTTTATGGTTCGATTGTTAATAACCAGAGTATATAACAAGGGTGTTTATTAATGGCATATGGTGTAAGCTACGTGACCAGAATGTAATAAAATACTCAATTTCAACAACCTCCTCAATTTTAGATGAAAGCATCATTTATTTCAGTGCAGCTTTGTAGCTTTTCAGCTTTGGGAAGTCCCATGAAATTTAATACCAAAATATTTAACTAAGATGGTGTTTTATGTATTCTTGTTTTCTACTAGCGGTTTTGGTCTGCTAAATCAAGGCAAATCATTTTAGCATTTTCAGATTATATTTGTGGTTAGGTCAGACTTCTACCATGCTTATTCATTTAGATATCATCATATGCCATTTTATATATAGTCCTTCGGTTTCACTGTTACTGAAACACAGACTTCCTATTGATGACCGTAAAGTAGTCTTCCCAATTTAGCCCAATGCTACACGTTTTTATTAGAGTAGATTTTTGTTAGCATTGGTTTCTCATTTATAAAACCATTCATTGTTTACAATATTGCAACACTGATCATTGAATTAGATACTGGCAAATATGTATATTTGTCACCCGGGCAGTCAGATCTGTCGTATTTTCTTATGTATATAAGTCTGATTTCTACAGGCTCTTAATTTTAAATATTCCTGACATTTCTAACAATCTATCATTTGAGTTTCATTAGATTGTAACAGCCATCCAGCCAATTCCTTTTATTTTGAAATACAATCTATCAACCAAAGCACAAATGTGCAGTTGAAGATGACAAATTGAAATAATGAGTGCTGGCTTACTAGGATCACAGGGAGTCATATTGTAAAGTAGTGCCATCAGATTTTAGAATGCACATGCTCTTTGTTCTAGGAGCTTCAGTTTAGGAATTTATCCTACACATACATATAAATGTATAAATGTGAAATGAGATGACCAAGGACATATTCTGTAGCCTTGTTTACAAAAGTAAAAGATTGGGAACAGCCTAAATGCTCATCAGCAGGACATATTAAGTATATTACAAAACACCCATTCAACCGACTGTTATTCAGTCACTGATGAGTGACTTATGTGTACTGAATCAAACAATTTCCAAAGAGTATTAAATTTAAAAATCAAGGTACAGAATAGACAATGGTATCATTAAGATGAAGATTACAAACACAAACACATACATTCTTGAATAGACCTAGAATGTCTCTAGAAGGCTTCTAAGAAACCAGTGGTTGTTTCTCAGAAGGGAAGTGGGTAAATTTTATACCATGTGCTAAAATTACTTCTCAATAATTTTTTTAATTACCTCACATGGTGCCAAGCAAGAGTTCAATAAATATTTGTTGATTGATTTTTTCCAAGTGTGTATGGCGGATATGAAAAACTCCATGTGTTTCCACCGTGCACACTTATTCAAAAAGGCTAGCTGTTTTATTTATTGACTTGGATCATGAACAGACTAAATAGACCTGAGCATCTGATTCATAATCCTGTCATCTACATTTTAAATAATTTATTCTGGTTGTATTTCTTGTTTTCCTACTGAGCATTGCACCCTTAGTAGGTAGTCACTACTTAGGATGCAAAATAAAACTGCTCGTCAAAAAGTTCCCATCAAAGGTTGCATGCTTGCTACGTTTCCATTTTCTGCTTGTTAAAGATCCACGCTTTGTGACCTTCAAGTATGCAAGACAGCTGACTGCCTTCCAGAGAAAAAGTGGCCAACAAATCACAATAAAAGATTAGCAAGGTTTTTATTATGCTTTATTTATTGAATAGGTTTTCCTGTAAATATTATCCTCATACTGTTTAGCAAAACATTCTGGACATAGCAGTTATCTTAAAAGAAAGAGAAATCAGTCTTCAAAGTCAAAATTGATGGTCTTCAAGATTTTTATGAAAACCTGGTAAAATCCTAAGTTTGTAACACTCTTCCATTCTTGAAAGCGCTTGTCTCGTTTAATCGTTTCTGGACCCACATTCTCTGAAGGAAACCAGGAGCCATGTTAGGCTCATTTCTTGAGTGCCCTTAATACGGATACCTAAGGAATTTGATAGCAATTCCAAATTCACCTTCATATCTCCTCCTAAAATAAAAGCACATTTGCAAATCAAATCCCTGGCTATCTAGTAGTTCTTAAAATAATATGAAGGCTATCTCGGATTAGATACGATATATATAAAATACCTAGCACAGTGCCTGGTACATAATAGGCATTAATGCTGGGTGTTCCAAGTTGAGTTAGATTGATTTCAACTGAATTGAATTACACTTGCATATTCTTCTGGCTAGAATTTTCCACTTAATAGTTTCTGTTTTAAACTCATGTAACAGAACAATAGAGCAGACTGGGCATGGTGGCTCACGCCTGTAAACCCAGCACTGTGGGAGGCATGAGGCGGGTGGATTACCTGAGGTCAGGAGTTCAGCCTAACCAACATGGTGAAACCCTGTCTCTACTAAAAATACAACAATTAGCCGGGCGTGGTGGTGGGTTCCTCTAATCTCAGCTACTCGGGAAACTGAGGCAGGAGAATTGCTGGAACCCAGGAGGCAGAGGTTGCAATGAGCCAAGATCATGCCGTCGCACTCCAGCCTGGGGGGCCTACAATAGCAAGACTCCGTCTCAAAAAAAAAAAAAAAATAGAGCACCCAAGTAGCCAAATTTAATAGTGATAAAGCCAAAAATGGGTGCAAACCACGGAATGCACAGCAAAACTACAATATCCTTATTACCACATTTTCTAACATAAAACTTAAGATTTGTGAAATACTGTGTGAGGAGTCCCTTTTGATGTACCCTCTAGCATGTGCAGTGATATCCCTTTATGTTTGTGGCCTCAGGGAAGAAGACTAACACCATGTCACAGAGCAAGAACTTCAGAGCAGACTCACTATAGACAAGATGTTCAGGGGAGTGCATTTCATATAAAAATATGTTAACTTAGTACTCAAGTAGTCAGTTAATGGCTTCTGAAAGATTTATGCACAAAAATGTTCATCATCACCCCATTAGCTATAAAAAATATAAGGTACCAAATGACCAAACAATAGGAGATTGATTATATGTCCATAAAATAGTGAAGTATGCAGTTATTAAAAATAATGTTGATGACATTGTCAACAAGGACAACTTGTATGTTATAATTTTGTGAAGAAAAAAGCAACAGTCAAGTTTGTAAATATAGTTTCACACAACTATACTTAAAAATCTACGTAGCGACAAAAGGATTTGAGGGAAATAAACTAAAATTGTTACCAGAGAGGGATAAGCCATCACTTTTTTCTCTTCTTTACAACTATCAGTGTTTTCCAATACTTCCACACTGTACTTATTACTTTTCTAATCAGAAAAAATATTAACCAAAATTAAATTTCATAATAGGTATTCCCATCCGAACAACCTTGGACAACTCAACAACTGTTCAATATGCAGGCCTTCTTCATCACCTGACAATGAAAGCCAAAAGCACAGTTCGTGATATTGATCCTCAGAACGACCTGACTTTTCTTAGGATCAGATCAAAGAAACATGAAATCATGGTAGCTCCAGGTAATTTGGCATTTCATTTCCTAGTTAAATCATCTTTCTAATTTGCTAGATTAAAAGCCTTGTTTCTATGAATGGTAAGTACAGATTTTAGTATAGAATATAAAACATAATATTCTTCTATTACAAAATGATGTTTGAATGTAAAAATCCCAACCAAAAAAATTGTATGAAATTAGCAATTAATATGACCCATGACTTTTGAACAGGTTGAATTTTGCCCACTTGCATTTATTATCAGTAATGAAAAAATTTAGAAAATGTACGTCTCATTTTCAGCAAACTTAGCATACAGACTCTGCAGAATGGGAGAAATGTTCCCTGTCCTGGGGATAAAGTAGGCAGTGAACCCAAGGCCTGTAGGTTCTTAAACCATGGCTGTGAGGAAAGTACATCCCCCAGGTCTACCAGAAGACATCAGCCACAGAAACACTCCTTTCCCTGAAGGAATTAGGTTCGCAATATTACAAAATGACTGTACAATGGGACCTATGCCACTAAACTAATCTAGAACAAACCTCTGTAACAGCAAATCCATCAAATCAGAATTGCTTATAAACTGAATAAAGTTTTTTCCTACACCAGTGTCCTCACCCTGGCTACACATCCAATCACTTGGAGGACATTTTAAAATTTTTTCCATTCCTGGGACTGCACCCCAAACCAATGAAATCAGAATCTCTGAGGCCCTAGGAAATGGGTATTTTCTAAAGACTGAACAGGTAATTCATACGTGCAGATAGGGTGGGAAACCATCTGTCTGCACAAGGTCCCTGTGATGTTTTGAAGAAAAAAGAAGACTAGTTGAAATATTCCTTGATTAAATTTAAATTAAGGGTGAATTGATTTTATCCATCTCTCCATAGATAAGGAATATCTTCTGATCGTCATTCAGAATCCATGTGAATAGACCTGCGATGGCCAAGGCTGTTTAAGCGACACTGGGTTGGAAACACTTGGCTCTCTCATGAGTATTAAAATTCTATTTCAATCTAACTGACCCTTCAAACATTCTTTTCTATTTCTATATCTAAACTGTTCTGCATGTCTCATTTAGTCCCTTTTGATTATATTGTGAAGTTGTACTTTAGTGATACAATAAGTGAATTCTGGTATATACGTCTCTATTGTCTTATAATACACAAAACCAAGGATTCTACTAAGACAGCGCTCCTTGTGATAATTATTTTAGTCTAGAAGTAGCTGTCATCAAGTACAGAAGTAGAATTTCGCCCATTTCTATGGTATACCAAGGAGATTCAGTAGACCATTATGGGAGCTATAAGGAGAGTAGAAAGTCCCAATACTCAAAGAGTGTTCAGTGGTTTCCCAGGTTAAATAAGGACAGTAGAGAGTCCGAAGCGTGGTTCCCACTGGGATCAGTGCCAACCTAAGCAGCTCCTCCATCCCTCGGACTTGTGCTTCTAGCACACCAGTCTGATGGGACCAGGAATGAGTCTTAGGCAAGGTTTCATACATATAAGGCTGAGTAGGTAACTCCAGAGGGTTTTATTTTTACTGGATGTTGCAAACATTCAGAAAATCGTGAAAATAATATAACAAATCTAATAGATTTCCATGCACCCCAAACCCATAGAGAAGAGATATTAATATTTTGCCACATTTGCTTTATATCCTCTTTTATTCCAACTAAACTTTGCATTTTGAGATAACTGAAGTTTCATGTGAAATTTTCAGAAATAATATAGTGATTCTGTGTGCCCTTTATACAGTTTCCCCCTGTTGCAACATCCTCCAAAACCCTAGGACAGTATCACAACCAGGAAATTGACAGTGACTCAATCAAGATACAGAATATCTCGGCAGGATTCCTCAGATGCCCTTTGGTAGCACCTCCCTCCAACCCTTGACCCCTGACAGCCACTAAGCTGTCCTCTGTTTATATAATTTTTAAATATCAAAAATGTTATGTAGGCCAGGCACAGTGGCTCCCGCCTGTAATCTCAGCATTTTGGGAGGCCGAGGCAAGCAGATCACCTGAGATCAGGAGTTCGAGACCAGCCTGGCCAACATGGTAAAACCCCATCTCAACTAAAAACACAAAAACTAGCCAGTCATGGTGGCGCGTGCCTGTAATCCCAGCTACTCAGGAGGCTGAGGCAGGAGAATCGTTTGAACCTGGGAGGTGGAGGTTGCAGTGAGCTGAGATCGCACCACTTCACTCCAGCCTGAGCAACAACAGAGTTAGACTCTGTCCTCCTCAAAAAAAAAAAGTAAGCGGAAAAATACAGTATGTAACCTTTAGGGATTGACTTTTTCCCTCTGCATCATTCTCTTGAGATTCATCCAAAAAATCAGAAATGAAACATTGCAGATACAGCTGAAGCCTGCTCCTCCTCCTTGTGCCTCTGTCCTCCTTCCCCAGAAGATTCTTGTCAGGAGGCACAGGTTACCCAATGCAAGGGTCCACAGGCACTTTCACCTAAGTTTCTGCCACAGCTCCACATGAAGCCAAGTATGAGAATGATGCCTGGTAAGTTTATTAGTTCAGCCACACCACTGGCCCCAACTTGTACCCTGTGAGACTATCAGAGCCAACCCAGACAGACGGTGGTATCAGCAGAAAGGAAGAGCCACACCAAATCCCTAAGGTTAAAGGGATTTACTCTCCCAAGTGGTGATGGGAGAGGAGACAGGTCATGGAGGAAACTTACCCAAGGCTGAGGGAGACAAGGGAGACTGAAGCCAAACAGCCAAACCTTTGTATGCAACAGATGTCTGAGCCCCACTGCATAACTCCATACTCCTGGGAGCAGTGCCTGCACGTGTAAATTTTGCAAATGTTCTCTAGGTAGTTGCAATGCAGCTGCAGGCCGAGACATGCTCAACCGTGGTCAGGAATGCAGGTTTTAGAGTCACTGGCCCTAGATTCTTCAAATTCTGACTCCACTGCTTGTCAGCAGTAGGAGCCTCATCGCCTCATATATAAAACAGGGTGATAAGAGAACCTAACCGAGGTTTGTTTATGAGAATCAGGTGAACTGATACAGATAAAATATCTGGCACACAGTGAATATTCAATAAATGTTTGCTTTTGCCGACACTGTTGCCGTCACTCAAAAATGGCTGTTACTTGGGTGCTGAGGAGGAGTAGCCCAAGACACATATAAATGAGTTTTAGGGATAACTCTGATGTTCCTCACATCATCAAGCCACACAATTATAAGGAGGTTGCTGACTCTGTCTGCAGAGAGAACAGAGCAAATAAGGAGATGAGCCCAAAGTATAACAGGAGTGTGTCTGCCTTAACCTATGGGATGAATAAACCCAGAAGGATTGTAGGATAGGGAAGCTATGCCATGGCACATAGCTGACTTTGGGGCCATTTTCCCATACTTTTTATTTTAAAAGACTTCAGACTTACGGAAGATTAGAAAGAATAGCACAAGGAACACCATACAAGTTTCACCCACATTCACCAACTGTTAATATTTTATGACATTTGCTTCATCTCTCTCTGTAAGTACATATTATATATAGATATAGATATATATGCACACACACATAGCATATAAAAGCTGCAGATACTATAATAGCAGGTATTTCTCCAAAATTAAAGAATCCTCTTACATAACCACCACACCAATTTCATACTTAAGAAGTTTAATATTAATGCAATAATATCATATAACATGCAATCATATTCAAATTGACACAGTGGTCCCAATAATGTTCTTTATAGCTTTTTTTTAAAAAAAGTCTAAGGGCCTATCAAGGGTCACATGTTGCATTTGGTTGTCATGTCTCTTTCATTTTTTAGCTGTTCTTAGAAACTTATTCTCCATTTCGCGACCTCTAGGTGGTATCCAATTTGTATTTGCTCTCCCTAGACACCCCAGTGCCACCTGCCCCCCATTCCCCATAAGCCCCTCCTGATTGGGCCCAGGCACTGTCTGTAATGACAGGAAATGAAGCTGCAGAGTGGGTCTTCATCACAGGTGAGTGACTGCCCTCATCTCAACCTCTTCCTTCAGCGCAGTGAAGCCTGAGTAACGTGGTACTCACTCAGCCCCGGACAGCTTCGGCGTCTGCTAACAGTTTCCAACATAAACAAGGTCTTGCTAGAATCTAAATGACAAGGAAATACACTAGTGAAGGGAAATCCATTCTTTTTAGAGTCTCAAATCATCACACCTGGAAAGAACCGTAGAGATCATCTATCTGACCCTTTGGTTTTACAGGTGAGGATTTCACCTGAGCCTGGTGTCAGGTGTCTTTAAGACATCAGGTATGTGAACTTGTATTGGTCTAGCCATGCTAATCAAACTGGCGCTTATGACATTATCAGGGGCTCATGCCCTTGTGAGAACCCTCCATACCATCCCCAAAAATTGTTTTTAGGAGGCACAGAATAGCTCATCGTTTTAAAGTGTTCCAGAGGTAACATTTGATTCTAATACCCAAATCTGTCTTCTTCCCATAGTTTCCTGCCCACCCAGAGCTTGTCATCAGATGCATGGCTAAGTGGTAAAGCCATTTCCTTCCTCCTGACACAGCCAGAAATTTCAAGCCCTATTTGCAACATAGCAGTGTGAAATCTCTGGCAGGTGCAGATGGCACGGCTGCAAGTGCCAGAACTCTATGTGGACTCTTCAGGGGAGGAAGACACTTCTATCCCACTGGGCAGGAAACTCACAGTGGTTGTGTCACAGTCCTGCCTGTACCTTTGCATCCAGAGGAAACTGTGAGGCTTCGTTGGGGCAGAGACTGTGGCAGCAAAAGGAAGAATTTGCCAGAGCCACTTACAACAAAGGAGGATGTGATCTCGGGAAGTTTGCACCGCACCTCTCTCCCTTCTGGCACATACAACTTCATATTCCCTCTTGGATTCATAACAGCATAGTTAATGACCTATATCTAAAAGATGGCTGGACCTATAGACTGAAGATTCACACCCATCCAAAACCATCAGCAAAGCTTTCAATTCCTATGGGAAGTGCAAGCCTGGGTTCATATAGTGCTCCCTCTTAGTCTAACTTGCTATAAATTTTACCTGAACAATAGAAGAGCTATTTGCAGAGTCTCTGGAGGAACATATTGCAACCATAAATATTAATGATAATGAACCTGGAAAGACCAGCTTAATAAAATAGCTGAAAATGAATTTATACATCATTAGCATTATGAGCTCCCAAATCTTCATCTCTGAACAGCTGGACTATCCCAGTAGAGGATGAGCAGGAACCCACGTAGATCTCCAGAGCGGTGCCTCCTGCAGACCCTTTTACTGGGTATGTTCTGGCTTTTGAAATACATTACCTATTCTCTTCTAAAGCCAAAATTACTACAGACTAAGGCTGGACACTTTGTCTCCCCTCTTGGTCTTTGAAAAATTACAATTATCCCCAATTTGTGTTTGATATGGGGCAAAATATCTCCACTCTTTTCGTGTTAGAAAATAATGTAATGTCCTTGAAATGGAAACTATCACGTGTAGGTGAAATGCCTATAGATATTCATTCAACCAATATTTGGTCTTATATTCTTTGTTGAAAAAAAAAGACAAGAAAGGCCGGGCGCGGTATCTCATGCCTGTAATCCCAGCACTTTGGGAGGCCGAGGCAGATGGATCACCTGAGGTCAGGAGTTACCAGCCCTGCCAACATGGTAAAACCCCGTTTCTACTAAAAATACAAAAATTAGCTGGGTGTGGTGGCAGGCGACTATAATCCCAGCTACTCAGGAGGCTGAGGCTGGAGAATTGCTTGAACCAAGGAGGCAGAAGTTGCAGTGAACCATTGCACTCCAGCCTGGGCAACAAGAGTGAAACTCTGTCTCAAAACAAAACAAACAAACAAAAACACAGGAAAACATGGATCATATGTGGGGCATAACAGTTTTCAGAGAGGTATAATCTCTTCTAATGGGGGACTTACAAATATAAGTTGGTCTCTCAAATCCTGAGAATCATAGGGCTAGAAGGCTCCCTTAACATAAAAGCATCTCTAATAATGGAAACTCAGGCATTCCCTGAGCAGTTTGGACTACATAAGGTTCAAAGTCTTCTCTGGTATGTTTCTTGTCCAAGATTTGACATAGAGGGTTAGCCGTGCACCCAGCCATTCCTTGAACCCATAGAAGAGAACACTGAATCTTCTTACTTCCTCCTGGCTTCTTACCCCAGGAAACCTACATTCTGTATTTCCCTTCAGCATATATGGTTTCAAGACTCCCTCTATAGATGTCACCAGCCTAGAACACTCCTGCCACAAACAGAATTGATTTTAAAATTCTCTCTCTTTGGTCAACTTTACAACTTGAGACACAATACGATACAGCTGAGAGAACATGACATCTGGGGCCTGACTCTATGACTTACTAGCAGAGCCAACAACTTTGAACCTCAGTTTTCCTGTCTACAAATGTGAAGAATGTCCACCCACAGCAGCCTTGAATTCTGAACTATACAGGCCAGTATAGATGCCAATTACTGTTATTAATAATAGCAATAGTGGCAAAATACAAGTTTACCACAATACAAGCTATTTAATGCATCTCACTGCGGCCTCTTCTCATCTTTAATTGTAAATATTAATAGGTTTACAGAGTGGTGATCCTGTGGGGCACAGTTTTGTGTAATCCCTTTCCTTTTCATTTGGTTAGCATTTCCACATTCCCAACCATAATTCATATTGATGTGTAATACCCAAATGCAGTTTCATCAGGTTGGTCAGTGGTAAAGACGTGGTCCAGGTGAGGCCAATGAGAGATGTTTCCTTAGTATTTAGATGTGGAAGACAGAGAGAAAATTTCCATGTGGCTTGACCTGTGCAGGAAAACACAGGTGCTGGGGGTAGCCGTGTGCTCCACATGGGAGTAGCAGAAAAAACCAGTTCTGAGAAGAAAAGAATGCTGCAGTTGTGCATTGTGACATGGAACGAGAGGTACAGTGTTCATTCCAGGGGCTCCCTGCAGTTTTCTGGTCCTCAGCTGCATTTTGGCACTTGGATTCTATGTGGCAGCCCTGAGGTCTTACAATAAGTCTTCCATTTTGTGTACACTGCCAGAGTAGGTTTCTGTTGCCTGAAACCAAAAAGACTTTAACCAACAATTTTGGGCTATATTTGGGTCGCCCCTGGCTGTTTTAATCAGACACAGTGGAGGAAGCGGAGCCAGCTCAGGAAGTGAGCATTAATCAGAGGCTCTGAGCAATGGGGTCATGGTCACTCCCTCCCTAGCTTCCAATATGGCCAGTCAGGAGGACAGGGCACTAATGGGCCTGTCAGGAGGTGGACTCTGGGGGACAGAGAGACACTGAGGTGTCACTCTCACTGGGGAGCAGGGACTTTAGTTTATTTCCACCTGATGAGTGGCATCTGCCTTTGTCATTGGCTACAAAAAGAATGGGCCACCTGGACTCTGGGCAGGTGCATTTCCGAAGCAGCACTCCAGGTGTCCGAGAGCGTCTGGAGTGGTGGAGATCCACACACTAGAAAAAAGGGATAAAGTACAGTATGGAATAACATGACTTCCTACTCTCCCCTGTTTCCAGAAGGCAGTGAGGTACAGAAGAAAGGACACTTTTTTATAGCCAGACAGGTCTGTCTTTGGCTCACAGCCCGGCCATCAATAGTAAAAATAACAAGAAGAACAGCAGCGGCAACAGCTAACATTTGTTGATCATTTACTATGTGACAGGCACATTAAATCCTCACAACAGTCTCATTTTACAGATAAGAACACCAAGGCATAGAAAAGTTTCACAGATTGCCCAAGGTCAATCAAGCTCTTAAATGTCAAAGGAGGCACCCAAACCCCAATACTTGACTCCAGCACACACTGGTAGCCACTCCTTTACATGGCATATTCACCAGACAGCTGGCAAGGAAATTAACCTCTCTGACCTCAGAATCCTCACCTGTAAAATACTGGCCGTGAATCCTGCACTGTAGGTTGTTAGGAGACTAAAAAAAAATCATAGAAAGCATCTGACATTTTGTAGATGTTCAACAATTATTGCTATTATCATCATCACCATCATCAATGCTATCTGGAGAACCAATAAGTGCTGAGAGATGACCACCATGGCTGTTATGTTATCACTGTAAATATAATCAATATCATAATTTTGACACTTAACAATATCTGATGGGGTTCACCTGACAGAGAAGTTACTCCTAATCTTTTCATCAAAGCCCCTCAGATCTCCAGCAACCAACCATCCATATGGATCAACAGGATTTCAGATCACCATTCCATTCATGGAACATCCTCATATCTGGAATTGCCAAAAGGATTAACTTTCCCATCGAGAATACATCTACTATTCTGTGTGTTCACCAAGCCTACACTTTATCCCATTATGTCTACACATAAAACTAGTTTGTTCTATGATTTATCCTCCTCCCACTGTCTATACTTATAACCAGTTTGAAACATTCCTTCTTCCCCTGTCCCCATTCTGCCTATACATATAGCCAGCTTTTCTATTTTGTCTAGATTGGTTGACTAATTCAATCCATCAGACTGATTTTCTGTTCTGTATTGACTAACTACATTGACTCAACAATCAAGAGAAGGTGAATTGGTTGTGCTTTTTTTTTTTTTTTTTTTTTTTTTTTGAGACGGAGTCTCGCTCTGCCACCCAGGCTGGAGTGCAGTGGCGCGATCTCAGCTCACTGCAAGCTCCGCCTCCTGGGTTCACACCATTCTCCTGCCTCAGCCTCCCGAGTAGCTGGGACTACAGGCGCCCACCACCACGTCCGGCTAATTTTTTGTATTTTTAGTAGAGACGGGGTTTCACCGTGTTAGCCAAGATGGTCTCGATCTCCTGACCTAGTGATACACCCGCCTCGGCCTCCCAAAGTGGTGGGATTACAGGCGTGAGCGACCACGCCTGGCCTTGTTGTGCTTTTGACAGTCCATTAAGCTTCTGCATTGCCTTATTCTTATCCCAGTACCTGGCAGAAAAATCTAGCACATGGTGGGTGCCCAGTGTCTGAGGGTTAAATGATCAATGTTTATCCCCATCCTATTTTCCTACTTTAGGAACACTGCTCCCTGGATCACAAGATTGGTTGCAAAAAAGGTCCACCAAGGTAATCAGTGCCTTTGAAGAAGACAGAGTTAGCTAAATCTCCTAAAAATACTCAAGACAGGATCCTGACCAATTAATTAGCAGCTTCAAAGCTTGAAGTTCTCAATTCACATTGCAAAATGAATCAAGGCAGGTCACTGACTCTCACAGGCCTCCTTCTGTATCTGCTCCTGCACAACTTTCTGCTTCTTGAATAGCCTCAAGGAAATATCTGGAGCCTCCTGATCAATGCCAGGAGAGCAGAAGGCCCGGCTTCTCAGAACAGGCTCCAGCCATCTCAGCTGCACCCTTTGGGGAGCATAAATGGGAGGCCTGTATCAGCAAGTCCCACATCTCTGGGAAAAGAATCATCAGACTGCAATGCCCCAAATGGTGCCAGCAGCCAGATCTTGTATTCAATATGAGCTTTAAGTTGTTCACCAACTCTGAACCTTTGCATTGGGTATTCGGTCATATCTCAGGGGAAGTGGAGGAAAGTAAATGTCTAGTATCGCCAAGAAAAAAAATTAAAAGCACAACACCGTCAGTGAGGGCAGGAGGACAGGAAAGGGGATATTATCGGACATGTTTACCTATTCTTGCCAAACCTGGCAATTTCCAGGAGAGGCAAAGAGAGATTATTAACCGTTTATGAAATCTTGAATTAATAAAAACGCTGGCTCCATCTAAGGCTCTAACGGAAAGAAGGTGTGCTTCTTAATCAGAGAACCATTAACCAGGTGGCATCCCATTCTGCAAGCATTTAACCATAATTGCTTTAAGCCAGGCACACTTTATGCCCGTGAACAGACATGGGTGACGTCAGGTCTGCCTAAAGGAGCTCCTGGTGTAATAAGGGAAACAGGCATGCAGAGATGTACATGTTCAATACAGTAAGTTAATAGCAGCACATGAAGTATGAGTGAGGGACAGTGGAAATGCAGAAAAAGGACTGCTGGTGTGCATGGTGTTTAAGGAAAGCTGCATTAGGACAGACACACCTGAGCTGGACTATAAAGGGGGAATAGGAGTTTACGGTGGAAAGAAGAGAGAAAGCACTATCTGGACAGAAGGAACCCCAAAGGAGGGCATGCTCTAGGCAAGTGGCTTTTCAAACCTTGCTTTAGGAAACAGTAGCCTTTGCTCACACAGAACCTTGATCAAAGGCCAGCAAAGCTACTCTCCATGAAGCAGGACGGGGCTCCTTTTCCATGCCATTCTCTCATCCTGCCCTTGGCCACTCCACACTTAACACACAGTGGTCCTCACCAGAGTCTCATGGAACCCCAGGGCTATACAAGCAGACTTAGGAAACCACTGAACTAAGCAATACAAATTCTGCATTTGCAATGGTTAAAGTCAGAACTGGGATGGCCTTTTGAAAGTTTTGATACTGTCAGGCCACCCTAGATCCTTCCAGTTTTACTCCCCTCATCAAGTCTGATGACTTCATTCTTTCTTTGGAGGTGTCTGAAATTACCACCATGGTCACCTCCTGCAAAATCAGTTAGTTGTGTGGGTTCCCCATCTCTCTTCACATCTGGAAATGACTTACAAACAAGGATCTATCTTCTCCCTGCATTTTCTCCCACCAAAACCCACAAATTTTATTTAATGAAAAGTCACATAGCACTCAATATACCTGGACAGTGTCCCAAGCCCCTCCCAGATCTAACCAGCACCAAGTAGATACTTCATAAAAACTTGAATTAAAAACACCCTTTCAAATCTCAGCTTATTTTTCAAGATGATCTATTCCAGGGTTTTCCACACTTGCCTGATCATAACAGCAAGTTATGATACTTAAAAATCCTGGTACTTAAGAATCCAGATTCCCAGGATTCTGATTATCACTTCTCGTGTCTTTCTTTTCCAAGTGTGGTCAGGGAAGAGCAGCACCAGCACCACTTGGGAGCTTGTCAGAAATGCAGAATCCTAGGCCCTATCCCAGACCTACTGAGTCAGAATCTGCATTTAACCCGATTCCTAGGATTTTCTCATTCCCATTAAACTTTGAGAAGCACTACTCCAAGTCAGGGGACTTTATTCCGCCACCCCCCACCCCCAGCAAATGCCCTGGAGGAGAGGGGCTATAATTGGGAAAGTGGGTGAACATAGCAGCTCCATCGCTCTTCTCTGAATGAATCTCCCTCCACTGCCAAGTCCAGGCCACCCACAGCCACAGTCAGGAACCCTGAGAGAAGAAAAGGACTATTGTATATAAGTCAAGGTATGCCCCCATCCTGACTAAAAGAAAGAGAAAGCAGACTCCTGTAAAATCCACCCAAAGTAGGGAATCCTGATTCCCCAGCCAGGTTTCATGCCCCCAAGCATTTGTGAGTTCCCAGGGGAGCCTCAGGCTGCCAGTGAGCCAGTCCACCCATTTTCCATGTGGCATCTCCATGACCTTCCCCTACACCTCCTCCAACCCTCTTCCCTTGGCACTCACATGTCCACAGGACAATGCCATTCCTTCCAGAACTACTGAGTTCTGAACATCACAGACACTTCCTACAGGAACCACTGAACTAGAGGATACAACCCCACTCACCTGCCACCACCATGTCCTCCCATGCACGATTGCCACCTGCAAGGTCCGTCTGGAATTAGAAGACGGGAGTCCTGTTTGGGCACCTTGGGAAGTCTACTCTTTGAGTTTTCACATTTCAGAAAGTTTCCTAGATATAGACCTCATTCTCTAATCAGAATGGTTCTTTCACTCAGAGAAGGTGGTCTTACCAAGTTAAGCCTGCTTGTCGTGACTTCCTCTTCACTTAGGGTGAGTTCTTTCCTGGGAGCTCCTAAACATGCATGCAAACGTATTTCTGATAGAGACAGCTTATTCATCGGCTAGATGTGCCTGGATCCCAGTGTGAACACAACCTGGGCTCAAACCAGGTTCCTAGAGCACGTGTGCAACGCAGTGTAGAGTAAAGGAGTCTATGCTTTGTTATAGTTATTTATGAATGTCACCCCACTTGATTTCAAAATTACCTAGCCTGGCAGGCCTTATTAATCCCATTTTTCTGATAAGGAAAACGAGGTTCCTATGAGGGCAGTATCTTGCTCAGAGCTGCACTGTTTGACTCAAAGCTTCTTGAGTTCAGAAACTAAGCCTTATTTCTCACTATCTGTCTCCCCAGACCCTGTGCATTGTTCAGTATCTGCACTTCGTCTGTGCTCAGCAAATGTCTGTTGAATAAAAGAGTAAACGAATTGTGAATGTGGCCACAATCCACATCGGCAGTGGTGGGGATGCAAATAGGGACACATGCTTTAAATGAAAACACTCATCACTGGGAGCTCCACCTTCCAGATCCTCGGGACATCTGGGTTCTCTTGGACCTATCCCTTTCCACCTCTTCCCAGACCACTGACCCTGGTGTACTTTCTATTCCTGTCAATACAGAAGACAAGATGGTCCACGCTCAAGGTTAGGATAATCACCTCCAACACAGCCAGAAACTCCCTCACATGTGTTTGTGGGCATATTTGTTTGTGTGTGCACACATGGGAACATTTTACAAGATATACATCAAGACAACATTAATCATAGTGATTTCTTTTTTGTGGGGGTGGGCAGAGTCTCGCTCTGTCACCCAGGCTGAAGTGAGTGCAATGGCAGGATCTCAGCTCACTGCAACCTCCACCTCCCAGGTTTAAGTGATTCTCCCGCCTCAGCCTCCCAAGTAGCTGGGATTACAGGCACCCACCATCATGCCGAGCTAATGACAGTGATTTCTGCGTGAGTGGGATTATGCCCAATTTTATTTTCTCCCTTTCCACCTTTACACTTTTCTTCTTCAATTTAAATTTGTATTGAGGCATGACATGCATATAAAGAGCACACATCACTTAAGTACCTAGCTTGAGCAATTTTAACAAACTGAAACTATTCGTGAACCCAACACCCAAATCAAGACCCTACACATGACCAGCTCCAAAAAGGTACATTTGGGGCTCCCTTTCGGTCCCTAATGCCCACCCCCAAGAGTCACCAAGAGCCTGATTTTTATCACCAGAGAAGAATTTTTTCTCTGTGTGTGTGTGTGTATGTACTTGGTATAAAGAGAATCTCACTCTTTTGTGTCTGGCTTCTTTCAATCATCAGAACTCTAGTGAGATTTGTCCATATTATGCTGGAGCCATAAATCACTTGTTCTCATTGCTATTTATTGCTTTTTTAGGCATAAAAACTAACATAAATATTTTTAACAGGAAAAAGAAACCAGAGAAGTCAATGCTTTCAGCCACTGGTCCCCAGATACCAGCAATCCAGCAATCTCAGTGGAAAAAACAAACACTCTGGAATCATAGGTTCAAATCCAGACCCGGCCACTCACCTTTCCAGAGAGTGTTATTTCACAATGTGAGCCTCAGTTTCTTAATCTGAAAAATGGTGATCTTCATAGTTCCATGTGCAGGCACTGGTGACTTCCACCCAGATGTCCTTGTATTCTGTTTATTCCTGCTCAATGTTCATCTGCTGGCCTTGGGTATTTTTGCATCCAACTGCCCTTGGGTTGCTAAAGCCTTTTACAGGCACAGATGGGAACCACAGGTGCCTGGGAGTTTATTTATGCTGAGCCTCAAGGCCCAGAGCCAGTGACTGTCGGGTGCAGGGGTATGGAACTCCAGCTTTCTGGCATGCAGGACAGGTGCACTGTACGCTCCAGGGTTCCCCTGCAGGAGCAAACTCAAGCTCCCCTCCACAGGTCTCGGCCTGAAATCACACTCTTCTTGGGCTTCTCTCTCTTTTCACCCCTCTCCCCCTCTCCTCTGCCAGTTTTCCCTGGGAGTTCCTCCTTAATAAGTCACATGCACAGGATTTTTTTGTTTTGTTTTGTTTTTTGTTTTTTTGAGACAGCATCTGTCTCTGTTGCCCAGGCTGGAATGCAGTGGCATGATTTCGGCTCACTGCAACCTCCACCTCCCAGGTTCAAGCAATTCTCCTGTCTCAGCCTCCCGAGTAGCTGGGATTACAGACACCTGCCACAATGCCCAGCTACTTTTTGTATTTTTAGTAGAGACAGGGTTTCACCAGGTTGGCCAGGCTGGTCTCAAACTCCTGACTTCAGGTGATCTGCCTGTCTCAGCCTCCCAAAGTGCTGGGATTACAGGCATGAGCCACCGCGCCCATCCATAGGAATCTTTATACAGGGTCCACTTCTAGGGTACCTGGTCCGATGTTCCCTAAAGATTGTTGCAAGGTAAACATGGATAGTTGTGTATAAATCACCTGGCACCGACAGGTGCTCACACTTGTTAAATCTGTTCCCCATATCAACAGCAGGCTGGCTTTGCTCTGTGGCCACAGGCCTCAAATCATAAAATTCCCCAGGGTTAGAAGGAACCATAAATGTCCTGGACTCCTGGAGCCCTGAATTACTTAAATCACTCTTATCTCTCCCTGAAGAGTATTACGATGGCTTCTAAATGAAATAACCAGGGACAGCATTCTCCCCGCAAAACTCCAGCTTTATTGCATTACAATCAGCACAGCCATCTCGAGTGGAGATGAAGCTGTGAAGAGCGGATATTAAAGCCACCAGCTGCTTTGAGTGTCCCCCAGATCGGCAGCTAGATTACTGGCCTGGGCAGCACCTGCACCCTCTCCCATTCTACCCTAGCTGGCTGGAGGAGGCTCTGTCCTTGGGCAAAAGTGGGCACCCCTTGTGAAGCACTCACTTTTCCTGGGAAAGAGGGCTACCTGCACCATAATCTAAAAGTACAGATAGATGTTAAAAATAGGAAGGAAAAACATAGCAAACGCGGAATTATCTCTTTTCTTAAAAAAAGAAAATTCATTGTAACTGAATAATCCGTGGCACTGATCTGTATTCTAAGAGCAGGTTTTAGACTTGTTTCCCTCAACAGGAAGCGACCATCAGGGCCAGATACTGACAGGAAGCAGTTCTTTCATATTAATAGTTGCCGTTTATGTGCCGTGCACTCCTCTAAATGTTTAACAGTCTTTGAAGAAGCTATGTTCATCTTTGATTTGCAGATGAGGAAATGGAGATGTCAAGGAGGTAAACAGCTTACCTCCGAACCCATGCAGCAGGTGGTAACAGAGCTGAGACTCAAACCCCATTCTGTCTGCTTCCAAGGATGTCCTGTTAAGCAGAGCTATGGCCAGGAATTTGGATTCAAAAGATGTTTTAGTTTCCTTGAGTTTTACTGCAAATTGGGTGGCTTAAAACAACGTAAATGCTCCTCATCGTTCCTGAAGCTAAAATCCCTCCTTATATCTTTCTAGCTCTGGTGGTGGCTGGCAATCCCAGGCTTGTAGCGGCACCACTCCAACCTCTGCTCTTAGGGTCACACGGCATTCTCCCTGTGTGTCTGTCTTTGTGTCATCCTCCTTCTTCTTACTAGGACACCAGCCCTACTGGATTAAGAGCCCACCCTACTCCAGTGTGACCTCATCCTAACTAATTACATCTGCACCAACCCTATTTCCAAAGAAGGTCAGATTCTTAGATACTGGGGATGTGACTTCAGCATGTGTTTTGTGGGGACATGATTCAACCCACAACAAGCAGCCAGAAACTCAATTTCTTTCTTTCTTTCTTTCTTTCTTTCTTTCTTTCTTTCTTTCTTTCTTTCTTTCTTTCTTCCTTCCTTCCTTTCTTCTTTCTTTTTTCTTTCTTTCTTTCTCTTTCCTTTTTTTTTTTGATGGAGTTTTGCTCTTGTCACCTAGGCTGGAATGCAACGGTGCGATCTCAGCTCCTCAGCTCACTGCAACCTCCACCTCCCAAGTTCAAGTGATTCTCCTGTCTCAGCCTCCTGAGTAGCTGGGATTACAGGCGCCCACCACCATGCCAGGCTGCTTTTTCTATTTTTATTAAAGATGGGGTTTTGCCATGTTGGCCAGGCTGGTCTCAAACACCTGACCTCAGGTGATCCACCCGCCTCAGCTTCCCAAAGTGCGGGGGTTACAGGCGTAAGCCACCACACCTGGCCCAGAAATTCAGTTTCTAAACAAGGAAATTCAAAGAAACAGAGGAGGGGCTTGTTCTCCTGCCTCACAGAGGGACCCCTGGTCAGGCACTCAGTGCCTTTGATCCTAAGTCTCCATCTCTGTCTTTGTTCACCTGCTGCTGAGGTACTGGTCTCAGAAGAAGAGGCCAGCTCAGCACTGCAACAGGAATAAGGAAGAGCATGGGGGAGGGAGTTCAAGCTTCAAAATATGGTGCCCTCTTAATTGCAGTATTCTGAGGCAAAACCCTATGACCCGTTCTGGTTAAGACTCTACTCATAAAATACTTCTTCCAGATGGGGTCCTTAACTGCAAGCATGGAAACCAACTCTGGATGATTTTAATTGAAAGAAAATCTATTTTAAAGATAGGATCTAGCTCACTCAATAGCCAAGAAGGCTGGAGGACCAGCTTAAACAGTGCCCAGGAGCAAGAGAGTCTAAGAGACAGCCAAAATCAGAACCAGCCAGCCCAATGCAGACATTAGTGCCACTTGAGCATGGTCCCGCTGCCATGGGCCCACAGCCCTGCTGCCAGTAGGCCTTTGACATTACTACTGCTACCACCACACTAACAGCAAAGATTCTTCACTACCCCTGACTTTTCAGGCCACTGGCTCCAGATTCATAGTCACTGGTTGAGCTTGAGCCTAGCACACCCATCTAAGGACTCGTTGCAAGGAAGTCTGGGAAAGCAGGAATCTATCTTCTTGAGCCTTAATAGAGAAAGATGGCCACTGACTCCTCCGAAAATGAGTCATACACTGAGCAGTTACACAAATATAGGAAGGAGGTTCAAATGTTGGGCAAACAATGCAAAGTTGGTTTTTAGGGAAGATTCAATCTGGGTGTCCAGAAGCAAAGGTAAGATGGCAGGTGTCAGGGCCAAATGTGCTAAAAAGGGAGTTCACAGCTCATGGACTGGAGAGACTGGTGCCAGAAGTCTCTGAGAGGCCACAGAGACAGAACATAGATTAGGGATTGCCCTGGGCTGCAGATGGGGGAATGGGGAGTGGCTGCTTTTTAAGGAGATAAAAATGTTTGGGAATTAGATTGTGGTGATGGTGGCATGACATTGTAAATACACTAAAAACCACTGAATTGTACACATTAAAAGGGCGAATTTTATGTTATATGATTTTATCTCAAAAAAGAAGTCTCAGAGGGGTAGCCAGACCCCTCAAGTTCAAGTTCACAAAGAGAATTCCATCATCAAAAACTAATGCAATGGGCACCGGAGTTGCATTAAGTTCCCCATAAGAGTGATGCAATTTGATGAACACGTGTTGGTCTAGGGGAATGGAATCAGTGGGCCAAATATGTCAGTGGTCCCAAATCTCCCACTTTCTTCTTGGAAAAGACTCCATCTCTTTGCTCGCTGAGTCACAATGAAGACATACGTTCCCCTTTGTTTCTGCTCAGAATCACTGGAAGACAATGCCCAGTGATGATGGGTTTTCTACCTGAGATAGAAGCTTTTTTGTTTTAAATGAACTTATCTTGGGGCAATAGGGGACACAGAATACAGAATTAGAATATGAATGATATTTGGTGGTGTAGATTCTGTGACCCCTATGCCAGGGACTGCCCACTGAATCCTCTCCCCATTCTGTGAGGTGGGAAGAGGATTGGGGTTGGGGCTGGTGGTAACTAGCTCCCTTTTCACAGATAAGAAAAGTGAGCCACAGAGAAATTGTGTGATTGGCGTCTGGGACGTCTGCCTTCAGAATTCTCAACCAATCTTCATTACCACATCTGCCTTGGGCATATTTATTCAAGGATGTAGCATGCCATGGGAGTAAGTAAGGTGGTGGGAGTGCGGGGAGAAGAACGAAGATAAGAGTGAGACCCTGTAGGAGAGAACAAATAACTTTGAAGGACAGAAGTGTTCAATTTTCCATTTTTAATTTTGGGGGTATGCATATGCATGCCCAAACCTTTAGCCAAGTCTGCTGTGGAAACAAAGGTCTTGTGTACACAGATTTGTTTTTGTTTTTGTTTTTGTTTTTTTCTGTTGTTTTTGCTGATGTTGTTTTGGCAGGAGGTGATTGATTGGTTAATAAAAGAAGATAAGTTTCACATTTGTATCCAGGCTGGCAGAAATAAAGGAACAGAGATGAGATTTAGAGATGGGAACTTCCTAAAAGAAGCCAGAAGTCAGATCTAAAGGTGAACTTGAGGTGGTGAAACTACCTTGGAATTCACAGGAATTGCAGCTACTCATAAC
The DNA here is from genome assembly GCF_000001405.40 of Homo sapiens. Classification (NCBI taxonomy): domain Eukaryota; kingdom Metazoa; phylum Chordata; class Mammalia; order Primates; family Hominidae; genus Homo; species Homo sapiens. The sequence continues at coordinate 80,567,894 of NC_000016.10, forward strand.
TAGATCTTAAGGGGCGGGGAGACCCCATCGTTATATGGATTCTACATTTCTTACCTCCCATATTGGGCTTTGAGCCTTTCCAGGCCAGGATCCAAATTTGGATTCATCTTCAAAGTCCCACTAGCACATTGTAAGGACTCCATAACTGTTTACTGAATTAATACATTCAAGAGAGGCTTCTTGTGCATACATCATTACGTAGGTCAGAAATTATATTTGCCTACAAGGAAAAGACCAGATTTCAGTGTTTAAATAGGTAAGAAATCAAAAGGTGGGCATAAAGTCTGCTGTATGTCACAATGTCACAAACGTGCTTCTATCATTCTATTCTTCATGTCTTTCAAATATCCTCATGGTCCCAAAGTGGCTGCTGTATCTCCAGGCCACACCCCACCACTGCCACCCTCCCCAGTCAACCACATCCCCACCTCTCCCACCCTCCTCACTCAACCACATCCCCACGTCTCCCACTCTCCCCACTCAACCACACCCCCACCTCTCCCATTCTCCCCACTCAACCACATCCCCACCTCTCCCACCCTCCCTACTCAACCACACCCCCACCTCTCCCATTCTCCCCACTCAACCACACTCCCACCTCTCCCACCCTCCTCACTCAACCACACCCCCACCTCTCCCATTCTCCCCACTCACCCACACCCCCACCTCTCCCACCCTCCCCACTCAACCGCACCCCCACCTCTCCCACCCTCCCCACTCAGCCACATCCCCACCACTCCCACCCTTCCCACTCAACCACACCCCCACCTCTCCCACCCTCCCCACTCAACCACACCCCCACCTCTCCCACCCTCCTCACTCAACAACACCCCCACCTCTCCCACCCTCCCCACTCAAACACACCCCCACCTCTCCCACCCTCCCCACTCAACCACACTCCCACCTCTCCCACCTTCCTCACCCCCTCCACAACCAGTTCTCATGGCTCCAGCCACACCATTTCCTTCTGAGAGCCTTGTTCTTGTCTTCTCCATGCTCCTTCCTGCCCCATGTTCATGTCAGGAGGAAGAAAAGGAAAGAGACCAGTGGTTTTCTCTGAGCCAGGCTTTACTTGAGAAGGAAAGCCTTTCCAGGAACCTCTGGCTACATTTCACCAACTAGAACTCGCTCCAAGTGGAGGGAGGCAAGGTAGAAGGGAGTTGATACATAGGTCATAAGAAAGGAAGGGTCTTGACGTTCCTTTCAACCCAGCTGGGGATCTATCTGAAATGTAAGCATTGTTGATATCATTGCAACAGTGACAATGGCTATGAAGGAGAAAGACAGGTGCCAGCAAATGAGGAAACTGAGGCTGTGAGAGATGAACTCGCCTTAAATTACACAGCTGGGACTCTAGGGGACTTAGAAGCCCATTGTCTTTATATCTGCTGCTGGGAGGGCAGACAGCAGCAGCCTCTCCTCTCCCGTTCTCCAGGTTCCTTCCAGTGAGGTCTGTGTTTGTTCTTTCTCAGAGGCCAGGCCAAGCCAGACCTCACAGGCAAAGCACTTTGTCTGGTGGCAAAGTCCTATATCAAACAAATTCAAGGCCTCTCAGGTCTGCAACTCTGCTCCTGCCTCACAGCCAGGGATGGAGGGATGATGCTGGGGCCACAGGAACTCTGAGTCATCGCCGGGGATGGCAGCTCTGGATAAGGCAGCAGTAGACCTCAGGCATCCCCGCACTCCTGGGGACCAGGGGCCTGGCCTGGAAAGGACCTGCATTACTGGGGATTCACACCACCCTCCCCTCACCCTGGACACCCTACCATGATGGCTCAGGTCACAGACTAGACTGGGCCCCTCTGCCAGCCTTCCCCCGACTTCACAATGCTGTATTATCAGAAACCATGAGGTGTACAGCAGAGTCAGGGTTGGGTCGGGGGGAGTGGTAATGACTCTCTATGACTCATTTTGAAGGGCCCAGAGTCAGCGTGAGAGGGGGTGGAGGGCAAACCCAATAGCAGCTCAGAGGAGCCACAACCAGCCATAAAAATAGGTTTCATATCACAGCCCGGTACATCCATCTGCAGATAAGCATACAGCACAGAAACACATTTGCACGCAGCAACCCTTCCTTCACTCCGTGAAATAAACTGTGATTTTATTCTATTCTATTTCCTTCCTTCCTTCCTTCCTTCCTTCTTTCCTTCCTTCCTTCCTTCTTTTCATTCTCTCTCTCTCCATCTCTCTTTGACAAATGCTAGTTGGTTGAGACCCAAAAAAATAATGTCATGATACCTTGAGGGGAAACCTGTTGTTAAATTATGGTGACTTAGCATATTGGCTTCGCAGCACAACTGAACTCGGTTTGAACTTGCTGATGTGTGAACCAAGCCAAGTAACTTAGCCTCTGGCATCGGACCACTTTTCTAAACCACTAACACCATGATTCCATTTCCTGACCTTTCTTCCAGACCACACCATGACCTCCAACCCGTCCTCTCTAAAATGCACCCTGGACCTCATGGCTGCACGTTCCCACTGCATGCACTTTCCACCTGCAGCCCGCCAGCCCTTGTCCACACCCCTCATGCATTCCTTTTGATCTTAATAAAAAGACAAAGTTCCTGCCTTGGCTGGAAAAATCAACAAAGGCTAAGTGGTTTCCCGCTCTCCCCACTCAAGTCCACCCCCACTAGTCCACCCTCTCACCCTCCCAACTCAACACCACCCCCACCACTCCCACCCTCCCCACTCAACCCCACTCCCACCACTCCCACCCTCCCCGCTCAACCTCACCCCCACCACTCCATCCTCCACACTCAACTCCACCCCCACCACTCCCACCCTCCCCACTCAACCCCACCCCCACCTCTCCACCCTCCCCACTCAACCCCACCCCCACCACTCCACCCTCCCCACTCAACCCCACCCCCACCACTCCCACCTTCCCCACTCAACCCCACCCCCACCACTCCACCCTCCACACTCAACCCCACCCCCACCACTCCCACCCTCCCCACTCAATCACACCCTCACCACTTCCACCCTCCACACTCAACCCCACCCTCACCACTCCCACTCTCCCCATTCAAGCCCACCCCACTCTCCCTCCATCCACACTCAACCCCACCCCCATCACTCCCACCCTCCACAGTCAACCTACTTCCATCACTCCCACGCTTCCCCCAAAATGGGGAAGGAGGAAGGGAAAAAAGGGGGTCTGAAATGCAATAATGTATGTAAGGAATTTAGCACTATTTTTGGCATAGAGTGAGCAATCACTCAAGGTGGGGACCATCTCTATCCCCAAGTGCTGATGTTGAAACTAACTGCTGAGAGGAGAGAAGTGTCTAGGCATTGGGTGATGAGGTCAGATCTGTGTTTTAGGAGTGGTGTATACTTTTGCTGGCTTCTGCTCTTTGGTTCCATCTTTGAAACCCCATGACCTTCTGTTCTTCCTGATATCATGGGTGCTCTCGTCCTGTCCTGTGGCTACATCCTGCCTCTGGGCTGGAGACCCCCACACTCACATCACTAGTCCAGCTTCTGTCCTTGACTCCAGGCTCGTTCATCCAGCTGCCTCCTGGACATGTCCCCTCAACTCTCCAGTGGGCCACAAAATAATCATGGCCACAAAACCCCTTGATCAGCCTCTCCTCCCCACTCAAGCCTGCCCTCCCTCCCCATCTCAGTAAAGGGCATCTTCTCCATTTTGGGCTTTCCTTCACAGCCCCACATCCTCCATCAGCAAGTCTTTGTGGTTCTGCCTCAAAATAAATCCCCAGTGGACGCTCTCCAGTCCCACTGGCACCATCCAAGCCTCCATCATGGCTCATTTCCTGGGATCGGCAGAATAATAGGCCCCAAAGGTGCCCACTACCCAAAATCTCCAAAACCTGTGACTGGGTGACCTCACATGGCAACAGGGACTGTCAAGATGTGATTAAGCTAAGGACCTTGAGATAGTGAGATTATCCTGGTTGTCTAGATGAGCCCGGTGGTAGTCCATTCTTGAAATGCTATAAAGAAACATCTGAGACTGGGTCATTTGTAAAAAAAGAGGTTTAATCGGCTCACAGTTCTGCAGGCTGTACATGAAGCATGCTAGCATCTCTTTCTGGGGAGGCTTCTGGAAGCTTCTCTTCATGGTGGAAGGCAAATCGAGAGCAGGCGCCCCACATGGCGAAAGCAGGAGCAAGAGAGCCAGAGGGAGACGCTCCCTATTTTTAAATGAACTGATCTCATGAGAATTCACTCACTATCGAGAGGACAGTACCAAGGGGGATGGTACTGTCCCCATTCATGAGAAATCCACCCCCATGATCCAGTCACTTCCCACCAGGCCCCACCTCCAACACTCAGGACTACATTTCAATATGAGATTTGGGCAGGCTCACAGATCCAAACTATATCAAGTCCAATGTAATCAGAGGGGTCCTTAGGAAAGGGAGGCAGGAGGGTCAGAGTTACTGTAGAGGTGATGATGAGGGAGAGACAGAGAGAGACAGGAGGAGGGAGATTTGAAAATGCTATATTTCTGTTTTTCAAGATGAGCGAGAAGTCACAACCTGCATCTGCAGGCAGCCTCTAGAAGCTGGGAAAGGCAAGGAATGGATTCTCCCTTGGAGCTTCCAGAAGGAACACAATCCTGCTGACACCTTGATTTTAACCCAGTGAGACCCATGTCAGATTTCTGACCTACAAAACCATGGGATAATAAATATGCGTGTGTGTGTTTTTTAAGCCACATGAGATTTGTGGTAAGCTTGTTACAGCAGCAATGGGAAACTCACCCACCTCTTCACTGTCTCTGCCTCTTAACTGGTCTCCCTACGGTTCCTCTTGGCCTGTTACTCCATTCTCTGCACAGTAGACAACGTGGGCTTCATAAAACCTTCTATCAGATCACATCACTTTGGCAAAGAAAACCTTCCAATGGCTTCCATCATCCTTAGAACAAAATTCCAACTGTTCAACATGGCTGAAGAAGTCCAGTTCCTAGTCTCTCTGAGTACACCCTCCCTCCGATGTCCCCCTCTTGCCCCCACTTCTCTAGACTCTAAACACCCTGGACGTCTTTCTTTTCCTTGAGCAATTCACCCATGTTGCCACCTCCAGGCATTTTTCTGGGCTGTTTCTCTTCCAGGAATTTTCTTGTCATTTGCCCTTAAGGGCTTGGTCTGAGGTCTTCTCTGATGACATCTGCATGTTAAAAAAAAAAAAAAAAAAAAAAGCCCCTCTGTCCTTGGCAAATCTCTATCACGTTCCCCTGGTTTATTTCATCTCTACCATTTATCAGTAACTGAAATTACCTTATTCATTTATTTATTTCTTTGCCTACAATTGTGTGGTTGATGCGGGGAGTGAGGCAGTTGTTTCTCAGTCCCCCAGCACTCGAATGATGGCTGGGCTATGGCAGCACTCAATATTTATCAGTTTGGATGAAGGAATGCATGCATGCATGAATGAATGAAAGGAGGAACGCAGCCCTATATAGTGGCTGGCGCAGAGTCAGTGTTGAATAAAGATGACTTATTTAATATCCTTATCATGATGATGACCAATGAGAAAGTGGCTTGTTCACCATGAAGTCCTACACACAAGTGTGTCTTCCTCATTAACTGCGTTAGCTCCCCTGCTGGGGGAGAGCCAGCTGGGACTGCCTTGGGTCTCAGCACCCCAAGAATCAAGTTGAAAGATGCAGGGGCCTGGCATGGGGTGTAGGAAGTCTGAGCTGGCAGAGACCCAGTCTAGTGGCCAGACAAGAAGAAAGAAAGTTCCTTGGGGGAGACGCTTGTGTTATTACAAGTGCAAACTTAGAGAGGCAACAAATGCCTATTTCTCAGTGTACACACACACACACACATATGCACATACACACACACACACCCCACCTCAGACCCACCAGGGCCCTGCCAGCAGATCCAGCGGATGAGAAACCTCTGGAGGATGAATTTGCAGACGCCTCCCCAGGCGCTATCTGGAGCGACCCACCAGTCATTAACACTCTATGCAGCTGAGCACATGCTTTTTATTGGGATGAGTATAAATAAACAACAACAGGAGACTTGAAAAAAATGACCCCCAGAGGAAACCCGATCCTCAGGCAATTAGAGCACTTCTGTTCAGATAATTGCTGGCTGAAATGGTGAGCTGGGTGCCAATCCTCCAAAGGCAACAACACTGGCCACCACAGGCTGATTGCAGCCCCCCAGCCACGTGAGCCTCCCTGCCTTTGTCTGCTACTCAGTGAAGGGAAACCCAGAGTGTGAATAGTGCATGCACCATGTTCAGTGAATCTGGCAGTGAGTGTGGCCAAGGCAGGGGTTCTCACAGGGGTGGGTGATTTTAGCCCCCAGGGTAAGTTTGGCAATGTCTGGAAATAATTTTGGTTGCTCCAGCCGGCATTTAATGGGTGGAGGCCAAAGATGCTGCTAAACGCCCTGCAATGCCCAGGATAAGCTCCCACAATAGAGAATTGTACAGCCCAAAGTTATCTGCAGTGCTGCAGTTGAGAAGCCCTGGTTTAGAGAGAGGAGCTCCCTAAACATCTACAAAGGCAGAAGCTGCTAATGGACTCAGAACACTCACCATGGGCCAAACACTGTCAAACATAAGGCTCCATCGCCGAATCCTCATAACAGCATTATGAGGTTTAATTACCACCTTAGTTTCACAGATAATGAATGAAACTGAGAGCAAAGGAGCTTCTAGAAGATGTTAAGCAACTTGTTCAAGATCCCACTGCTAGTCCACACACGGCCAGCCTTCGAAGCCGAATTGACCCCAAAGCCTGGCTTTTGGCCCCAGGCACAACCAGTGCTCACAGTTATAAAGCTCTTACTTTGTGCCAGTCACTCTCACACATACCACCTTCTAGACTCCATGGGAAATGTGGAATGGTCGGGAAAACACAGCCTTTGGCTTCCTATGGACCTGAATTCTATGACCTGCTCTGCCATTTTTATTTGCCACGAAATCTTGGGCATGTTAGTGAAACTCTCTTGTTTCTTTATCTGTGAAATGGGCCAATAATGTGACCCGCCAAAGGGTTTATGCAGTATTGTATGTAAATGCCTTCCAACAGGGCCTAGCACACTGACCTCAGTGAACAGTAGCTATGACTGTGATTGTTACTACTGAGTTTGAAATTCAGAGCCACAGAGGTGCTGATTTTTATTAGGGAAACGGCCACATAGCGCAAGCAAGGGAGACTGAGGGTGGGGGGCAAGAAGGTGAGAGGGACAGGAGGCAGTCCATTCCTGTAGCTGCCAGAACTGTTGCACCCAATGTCCCTTTGTCCTCCCTCCTTTGGGGAAAGTGCTGTGTTTGGTTTGCTGGTGAAGGCCCATGATCCTCTGTCTCACAGAAATAATCAAACCTGTAAACATAAAAGAGTGGGCTGCAGGGAGGGCAGGGGGATTCCACTGCAGAGTATAGGGCCACTCTGTCTTTGAGCCTGTTGGAGGTGGGGCAGGGGCTAGGATCACCCCCAGACAACACACATAGCTAGGCTTCTTCCCTTATGAAGGGAGGAGAATTAACACTTTTTCCCCATCTGTTCTGCAAAGGTACTTTAGATACAGCTCATCCAATTTTCCCAGAAATCCCTGCAAAGTCATATTACACCCATCTCACAACTGGGAAAATTGAGGCCCAGTGAGGTTTGTTAATGTGGTCACAGTTGTACAGCTGGGAAATGGCAGCTCTGAGCCCTGATTCAGTGCTGATGCCTTTAACCACTCCACCTCAGGCCCAGTGTGACTGTGCAATATGGTGCTAAGACTGGTGGGCCCACTGGGGGCTTCTCTCTACCTCCTTTCTCTATCCCACTAGGGACTGTTGGCCACAGTAAGCATATGTCCCAAGCCCCAGACCAGCCTCTTGGTCTGAAAAGATTGAGTGTACTTAGCAGGCACAATGGGACTAAAATCAGGACCTCCTAGAACAGCACTGTCCCACAGAACTTTTGGACAATGCAAGTGTTCTATATTCACGCTATTCAATGTAGTGGCTGCTAGCCACAGGTGTGAGCTAGTACAATTTCAGAACAGGATGTTCAATTTTATTTAATTTTAATCAATTGAGTTTATGTATTTAAAGTCACATGTGGCTAGTGGCTTCCACATTGGACAGTGCAGGGAAAATGTAGGACTCAGTCTGTGGGCTTTTTGCTAACCATGTCCTTCTCAATGATTCCTTCAGGTCAACCAGCCCTCCATTTCTCTGGGCTAAGGGGTGAGGAAGCCTCTTGGATGAGCTGAGTTCACAGAGGATCCCCCTTTCATGTTTCCAGTCAGTCACAGGTCAGTCAGCCCACCCACAGACATATGCTGAGACCCTATTGTGAGCCAAGCCCAAGCCAGGTGTGGGCACCGTCCCTACCCTGGAGGAGGTCCTGGGCTAATAGGACAAGTTAAAGAATAGCAATAATCATATAATGATATCAATGATGATGATGATCATTATGGTGGTGGTGCCAGTGATGATGAAGATAGTGAAAATGGCAATAATGACAGTAGTGATGGTGGTGGTGATGATAGTGATAAACATGGTGGTAGTAATGATGAAGATGGTGATGATGTTGATGATGGTGATGATGATGATGGTGATGAAGATGGTGATGACTATAGTGGTGGTGATGATGGTGATGAAGATGGTGATGACTCTAGTGATGGTGATGATGGTGATGAAGATGGTGATGACTATAGTGATGGTGATGATGGTGATGAAGATCATGATGACTATAGTGATGGTGATGATGATGATGGTGATGATGATGATGGTGATGACTGTAGTGGTGATGATGATGGTGATGAAGATGGTGATGACTATAGTGATGGTGATGATGGTGATGAAGACAGTGATGACTATAGTGATGGTGATGATGATGATGGTAATGATAATGGTGATGAAGATGGTGATGACTATAGTGATGGTGATAATGGTGATGACTACAGTGGTGATGATGATAGTGATGAAGATGGTGATGACTATAGTGATGGTGATGATGTTGATGATGGTAACAGTGGTGATGACGATGGTGATAATGACAATGGTGATGGTGATGATGGTGGTGATGGTGATGATGACAGACAATGATGCAGCTAATGATGAACAATGATAGTGTTGCTGATAAAGTCACTATCGATGAAATAAGAACAGGGACTTGGAATCATCCTCTGGATTCAAATCCACATTCCACCACTTACTAGCTATGAAGCCATGGGCAAGTCATTTACCCTCTTTGACCCTCAGATTTCTCTTTTGAAAAATAAAATTAATAAAAGCATGTCTGCCTAAGATGGCTAAGATCATTAAATAAAACACGTAAAGCATAGCCTGACACATGAAGGAATGAATAAATATTAGCTTTATTATTATTAGTCACTACTATTTATTCAGGGAATACTACTTCTCAAGTTAATGTCTTAATCTCAGTTAGTCTTCACATTGACTCTACCTCATTTCCATTTGACAAATAAGAAAACTGAGGCTCGGATAAGTTTAGAGAATTTGCCCAGGTTCTTAGGAACAAGTGGGAGTGCTGTGACTTGAATGCCAGTCTACACGACTTCAAAACTTTTCAGGTTGCCTAGTTGCCCACTGTGCTGCAAGTTAGGCACAATAAGCAGACTCAACATGGCATGGTAGAAAGAGAGAAAATGTGGATGCCTGCGTGCACCAGCTAAGTGGTTGGGATAACTTCATTTCTTATGGCTTCAGTGCCTCACCCATAAAATAGAACCATTTCTGTCCCTGGATCAGTGTAGGGAATCCATGGAAGCATATGAGTTCATCAATACAGTAGTCCATGGAAAAGCCTCATGTGGAGCTGGCACCCAGCCACAGTCAATATTAGCTCACGTTATCAGCGAGTATTGAACCATTTTTCACAGGCCCTACTTACAGCACCCCACAAGTACTCCCTTGATGACCTTTTCTCTCTCCCCTTTAATGACACACAGTGCTAACCTCCAAAGCCCTTTTCCTGAGTGGGACAAAGGAGTGTGTTACTTCCCCACACAGTTTTGCACTACTCGGCAAGGCCACAGCGAGGGGGGTATGAGCTCTTCAGGGTCTTGGTACACCCCTGCCACAGACCCTCCCCGGGTTATCACCCTGGTGCATCAGAGTGTAAAGACTCCACAAGGAATTCTGAAATCACCAATGATCTGCTGAGGTGAGAGCTGCCAGGGAAGGGAGAGGGTATTTATAAACCTGGCGCTGGTGACTGAGCCCTTAGGAAACTGAGAGAGAGCAGCTTTCCTGCCCCGCAGGGAAACCAAAGAGGAAAAACACCAACAGGCTTCAACTTTGGGCTCGAGTCAAAAGCCACTGAGGGTGCATCCAGGTCCCCTTCTAAATTTAGAACATTCAGCCAAACCATTTCTCCAGCTCACCGAGCGTCTTTTCCCTTGGCTGGGGAAAGCCAGGGGGCTTCTGAAAGCCAGGGACACAGATGGGAGGTCAGATCCAAACCTGCTTTGCCTCCATTTTTGTTTCCATTGCACTGGGGCCAAGACACTCCAGGCCTTTCTCATGCCTGAGACAGGAGAGTGGGGTATAAAGCAATTTGAAGTCAGAGAGGATGTTCAAATGTTGGCACTGGCTGCTGATTCTAACCAGCCTAAGATCTCAGACTAGCATCTTAAGCTTCCTGTATCTCATTTCCTTCATCTATAAGGTAAGAAAACCTTGGGCAGGTGACTTTTACCCAGGTGAGTCTTCATTTCATCACCTCTTACAACAGGAAAGGAAGGCTTCCCAGGTATCTTCTAGTCCCCAACCCTCAGTTTCCTTATATTTCTTTTTCTTTCTTTCTTTCTTTCTTTCTTTCTTTCTTTCTTTCTTTCTTTCTTTATTCTTTCTTTCATTCTTTCTTTCTTTCTTTCCTTCTTCTTTCTTTCTTTCTTTCTTTCTTCTTTCTTTCTTTCTTCTTTCCTTCTTCCTTCCTTTTCTTTTTTTTTTGAAGGTGTTTCACTCTTGTTGCCCAGACGGGAGTAGTACAATAGCATGATCTCGGCTCACTGTAACCTCCGCCTCCTGGGTTCAAGCGATTCTCCTGCCTCAGCCTCCCGAGTAGCAGGGATTACAGGCATGCACCACCATGCCTGGCTAATTTTGTATTTTTAGTAGAGATGGGGTTTCTCCATGTGGTCAGGGTGGTCTCGAGCTCCCGATCTGAGGTAATTCACCCACCCCAGCTTCCCAAAGTGCTGGGATTACACGCTTGAGCTACCTTGCCTGGCCAATTTCCCTATATTTCACAGGAGAGCAAGACTTACTAGATATCTTCCAGTCCCCAAGCCTCAGTTTCCCTATCTTTCACAGGGAAAAATTACGACTCAGAAAAATTCCAAGAGGGTTAAGTACAATGGCAAGCCAAGAGTGCCTAGCCCAGGGACATATGGTGACACTCAATCCATGTGGGTAGAACCAAGATGGAAACTAGAATCTGCAAGTCTCTATTCTGAGTCTCTCTTTCTCTCCTTCTTTTTTTAATAACTTCAACACACGTATTTAAACATTGCCTATGTGATCCCCAGCCCTATTATTAGTCCAGAGATAAAAACAGGGGTCAGAGCAATTGTAATCAAAAGCCATTTCTCTATCCCCGACCCTGGTGCTATGGTGTGAATTTTTGTGTTCCCCTAAAATTCCTATGTTGAAATGTAACTGCCAAGGTGATGGTATTAGGAGGCGGGGCCTTTACGAGTTGATTAGGTTATGAGGGCAAATCCACCATGAATGGAATCAGTGCCCTTATAAAATAGGCCTGAGAGAGCTCCCTGCTCCTTCCATCATGTGAGGACGCAGTGAGAAGGTGCCATCTGAGAAAGTAGGCTCTCACCAGACATAAAATCTACTGGTGCCTTGATCTTGGACTTCCCAGCCTCTAGAACTGTGAGCAATGGATTTCAGTGGCTTATAGGCTACCCAGTTTATGGTATTTTGTTATAGCGGCCTGGATGAATTAGTACTATCTCCTTCATTAATAATAATAATAATAATAGCTAAAAGCAATTGAGCACTTACTATGTACAGACATTGGGTTAAGACTTTACATAAATTATATAATTAAATCAATTACCAATGGTTTATATATATGTCAGAACCTAGGGTCATTTGATACAACAATAAAAATATAAAATAGCAACAGCAATACAAAAACTTTCCTTCTCTGACTTAATCTTCCCATTATCCCCACTATATGCTACCAGGGGCATCACACATCAGCTCAAGAACAAGCCCCTTTTAGGTATTCCATGGAGCCTGCCATATAGTCCTGCTCACCAGCTCCAGCGCCATCTCTCTGTGGAAGCGTCCATTGCTGTTCCCAAAGCCCCACTGCACTGCACTATGTCCTCTAGCTTGACGCCATCATGGGCTCCAACAACCACCCCTGGTGGGAAAGTACCTATCCCCACTCGGGCTACATCCTGTTTCCCTGGTTAAAAAACACCACGGCTCTGTGCTTGCAGCGCCTCACCAAGTTTTGATATGAAGCAGCTCTTTGGTTCTGTGCTCAGGTTTTACCATAGCTGCCTTGCTCTAGGGGGAGTTCAGTGGGGAAGCGCCTTCCTCAGATATGGACCTCTGTTCTTGCAGCAAGCTTTTGGCCTGGATTCAATCTTCCTTCAGAATGTTTCTTTCCCAGGAGACCCTGAGCAAAGAATCTCCATGAGGCCATCCCATCATCTTCTAGACAGGCCCAGGCATTTCTGACTCCTGCGGTGAACACAATAGTTTGTGCTTCCCAGCTGGGACTCACACTCAGAAGATCAAGCTTCTGGCCAGCCATGTAGCGACTCAAAGCTTGTGGTTGTCTTCTTAGTACTGGGTTGGTTTTGAAATGACTCATCCACAGCGTCTGGCTGCTTTTTGTGAGAAACTTTGTGCATTGTTGAGGCAAATGGTTAGCATGAGGGGTTCATCTCTGCTCATGATGATTGTTCAATACATGCTCAATGATTTAGACTAAATTTCACTCATGCATTCATCAAATATGTATGAGCTTCTGCTCTGTACACCCTACAATGGCCCTAGGATGGCATTTGGAGACACTGATGTGCAAAACATAGTCGCATAGCTGAAAGGGTCAGATATTCATTTATTCAAAAAATGGGCACAAAAATGTACAAAATGCAAAAAATATCTTCCCTTGTGGAACTTGCATTTGAGCATGAATAAGTACATGCAATGAAGTACCAAGTGGAGCTGCTATCAGAGAACTCTGGAAGAATACAACAGGGTGAAGAAGAGGAATGATTAATTCTATGTGGAGAGGGGAGGAGGATCAGGGAAGGCTCCTGGCGGTGGGGGAGAGGGGTGATCCCTGAGTGAAGTCTTGATAGAATAATAGGTATTAATAGGTTTTGAAGACAAGGACACAGTGTAAACAAAGGAATGGGACTGCTGGCTGGTAGGGGAAACCAAGAGTAGATTGTAGAAGTTGGAACATTGAGTACAGGGAGAAGAAGGAGTGGCATCATGAGAAGAGATGAGGTCTATGAAGACCTCAAAATGAGAACTTCTAGTCCGTGGTTCCCTAGGAAACTGAGCCCGAGGGTAAAGCTTTCCAGGGAGTGCAATCCCTGGGAAGTAGAAATGAGGGAAAGGGGGAGTAAGTAAGGGAGGCACTGGGAGCAAATAGAAGGATGTCATTACCCAACTGGTCATGACTTGGTGACAAGATGATCTCTTTGGCTTTACCAGGCATCTTTGCAGAGAACGTGAGAAAGATTGCATCTCTGAAACATCCATCTAAGCGAGGGAAGACAGGGGACTTTACACAAGGCTTCCATAAGGCATTGGTCAACATTTGCCCCATAGGTGATTAACTCCTGCACTTCTGATGTGTAAGCACTGGGCATGTGGGAACACCAGGTGGATCATGTAGTGTCTTGCACCTGGAGGAAGCCCCTGGGCAGGAGAAAAGAGGGCCATGCAGGCTCATGGCCGGAGAGACCCTAACAGTAACTGGGATTTGGAGCAACAGTAGAGGCATGCTCCTCCCTTTGTAATTCAGGCCCAGCTGACGAGCATTAACATCAACACAGACCTTAAGACTGACAGAAAAGACTCTTTAAGTCTGATAAGAAACATGTATATCTATTCTCTCTGAAGCCTACTACCTGGCTTCCCCACCTGCTGCCTCAACAACCTGGCTATAAAACTAGGGAACAATATAAGACGCTGCTAGGGCTGCCCCAGCTAGAAAGCAAGGCAAGTGCTCAGATACAGGATGGTATTTAAACTGAATCTGGTACAAAGCCTTCAATGGATTTTAATCTGTAGAGTAATGTATTCGAATTTGTGTTTTTAAAAGACCACTCCTGGATTTCTCAAAGAACTGAAAGTAGATCTGCTATTTGATCCAGCAATCCCACTACTGGGTATCTACTCAAAGGAAAAGAAATCATTATATAAAAATGATATCTGCTCATATGTTTATCACAGCACTATGCACAGTAGCAAAGATAGGGAATCAACCTAAATGTCCATCAACCAATGAGTGGATAAAGAAAATATGGCATGGATATACATATGTACGTATATACCATATAAAAGTGGTGTATACACACACACACACACACACACACCAAGGAAAACTACTCAGCCATTTAAAAAAAGAGTGAAATAATGTCTTTTGCAGCAACTTGGATGGGACTGGAGGCCATTATCCTAAGTGAAGTAACTCAGGAATGGGAAACCAAATACCGCATGTTCTCACTTATAAGTGGGAGCTAAGTTATAGGTACACAAAAGCATGCAGAGTGGTATAATCACATTAGAGACTCAGAAGGAGGAAGGGTGGGAGGGGGGTAAAGGATGAAAAAAAATCACCTTTTGGGCACAATGTAGTAGTGTGATGCGTACCCAAGTACTCATCACACTACTCAGGAGATGATTACACTAAAAGCCCAGACTTTACTACTGTATAATTCGTCCACGTAACAAAAAACCACTTGTACCCCTAAAGCTATTAAAATAAAAACATTTAATAATAAAAAATTTTAAATTAATAAAAAGACCACCCCAGCTGCAGAGTAAAGAATGGGTTTCGAGTTTCCCAAAGAGTGCTCCATGCACCAATGGAGATATTTCAAAGTATTTTATGTCTTTATGTTGTGCACAGGTTTATTTTACTAGCTAAGTTTTTAGAAAATGTATGTGTATATGTTTTACAGGTGTTTATGTAGACAGTACAATGTTAGATTTTATATAATAAATGCAGTCAATGTAAACAAACGTGCAAGGTTGAATACTACAGATGGGAGAGAGATGTGGACAAAATCAAAAAGGTAAAGTTTAGGAAATGCTGGATTAGACTGAAGGGTAGGTGACCAGCTAGGAGAGAGAATCAGGAGATAAAATGAAAGAACCTACCATGATAGGAATGAGAGGAAGGGATAGATAAGAACAATGTTGAGGAGTCAGGTTTCAAAGGACTTGGTCGTTAACTGGATATAGGAGCCTGAGAGAAAGATTAAAATTCAACGATGCTTTAGCAATAAGAAGGTAAAGGATTCATGGAAGGTCAGATGCAGAACTTCACCCCTTCAACTCTGTGTCCCAACCCCATGGGTTCATTAGACAGAGGATGAGCTGCTGATTTGCCAACCAAGAGCTCCAAAGCCAGATGTGCATGCCCTACGTGTGCTTCAGATGAAGAAGTGTGGACCTCAGTGTGGACCTTCGGAAATGGTGAGGACTGTCTGGGCCGGAGAAGAGCAAACACAGCAGTGGCACAATGGCAACCAGCTGATGAACCATTCTTGTGGGAAACAACCCCAGCCACTTGGATCCCAGCCTGGTGAGTCAGCACCCAGGCTACTGCTTGCCACCCACCAAGAAATGCACATGTTTGGAAATTTGATGACATCTGGAGTTTCAGTCTTAATCAGGCTGGTTTTGGCATTTCCTTTCCAGGCATGGAGCTGTTTCTGGGTATTTTTCAAAATTGTCTATAGGGAATGCCATAGAAAAACCCCTAAACTGAATCTTGCTAGAGCCACACCTTGCAATTCCACGACTTTTGCACATTTATCTAATGATTTGCCGAGTAGCCACACCAACAAAGGACAGAGCAGAGACTGTAAAGGGATGGAGCCAAGCTGTACCTAGGCAGAAAAGTTTCCCCACCTGCTGCCTCACGCCCATCTCTGCTGTGTACCAGGTGTAAACTAAAAATAAAATTCTAAGCCCCTCAACCATCTGAACGGACCCCTCCCCTTGGCCAAGGGCGTTCTAAAGTTAGCCTGAAAAACTAATGCAGGCCATCATGGGAAGCAGGAGTTGGACATGCTCCTGCCTTTGGAGTTCAGGCCCAGCTGACCAGTATTAACATCAACACAAACCTTAAGACTGATAGAAAAGACTCTTTAAGTCTGATAAGAAATATGTACATCTATTCTCTCTGAAGCCTACTACCTGGAGGCTTCAACTGCATGATAAAAGCCTGGTCTCCACAACCCCTTATTTAACTCAGACATTCCTTTCTATTGATTCCAAGTCTTTAGACAATAACTTAACTCTTTCCATCAACTGTCAATCAGAAGATCTTTGATCTACCTATGACCTGGAACTACCCCTCCACCCCAACCACCACCACCTCACCCCACCCCCTCACTCCCTCATTTTCACTTCTAGTTGTTCCACCATTCTGGACCAAACCAATGTACAGCTTACATGTATTAATTGATGTCTTATGTCTTCCTAAAATGTATAAAACCACGTTGTAGCCCGACCACCTTGGGCACATGTTCTCAGGATCTCCTGAGGGCTCCGTCATGGGTCATGGGTCACTCATATTTGGCTCAGAATAAATCTCTTCAAATATTTCACAGAGCTTGACTCTTTTCATCAACACAGGTGTGACAGTGGCAAATCAGTTATCTGGGGTTCTCCTACTTCATCTAAAAACTGGAGGAAATATGCTCAGTAAGGTACTTTGCAATTGCTCAATGTCTTGTAGTCATGATGATGATTTTGAGATGTCTTATACTTTGTCTTTTATCATCAGCACTCCTCCAGCTCACAGATTCTCTTACTCCTTGCGAATGAATTTTGGACCAGGAATAGCCGTATCTGTGAGTTTGTTTTGAGTCAAAAGTCTGGTCGACACACCATTACTACCTAACTGCCAGTCTACCAGTCTAGGATCATAGCACTAACCACTGCAACCCCAAAAGTGGTGTGTCCAACACCACTCTCTTGGATGACGCATGGTGTGGAGCAGCAGTTCTCAAAGTATTTTCTGGGAAATTCTAGGGGTCCCTAAGACCCCTCCAGGGAGCCTGTGAAGTCAAGGCTATTTTCATATTAATAATACTAAGGCATTGCTTACTTTTTTCATTCTTACTGTCATGAGCGTCTGGTTGAATATTCCAGAAGCTACATGATATGTGATATCACAACAGATTGAATACAGAAGCAGATATAAAATCCACCTGTCATCTATTACATCAGACATTTAAAAGATTTTTAAAAATACAAAAGAATGCCACTCTTCTCACTACTTTTTTATTTTGGAAAATGCAGTTGTTTTTCATAAAAATGTTATTCATGTCAATATGTAACGGGTCTATTATTGTTATATTTATGTGAGTTAAAACTTTTTAAAATTTCTTCATTACATTTCTAATATCTTAAATATCAGTAGATACCACTCATATACATAAAAGCTCTTTGGGCTCTTTAATCATTTTTTTCATGAATCCTTAATTATATTTATTTTTTAAATATAAGAATATTTTTAAAAGTATAACCACAGTAGGATTAACCACCTAAAAATTAACAATAATTCCTTAATATTATGAAATATTCATTGTTCCAATATTTCAGATTGGCACACACACACATACACAGTTTTTCATTTAAATTGGGATCCGAAGTAGTCCTTATATGGCAATTGGTAGATATGCCTCCTAGGTAATCCCATCCCACTGATATTTTTTTTCTTTGAAATTCATTTGGTTATAAAACCTAAAGCTGAAATAGTTTGTGTGGTTTTCTACATTCTAGGTTTGACTAATTGCGTTGATGGAGTTTTGTTTAACGTATTTCTCTGCCCTCTGTATTTCCTGGACATTACAAGTTTCATTTACAGGCACGATTATACCCAGGTGGGATAATACTTGCAAGGGTGCTTTCTCGGTGGTGGTGTGTCCTAGCATGAGAAGGCACAAGATGTCTGACTGGGGAAGTTGACAAGAATGGTGATCATAAATCTGATAACTCATTAGTGGTTACAGCTCAATCACTTTTAAGAGCATGAAAGGATCCTGTGACCAAAGTGTATGAGAAAACCAAGTGTGAAGATCACAGTTTTTCAAATGAGACGACTCCATACTCCACTCCCAGCAGTTGCCATTTATTAGCTGAGACTAGGAATGGATTTGGAAAAGTTACTTAACCTCTTTGAAATTCAGTTTCCTTGTCTGTAAAAGGAGGATCATAATATTCTCCAACCAACTGCTTGATTGTAAAAACTAAACAAAACAACAGATACAAAAGTCAGTGTGTGGCACCCAGGGTATGGAAGGTACTCAATTGATTATCTCTCTCTCCTGATAACAATCGAATTCAGAAGCTGACAGGGAAAACTATTCTGAGTCCTGAGTAAAAGTGGACAGTGGGCTGAAGAGGGAGACAAATTCTCCCTCACTTCTTCCAAGGTACAGGGGCCACCCCATCCCCACCTTGAGCTAGGTGCTATCAGAACTACTATGGTCTTGTGATTCAGATAGAGATGGTTTCCAAGAATGATTCTGCCATTATCTGGCTGTGTGATCTCTTGGAGCCAAGAGCCAAGTTCCTTGGGGGCCATGATACATAACTCTTGGGTTCATTGTGAGGAATCATGATCTACTACAGATGGTATGCTGACTATGGGACCTGATATGTTACATATAGGCAACAATGGTGCTGGTTGCTTGCATTGTGTTAATAATACTATAACTGTATTAGGAACAATTTTTTTTGCTGCTATTGGTGGTGATGATGTGGGTGTTGTTGAAGAAGGGGGGAAACTAACCTCTCTCACTCCACAGCTAAGAAACATAAAGGGTAAAAATTGGGATCTCAGGATTGATTAATGGGCACACAACCTTCCAAGTTGAGCTCCCTTGTACAGCATGACTAGAAAATAAAATGGGACCTCTTGTCTACCTTTCATTCCCAAGTACACCTTCTCTTCTTATTCCTCTTATTCAGGCAGAAAAGATAAAGAATGGAAGCCCTCCCTCCAGGGGTGCACACCAGCCAAGGGAAGAGATGTGTATTTTGTCTCTGGGACCCAGTCAACAAGGCCTAGTGCATGTCAGGCTCTCACTGATCAGAGGGGCACCACCGTCTCCCATGGAGAAACTTGAAGAAGGACTAGAGAGAAGTGCAAGCTGTCTTGCCAGCACTTCTGAGTCATTGGTGGGGGTTCCTACACTAAGAGCAGAAGTAGGAACATGGGAAGGGGAAGAGAGAGCTTCCCCTGTAGTAATAAAAATTTAAAAACGGCCTCCATGATGATAATCCAAAAAACTGACAAGACCAAACGCTGATGTGGTTGTGGAGCAACAAGAATTCTCATTCATTGCTGGTGGGAATGTAAAATGGCGCAGCTACTTTGGAAGATAATTTAACAGTCTTACGAAGCTAAAGCTAAACATAGTCCTGCCATACTACCCAGTATTTGTACTCCCAGGTATTTACGCAAATGATTTGAAAACTTACGTTCATGCAAAAAGTTGCACATGATGTTTATGTGCAGCTTTGTTCATGATTACCGAAACTTGGAAGCAACCAACACATCCTCCAGTAAGTGAATGGATAAAAAATTATGGGACATCAATACAATAGAGTTTCTTTGTTTTTTTATTTTCTACAACAGGGCCTCACTCTGTCACCCAGGGTGGAGTGTAGTGGTGCGATCATAACTCCCTGCATACTTGAACTCCTGGACTCAAGCAATCCTCCTGCCTCAGCCTGCTGAATGGCTGGGACTGCAGGCATGCACCACCACAACTGGCCTCCCATACAATAGAATATTATTCAACAATAAAAAGAAATTTTTAATAAAGTCACAAAGAAGACATGGAAAAAGTTAAATGCATATTGCTCAGCAAAATAGGCCAATCTGAAAAAGCTACATACTTACATACTGCTTGATTTCAACTACATGAAATTGTGGAAAAGGCAAAACTATAGAAATAGTAAAAAAAAAAAAAGAAAAGAAAAGTTGCCAGGGGTTTCAGAGGAGAGAGGTAAGGATGAATGGCTAGAGCGTCAGAGACCTTTTTAGGGCAGTGAAACTATTCTGTATGATACTATAATGATGGATACATGACATTACATATTTGTCAAAACCACAGACTGTACAACACAGAGTGAACCGTCATGTAAACTATGGCCTTTCATTAGTAACATTAATGAATCAATATTGTTTCATCAGTTGTTGCAAATATACCACACTAATGCAAGATGGCAATAATAGAGAAAAGCGTATGGGGTTTGGGGAAGAGGGTATATGAGAACTCTGTGCAATCTGCCCAATCTTTCTGTAAACTTTAAACTGCGCTAAAAAGTAACATACATTAATTAGAAAACAAGCAAACATAGGATTAATTGCTTTCTGAGCCAGCTAACACATCTTCAGACCTGAAAAAAAAAATCTGACAGTTAATTATGACAAATAATTCTGACAATTGATGCCCAGCCCCAGAATCCAGGCAGAGAGAAAGACAACAGTCACTGATAAATTACAACAGAGGCATCACAAAGGGACAAGAAACCCCTCATGTCTAAGTTCTTGACCCACAGGCCCAAGGAAGAAGCTAATCCCTGTCCCAAGCCCCAGTGAAACTCTGCTGAACTCATCCACTCTGACCACCATTGCCATCCCTGATCTCCCAGCTGGTGAAGAGGATGCCATGCTCTCTCACAAGAGAATCACTAGTGCCCCCCAAAGAAAACCAACCCTAGAGGACTCAGATTCCCTCAGGGTCCACCTTGTCACTAACCCAAGCATCTGCCACCTAAATCCCCTTCCCTTCAACACCAAGGTTGAATGGGTATTCAAGTAAAATGGCCCCCAGTAAATAGCTTGAGCTGCCATCACATGTACTGTGAGCTCACCAGCACCTTCCCCAGGCTGTGATAGGGGCAAGAGGAAGGAGAAGAAGACTGGGGCGACATTCTCCTGGGAGAATGTCAGTGTGCTGAGCTCTCTTCCCTTCTCTGGCTTGACTCAGACCATCAGAGTTGGGTTTTGCCATCAATTAAACTCACAGGTAAAAGCAGCATCCTGAGTTGCAATATCATTTAATATTATTTTCAATTGCTTTAACGACACTATCAAGTCCAACAGCTTGAGTCCAGTACACAGAGATCAATGTCTGGGTAACACAGTGCAGTTGAAAAAGTAGGGAATCTAAAGCCATAAGCTAAAGTTAACATCACCAGTAAAAGAACAAATGGACACCAAGTGCCTCCAGATATGATGCGCTGAGAAAGACACAACAGTTCTATCTCGTTCATGATGTCCTTGCCAAAAGTGCATAGCCTGAATTTTACAATGGGGAAAGTTCAGACAAACGCAATTTGAGGGACATTCTACAAAATATCACTGGCCTGTTAAAGTCTCCTTAAAATGTCAAGGTCAAGGACATCTCAGAAAGGTGAAGGAACTGTTCCACGTTAAAGGCAACTAAAAAGATGTGACAACTAAATGTGATGCATAATCCTAGATTGGATTCTGGACCAGAAAAAGGATATTCAGGGGACAATTGGAAACATTTGAATAATTAAATTGTAATATTGTTATGAATGTTAACTTTCTAATTCTTACCATTATGTCACACACAAGAAGTTGGCATTTAGGGGATTTGGGTGAAGGGTATGTGGAATTATTTTTGCTACTATTTTTGCAACTTTTTTGTAAATCTGAAATTATTTCAGAATTAAAAGTTTTAAAACAAACGGAAATATAAATAATAGAGTTGCTGCTCCGCTGTTTACCACTGTATCCTTGGGCGAGTCACTTCATCTCTTTGAGCCCCAGTTTTCTCTCCTATCAAATGGAGGTACTAAAAGAGACTGAGAGACTGGGCAAAACAGTGAGACCTCATCTCTACAAATAATTTAAAAAATTAGCCAAGCATGGTGGCACACACCTGTAGTCACAGCTACTCAGGAGGCAGAAGTGGCAGGATTGCTTGAGCCTTGGAAGCAGAGGTTGCAGTGAGCTGAGATTACACCACTGCACTCCAACCTGGGCAACAGAGCAAGACCCTGTCTCAGAAAAAGAAAACGGGGCACGTATACACCATGGAATACTACGCAGCCATAAAAGAGGATGAGTTCACATCCTTTGCAGAGACATGGATGAAGCTGGAAACCATCATTCTCAGCAAACTAACACAGGAACAGAAAACCAAACACCGCATGTTCTCACCCATAAGTGGGAGTTGAACAATGAGAACACATGGACACAGGGAGGCGAATATCACACACCAGGGCCTGTCAGGGGGTGGCGGGCTAGGGGAGGGATAACATTAGGAGAAATACCTAATGTAGATGACGGGTTGATGAGTGCAGCAAACCACCATGGCACGTGTGTACCTAAGTAACAAACCTGCACGTTCTGCACATGTATCCCAGAACTCAAAGTATAATAAAATGATAATAATAATAATAAAGCTGGGCTCAGTGGCTCACTCCTGTAATCCTAGCAGTTTGGGAGGCTGAGGCGGGAGGATCATGAGGTCAGGAGATCGAGAGCATCCTGGCTAACACGGTGAAATCCCGTCTCTACTAAAAATACAAAAAATTAGCCAGGCATGATGGCGGGCACCTGTAGTCCCAGCTGCTCGGGAGGCTGAGGCAGGAGAATGGCGTGAACTCGAGAGGCGCAGCTTGTAGTGAGCCGAGATCACACCACCGCACTCCAGCCTGGGTGACAGAGCAAGACTCTGTCTCAAAAATATAATAATAATAATAATAATAATAATAATAATAATAATAAAAAGAGATTGGGCATAAAAATACCTTATAAATAAGGAACTAACCTGAAATAACTGCACGTTATTTAATAGTATGTCTGCATGCTATTAAACACATTTAGGATCATATACAATTCTGAAAACAACAGCAACAGAAACCTAGACAAGAAATCTGAAGCCAAGAGGCTATGGCATCACAATACGCCACAGAGTAGGGGAGGCAGAATTCAAACCCAGGTCTATTTGATTCCAAATGCCAAGCTCTCCCAGCTCCACCAGGGCTGTTACCATGAGGACAACTTGATGAATGACACAAGACACAGGGCAGACGAGAAGAGAGACCCAAAGACTCCACAATCAAACAGGAAATGTGGCCAAGAGTAGATATAATCTTCAAGACACAACCGCAAGCTAAGAAAAAACATTATCAACCACAGATCTATTCCACCAAAGATTGGCCCACAACATCTGAATATTCTCCTCTTTGCCAATAACTGCTTGTTACCATCCAAATTGTAGTGAGAGCAGCTCATATGTCTCTTTTTGCAAGTGAAAGTGTAAATAAGGGTGGCTGCACAGGTGGCACACTGGGACACAGTATGTGCCATGAGGATGGAACCCATTAGGTCCTCTGTCACCTTGAGACTGCACGCACCTGCCATCTGTCCTGGCAAAGCCCAGGGCTCCACACTCCACAACAGCAGGAAAACTCCAAGGATCAGCCTTCTCGACCTGGCCCGCCGAGCTTGCCCTGAGAGCTCTATCTGTGTGTGCTTCTCTGCACACAGTGGCTAAATCTGCGGACCCCCCAACCATCCTACAGCCACCAATCATTGTTAAGGCCCTTAATCCAGGAGGTTATTAAGTTACACCCCACAAGTCACCATCTGGCTGGTGGGGATTTCCTGAGTGGGTGGGGTCTCCTGGCACTTCTTGAATTACACCAGCTTGGATGTCAGTCCCCAATGACAGAGTCTCAGAGACTCTCTCTGCCTCCAAATTCACTCCCAACCCTCCTGCCCCAGTCTTCAGCCAGGCTTCCATTGCTTTTAAGGGGAAAGGGAGAAGGTGAATGTCAGGGAATGAACACTTATGGGCCACCTAGTACGAGCCAGCCCCTCTTCTGGGCATTTTCTACACTTGGCTCACATAAGTTTTACAAAAACTTGTAGTAGGTGTTATCGTGCCCGTCGAACAGATTACTTACAGTGACCATAATCAAGACTGTGTCATTCATCAAAGTCAAATCAGAGATTTAAACGCAAGGTCATCTGGCTTCAAACTATGCTCTTTCTACTAAAACCTAAGAATCTCTAACATTCTTGCCTTTGCTCTCTCTGGCCACTTTTCTCAGCAAAATCTCCCCAGATTTATTACCAATTGACAATCTTGGTGGAGGAATTATCATGGGTCATGCACACACTGGCGTTTCCCACTCACCTGGTACCAAACACAGCCTCCTTCTCTTCCTTGGGCAAGACAGTGGCTGCCCTATACAAGTGCCCAGGATACCCCTCCTGCCCTCATCTTGAACCTCCCCATGTTGGCTCTTGAGACTACTGTCCATTCTGCTGCTGGGTTCTGAGTTCAGGCTCTTGGCCAGGCATTCCAGATCAATGCACTGGTCATGTCTTCTGATCTTGGATGCCAACTTCTGGACTTGGCTTCATGCCCAGCGTAGGCACACTCCTGGTCCAGTGCCACCACATCCATGTTTCCAGGAAGGGATGTGAATGATGAAGTAGAAACATCACTGGAAATCTCCAAATGCAAGAGCTTCCAATGGGACTGCTTTATGGAATCCCTGGGGGAAAGTACGCCAAGTCTCATATACTCTCATTTAATCTTGTCACCAATCCTGAGAGACGTAGTGGGAGCCCCAAATACAGATGAGGACACAGAAGGCCACAGAAGAGCAGGGGCGTGCCATGGCCCCTCAATCAGGGAGTTTCTCTAGGGGGACAATGCTCCGCTTGGTTACCAGCAAAGACCCTGCTTGCAGATCCTTCTCTGGGAAAGCAAAGGGGCTTTAGCACATCACGACCAGCTTTCTCCTGGGCCCCACTTCGGCTGTGCCCAGGCCTGCATGTGTTCAGAGCAAGACGCCTGTGCTGAGTTCACTGACTGGAGTGCCCTAAGCCCTGCCCATGGCATTCACCAGCATAAGTATTAATGTGGTCACTATTGGTTAAGTGGTAATACCATGCCAGCAATTGTCCTAAAGATATACACACGTGTGTATTTGTATATGTATGCATGTATGTATCTATCTATATAATCTCATATTATAAAATAAATCTAATACACATATAATCTCATGCACAGGTGTAAAGTCCATTTAATCACTAAAGAGTGACAATGTGCCCAAAACTCTTCTAAGCATTCTATATATAGATAAAAATCTCATGTATATATGTATATAATCTTATTTAAATGTATATTTCATATATTTGTATAAATCTAATATACCTAACACACACATATACAAAAATCACAGTCTTTAAATAGTGACTTTATGCCAACAACTCTACTAATAATTGTGTATAATAATGACATGTCATCTAATTTACATGACTCATATAAAAGATCTTGCAAATATATATATATACACGTGAAAATCTCATTTAATCATTAAACAGTGACTATATGTTAGCAACTGTTCTAAATACTATATATACTCATTTATATATAAATCTCATATGCAAATTTAATCATTAAAAATGACTATAGGCCAATAACTGTTTTCTATATTATACATTATAATTTTAGATTTCAGTGTCATTTATATACTTAAACTTTATATATATATATATATATATATATATATATATATATAATTTCACAAATATACAGACACACAGACATATACACAGGTGTGTGTAACTCTGTTAACCCTTCAAAAAGTCCCTAGAGGCAGGCACAGCTGTTATCCTCAAAGGCTGAGCAAAACCAGACACCTGGCACTTGTGATAATCAGGTATATTAGTCCGCCCTCACACTGCCATAAAGAACTACCTGACACTGGGTAATTCATGAAGAAAAGAGGTTTAATTGAGCCACAGTTCAGCAGGCTTAACAGGAAGCATGGCTGAGAAGCCTCAGGAAATTTACTATCATGGTGGAAGGTGAAAGGGAAGCAAGCACCTTCTTCACATGGCGGCAGGAGAGAGAGAGAGCAACTGGGGTTGTGACACACACTTTTAAACCATCAGATCTCATGAGAACTCACTATCACGAGAACAGCATAGGAAAAACCGCCCCCACACTCCAATCACTTCCTACCAGGTCCCTCCCCCAACATTGGGAATTACAATTCGACATGGATTTGGGTGGGGACACAGAGTCAAATCATATCACCAGGTCTCAGCTGGGCTCCTGGAAATCACACTTAGACCTGCTCCCACAAATCCTAGAGCCACTACTGCCTCAGTTATGAGCAATTCTAGTTTTGCAGCTGCTCGGACTCAAAGTCCCAGGCTCACCCTTGACCCCTCTCTCTGTCTGACTCCACAGCCCATCCACCTGCAAATCTTTGCCTTCAAAAGACTCAGGGTTTTGCTCCTTTTCACCACCTCAACCACCCCACCTCTGATTAAATTCAAGCCTCTGTCGAGGTGCAGATGGACAATCCCAAGAGTCTCATGTTATTGACCTTGCTCCTGCCATCACTGGCTTTTGTCTATTTACATGGAGGAAATTTGTTAAAGCACAAGTCAGCCCAGGCACTCCTCTCTGCACCCTCCAGGGTCTGCCATCTCAGTTGGAGAGAAAGCTCAAGTCATTGTCACAGCCTACAAAGCCCTACAGCGTGTCTCTCATATGGAGAATGCCACCACATTGAAATCACCACTTTCTAATGCCTGCATAATTTTTAGATGTAATTTGTGTATCTCACATTTATTAAGAAGGGTTTGTTAAGAGGACTCCATTACAGAGAACTATGCTACCCACTATTACACACACACACCCATAAAGCAAGGAAAGAGGTCTCCCCCTTCATCTCAGGTTGAAGAATGGGGCCTTACATATACCTCCCAAAACTTGGAGGACATAGTAGATTGGTGTCTGACTCATGCCTGAGAAATCCCTTGCATCAGTTTGGACAGAGGATGCATGAGTGTTTCCCATGAACCACATGTGGTGTGGCATGGCAAAGAACTGGCCTGGGGACTGTCTTGCCCTAAAGGGGTCAACAGAGATGAACTGGAAAAGCTGACAGTGGACAACCAGACTCCTAGGAGCTGAAGGAATAGCTGATGACATAGGGTTCATCTGGCAATTATAGAGGACTGCCCACCATCAACTGAGGGAGGTCACTAAAACCTCATACAATTTCACTATGTGAGAGAGTCAGGTATAAACACCTATGAGGCTCAGAGAGTGAAAAGCCCCACCTGTCAACAGCACCAGTCACAGAAGATCTTTCCTGCTTTTCCCAGTGCAGAAAAGGCAGCAAGGATTAGACACTTTAAATGAAGTTGGGAGCAATGATTCTTATGTGGAAAATAGTCATTTTTGATTATTGAATTGAGACTGTGTTTGTGACTAGTAACTCTTACGTATGAATGAGAGAAAGGTCCTGAAACCCATCAAGATTTCATTCAGGGTTAGGGAAGGACTACTCCCATTAAACAGACTTAAAGGGACAGTGAGAGGCAAATCAAGTTGCTTTTGTGATTGCACTCCATTACTGCTTATTCAATATACTGCTTGATCATTTAATTACTGATATATCTGATGGATGTGGGGTCTCAGCCCACTTCACTCTCTTTGTTCTTAACTTTTATCTCCCCTATTGGGGGAGGGGTTCTTTCAGCATAATGTCACATCAAAGCTAGCAAGTGAGAGATAATTGAAATAAGGAGGGTTTGTCTTATAGATATTATACTCTGAAACATCAAAAAGACCTCATCCAATCTATTGGAGGGGCCATAAGAATCTAGGAGCAAAGGACCCCACAGCTTTGACCTTCACTACTTAAGATGGAATCAGGTCTTTAGAGAAGGGGAAAACAGTCACACAAAACAACAATGATAACACCAAGAACAACAGAAAGCAAAAAGGAAAGGGAGGCCAGCAGAGGTAAAATCCTGAGCTCCATCCAATTATGGCTTCCCCACAGACCGAAAAGTATGGAGAATATGAAAAATTAACGTGGCACCGTCTTCTAGACTCTAAGTGTTCATAATTGTGTAAGATGTTCTCTCCAGCACTGTACTGTAGACATGTCAAGAATCATGGCAGATTACCCACCCTTCTCACATTACTAGACTCCAAGCTCCTGTATGACTGGGGCTGTCTGAGTAATCTCATGATTCCCCAGCACCTGTGCAGCTCCTGAGACAGAGCAGGGGGCCCATTAGCCATTACTGAATGGATGGAAGAATGGATGAACAAACAGATAGATGGATGGATGGATGACGGATGGAAGGATAATGTATGGATGAATGGAAGGATGATATATGGATGGATGGATGGATGGATAAAAGGATGATGGATGGACGATGGGCAGATGGACAAATAGATAGGATAGATGGAAGAATGACAGAATGACAGGTGAATATTTGGATTATGGACAGACAGATGAACAGATAGGATGGATAAATGGGTGGATAAATAGATGAATAAAAGAATTACAGATGAATGGATGGTTGGATGATTGACAGATGGATGGATAGGATGGATGGATGGAAGGATGGCCGATGGACAGATGGTTGGATGATAGGTGAATCGACAGGATGGATGGAAGAATGGGTGGACAGATGGAGGAACAGAAGGATGATGGATGAATAACGGATAGATGGATAGATAGAAATGGATGGATGGATAGATGGAAGAATGGCAGACACATGAACGGTTGGATGATGGACAAATGGACAGGATAGATGGATGAATGGATGGGTGGATGGATGGATGGGTAGATGGACGGATGGATATGGGTTGTAAAATGAATAAAAGGATGGCAGACAGATGGTTGGATGATAGACAGATGAACAGATAGGATGGATGGTTGGATAACAGACAGCCAGATGAATAGATAGGATGGATGGATGAATGGATGGATGGATGAATGAATGGGTGGACAAACGAATGAACAGAAGAATGACGGATGGATGGTTGGATGATAGACATGGATAGGATGGGTGGATGGAAGGATGGCAGATGGGCAGATGGTTGGATGGAAAGGCAGGTGAATAAACAGGATGAATAGAAGAATGGGTGGAGAGATGAACAGAAGGATGGTGGATAGATGGATGGATGATGGACAGATAGATGGATAGGATGGATGGAAGAATGGCAGATGCATGGATGGTTGGATGATGGACAAACAGGACAGATGGATTAATGGATGGGTGGATGGATGGATCAATGAATGGTTGGATGCTGGACTGACAGACTGATAGGATGGATGGGAGGAAGGGTAGATGAACTTGTGTAAATCCTTTTCCAAGAATCCCCTATTACCACAAATCCCTGAAAGACTTCCTATCATTCTTTTCGGCAGCCCTCACAATGTTTCTGAGGCCAGGCCCTAGAAACCAAGGGTCCTCACCAGGGTGCCACTCCTAAGAGCCATATTGTGATGATCAAAGCAATGAGAGCATGTATGTGAAAGAACTTTGTGTAAGTCCATAGTGACAAAGGTGTGGCAGCTGGGATTGTCCAAGCTCGAGCTCCAGAGAGGTTCATCTTTAGTTGAGGAGGGAGCCCCTGGTACAAGGAAACATTCTGGAAATATCAGGGAAGGGATAAATGCTGATATCAACCCCCCAAAAAATCACTCCTGTGCCCCCCAGTTCTGGGATCCTCTGGCATCAAGCTGTTGCTCCCACCTAGTGACTGTCTTCCTGAATAACTGAAGCCTCCTGGCCAAATCTGGGTAGTTTCTAGGGAGCAGAGGCACCAAATTCAGATGCCTCTGCTCCCTAGAAACACAGGCACAACCTAGAAATATCAGATGTCTCAACCGCTAGAAGGCCCCCAAAAACTTCTCTGCTCAGAAACCACAGAATCTACTCATGAACTTTATGTGCAGCCTGCAAAACGGGGAACACAAGCAAATGCAGACGAAGTTTCAACCTTTTTATTCAAAGCAGCTTCTCACAATGTATAAATACTGCATATTAGCACACATGAAAAATACAACTTCTAAGGCACCCAGAAATGTGTTCATACACGTTACAGGACCATTCACAAAGAGAGTGTACAATTTGCTCTAGACAGTCAGGATTTGATAAATCAGAAGATTATTATCCCTCAGTACTGCACCCAGTCTCAGTAAATATTTACAACATGGTGAGAAGGGGTCAGCTGTACCTTCTTTATAATTCTATGAAGTACTCAGACTTACAAATATTCAGAACTAGTTAAAGACTCTCCCATGATAATCTGGCAAAATAAAACAAGTAGCCTAATTTTGCAAAGGTCTCGGTGGATTTTGGTGTATGCTACATCCATGATCAAATCCAAACACTCCTAGGGTGGGCTGGATAAGTTTTTGGTAGCCTGCTTCATTATCGGAAGTTTGGTAATAAGCCTTACCAATAGAATACCACTTCTTCAGCATCAATCATTTCTCAACTGGTCAATGGATCAATGATTCCATCATGAATGAGAATGGAGAGAGAACTGAAGACAATTCTTCTCACACCTAACAGGAATTAGAATGGGTCAATGAAGAACAAAAGGAGGCAGACATTTGGAAAGTGCAGGATCCTACTGTTCAGTATAGACATGTCTGAAAAATTCTTACCCTGGAGGTTCATATTCAGATGGAGGAGTCTACACTGGCCAGATAACCTGGAGGAGTACCAGGCCTCCACTTTTATGATATGGATACAGGCTTGGGACTACACAGTAGAAACACCAACCTGAGATAGTGAGCTTCAATTAGAAACTCATCTTTCAGAGCCTTTTCAATATGACAACGAATCCCTCTGTATGGCCAGCCAGGGGGAGCATGAGGTTGGTGGAAGTCAGCAGTTTCTCTGCACCATCAAGCATGCACATATCTGTCTAGATGTGCCCACAATCTATGAAACTCAGGCTTTGTTAGAATAATGGAATTCTTTGGTTCTCGGTTTTATGAAAGGCAATATTGTCACAATCCTGTCAACATCGACACTGGCAAATGACTTCAAGCTGGGACTAATGGCACAGGGACAAATTAAATACTAGATGGGAAACTCTACACCCTCCAAACTTCCAAGAGTCAGCTTCAAGAGCTCCAGCATCAGGCTAGATATAAGAGCTCCAGCATCAGGCTAGAAATAAGAGCTCCAGCATCAGGCTAGATGTTGGATCAATGATATAAGGTTAAGCCATAAAAACACCAGAGGTGAAGTTGAAAACTAGATATGGGTTTTTCTGACTGCCACACACACTGCAAAAATTTAAAGCAAATCTCCATCTTAATGGCTGATAAGTTGACTTTATAAATACATACCAGAGATGAACCAAATAACTTGATTTTAGCCATATGATAGCCCTGGACTACTTTATGTGGACAACCAAAAGGAATAATAATTTCTTTTTAAGTCTAAATTCTAGTTGGTTTTATTAAACCCCAAAAACAGTGGATACACTGTCAAGGAGCTCCATGATTTATGTTCTAGAAAAACAGTCCTGGATAGACATATTCAGCTGATATGTTATGTTCTACATTTAGTTTGCCTTTGTCCTGCTAAACTCCAGTTTAGTATGGCTTGATACACATAGTTCATTGATAAGACACTGAGGACACATGGGAATGCTGATTGTGTAACTAAAATTGACTTCAGATTGTCTACACAGTAAGACTCATAGGTAAACTTTGTTAACATCTCTCAGGGAGTGCTGACCTTACCCAGAATGGACGTTTCCAAGTCATCGACAAGGAATCTGGGGCCAACTGCCAGGGTCAGGAGCAGGAAATGCCATTTGTTCAGAACAAATGATGGACCAGCAGCCTTCCCTATGACCGTGTCTAAACCATGTTTACAGTATGAAGGTGTCTCTGGAAAACCTATCCTTGGTCTATTCTTATGGCCAAAGACAATCACCAAGGTGTCTATCTGGTCCCTGCCGCCATCAACTCAATCAAACTCTTCGGATTAGCCATGAATTACAGACTGCATTCAGTCCATCAGCATGGCTTACGTTGCATGGAGGAAACAACCCGTATTACCCTTTTTAAATTTTTTTGCAACAAGCTTAAGGCTCTGTTCACAAACTCCATCAACTGCCACACAGTGAGAATTTACGGGGAGATCTTAAACTACTTATGTAGTTGCAAAGTTGAAAAATTTACTGATCCTAATGGTAAGGCTTATTCACAAATTCAATACATTTTGAAATTATACTTCAAACGCAATTACTTCGAAAAAAGATTAACCTGCTCTCCAACAATATAAGAGCATTATATTCTAATGAAAAAATTGGCACCAAACCAGTATGCTATTTTTCAAAAGAACAAGTGATATTAATGAAAAATATTGCCTAAAACGCATATCCTAACTTATCACAGAAATATAAAAGTTTATATTTTGAAAATATATACTGTATTAAAGTCTGTAAGCATTTCAACCAAAATTTGCAGAAATAACTAAGCAACACTTATCTACAACAAAAATATACATGCAAGACAACCCCAAATGGTTTCCCTTAAATATCTACAAAGGCAAAGTGTAGATGTTTAAAGATTATACAAAACCATTTACAGAGAATAAAATAAAATACTTAAGAAATCTCATTTAGAGTCTTAAATACTGTGTATATTAGTGAGAGTGTCTAAACTAATATATACAACAGATATAAGTGTCTGAATACAGAAAAACAGAAGATAAGCAATTCTGCATTTTAAATATTCACTTAGGAAGATTTGAAGATGTTTCTATTTGTTTCTCTCTGTTAAAAAATTTCCACAGAAACTAGATTGGAAAATTTAATGGATGTGACTAAATTCCAAATAAAAAAAAAGTTTACAAAATTTTTAAAACCAAAAATTAATGGGAAATGCAATTCAGCATTCAGTGAAGGCTATTTTTAAATGTGGATATTCAGAGATACAGTTGCATTGTTCAAAGTCTACTGTGATTATTATTTTTCCATCCTTGTACTAAACTTCACATGGGAAAAACATTTTCATGCTTCAGAGAGAACATTTCCTAGTTTAATCTATACCAAACAAGAATGATATTTTAAATCAATTCTCTACTACTTTCTCATAGCTATCCAATGTCATTCTTAGTGATTTTGATGGCTGTTACCCAGACATTATTTCTATGCCGGAAGGGGCACATTAAGTACATCAGCATTAGGCTGTGTCTTCCAAATGGTGGTGAGAAGGTATGACCACCCTAACAAAAGTTCTGCACAAAGTCTTCTTGGAACAGGGTTGTTAACTCAGATGGTCCCATAAGATGCTGAGAGTGAGCCATCACCGGGGTTGGGGCAGAGAGGGAAGGAGAGTTCCACTGCATGGCTAACAGGATGGGAGGGAGTGGATTGCTAGAAAGGTCCCTGACTAAAGAGGTGTCCTCAATTGCCCACCCACAGCTATTCTTTCAAACCCAAAGGTAATTGCAGGACGGGGCTGCCAAAATGAGCCGCAATTCCTCAAAGACCTGCCCAGGCTCTTGGGAGTGACTTATGGGGGAAGGTACGGGAAAATGGTAGAGAGAGGGGAGAAAGGATCCCATAGACAGAGAGGGGGCCCTGGGGTGGAAGATCAAAAATGAAAGTCTGAGCTCTGTCTCAGGAAAGCTATTAGGATAAACCCTGACACAACCAGAGGTCTGGTATTTTCCATCCCAAATCTATTTGCTGTAAGTTACCTGGAATTCGCCTACACATGATCAAAACAACTACCCAGAAAGTGAAAAATTCAGTCCACCCTGCAGCAAAAAGATTTCACCTGCTTTCACCCAATTGGTGGAACTGACTGTATGGAAACAACCAAAATACAGACTTTCACCACCCCCGTTACACCCAGGACCTGTGACTTAACAGCAAGATTTCCACCTTAGAAATGGTTTCACATTCCTACCTTAATCTTCAGAGATCCTTGAAATGTTTAGAAGTTTGGATTTGATAGTACATCCAAAGCTGAAGCATTTCTAGTTCTTTCAAGCAGGGAATGAAGGTGGACACTGATCTAAAGGAATTTCTAAACATCCCCTTCCATGTCCAAGGAGAATCCTGACCCCACTTCAACCGATGCTGAATATAACTGCGCCCAATCAGAAGTTCAACAGAAAAGAGGGGGCTCTTTCTAATGAAAATTTAGCAGTAGTGAAGACACTGTCTGCCACAATATGTAAGAACCAGGGTCATCTAAGGGTTTTGGAAAGCTCACATTTGCTTTCTCAAAGGAGGAGATAAGATCCAGATAGAGCTGTGACAACAGGCATTTGGGCAAAAGCAGGTGTCTCCCTATAGTAACTCCCTGTAGGACAGGTCCGAAGTCCTTACAGGATCCTACATGGACAAAGGGGAGGGTGCACAGGACTTTAATTCCATCCTCCTCTGGCTGAAGGAGAGGTTTCCCCTCCTTCCTGACCCTCATGAACTCTTAAAGGAGACACGCTTTCCAGGGAGGGAACCAAGGTCATCAGAAGGACCAGCAGTCCAGATTAACTTGAGGGTCACTGCTTAAAGGACCATGTCTCTAGATCTGGTGTAGACTATCAACGTGTTCTTTGAAACTCAAAGCTCAGGGCCACGAATACATTCCACCTGCCCTGCCCAGTGCACCTGATTGCCAGGAAAAGATAAAGGACCACAGAGAGTTAGAGAACTGTCACCAGAACTCTCTCTTCTAAGCCTGCCTCACCTCCATAAGCTGTGCCCACTTCTTGCTGCCTTATTCCACTCTCTTCAAAGAAGGGCCAAGAAAGGCTGGTGCCCAACAGGAAAGGGGAAGAAGGGGAGGGCCAAGGGCCTCCAGGAATACGCAGGGGCTGTGATAGAAACGGAAAAAAATCCCTCCATCCTGAGAATCTGAGAATCTAGCTTTTTCTGGGTGCTTGACCCATGGTTTAAACCTCACGCAGAACACATCCCTTCCATTTGTCTGCTCTCAACTTCAGGTTTTCCTGAACTTTCTCCTCACCACTCAAAACCACAACCCCCAATCCCTCCTTCTCTGTAGTTAATCCAGGGACTTGAATCTGATGGTCTAACACAGCTGCTGGAGTCCCCTTGCAGCCCAGGGGCACAGGGGCAAGGAGATCTCATTCCTGGTCATTGCTCCCTATGTACATAAAAAAACTAGAAAACAGATGAGTCATTTCAGCTTCTGGAGGGAAAAGATTCAGACCTCCAGACAGCTCAGCAGAGTGGGAACTCTTCCCCATCCCCCTGGCCAATACCAGAAATCACTGATCACATGGAAGCAACAGACTGCAGGATCCAAGTTCAGTCATTTGCCCCAAAGAAAGAAGTCTTATTCTAGACAGTATGCTATTCTCAGGTAGGGCCTATCCCCACTCCTGCCCAACATCACGCAATTTGGGACTGGGTCTGTTTCAGGATCATTCAGGCTAAGAGGGCCCTTTAACTCCTTAAAGACAGCAGAGGGAAGAAAAAACTCTCCCAAGATGTCTCCTAAGGACAAACCTAAGGAACTAGTATTCTATTATTACAGCTGAGAACCGTTTTACACAGAGGTGCAGCGCTATTCCTTTTGTCCACAGAAATCCTTCTGTTTTCATCTCTCTAAACTTTATTTCTACATGGTTCATTGCTAGAATGCACCAAACGGCATGAACCTTGTGTGGGATTTGGTCCAGGGTAGTATGAAAATAGTATCTGTGTGAACAACAGACATCACAATATATAAACAAAAATAAATAAATAAAACAAGTCCAAGGAAAGAAAAAACATTTCCCTAGTAGTTTGTTTTTGCAAAACTAGCTTTACATATAATACACATAAATTATCAGAATTTCCACTTACATTGTTTTAAAAATATATATTTAACAAAACATTTCTAAATGTACAATATCTGGGTTTGCAAATCACTCAATTGGGTTTTAAGACCAAGCCCTAATAGTCACACAGATTTGCGTCGGAAAGGAGACTGAGGCCAGGTGTGCACAATCATTTTGCTCATTGGTCTGGAAATTCCCTAAGATTGGTCGTCCTCTGACACCCGATCTAAATACAACCAGAGAGAGCCATGATGGCCAAGTCTCCAAGTCAGAGGCACTGTGTAGACACAGCCTGAGTCAGAAGAATGTGAAAGTGGTCTTCCCCTTCCTGGACCGTCATGGTGCATTTCAGCAAGTGGGGAAAGGACAGCGGTGCTTGGCGGAGCCCTGGGAAGATACAGCCTTGGACAGCTCTCTGGCCAGGAAGGGCAGGGAGGTGGGGGAGGCCAAGTATGCTGCGTTTTCCATCCATTACACAAAATCAAACCAAGGAGGAGCAACCAAAGGACACGAGGAAATGGACACAACCCTACGTATAAAGAGACACCTTGACAAACTCCTTGGCCGGGGCAGACACTGTGCTCTGGTTTCCGAAACACAGGGCAGAGCTGGAAGTTGGGGGCCCGTGAGCTGGGGCCCCTCAGACTTCATAAATTTTGTCCTGCAGGTAGCTGAAAAGGGAGTCAAGGCCTTTGGAGGAGCTCCAGAGCTGCTTGAGCATGAGGCATTCCTTCTCGTTCACGTCTTCCAGCACTGATTTCAGGAAGCTCCGCACGAGGCATTTGGACTCCTCTAACACCTAGAGGGAAATAGACAGGCCTGATTAGCCGGGCACCAGGGACTCTGCTCCAGAACTAGGTACCTGGCCCATGGGGCACTGGCCAACCTCCCATACTCACAGCCAGAGAAGGCTGCCTCCTCCAGCCTGGGCCTTCCCAGTCCCATGTTTCCAGCACGGCCATGAATGGATCCCAGATGTGTCAAGACGTGAACACTGTGAGGCCCTGGGATGGCTCAGTGGGGCCCATGTCACCCCAGACCACTAGAGGCTTGCCTGTTGCCCAATGGTGATACAAACACAGAGTCCTTT
Source organism: Homo sapiens (assembly GCF_000001405.40). Classification (NCBI taxonomy): domain Eukaryota; kingdom Metazoa; phylum Chordata; class Mammalia; order Primates; family Hominidae; genus Homo; species Homo sapiens. The sequence continues at coordinate 80,604,838 of NC_000016.10, forward strand.
TCTATAGGTGTCATGAAAAAGTGTGGGAGACACTGTTTTAACCTCCCGTGATTCATTTTCATGATCTGTTGGCAATAACTCAAGGATCACTGAGAACACAGAATAAGACGATGAAATGAACGAATGGTTGTCACATACAACTCACCCTGAGAGCAATGCCCCGTGTTCAGGCTACAATGTTAGTAATCATGGTAGTAACAACTAATAACACTCAAGGCTATCACCTTCATAATCATTATAGTAAAGAGTAAAAATCATAGGAATGAATAACAATCATCACAGCCATAGTAATAATTGTAGTAATGAGTAATAATGATCATAGTAATCATGGTTATAAATGTAGTAGCTGCTGTCCACAGCTATGATAAATGATCATAAATGATCTATGATTATTCATTACTAAAGTATTACGTATATACACATATTATGTATTATATACATTATATATACGTATAAACACATATGTATATAGGTAAACACATGTATATATGTATATACACTATAATATATACATATTATATTATGTATATGTATAATATATAATTATGTATATGTATTATATATAATATATACATATTATGTAAATATAGTATTAATCCCACAGTGTTACTATGATGATTACTACCATCATCATAGTAATGAGCAATAATCATAGTAATAATAGTCACAACAAAGAGCAATAATCATAGTAACAATAGCAATAATAATCACAGCAATGAGCAATAATCATAGTAACAATAGTAATAATCATAGTAACAGTAATCATATTAATGAACAATAATCATAGTAATAGTCTTAGTAATGAGCAATAATCACAGTAACAATAGTAATAATCATAGTAGTGAGTAAAAATTCATAACAGTAATAGTAATACTAATAATAGTAATGAGTAATGATTGTAGTAATATTTGTAATAACTATAATAATGCCACTATGATCACCATTATCCAACAGGATCTAAGAGAAATACTTTTCCTGAATTCTTTCATTTACTTCTCATGATAACCCTGCAAGTAAGTAGTCTTTTGATCCCCATGTTACAGATGCAGAACCCAAAGCTCCATGATGTAAAGTGGCCCAGGGCTGCCTGACCACTCATGGGTAGAGGGAGCAGGAAAACCTGGTCTGGCTGATTCCAACAGCCACGCTGCTGCTGCCGCCCTCTGGCAGACGTTACAGCCAGAAGTGAGGCCTTCGTGCATTCTTCGCTGGCCTCCACCAGCCTCTCCTGAAATGCCCTCAAACAGAAAGAAGCAAGATGGCAGCTCCCTGGCTCCAGCAGACTGGGAGGGGCTGCACCCTCACTCCCCTGCCTGGGCTAGAGGCTGCAGGTGGTGGGATGAGCTGCCAGACCCAGCTGGCTCTTTCCCCCTGGAATGGCCTCGAAGAGCACCGTCTCCCAGAGGCCATGGGCCTTACTCTGCTGGAGTAGTTCCTTTCTTGGGAAACCCCCCCAGCATTCCTGAATTCACAGCTTTTGGCAGCAGAGACCTCCTTGCAGTATTCCTTGTCCTAAGAGCCTGTACCCTCAGGTGTCCTTCAACACTTGGTTTCACCTGAGCCTCTCTTCCCTGCCACAGAACAGGCCAACCCCCTCCATGCAGCTTGCAGGCCAGTCTCCCACCCTCCTTTTCAGTCACATGTTTCCTAGCATCCCCGTGCCACCTGACTGCACACTGCTGCCTACACTCCCTGTGGATTTCCTGTCTTGAGTGCCCTCACTCTTGCCACTTCCTCTGCTTAGAATTTCTACCTGTCTCTCCATGAAGCTAACCCCAGGGTGATCAACCACCCCTGTTTGCCCACAACTAAGGGGCATATGGTTTGCCTGTGTCCCAACCCAAATCTCATCTTGAATTGTAGCTCCCATAGTTCCCACATGTTGTGGGAGGGACCCTGTGGGAGATAATTCAATGACGGGGGCAGTTTCCCCCACACTGTTCTCCTGGTAGTGAAGAAGTCTCAAGAGATCTGATGATTTTATAAGGGGTTTCCCCTTTCACTTGGTTGTCACTTCTGTCTTGTCTGCCGCCATGTAAGACATGCCTTTGGCCTTCCGCCATGATTGTGAGGCCTCCCCAGCCACATGGAACAGTGAATCTATTCAACCTCCTTTTCTTTATAAATTACCCAGTCTCGGGTATGTCTTTATCAGCAGCGTGAGAACAATAGGGTTTCCTGGGATGCAGGATTTTCAGTCCTCACACCAGGAGAGTCCCAGACAAGGTGGGGCAAATTGGTGACCCTAGTCATTAGTAAGATTAAAAGAGAATCCACGTGAAGAGATCAGAAATGCTCGTGGCCCGCGTGAGTGTTGACTAACAACCTGGAGACCGCCACCCCCCACCGTCACCCTCACCCCGCGAGCACTGTCTGTTCAGCTTGCAGGGGGCAAGACTTAAACACAGTAGGTGCCAACAGTCAGGGATGAGGCCCAGCAGGAGAAAGACTTAAACACAGTAGGTGCCAACAGTCAGGGATGAGAAGCATGACAGCCGGGTGTGAACACAGGCACAGGGAGACAAGGAAGGGAGGGGCAAGGGTCTGGCCCCAAAAATGCACGCAGCAGCTCCCTGTTTCTCAAGCACAGAGCGAGTCCTAGAGCCTCAATCTCCCAAAATGCCTCTCTCAGCTCTGGAACCAGCCCTGGGGCCGCAGGAGTGGCCTTGTCTCCACCTTCCCACAGGATATTCCCCTGCCGCGCTCTGAGTGACTGTTATGAGATAAAATCAACACTTAATTAAAAACCACTGCCTCTGCAGAGGTGTTATTTGTTTATGTATTTTTCAGTGCATCTTCAAACAGTGACATTTAAATGTGACGAGCAGTCGGTGGAGAAAACAAATGAAATAGAGGCATGGTGTGTACAGCTTTCTCTAGTCATCTTCCGGATGGGTTCAATACTTTTTATCCTTATTGGCCGCTGCTTCTCGTTTCTTTGAAAGCTATAGATGTTTTGCGTTTTTGTGGTGTTTAGGACTTTCTTTGAAAGCAGTGACGCTACCCTAGAGTATCCATCTCTCCTGTGAGGTTTCTCTGCCTGGAGATGATGGACAATTTGTAATAATGCTGACTGTCTCCCTCTGATTGAAGCTGTCAATACTGAGAAAAGGCATTTGTTAAATTGCAAAGGGTCTTTTGCTTATTCCCTGTGCGACCTCTAGCAAGTCAGTGAAGCCCTCTGAGCCTTGCTGTCTTCATGTGTAAAATGGGTCTATCAAAAGGACAAGCACGCAGGAGGCGCAGGAACTCACCACGGCACTGCAGGATGCCATCTCCTTGACCCGCAGCATGACCTCCTGGCTGAACGTGGTGGGCCAGAAGACCTGCGACACCAGCCCCCTGCTGCAGGCCTCCTGGGCGGTGAGCTTCCGCCCACAGAACAGCATCTCATTGGCCTGAAAAAGCAAAAGCAGGCAAAGACTGAGGGCCTGGAGGTCCACCCATGTCCCTCAGCTGGTCCAGGGCTTGCCACCTGCAACCATCCCAGTTCTGGAAGGCATCTTGCCTTCCAGATCCTTATCTTATTTTGGGGTCAGATAAGCTTTGGGAATTGTATGGAAATGTTCGTGTGCATGAGCAGAAGGTCCACAGCTTTCATTAAATTCCCCAAAGGAGCTGTGTATTTACTGTGACTCTGTATGCCCCACACCCCTCCCCATTTCTGGTGGCAGACCCATGGGCATGGGTTGTGGGTTGGGAAGATTTCAGAGCCGATGACCCAGCCGTGATGACATCATTGGCACTGAAATGCACACAGCCCACAACAGCCCAGGGAGAAAGAGATGCTCCCTTCTAGATAATAAAGCTCAAGTGGGGTTTCCAGCTGCAGGTGTGGTGGAAAAGTCTTTCTTCCTCTGTGACTGCAGGCTAACATCAGTGAGCCCAAGGACCATCCATGGCTGTGTCCCGGCCTGTGGAGAGGTGGGGCTACAAGGAAAGGAGAAATAGGGGAAGAGAGAGAGAGAGAGAAAGATTAAGAGAAAGAGAGAGAGACCTGATGGTACTTGAATTCCCCAGCCCTGTCTCCCCAAGGGAACTGCCACTTCTGCTTTCCAGCTGGGAGAACCATTAAGCTCCTTTTTTAAAAATTAAACTGGTTAAAGCACTTCCATCACTGGCAGCCAAAAAGGTCGTGAATAACACCACAATACCAAGGCAGAGACGTGCATCTCTCCAAGCAGCTCAGGGCTGGGCAAGGGCACTGCCCAGTCTTGAAGGGCAGAGAGCAATCTTCCCTGGGGTCTGGTGACCTGGGATATCTCTGTACCACACTCCCCAGAGAATTTCCTTTTGCTTTGAAATTTTCAGCTGTCATACAAGGTCTGGGAGGAGCTATATAGATAAAGTCCTGCACAGACAGAGAACATGATAGTAATGAGCTGCAACTGACAGACAGTGACTGATAATTAGGGCATAATGGTCAAATCCATGTGATAGGGTCCGCACGGCCGGCAACGCCTTCCCCACCTGCTCTTCTCTCCTGCCTCTACATGCTAGCTCCTCTCGGGTTGACGCTGAAATGCCAGGCACTCTCAGGCCTCCAGAGCTATGCGTAAGTTCCCCCACTGAGTTCTGGTTGTGTCACTGATGGTTCGTGATGACCCAGAGGACAATCTTTCACGCCAGAGTAGAGGGCAATCTTTTATGTCGATAATAAGTCTTAGCATATGCTTGCTTGGTTCAAGATTTGAACACAAATGGAGGACTTGATACTTTCTGAAGAACACCTCAGTCAAATGAACTCAGCAGAAGTTCGCTGGGAGAAGGGGCAAATGGCCATATCTGCTCCAATGAACCTGGATTCAGATCCACTGGAAGCTACTCCCTGGCAGGTGTGAGTTACAAGGCGAGGCCCCCATTCATACGGAAAGGCTCCTGGCCACCCCTCAGACACCATACCCTGCAGTGCCCTCTTTGAAGAGAGAACTTAGGGGTATTATCCAGAAGCCTAAGGATTCAGAGAGAAAGGGGGATTCTTGGGTGGAGGTAGGGTGTCCCTGGTAAAGACCCATAAAATTAACAAACAACCCACTCTAGAGCTAAGAAAACGAACATAAACATAGTTTAGTCACTGACGTGTGACTCTGGGCAAGTCACTTAACGTCACAAAGCCTCAATCTTCTCTGCTGTCCAGGAGGCATCATGACAGCACCAAGCTCCCAGCACAGAGGCAAGGTTAACTGAGAGGTGCTTAGAACAGGGCCTGGTAGTGCAGAAGGGGTAGCAAAAATTTGCTATTTTTGTATGGTTGGTGATGTTATTTTCAAAACAGAACAAGGGGGAATATCAAGGAAGGAAAAGGGACAATGCTTATCAGCCTCACTATTGCAACAAAAGCAGGACTTGAGAGATGAGAAGAATGGGCTTGCAGGCCCTCAGATGGAAACAATGGGGGATGGAACTGCAAAGGAAGACGAGGAAGAAATCCAGTGTAAAAGCACCTGCCCTTCCACAGGTGCTTGCCTAGGTGCAACAGCCACAGTCCTGAGAATGTGCGGAGCTGCCTCAAGAGCATGAGAGTAATGTCAAAGGTGGGTGTTGACCTTCCGATAAAATCAAGACATCAAAAGAAACATCCTGGAGTCTGTTCCTAAAAAGGAACAATTCACAATAGCCGTGGGGCCACAATGGACTGCTCTCTTTTGAAGAGGGAACTTAAGGGTATTATCCAGAAGCCTAAGGACTCAGAGAGAAAGGAGATTCTTGGGCAGAGGTAGGGTGTCCCTGGTGAAGACCCATAAAATTAACAAAAAACCCATGCTAGAGCTAAGAAAACAAGAACATAAACAGAGTTTAGTCACTGGCATGTGACTCTGGGCAAGTCACTTAACGTCACAAAGCCACAATCTTCTCTGCTGTCCAAGAGGCATGATGACAGCACCAAGCTCCCAGCACACTTTGCAGGGCCGGGAGCCAGCACTCGGCTTTTTCTCTGGGGTTGTAGAGTTTGGCCCTGTCACCTAAGGGGTGCTTCTCTGGCACTTTTGTGGGTCTCCTATGACCTATGACATCTGCTGGCAGATGCCCCCAGTGGACCCCGGGCAGACCTTGCTGAGGCAGGCACAACACAGAAGGCCCAGCACCCTCCCCGGCATGCCAGGCTCGCAGGGGCCACTCCACGCCACTGCCATGGCCTCATCCCTCGCCCTCTCCCCACCATCCTCACCAGGCCCCAGCCACACTGACCTGACCACTCTCAACCCAGGGCCTGCCAGGCCCACTCCCTACCCTGTTCTTCCCTTCATGCATCCTCTGCCTGGAATTCTTGCGTCTGTTCAAATGTCACCTGCTCAAAGGGGTCCTCTCTGAACAAGGTGGGACCTCCTTCCAAGACAGAGAGCTGGGGAATAGAAGGTCTGAAGAGCAGGGTTTTTGTTCACCCCTGCACTCCTGGTGGGTGTGGCGAGCCGGGCACTTAGTGGATTTGCAGTATTTGAAGAAAGGGAGAGGAAAAAGGGAGCTGACTGGCTAGAGGGGGCTGGAAGGAGGGGACTCCCTGAGAACCTTCTGAGATCCAGATGGGACCCGTGCTTATGAAATAAGGATTAGCCCATCAGAGCTGAATTCAGAGTTTGTGGCTGCTCTGAACAGCAGAGGCTGCCTGAGAGTCCACAGGGGAGGAGCCGTCAAAGGAAGCCCAGACCCAGCAGCGTGGTGCCTCCAACGCCTACTCGGACCAGCTACATGTTCTGAACCCCTCCCTGGTCCTGACAGCTAATCTCAGATTAACCCCTCAGATGTGGGACCTATTTAATAACAGGCTGGGTTCGGAGCACAGACAGTGGAACCAGCCAGTTCGTGCTCAAATCCCACAACTGGCACTACCACTGCATGCCTTTAGACAACTCACTAAACCTCTCTAGCCTCAGTCTCCACATCCGCAAAATGGGGATCACAGCTGTCCTGCCTCACAGGGGCGTGGACGGCGTTGACAGCCCAGCCCAGCACACAGCAAGTGCTTCCTACGTGCCAGCTGTCATCAGTGCTCTCCCCTGTCCAGACTTGCTTCTGGATGTTGGTGCAGAATCTGACCACAGCTTACAGTGGACTCCGCCGCCTCTGTTGGACAGTGGCTCTGTCTGCCCCACCTGGTGACACGACTTCTCTGAGCTTAACGTTCCATCTGTAAGATGGAAATCGCAATCGTTTCCACATGGGGTGGAGACTGCTTTGTGTCCACTGAATCCTTTCCCTCTTCTTGCTGGACATGCGCTGGGCTGCGTCTCCCGGCCTCCCTTGCAGGCGCATGTGACCAGAAGCTGAGTCATGGCCAATACCACATGAGTGGAGGGGAAGACGCCCCTGCCGGCCTGGCCCATGAAGCCCTCCAGGGTGATGCTTCTGGCTCTCTCTTCTCTCCCATTGGCTGGAAGTGAGGGCACATTTACTGGACGGGAGACACCTGGGTCCCCAGAGAGTGTGGGTGGCCCCTACACCTATGCTGGACCACTCAAGAGGATGAAGGCAAGTTTTGTTGTTAAAGCCACTGAGACCGTGGGCTGCTTGTCACAGCACCCAGCCAATCCTAAGACACGCCTTCAGGGGGTTGGAGTGAGGAATAATTGAGACGCCATGCAGAGTGCATGGTCCATACACTGACATCATCGCCATCTTCTCAGGCCGGGCTACTCCATCTGGCACTGAAGGTGTGAAGGACATGAGGCAGCCAAGCCAATCTGCAGGCTGACAACACCCTCAGGTTTCTAGCCCCATGAAGAGCCCCTAAACCCAAGGCAGAGGAAGGATCCTGCTGGGACCCGAATCCAGGTATCACAGGAGGCTTACCAGCGCGACGCCCAGGATCTGGGGGAAGGTGTAGGAGGAGCAGCCAGCAGGCGTGAGGCGGATGGTGGCGTAGGGCGTCTGGAACCAGGCCTTCTCACTGGCCCACACGATGTCACAGAGGGGCAGGATGGAGGCACCCAGGCCCAGGGCCGGCCCATTGATGGCCACCACGATAGGCTTCTTAAACTGGATAAAGGCCTTCACAAAGTCCCTGGGAGAGAAAGAAGATCCTCTTGAACAGGTGACTATAGCATGCTAAGCCCCACTGGAACCCTTGACTCTCCCAGGTGCTGTGAGGAGCACCCTCAGGTCGTCAGAGGTTAGAGGTGCCAGGCAAGGGCCTCATTGCCTGGACATGGAACCACCAGCTGTCAGATTTTCTGAGGTATACTGATGGGGTCACTGCATGTCCTGGTTTGCTCAGATTGCCCCAGTTCATGCCCCATGTCCTAGCACTGCACCCAGTTACCATCTCCTTCCACTCTCAAAAGCCATAGCTTACACAGTAAGTTATATGGGCACCCTAGATATTGACAGAATTTCTATATATCCTAAGGAAGTCAACCTGAATGTTAAGGTGCAGAAGCAGAACCACAGGGAAGGTGTAACAGGGAGGCATATTTCAACTCAAAGAGAGAAAGAATGTTCTAACATCTCTGGCCAAAGGTGAATGGAGTGGCTTTGTGGGGTATGAATTCCTCATTCCTGGAGGTATTTGCATTTTAGCTCAATGATTATGCTGGGTGATGCTGTAGAGGGACTTCAAGCTTCAGATGGTGGGTACATGTTGGGATTGATGACATTTTTCTTTCAAAAATCACACCTAGGATGGTCTGATTCTGAATTACCTGCAGGGATGCCAGACTCATCAAGGGTGGTTCTAAAATGCTGAATATGTTAGGATGGCTCTGACTAAAATTGGGTTCCCTGTAGGAAGGAGCTACAATCCTGGCTACAAGACTGGGCAATATTTTCTCTCCCTGCCCTTCTGCACTGAGCAAGGCATGTACCTTTACCAATTACACAGAGCCATCAACAATGACCTGTATTTCCTTTGCCTCAGAAGGCTTTTTGCCTTTTCCTAGTTGCTATGTATGATCTATAAAATTTTAATATTCATCTGGACATGGAGGAAAGACACAAGATGTCTAGTAAAGTCTGCATCCTTCGTTACTTTCAGAGGAAAGATTAGAAACTATAAGAACTCACAAGAATAAAATCCAAATGCCCATTACGTTGGTCTGACCTTGGCCTGACCTTGACCTGCCTCAGCTTACCTCTCCAGGTTTCCCTCACATCACTCTTGCCCCTGCTCACTGTGCATGAGCCACATGGGCCTCTGAGAGTTCTCAGAAAAACACCATTATCAGAATTTGCAATCACCCTAACTATTTGCTTGTTTTTGGATTCTTCTTCCCCTTTAGCTCCTTAAGGACACCCAGAGGTCTGCCTGGGGCACCGCTTGGCTTCCATCAATATTGGAATTAGCACTCAGTAAACAGCTGTTGAGCAAATACATGAGTCTCCCAGAACAAGAACAAAGACTGCAGAGGTGTGGCAATGGTGAACCAGCTCTTCACCAAACCTGTTTTCCCTCTTCTTCCCAGGTCTGCTGGCCGGCCACATTTCCCGTCTCCGACTGCATGTGGCTGTGGCCAAGTCACCAAGTGCTGGCCAAACAGGATGTGAGCAAAAACCCACCAGTACCACTTCCAGGTGCACATCAAACCTCCCACCATGGCGTCCTCCAAGCCCATTCATCTTGATGGGCACAGCAGTCTTGGAAGACATTTGCCGAGCCACAAGATGGAAGAAGTCTAGGTTCCTGAGTCACCAATGGGAAGACAGCCACAGGCTGATGGTGACATCTATTTTAGGTTCATGTATGTGAGAAGTACATTACTATATATGAGGCTTACTTGTTACAACAGCTAATACTTAACTAATACAAAAGTCGAGGCTGGGCATGGTCATTCACGCCTGTAATCCCAGCAGTGTGGGAGGCCGAGGTGGATGGATCACAAGGTCAGGAGTTCTAGACCAGCCTGGCCAATATGGTGAAACCCCATCTCTACTAAAAATACAAAAATTAGCTGGGTGTGGTGGCAGATGCCTGTAGTCCCAGCTACTTGGGAGGCTGAGGCAGGAGGATTGCATGAACCCAGGAGGTGGAGGTTGTAGTGAGCCGAGATCGGGCCACTGCATTCCAGCCTGGGAAACAGAGTGAGACTCTGTCTCAGGGAGAAAAAAAAAAAAAAAAAAAAAAGTTGAGCTGATTTATCTCTTCTCAATCAATACTGTTCCTTCCCCCAAGTCTTATCAAAAGTTGTGGATATCATAATGATATACTGGGATCAGATTCAACTGCGAGAAGTCTACTTAATGTTCTGCGGGGGTAGAAGGTATCTTACGATCTATGTAAGTCATCATAAAAGTACGTGCCTCTGACTCATGCTTGAGGCATCACATTCCCTAAGATGGTGGAGTTAGCTCTCAGTCCCTGCTGGCCCCCAAAAGGTACTACTTCAGAGAGGGAGTTCTGGCTCCATGACTTCTGAAGCTTGGTATTCCAGTGGCCCATCTCCTGACATCACTCACTTCCTAACCTAATGGTGAGGTTTTCGGTTAGGTCACTGGTTTTTGCAAGTGCTTTTCACTGAAAGCAATTTGGGGTCTGCGGGGGATATGGACTTTTTTGGAGAATCCTTAGGGGTTTGGATGATTTTTGTCAAACATCCCATTCCTGAGTGACCTCATACAATTCCAGAGTCTTAGATCTCAGAGGTGGGAAGGACTTTAGGACTCATGGGACCGTATCTTCCACTCGGTGCAGAATTCCCTCCATAACATTCCAACGATGCATCATTCCGCCTCTGCTGGACGTTTTTAATAAAAGAGGGTCCGTGCCTGTCAAGACAGCCTCCCTGCTGTGGGTCTCCTGTAAGCCTCTCTGATACTGTTGCCACCTCAGCTCCATCAACCACATGACATCCTTCAGGAATGGACTGCAGCCCTTGTGACTTTCCAGAGCTTTCCTCTGCAGGACCCCAGAGCCTTTCATTCTGTGTTTTCCAACCTGAGATCCATGAAACGGAATCAGGGACGCAAGGGAAAGGGGACCAGGCGTGCAGAGCTCTGACCCTCCGCCCCAGCCCCTCCTGTGTCATCCAATCTGCCTCGCACTTCATTTCCTTGATATGAAAATGTCACCCGATGTTTAATGAAGGCCACCCCCCATCCTCTTTCTCTCACCTCGGGCAGTAGATCTCTATCACTGGGAGCCAAGCAGCAAACAGGATATTGCATTACGGGCCCTGCAGCTCCGATATCTGATCCTTCTGCGATGGCGGGGCTGCGTGGGGAAAACTGTACGCCACCTTCCCCCACATCCAAGGCCATCAGGCTGACCTGACCCACACAGCTTCCTCTGCTCTACCCGACCCCTGTGGCTTCTGCCTGACAAAGCTGCTGGGCTGCACTGATGTGGCAGAAGGAGCAACAACTTCAGAATCTGAAAGACTCAGAGTGAAGTCTCAGTTCTGCCCCTAACTAATGGTGAGACCTTGGACAGGGTGCCTGGTCTCTGGAGCCTCACTTTCTCCCTCTGTAAAATGGGAAAATCAATGATGTTGCCCCAGATAGGGAGCTGAATAAGAATCCAAGGAGACGGTCCATGCAGGGTGCTAGCCCAGTGCTGACATGCAGGGAGCACGCGATCCCTGCTGCTATTATTATGGGTAGTGCATCTGCTGGGGAGGGTGGACAGAGTCCTCATTCAATTCTCAGATTGGTCTGTGATCCATTCTCCTAGGCTACAGGTGACCCAGCAGCAAAATTCTGCTCACAGGAGTGCCTCAATTTCCCCTGGAGCAATCGGCATTTCTCCTGTGACCCAGTTACCCAACTCCCTTTAACCAGAGGCATGGAGGAGAACCCTCCCCCAGCCAAAGCTCAGAGCCAAGTCAGCCAGTACGGGACCAAACAGTGACCACCATCCTGGGGCCCCCAGAGAGGTCCCTGGCAGGCCACTCCTTAGTCTCCAACCCACCCCTTAGTCCAGGCGCCCACTCCCTGGTCTTAGACTCAGCTTAGCTAGAAGTCATGGCTGGAAGTACCAGCAGTAGTGACAACAACCATAATAAGAACTCCAAGAACATATTAGTGCCAGGAATAGCCCGAGTGTTTCACACAGAGTATCTTTTTATTCTTTATCCTAGCAACACACCAGTGAGGCCAGTACCATCATTTTGATTGTTCCCATTTTCTGGATGAGCTAATAGGCACAGAGAGATCCATGACATACCCAAAGCTCCACCACCAGCAAGTGCAGAGGCAGCTTTGAGCTCAGGCGGTCTGCTTCCAGGGGCCATGTGGGCAGCTGCTAGCCAACACTGCTTTCCTGAATACCACGTTTGAACAAGCCACCTTGTCACCTATGACAAGTTCAGAGGAGGCAGACTCTTTTCAGGATGGATCCTGGAGAGAGCCTTCTGAACAATTCACCTGAGCTCTCCCCAAATCTGCTAGTTCATTCATCAAACATTTGCAGAGTGATGCGTCCCAGTCACCAGTCCCAGTCACGTGTATGCAAGTTTTCTTTAGGCAAGGATGAGGAGGGGGTGAGAGTACCACTCACGGGGTGCCAAGGCCATGCGGCATGCCTGGTCAGCCCTACCAGGAGCGTGTCCCAAGAGAAGAGATGGTGGCAGTTCTATGTCCAAACAACGTTTTAGCCCTGCTAGATTTTGAAGGAAGTTCTTTCACAAGAGACTTCTTGTAAGTATGCTAATACACCTAGAAAGTCCACAGGAGCAGGCACAGAACTTGCAGTATGAATCAAGCTCCTTTCAATGACAGTGCGCTTCTCTCAGGACACCCCTCTGGAAATCCACAAAACGTTCTGTGCAGAATGCTTCACTGCCACCTTGTGTCCCCAACTCCAGAGTGTGGCCTCCAAGGCAGCACTCCCGAGTTGGGAGAGCTGGAGATGCCTTAAAAGAGTTTGGTGCTGATGGGCGAGCCACAGTCTCTTTCTAACCCCGGGAGCATCTGTCTCTACACGCCGCATCTTCTGCACTTCCATCCATCTTCGCTCATCGTCCTCACCTTTCTCATGCCTGTATCACCTCTTTCCTCATACTCATCCCCTTAATAACCACCTTTACTCTCTTGCATAAAAATAAGAATCTTGCGTTTCTCTTAGTGCTCTCAATCAGTGGTGCAGAAATCTGGTTAGCATAGGGCGGGTGTTCTCAACCCTGGCTGCACCTGAGAACCACCAAGGACGACTGACATCAAAAGATGCGCTGGCCCCACCTCAGCCTAAATAACTCAGAGTCCCCTGGGGGTGTTGCCAAGCATCAGGGTCTTGGGAATGCTCCCTTGGGCCTCTCTGTGCTGTCAGGGCTGAGAACCAGTGGTCCAGGGGACATCTCCTTTCCCACGCCCCCATCCTTGCTAGTTCATGAACTAGCAACTTCTGCTCCCTTTGAAGCATCGAGAAGAATTCCTCCTGCCTCCGCCATCTTGCCCTGTGCTCTGCCTAAGGGGAGCTCACTTGCCCGCTGAGATGGCAAATGTCTGAATTCCACTAGTCATGTTTCCCCAGAACTACTCAGCTGGGAAAGTCAGGAGCCAGTTTGGGCCTCAGGCCCCAGCCACGTTCTCCTACAGCTGATGTTTTCAATCCCATCTGCCTCTGACACCTCTTTCTCCATGAATTTGGTTCTCAAGAGTCCAGAGACGCACAGATACCACGCAGCAGACCCCAATGGGTAGAGGCTATGGGGACAGGAGAAGAGGTTTTGCCCCTCAGCTTTGATACATCTAAGACACAAATGCAGGGATAGGTCAAGGAGACACTTCCCTCACCAGAGAGACTGGGCGTGCAAAGCCACAGGAAGGAACCATTCGGTGGGGGCTCTGGGGAAATCCATCATGAGACCTGACCCCCTGGGTACCCTGTTTCTGTTCAGCTTCCATCCCTTCAGTGACCCAGCTACAATACCTTATTCCTGCATGCAAGAAGGATCCCCACGCCCTCCCCAGGCTGGGACAAGCCTCATCACCGTCAACCCAGGGCTGGCCTGGGAGTCCCACCTTGCCTGCAGCTGTCCAGGATAATCTGTTAACAGACCCCATCCAGCAAAGGTGAAGAGCTGCCCACCAGAAGGAGCAGCCATTGAGGACGTTGGGCAGAGGTCAGGATGGGCCCTTGCCTAAGAGGAGAGCCTGAAAAGATGGGGCTCTTTGAGCTGCTAATGATTTCCTTCCAGGCTGTATTAGTTTCCCAGGGAACAGTCACCACAAACTTGGCAGTTTAAAACAATCAAAAGGTATTCTCTCATAGTTCTGGAGACCAGAACTCCAAACTCAAGGTGTTGGCAGGGCTGGTTCCTTCTGGAAGTTCTGACGGAGAAGCTGTGTCAGGCCTCGCTCCCAGTTTCTGGTGGCTGCTGGCCATTCTTGGAGTTCCTTGGCTTGAGGCTGCATGACTCTACGCTCTCCCTTTCTGTCACATTACCTTCTCCTGTCTCTGTGTCCCCTCTTATGAAATAAGTTCTCTCTGCGTCTGGAGCCCACACTCCAATCCAGGATGATCTCACCTCAGGACTCTGAACTTAATCACATCTGCAAAGAGCCTTTTTCCAAATACGGTCACCTCCACAGGTTCCAGGGATTGGCACGTGGACATATCTTTTGGGGGCCACACTTCAACTCACTACAAGGGGTCTGCATGCTAATGAGCTGCTCGTGCATGGAGTGAAAACGAGGGGCTGTGTCAGCCAGGTTTCCCTGGACTTCTGGAAATCCAGCTAACACCTCCACTGAAATGTGTAAACCAGATAAAGACCATGATTGACGCTCCACGGGTCACAAAAATGGGCACTTGTTTCTCTGGATGGGCTCTGGTGGCCTCATGCATGACGAGAGAAGCACGCTGGAAATCCTGTGGTCCCCCTTTGATACATGGAAAGGCAGTAGTGAGAGGGCATAGCTGGGACCACGCAAAGCGCAAACTGTGTGGGCACAGCCAGGAAGCCTGTGCCTCCATAACCACAACACCTTTCACATAACAGTGCCCAGGCTCGTCATGTCTCTTCTGGCAAGGATTCTGCAACAGGAAACACACGGGTATTTCGGAGCAGGGGCTCCAATGGCTGCTTCACCCTGAAGAGGGACTCAGAATTCCACACACAAGAGCATCCTAGCATCACCTCTTAGAGACAAAGCAACCCCTCAAAGCCCCCTATAGCCACGTGGGAATCAGCCTCCCTCTGTGTGGCCCCTCCACAGAACCATAGAGACTGGAGGCCCCAGAAAATCCCTGACTTGTGGCCTGAGGCTCCGTGACACCATGTGGAGTAAATGTTCCTTCTCATGTGACCAGGGGCATTCCTGAATTGTGACTTGTCTGATTCCTAAGCAAGATACAGCAGCACCCGCCAGGTGAACACTGGGTGACAGCTGTAAACCAGCTAAACAGCCGTAGTGTCTAGAAATGACACTCACTTGCTTTTGATATACTGATAAAGAATGGGGAAATAACTACCCTTCAGTGTCCCAAAAGGGTACTCATTGTTGGGACTGGATGTCACCGCCAGGATCCCAACTTTTGCCCAGGGGCAATTAGAAAGGGGGAAATACTCTGTACCCCGTTGGGTCTGCAAACACACAGCTGCCCAGGGAACCCCTCCATCAACCTCCCCACTGCTGAGCTACGGCAGTGCTGGGACATACAAACAACCAGACAACCAGAGACTCTCCCCATCAGGCAAGGGGCGGGAGTAGTGTGGACAACACATGGCCACTACCAGACTCAGGCCTTGATAGCAAATAAAAAATCTTTCCGATCAAAAGAATGAAAGTGGGATCTAACCTAGAGGGCAAAGCATCCCTAATTTTGGCAGGACCATGGTTAGAGATGAAAATATAGGATGCCCAATTAAAATTTGAATTTCAGATAAATAACCAACATTTTAAAAATGTAAGCAGACCTCGAGTATTGCACAGGATATACTTATGCTAAAAATAAAATTCCTGGTTGTTTGAAATTCGAATTTAACTGAGCAGCCTGTATTTTTACTTGGTAATCCTACGCAGGACCCCAGGGTGTGTGAAAAGGAGCACAGCTCACCTGATGGCTTCTGCAATCCGAGTGCTCTCCTTTCGCCGGTCGCTGGACAACCGGCCAATTAGGTAGGAATAATCCAGGCCGCTGCAGAACACGCTCCCCACTGCGCTGAGGAGCAGCAGTTTGCTGTCGTCTGTGGCTGCGTTGCAGAGCGCTCGCCGGACTTCTTTCATGATCTGCCGGCAGAGATGAATTTGCAGGGATGTTAAGTGTCTATCCTGTAAGCCTGGGGCTTTCAGACTGCAAGACAGCCAGAGGCCTGACCCCCTGAGGGTAGAGGCCAGGGAATCTGCTTCTGCCTGTGCAGGGAGCCTCCCCTGAGTACAAGCAAGAGTCCAGAGCAAGGAGAAAAACACTTATCATAGCCAAAGCCCTCCAGCACCATCCCCGGAGAAGGCAGAAGAGTGCTAATAAGGAGGCAGTGTGGTCACTGGCTGCAGATCTGGAAGCCTGGCCTGGAGTCACTCAATCCTTGGTAAATCTCTGCAAATCTTGTTCTGGCATTTGCTTATTTAGCCCTTTACAAGATGTGGAAAAAATCCATGCACAGCCCAAGTGAGGGATGTAAGCCATCTCTAGATGACTCAATTTAATTATTATACATCCTTGCTCATCTTTCCTCCAGCTCATACCCCGCACGGCCTGCAGGTGCCACATGGCAAGTGGGCTTTGGCATCAGATCCAGACCTGGGTTCAGTGTCCCACTGGAGTTCCAAGCCCCTGGTCCAAATTCTGGCTCTGCACCTTACTAGCCATGGGACCTGAGCCATGCTGGTTATTCATCCTCAATGTCCCCATCTATAAGTGGGTGGACCCACTCTCAAGGCCTCCAGTGAAGAATAAATGAAAGGAAAGGTTATGCTATGGCCACCTGCAGGTTCACATTCCTGGGAGGTAGTGATGAATTCTGGATAAAAGGCATTTTGTTCCTCCTCTTCATGCCAGTAAAGGTGCCATCTGACATGGAAGAACTGTGCTGGCCACCCTGCCATCATGGGACAAGTTCCCCTAATCTCCTGCTTGGGTCTCCTGCATGTATGCCCTAGGATTTTTAGGTCTCTATGACCTTGTCTTAGGCAGGTGGAGGGCAGGACAGAATTTGGGAGATAGACACAGGTGCCCTCGGTAAGTGGTAAGACCAACAAGTGCTACCTTAGCAGTGAACATGTACTGCAGGCCAGGTACCCTGCTACATGGGTTCCAGCCTCCCCAACACCAGTGAGTGGTCACTATTCTTACTTCCAGACCAGGAAACAGATGCCTAGAGGGGTCGTAACACTAGTCCAAGGCCACACAGTTGGTAAGTGTTAGAGGTGGATTTGAGCCCTGGCCTGGCTCACACAATGCCTAGTCTATGCACTTTGACACTGCAAATTCCCACTATCTGGCCATGGCCTTCCATTTATGGAGAAGGAGAGGACTCAGCCCCAGAGCACGCAGCCAGCCCAGGGGTGGACAGGCAGGGGTGGGGCAGCTAGGAGAGCCCAGAGCTCCCATTTACCACCCTGCAGCCTTCTTTGAACGTCTTCCCTGGGCCAAGCCTATATTCACCTAATCACCTTTGCACATGCCAATCTCCCCACCCCTTGTGGGGTTGCCCAGGCTCCTTGATTCTGAAGGTCCTTTTATGACCCACCCTATTCTCCTCCCCCTATTCTCCCTTGCCCAGC
Source organism: Homo sapiens (assembly GCF_000001405.40). Taxonomy (NCBI): domain Eukaryota; kingdom Metazoa; phylum Chordata; class Mammalia; order Primates; family Hominidae; genus Homo; species Homo sapiens. The sequence goes on from NC_000016.10 coordinate 80,622,430, forward strand.
ACCCCCATTTGTTTTCTTCATTTATCATACATTTACCTGTCTTACCTACTACTTGTTTGTTTCCTGCCTTTTATTTGTCCACACTTGCTCAACTGTTATTTTAATAAAGACAGGAATTGCATCTCTCTTATTCTCCAGTGTATACTCAGAGCCTAGCACAGTGCCTGGGGTATGGTGGACACTCAGTATCTGCTTGTTTAGTCACACAGAAACTCCCTCATAGCCCTTTTCCTCAACTTCAGAGGAAATTAGGCAGGCTGCTTGCTCACCCACCTAGAAGCTTTTACAAGGCCAACTCAAAAGGCACCTGTGAAAACCATTTAAAAGACTGTAAAGAGTTTGCCACCAAAAAGTTTGCACCCCATGAAAGCTAACTGTGTTTGCGCTCTTCAAAGGCATGCAGCCCGGCTATTCAGCTCCTCATCACATGAGCAACTATTTTTGGATGAGCCTGAAGGTTACAGAGCACTTGCCCATGAGTACTTGCACCCCCAACCCCTTGTGAGGTGGGCATTATTATTAGCTCCATTTTATAGAAAGGGAAACTGAGGCTCAGAGAGAAAGGTGACTTTCTCAAAGCAACATGTCAGGAAGTGGCAGAGCCTGCACTAACAGACTGGCCAGCTCAAAGCTTCCTGCGGAGATGGTACAAGCTCTGTCTGCCCCAAGCACTTTCAAACTTCGCTGCTCAAAGTGTAGTCCTTGGAACAGCAGCAACACATCCCTCAGGAGGTGGCCAGAAATGCAGAGTCTAAAGCCCCAGCCCCGACGTATGACAGGGGGTTCCAGAAGGTCCACATGCGCCTCTGGGGCTACGGTTGGGCACAAGCTCCACTTCTACCCCACAGTATCTTGGGTGTTCTGGGGTGAAATCAATAGCCTCTCCTGGTCTCCCTATTTGTAAAATTCAGAGCTACCTCAGATGAACCAACAAACAAGATGCAAGTAGACTGCTTAGTGCAGTGCATGGCACATACCCTGCAAGATGTCCCCGTTTATATACTGACCCTACGGAACAGGTCAGCTTCTGCCCCAAGCACTTTCAAACCTCACTACTCAAAGTATGGTCCTTAGACCAGCAGCTTCACATTCCTAGGAGCTGCCTAGAAATGCAGAGTCTTGGACCCCAGCCCAGACCGACAGGATGAGTTTCTTCATGTTCATGGGACCTGCAGGAAATTCATATGCATGTTATTGTTTGAGAAGTGCTGCTTTACGATATGAACTCACTTAGCCTTCTGGGGGAGTCACTTGTTGAAGCTCCATTTTATGAATGACAAAATCAAAGTACAGTCACTGTGAGAAGTTTGCAAGTATGGGGTGGAGCTAGACTAGGACTCAGGAAGTCAGACTTTGGGGACCATGTCCTTCACCGCAGGCTAGGCTGCCTCTCAAAGCATCAGGGCTTTTCATCTGAAGACCTCCACATGATAGCAGTGTGGCTACGGGAGCAGCAGGAAATGAGCTCTGTGATGCCCAGGGGAAAGCAGATCCTTCTCCCCTCCCAGACTGTGGATTTTAGGATGGAGCCAGGATCTGAAAGTGAGCTCCTGCCACATGCTACGTTCTGAGGCCCAAGCATCATCCAGACCCTCCAAGTCTGTGTACTGACTGAAGCAATCCCCCTCACACCCCTGCATACTCCCCGACTCCTTCCAATCACAACCTTGCAGCAACACTGCGTATCTAGACTACACAATGTCTCTTGGGTGCCTGGTATTCACAAGGACTCAAGGCAGTTGGCCAGGCTGAAAAGGTACAGGCTTTGGAGACAGGAAGCCTATGATGGAATCGGCTTTACCACAAACAGGCTCAGCCCTTCTAGTCCTTCTGCTACCTATTTGCCATACCACAGTCAGGACAAGCCACTCCAGCAAATAATTTATTTTTGCTGTAGGAAAACTCTCCCATGAGAAGCTAAAACTCCATACCTGCCCTGTATGTGGATTTGAAGTTCTGAGTTACCACACCCACATGGGGAAGAATCCACAAGATAAAAAAATTAACACAGAAATTGGACACAGGCTAGTAATATCCCTGAGGTGTCTGATGGAAATGAATGTAAAAGTACTCTGGGGAGAAGCTGCAACCCAGACCGCATGGGAATTACACAGGAAAAAAAACCCTAGCAGGAGATGAGCTCACAATCAAAAATCACAAAACACTTGGGAAATACAAGTTGGCATACTCAGCAAATGAGCGGATTACATAACATGACTTCAAGTAATACAAGGATCCAAAAGAGACTGTAAAATAGGGATGTTTCAAATAATCACAGAGAGGAAAACAGACATGAACAATAAGGAAAGAACAGGAGAATATGGGGAAAAAATAGATTTGAGGAGAAAAAGAAACTTCTGGAAATGAAAAACAAAGTCATGGACATCTGCTGAGATCAACAGCAGATTAGGTGGTGCTAAAGGGAGCATAAAGTAACTGAAAGACCTGAAGTAATTGACCAAAACGTAGCACAGAAAAACAGAGATGGAAAATATAACGGAGAGATTAAAGACAAGAATGCTAAGATTTAAAATTGGTGCTGTAGGGATTCTATCAGGAGATCACAGAGAAGAGGAGAAAGTCAATATTGAAAGAGATAAAGGATGAGAATTTAACAGAATTGATGAAAGATCCACTAGTTTCCTATGGCTGCTGTAAAAAATTACTATAAATTTGGCAGCATAAAATAACATAAACTTATTATCTTATAGTCCCTTAGGTCAGATGTCTGATGCAGGTTTACTGGGTTAAAATCAAGTTGTCAGCAAGACTGCATTCCTTTGTGGAGGCGCTAAGGGAGAATCATTTTCTTCCCTTTTCCAGCTTATAGAGGCCACCCACATTCCTTGGTTCCTGGCCCCTTCCTCCATCATCAAAGGCAATAATGCCGAGCTGGGTCTTCCTCACCTTCTCAGTTTGTGTCACTCTGACAGATTCTTCTGCTTCTCTCATCTACATTTAAAGACCCTTGTGATTACATTGAGCCCATCCAGGTAGTCTAGAATACTCTCTATTTTAAGGTCAGCTAACTGGCACCCTTAATTGTATATCTGAAACCTTAAATCCCCCTAGCCATGGAACCTAGCATAGTCATAGATTCTGGAGATTTGGACATGAACATCTTGGGGAGAGGGCTTCTATCTACCACAGACTTGAATACTAAAATTTAAGAACTACAACAAAAAGCTAAGCAATAGAAATAACAATACACGCAAGCACAGACATATCATATTTAAACTTCAGAACATCAAAGACAAAGCAAAACCTTAAATACATCCAGAGGAAAAAGAAAGCTTACCTACAGAGGGCAAATATTTAACCGGAGGCAAATTCTACATAGCAGAAATAAATTCCAGAAGGTAGCAGAATACAATTGTCAAGGTGCTGAGGAAAACAACTGTCAACAAATTCTTCACTCAGCTAAATTCACTTAAAAGGAAGGGTAAAAATTAGGCATTTTCAGTCAAAGAATGTTTACCATTTTTAGACCCTCACTAAAAGAACTAAAAAGGAATGTACTTCAAGAAAAAGAAACTATATTCAGAAACAAAAACTGACCTGCAAGGAATAATAACCAGCAAAGAAATTGGTGGATCACACCTGTAATTCTGGCACTTTGGAAGGCTGAGGCAGGCAGATTGCCTGAGCTCAGGAGTTCGAGGCCAGCCTGGGCAACATGATGAAACCCCAACTCTCCTAAAAATACAAAAAAAAAAAAATTAGCCAGGCATGGTGGTGCATGCCAGTGGTCCCAGCTCTTCAGCAGAAGGATGGGAGGCAGAGGTTGCAGTGAACCGAGATCGTACCACCGTACTCCAACCTCGGTGACAGAATGAAATCCCATCTAAAAAAAAAAAAAAAAAAAAAGGAAAAAATTGGTGAATGTGTTGTTAATAAAAAAAAACTGACTATAAAAATCATAATACTGATATTCATTAATTTGAGGGCAGGGGTTGGTATGGCGTACAACTGTAGTAGCAGGCAATAATATTGTAGAGGATGAGAGGAGGAATGACTAGGGTTGGAGCATGTCAAGGTTATATTCGGAAGTGGTGGAGGTAGTTACTCTTAGCCTTTGCTATGTGTATATAATTTAGGGATAACTTCTTAAAAATACATGAATTATAATGAATGGGGAGGAGGATAAAATAAAGAACACCCAATCACTGGATTGTTAAAACAAGAGCAGAAAGTACATAGTGATAGAAAACAAGGCATGGCGTGTGCCTGGGTGAAGCTTAGAGGCTAACAGAAGAGATGATAAGTGAGCAAACTTCCAAAGGATCACTATTAAAGACTCCACAGGCATCATCACGGTGTATGGAAGTTAGGGGGATACTGGGAAAATACTGTTTTTTAAGGTTAAAGTTTTAAAAGAACTTCCATTTCTTAAGCACCTAGTAGTGCCAGGAATTGCACCAGGAATTTTATTCCAAACAAAAATCTGGTAAGGTAGGAGATGGTATCTCAACCTTGCAAGTGACACCATGAAGACTCAGACAGGTGCAGTAAGATGTCCAAGGTCACACCAACAGTAAGAGGCACGACCATGATTTAAATCTCATGCTAACCATCCTTTACTTTCTCCTACTTTATACTGTTGGATGATTTTTTTTAATGGATAGGATTTTGGTGGAAAAAACAGGGCTGGATGTCAATCTGAATTGAGAATCTCCAGCCCTGTGCCCTGCTGGAAGGATGGAATAAGCACATTCCAGCCTATCTGGGTATAAGCAACAGATATTCATTTTGAACATCAAAAAAGCTCACAGGCCACTATCTTGTGGGTCCTTTAATCCATCTGCCTCCAGAAATAGATATACTCTCACCTATACATGAACTCTATTTCTCTGAGAGGCAAATAAAAAAAAAAAGAAACCCTGCTGTAAAGAGGTGAACTGAAATTCTATAGATGACTCAGAGAGTAGCTTCTCTGGCTAAGGCCATACTTACCTACTTCTCAATTCGTTAAGAAAAAATAAATAAAAGACCAAACAAAACAGCCATCTCATTTATGAATTAAACTGAAAATAAATTTGCATTTTATTGATACAAAAGTACAAACTATACTGTTTTTCATTTTTAAAAAAGTTATATCTAGTTTATATCTCTTTTCTTTCCTTTTGGTGTTGCTAATTCAATTTGGACAGATGGCTAAGATTCTACCTTCTTGAAAGACCCCAAATTTAATAATGTAACTGGTTCATTTAAAGTAAAATGTTCCGAAATTAGTCCACATTCTGTTTCCTTCTTAAACAGAATATACTGTATGCATATAACTACCTCTCAATGGTCACCTGCTGGCCTATAACAGAAAATTCTTCTTAGAGGCTTCTGGGATGTGATTCTATAACAAATAGTCCCAGACTGCTATGCATTTTGAAGTCCTAAATATGTCCTGTACATTCATTGCCCTCATTATGCACTTCCTAGCTGTCACTTGCACCTGCTATTAGTTGTCTGCTGGAGAGAACAGACTCCCCCTCTATGACCTCTAGCTTTGGATCCGGCGTGGGTTTACACCCAGATAACCAAATTAATTAGAATGTGATGTAAAAGAGGAATCAATCAGGGTCCTTCTCTTTATACTTCATCTGTACCTGCTGAAATCCAGTCACACCAGGCCTATCTCAAATGCAACCACCTTCAAGGGAGATTTCCCCGTACCCTAGACTAGATGCATACTCTCCCTTCTCCCAAAACCCTGAATACTTTAAATCCTTGTTGTGATTCTTCTGACAAACTCCCTTGTAGAATGTGCACCTCCTTACTGCATCTTGCCTTCTGTGTGATTTAAACCCCTTGTATTCACACTCTTCTGTAAATCCCACCCTCAAGAGAAGACTGGACCTAGCAACTGGCTTCAACAGAAGATGCCAAAATGATGGCAGGTCATCTTCAGGAGGAGAATAGGTGACAAAAGGATCATCCTCTCTTGCTCTTTCTTGGAGTTCTTGCTCTGAGGGAATAAAGCTGCTTTGTCATGAGTAGCCCTCAGAAGAGGCCCACATGGCAGGAAACAGATGCATCCAACAACCACGTGGGTGAGCTTGGAAGTGAATTCTCCTCCAGTTGAGCCTTCGTGTGAGACTGCAGCCCCAGCCTCCACTTGACAGCAGCCTTGTAAGAGACCTTGAGCTGGAAGCATCTGGCTGAGCCATGCCCAGATTCCTGACCCACAGCAATTATGAGACAATAAACGTGTGCTGTTTTAAAATGCTAAGTTTAAAACAATCTGCTACAGTTATAGATAACTAATACAATCCCACAAGAGCTAAAATAGCATACTTACCATCTTTATATCCCTTGCAGCACCTAGTCCAGACCCTTTCACATAAAAGAATTTAACAAATGTTTACTGAATTAAGAGAATGCCAGTCTTTATCCCCAAGAAGTTTACAGTCTAATGGAGGAGGGGGGGGATATCAGACATTTAACAAGTCACCCCACAAATACATGTAGACTAACAACTGTGATAAGACTTGTGCAAGTGATGGGTGAACTGAGACCTGAAGGAAGAGCAAGAGTGAGTGAAGCAAGGAGGAAGAAAGGCCCGTTCCAGTCAGAGCACATATAAAGGCCCCGGGGCAGGTGTAAGCATGAAAGCAAACCAGGTGACTGAGGTACAGGAGGACAGGTATGTGAGGTGGGCTGCACGATGAGGCGGGACTGCACCACGCTGAGGGTTCTGACTGTCAGCCAGGGTAATCAGGAGCCATCGACACATTTGGTTGGGGAGGGGTGTGTGTATAAAGGGTTGACTTGGCCACAGCTGCATTTCTGGAAGATCATTCTGCCTGCCTTATGCAGAATGGATTACAGGGCAGGAAGCATGAAAGGAGGCAGACTTATGAGACGGCTAATTACAGCAGTCCAGACAAAATAGCCTAGTAGTGGACTGTAATGGTTATGGTGGAAATAGAAGTAAACATATGAAAGAGCTATTCAAGAATAAAGGTGAACCGGCCTTGAGACAGGTTTGCACATGGGGCCACGACAAGAGCGGTGTGAAAAGGGACTCCTGCATGTCTGCTGTGTTCCTGAGAGTAGTGGTAGGATTGTGGGCTGAGGCCAAGGGCACTGAAGGAAGACCTGGAGTCTTCTCCCAATGGGGAAGTGGATAAGCTTTCAATCAAGGAGACTGTGTCATCTGTTTCACTGACTCTTTCCTTAAGGGGCATTTCTGTTCATCTCCTGGTTCTCTGCTGTATCCCAGACAGGAGAAATATTACAGCAAACCCACTAGCTTCAGAATCTACTTAATGCACACAGTAATGTATGAATTTCTGCCCATGAGGCCAATCCAACCAATGTTACACATACAACTAGAAAAAGCAACTTAATTATAACCATGAAAGTGGTCGCCTTCTGGTTCCTCCATTCACAAGCAAGGCAATGTCTGCTGGTGGACATTAAATGGCCTCTGCTTCCCATTAACAATGATGGGAACATTTATTACATACCTCCTATATGCCAGGTACTTTGTGGGCTCCTGTGCATACATTATCTCTAATCTTGCCAGCAAAATACTGTAAAATTTCTATAAAGGAGGAAGCTCAGAGCAGCAAAGTAACTTCCCAAGGTAACAGCATGGTAAGTTGAAGGGAGGATTGGAAGCCAGGTCTGCTAGACTAAAACCTGTATTCCTCCTCTCACACAGCCTCTTCATTTCAGTAGGACCTTCATTACGGGCTGCTTTACCCAGTCAGCTGGCTCACCCACATACTCAATCCCCTTCAGTTGTTGAGACAGCTGAAAATACCAGATCAATAACTTTGACTGTTTTCCTCCTGTTCTGTAACCAACTGACACTGATTAGGGCAGGAACCCCAATTAACCAAGCCCGCAGCTCAGGAGGTGAGAACCTGTGCACCTTAAATCAGACGAGCACAACATGTTTTCCATGATGAGTGGGCAACAGTTACCACCCAGGGCTGCTCCACAGAGGGAATGAACTGGAGACTTCACATGTGTTCAATTTCTTGAAAGAAAATGCTGTGCCTTTTTAGAGCACGCTTTTAGAAAGTAGTGAAGTAGAAAGAATCTAGGAAAAACTGGTCTCTGCAGATGTCATGATGAGCTTAAAATAATGAGGTTTCCAGGTGTATAAACATATGAAGAGCTGCTTTCGGGGTGGACTGCAGGCTCTGGGCTTCTTTGAATCCCACACAGAGGTCTACACAGCAGAGAACCCCAGGGATGCTTCTGTTACAGGCGGAGGATGGAGAGGCCCCCAAAACACCATGCTCAGAGAAGGGGCAGCACACAACCACTACCCCACAACCCCAAAGCTTTAGCCACAGTGCTTCCCTCACCATTTGTCAATCATTCCAGATGGCCGCACCCACAACCCCGTAAAAGAACCAGGGTCTATTTCAACCATAATAATAATGCAATCACAAATTCAAGAGCACAGCACCTCCCTCCCCACCCCACTTCCTATGCCTCCCTGATGGTACGGGGTACACTGGACAATGCTAGGTCATTCTATTATCCCGATGTGAGTGAGTGGCCATCCCTTGACTTCATCCTCCAAAACATACCCTTCTCATTAACCTCCCATTGCTATTATGAAAAAGAGAATACAGGATATTGCAAGGACAGAAAAAGGGGTCTCGGAGTTAAATGTCTTCAGTGGGCCTGGCACTGGGATGAACAGAAGAGACAAAAGGGCGAGCAAGAACAGAACCCCTGCCCTCCTGGCACCTACTTGGTTAAGCTGTGAGACCCTAGCCCAGTTGGGTTGTTTAAGCCTAAATTTTCTCATCTATACAATGTGGATCATAACAATCCTACATCAGAAGGGAGGTGACGAAATGACATGAGATAAACAGCAAATACAAGGAACAAAGAGCCCCTGTTCAGTGGCTGTCATCACTGTTATCGCCATTTACCACTCTACTGCCCTACCCCAGGCATCTTGTAGGAAAAGGCTGCTTCGTGGAGCATCTTCCCACCTTTGTGCCGTCAAGAATCTGTTCCCTTCTCCTGCCATGTACCCTGTATTTTGAATGATGTTGTCAATCTCACTGCATTAAGTATTCATTGTTTCCCTATTTTATTCATCTAAGACATAAGCATGATTAATATTTAAAAAGTAATGTAGAAAAAGCAGTAAAACAGACTTTATCAAAATTTAAAAATTTGTTTGTCATAGGGCACTATCAAAAAAGTAAAACATCAACTCTCAGAATAGGAGAACATATTTTCAAGTCAAGTATCTGATAAGGCCTTACTATCTAGAGTAAATAAAGAATGCCTAAAAGTCAACCATAGAAAGAAAAGTGACCTAATTTTAAAAATAGGCAAAGGATGTGAATAGAAAGAAGAGATAAATGACCAATGCACTCATGAAAAGATGCTCAACATGACTAGTCATCAGGGAAATGCAAACCAAAGCCACAATGAGATACCACCTCACATGCACTAGTATTGCTATAATAAAAAAGACAGACGTAACAAGTGTTATCGAGGATACAGAGAACCTAGAACCCTCACATACTACTGGTCAGAACGTAAAATGGGGGACCCACTGTGGAAAACAGTTTTTGCAGTTCCTCGAAAAATACGGTAAGCAATATGACCCAGCAATTCTAAGAATTGGAATAGACTCAAGAAAATCATATTAGAAATTAGAAATATATCCAAGAAACCTGAAAATATATGTTCACATAAAAACTTGTATATAACATTTGTAGAAATATTATCCATAAAAATCAAAAGTAGAAACAAGCCAAAAGTCGAACAAATAGAAAAGGTGATAGATAAAATATAGTCTATTCATACAATGGAATATTATTTAGCCATAAAAGGAATGAAGTATGGATACACACTAAAACATGGATGAAACATGAAAACATGCTAAGTGAAAAAAGCCAGACACAAAAGGCTACAAACTGCACGTTTCCATTGATACAAACTGTCCGGAATAGGCAAATCTACAGAGACAGAAAGTAGATGAGTGGTTTCCAGGGCATGGGAGAAAGGAGAATGAAGTTACTATTTCATGTGGGTGAGGTTTCTCCTTGGGGTGATGAAGATGTTCTGGAATTCAGTAGTGATGATGCTTGCACAATCTTGTGAATATATTAAAAATCACTGAATTGTACATTTTAAAAGGGTGACATTTATGGTATGTGAAATCAATCTGTCTCAATTATATATACAATATGTAGTAACATATATATGTATTATAAACTGAGTGAGATACATTAACTGAGTGAATTATATCTGCGGCCAACAAATATGACATGCTGATGACAACAAAGTTTAGCTGGAAAAGCCCAAGATGTGATGTTTGGATTCTGGGTCTGCCCCTTGGCTAAGTCTGTGTCCACGATCAGTTCAGTGAGTCCCTCTCCCCATGGTCTTCATCCATAAGATGAGAGGGTATCATTACACGGTCATAAAGATCAAATGGGATAATGTATGTAAAATGATGAGCAAATTGCGCGCTGCAGTCAAGTTTTTATGCACGCTAGTTACCATCCTCAGCTCCCTGATGGAAGGAAGGAGAAAGCCAATATTCCATTCTGAGTGAGAAGGAGCCACAGCCCAGCTTGCCCTTCCCTCTGGCCGCCACCCCTTACCTCAGGTGTCAGGGCATTGTTATCCGAGGTCTGACTGGACAGCAGGATGTGCGTGAACCCTTCTTCCTTCCGCACAACGATGTCTCGAAACCGACAGTTGCTTTCATTCTGGCGGACACTGTATCTGAGCCTTTTGTCAAAGACGTAGTCCTTCTCCGCTTCCAGCTTCCTCTTCACTGGACTGTGCAGGTTCAATCCCCCGTTGGTCAGAGCAGAGCCTTCCAAAACCAGATAAACAATGTAAGAAACTGAAATGGACCACGATCCTAGAAGGATGTGATCAGAGGACGTTGGGATTTCCAATGGAAAGGTTTGGATGTGCTGGGACACACCACCTTCTCCCCTGTGCCACCCTCTGTTCTAGGAAGAGGGAAGGTGAAGAGACAGGCTGAATTCCTGCATCTCCAAATTCAGAAGGGGACCTAGAGGGCTCTTTGTGAAGGCCCTGTGCGGTCCTCTACTCTCTTCTCCCATATATCAGCTTCTGCTCAGATTCCTTGGCCACAGGGAATCCACTGACCACCCTGAGAGGCAGCCCTCTCCACTGGTGGATGCCTATGAATCATAGGAAATTATCAATAAGAGCAAGACCAGCAGCTAACCTTTAACCAACCCGTATTATGTGCTAAGCACCACCCTCAAATACATTCACGAGCATGACCTTATTTAATATGAGAACCAGAGATGGGGCTCTGGGACCCCCCTAGGGCTTCCTCAGGCGCTGCCTTGAGATGAGAGGGGTGAATACCAAGCAGGCAGTATCCTTAGGTCTCTCTCTTCCTCTCGCAAATCAATTACAATGGCTTTGCATTTTTCTGTTTCACATATTAACATTCACAAATGGCCTGAAAGTGCCCTCCTGAAAAGGTTTGAAAACTAAAAACAGAATGATCCAGATGTATAACGGTTCCCAGTCTCCAGCCTCACACAGGATACATCAGGAGCTCTGGGATGTGCTAAAGAAAGCAAGGCCAAGCCAACACCCCCAAACCTCCATCGGAAGCAGATATAGGAAGAGGCTCAAATGTGTATTTTGAAAACACTTCCCAAATACCTCCGTCCAAAAAAAAAAAAGGGAAAGAGAGAGGGAAGGAAGACACAAACTACCAATATCAGAAATGAAAGAGGGGGCATCACTATTGATCTTATAAATCATGCTACTATAAAGACATATACACATATGTTTACTGCGGCACTATTCACAATAGCTCACACTTGGAAAGAACCCAAATGTCCATCAGTGATAGACTGGATTAAGAAAATGTGGCAAATATACACCATGGAATACTATGCAACCATAAAAAAGGATGAGTTCATGTCCTTTGCAGCGACATAGATGAAGGTGGGAACTATCATTCTGAGCAAACTATCGCAAGGACAGAAAACCAAACACCGCATGTTCTCACACATAGGTGGGAATTGAACAATGAGAACACTTGGACCCAGGGCGGGGAACATCACACACCAGGGCCTGTCGTGGGGTGGGGACATGGGTGAGAGATAGTATTAGGAGAAATATGTAATGTAAATGAAGAGTTAATGGGTACAGCAAACCAACACGACACATGTATACATATGTAACCTGCACATTGTGCACATGTACCCTAGAACTTAAAGTATAATTTAAAAAATAAATAAAAATAAAAGGATAATAAAGAAATACTAAGAAAAACTGCTCTGCCCATGTATTTGATAACTTAGATGAAATTTCTTTAATCAAGACACAAACTTCCAAAATATACACAAGGAGAAATACATCATCTCATCTGAATAGGGCTATAAAAAAAAGAAATTGAAGGAATTTCTACTAAAGAAATTGAATCAATAATTAATAAGCTAACAAAGAAAGCATCAAGCCCAAAGAATTATACCAAACATTTTTGGAACAAATAATACCAATTCTCCAAAAGCTGTTCCAGAAAACAGGTTCAGAGGAACACTTCCTAATTCATTCCATGAGGCTTGAGTTGCCCTAATACCAAAGCCAGATAAAGACATTACAAGAACACAGAATAGTAGACTGATATCTCTCATGAACACAGATGGAAAAATAATCTTCAGCAAAATATTAGCACATCAATGTATAAAGGGAATTATACGCCACAATCAGGTATAAGAAGCTGGTTCAATATTTGGAAACCAATCAATGTGATCCACCACATCAATAGGCTAAAAGAAGAAAAACCATATGATCATATCAATTGATGTAGAAAAAGCATCTCACAAAATCCAATAGAAAGGGACTTCCTAGTCCAATTGTCTCTGTTTGCAGATGATGTGACTGTATATTTAGAAAACCCCATCATCTCAGCCCAAAATCTCCTTAAGCTCATAAACAACTTCAGCAAAGTCTCAGGATACAAAATCAACGTGCAAAAATCACAAGCATTCCTACACAACAATAACAGACAGCCAGCCAAATCATGAGTGAACTACCATTCACAATTGCTACAAAGAGAATAAAATACTTAGGCATACAACTTACAAGGGATGTGAAGGACCTATTCAAGAAGAACCACACACCACTGCTCAAGGAAATAAGAGAGGACACAAACAAATGGAAAAACATTCCATGCTCATGGAAAGGAAGAATCAATATCGTAAAAATGGCCCTACTGCTCAAAGTAATTTAAAGATTCAATGCTATCTCTATCAAGTTACCACTGAATTTCTTTACAGAATTAGAAAAAATTACTTTAAATTTCATATGGAGCCAAAAAAGAGTCTGTATAGCCAAGGCAATCCTAAGCAAAAAGAACAAAGCTGGAGGCATCATGCTACCTGACTTCAAACTATACTACAAAGCTACAGTAACCAAAACAGCATGGTACTGGTACCAAAACAGACATATAGACCAATGGAACAGAACAGAGGCCTCAGAAATAACACCACTCATCTACAACAATCTGATCTTTGACAAATCTGACAAAAACAAGCAATGGGGAAAGGATTCCCTATTTAATAAACGGTGTCGGGAAAACCAGCTAGCCATATGCAGAAAACTGAAATTGGACCCCTTTCTTATGCCTTATAGAAAAATTAACTCAAGATGGATTAGACTTAAAAGTAACACCTAAAGCCTAACTCTAGAAGAAAACCTAGGCAATACCATTCAGGACATAGGCATGGGCAAAGAATTCATGATTAAAACACCAAAAGCAATGGTAAGAAAAGCCAAAATTGACAAATGGGATCTAATTAAACTAAAGAGCTTCTGTACAGCAAAAGAAACTATCACGAGAGTGAACAGGCAACCTACAGAATGGGAGAAAATTTTTGCTATCTATTCATCTGACAAAGGGCTAATATCCAGAATCTACAAGGAACTTAAACAAATTTACAAGAAAAAACCCAAACAACCCCATCAAAAAGTGGGCAAAGGATATGAACAGACATTTCTCAAGAAATGTATGCAGCCAACAAATACATGAAAAAAAGCTCATCATCACCGGTCATTACAGAAATGCAAATCAAAATCACAATGAGATGCCATCTCACGCCAGTTAGAATGGAGATCATTAAGAAGTCAGGAAACAACAGGTGCTGGAGAGGATGTGGAGAAATAGGAAGCTTTTACACTTTTGGTGGGAGTGTAAATTACTTCAACCATTGTGGAAGACAGTGTGGCGATTCCTCAAGGATCTAGAACTAGAAATACCATTTAACCCAGCAATCCCATCCTGGGTATATACCCAAAGGATTATAAATCATTCTACTATGAAGACACATGCACACGTATGTTTACTGCAGCACTGTTCACAATAGCAAAGACTTGGAACCAACCCCAACGCCCATCAACGATAGACTGGATTAAGAAAATGTGGCACATATATACCATGGAATACTATGCAGCCATAAAAAAGGATGAGTTCATGTCCTTTGCAGAGACATGGATGAAGCTGGAAACCATCATTCTCAGCAAATGAACACATGAGCAGAACGCCAAGCACCGCATATTCTCACTCATAAGTGAGAGTTGAACAATGAGAACACATGGATACAGGGAGAGGAACATCACACACCGGGGCTTGTCTGGGGGTGGAGTGTTAGGGGAGGAATAGCATTAGAAGAAATACCTAATATAGATGACAGGTTGATAGGTGCAGCAAACCACCATGGCACGTGTATACTTATGTAACAAACCTGCACGTTCTGTATATGTATACATTTAAAAAAAAATCTTTTAGTTCCTAAAAAGCACAAACTTAAAAAAAAAAGGGGGAAACGAAAGGGACTTCTTCAATTTGGCAAAGAACATCTACAAAATACCTACAGATAATGTCTTACTTAGCGGTGAGAAATGGATGCTTTGCCCTTAAGATCTGAAATAAGAAAAAGATGTTCTCTCTCTTTTTCAATATCACACTGAGAGTCCTAGCGATTGCAAAAACATTTTTAAGGGAAATAAAAGTATATAAAGTTTGGGAAGAAATAAATAAAACGATTTTTGTCCACAGATGACAAGACTTGTCTACATAGAAAGTACGAAAGAACTGGATTAACGAAAAAAGAAAAAAAGAAAAACAATTACTCCTGAACTAATAAGCAAATACTGTAAGGTCACAGAATACAAGGTTAACAGACAAAAGTCAGTTACTTTTGCACATACCAGCAATGAGCAACTGGAACTTGATGTTTTTTAAAAAAATACTGTTTTAATATTCAATAGTACAATGGAGAGATTATACTTAACAATAATTTATTGTATATTTCAAAGTAGCTAGAACAGAAGAATTGGAATGTTCCCAAAACAAACACAAGACAAATGTTTGAGGTGATGGATATCTCAATTACCCTGATTACCCTGATTTGATCATTACACATCCTATGCGGGTATCTAAGCATCACACGTATTCCAAAAATATGTACAACTATTATACGTAAATGTTAAAACTTTAAAAAATATTGTTTATGACAGCATCCAAAACAGGAAATACGTAGATATAAATCTAACAAAATATGTATAAGAGCCATATGTGAAAAATTGTAAAATTCTGATGAAACAAAGAAAATCTAAGTAAATGGAGAAATAATCTGTGTTAATGAATTGAAAGACTCCATTTTTTTTTTTCTTGAGACAAGGTCTTGCTGTGTCACCCAGGCTGGAGTACAGTGCTGCTATCACAGCTCACTGCAGCCTCAACCTCCTAGGCTCAAACTATATTCCCTCCTTAGCCTCCCAAGTAGCTGGGACTACAGGCATGTGGTAACACACCTGGCTATTTTATTATTTTTCGCAGAGAACAGGGTCTCACTATGTTGCCTAGGCTGGTCTCAAATTCCCAACCCCAAACAATCCTCCCACCTCAGGCTCCCAAAGTGCTGGGATTATAGGCGTGTGCCACCACACTTCGCCAAGACTCAATATTTTTAATATGTCAATTCTTCCCAACTTGATCTATAGACTCAATGTAATCCCAATTCAAATCCCAGCAAGCTATTTTGTAGATATTGGCAAACTGATTCTAAACTTTATTTGGGAAGGCAAAAGACCTAGGTAATACTGATGAGTAAGAATCCACCTGGAGGACTCACACTACCCAATTCCAAAACTTACTATAAAGCTAAAGTAATCAAGACAGCGTGGTGTTGCTGAAAGAACAGATACATGCATCAGTGGTATATGATAGACGACCCAGAAATAGATCCACAGCAATATACCGAGGTGATCTTTGGCAAAGAAATAAAGACAATTCAATGGAGACAGGATAGTTTTTCTCAACAAATTGTACTGGAACAAATGGATATCCATTTGAAAAAGGGAAAAAAAAGAACCTAGACACAAACTCTGTACTTTGCAAACAAAAATTAACTCAATATGAATCATAGACCTAAATGTAAAATGCAAATTATAAAGCTCCTAGAGGATAGTACAGGAGAAACCCTAGGGAACTTGGGTTTGCAATGACTTTTTACATAAGACACTAAAAACATGATCCGTGAAATAAAAAATTTTTAAATTGGACATTACAAAGAACATAATTTAAACAAAATAATTTCAATAATTTTAAAATGGGCAAAAGATCTGAAGAGACACCTCAACAAAGAAGTTATACAGATGACAAGCATATTGAAATGACATTCACCATCATTTTTCATTAGGGAACTAAAGCAAGGAAATTAAAGCCAGGAGGTACCACTACACACATTAGACTAGCTAACATCCAAAAACCCAACAACACCAATAGCTGGAGAGGATGCCGAGTGACAGGAATGCTCATTCACTGCTGGTGGGCATATAAGATGGCACAGCTACTTTGTAAGACAGTTTTGTCTTTTCTTAAAAAGCTAAACTAGTCTTACCACATCAACCAGCAACCACCATTCCTACGCATTCACCATAATGATGTGAAATCTTATAGTCACAAAACAAAACCAAAACACAAAAAACTGCAGCTTTATTCAAAGCACCAAAAATTGGAAGCAACCATTGTGTCCTTTAATAAGTGAAGGGATAAACAAACTGTGGTACATTCATAATATGCAACATTATTCAGCAATAAAAAATGAGTTATGAGGGAATGGAGCAAGATGGCACAATAGAAGGCTCCATGGATTGTACCCTCCCCCCTGCAAGGACATCAAATTAACAACTGTCTACACACAAAAAAAAATACCTTCATAAGAACAAAAAATCAGGTGAGCACTCACAGGACCCGGTTTTAACTTCATATTGCTGAAAGAAGCACCGAAGAGGTAAGAAAAACAGTCTTGAATCACAAACGCCACCTCTCTCCCCTCCCCCTGAAGCAGTAGTGTGGTATGGAAAGCACGTTTGTGCACTGTGGAAAGGGAGAGTGTAGCAATTGTGAGGCATTGAACTCACTGTTGTCCTGTTATAGCAGAAAGCAAAAGCATACCAAACTCAGCTGACGTCTACCCAATGACGGAGCATTTAGACCAGCCCTAGCCAGAGGGGAATCACTGATATCCCAGTGGTCAGAACTTGAGTTCCTGCAAGTCTTGCCACAATGGGATAAAGTGCTCTGGGGCCCTAGATAAACCTGAAAGGTGGTCTAGGCCACAAGGGCTAGACCTCCAAGGCCAATCCTAGTCCCGCAATGGGCCCAGAGCCAGTAGACTCAGGGGGCACACAATCCACTGAGACACCAGCTGGGGTGGCTAAGGGAGTGCTGGTATCACCGCTCTCCTAACACCAGACTGCACACCTCAAGTATCCAAAAGAGATCCCTCCTTTCCACTTGAGGAGAGGAGAGAGAAGAGTAGGGAGGACTTTGTCTTGCATTTTGGATAACAGCTCAGTCACAGCAGGATGGGGCACTGGTCAGAGTCATGAGGCCCAGTCTGGGCCAGAAGGGAACCTGCTGCCTTCAAGGGAAGGATCCCATCTTGGAAGGATTCATCACCTGCTAACTGAAGAGCCCTGAATAACCAGCAGCAATATACAGGTACCACGTTGAGGGCCTTGGGTAAGACTCCGAGACTTGGTGGCTTCAGGTGAGACTCAGCACATTCCCATCTGTGGCGGCTACAGGGAGAGATAAATACCTGACTCTTCAATTCCCAGACACAAACATCTACAAGAATCAAGATCATCCAGGAAAACATGACCTCACCAAATAAGGCACCAGGTACTAACCCTGGAGCAAGGGAGATATGTGACCTTTCAGGCAGAGAATTCAAAGTAGCTGTTCTGAGGAAACTCAGAGAAATTAAAAATAACACAGAGAAGGAATTCAGACTTCGATTAGATAAATTTAACACGGAGATTGAAATAATTAAAAAGAATCAAGCAGAAATTGTGTAGCTAAAAAGCGTAACTGGCATAGTGAAGAATGCAGCAGACTCTGAATAGCAGAATTGAACAAGCGTAAGAAAGAATTAGTGAGCCTGAAGACAGGCTATTTGAAAATATATAGTCAGAGGAAATAAAAGAAAAAGGAATAAAAAACAGTGAAGCATGCCTACAGGATCTAGAAAATAGCCTCAAAAGGGCAAATCTAAGAGTTACTGGCCTTAAAGAGGAGGTAGGGAAAAAGATGGGAGTGGAAAGTTTATTCAAAGGGATAATAACAGAGAACTTCCCAAGCCTAGAGAAAGATATCAATATCCAAGTACAAGAAGGTTACAGAAGACAAAGCAGATTTAACCCAAATAAGGCTATCTGAAGGCATTCAATAGTCAAACTCCCAAAGCTCAAGGATAAAGAAAAGATTCCAAAAGCAGCAAGAAAAAAGAAACAAATAGCACACAATGTAGGAGCTTTAATACATATGGCAGCAAACTTTTCAGTGGAAACCTTACAGGCCAGGAGAGAATGGCATGACATATTTAAAGTGCTAAAGGAGAAAAACAAAAAACAAAACAAAACAAAACAAAAAAACTTTTACCCTAGTATAGTATATCTGGTGAAAATCTCCTTCAAACATGAAGGGGGAATAAAGACTTTCCCATACAAACAAAAGCTGAGAAATTTTATCAACACCAGATCTCTCCCACAAGAAATGCCTAAAGGAAGCACTTCAATCAGAAAGAAAAGGATGTTAAGAAAATGTGGCACATATACACCGTGGAATACTAAGCAGCCATAAAAAATGAAGAGTTCATGTCCTTCGTAGGGACATGCATGAAACTGGAAACCATCATTCTCAGCAAACTACCGCAAGGACAAAAAACCAAACACTGCGTGTTCTCACTCATAGGAGGTAATTGAACAATGAGAACACATGGACACAGGAAGGGGAACATCACACTCTGGGGACTGTTGTGGGGTGGGGGGAGGGGGGAGGGATAGCATTAGGAGATATACCTAACGCTAAATGACGAGTTAACGGGTGCAGCACACCAACATGGCACATGTATACATATGTAACAAACCTGCACATTGTGCACATGTACCCTAAAACTTAAAGTATAATAATAAAAAAATAAAAAAAAAAAGAAAGAAATCATCTGAAGGCATAAAACCCAGTGGTAATAGCAAGTTCACAGAAAAAAACGGAATACTATAACATTGTAACTGTGGGATGTAAACTACTCTTATTAAATAGAAAGGATAAACAATGAGCAGGTCAAAAATAATAACTACAACAACTCTTCAAGACATAGTACAATAAGATATAAATAGAAACAGAAGTTGAAAAGCAGGGGGATGAAGTTAAGGTATAAAATATTTATTAGTCGCCGGGTGTGGTGGCTCACGCCTGTAATCCCAGCACTTTGGGAGGCCGAGGTGGGTGCTTCACTTGAGGTCAGGAGTTCGTGACCAGACTGGCCAAAGTGATGAAACCCCATCTCTACTAAAAATGCAAAAATTAGCTGGGCATGGTGGCATGCCCCTGTAATCCCAGCTACTTGGGAGGCTGAGTTGAGAGAATGGCTTGAACCAGGAGGCGGAAGTTGCAGTGAGCCAAGATCTCGCCACTGCAGTCTAGCCTGGGTTAACGGAGCGAGACTCCATCTAAAAAAAATTATATATTTATTAGTTTGTTATTGTTTGTTTCTTTATGCAAATAGTGTTGTTATAAGCTTAAAATGATGAGATATAAGATATTATTTGCAAACCTCATTGAATTAGTCCGTTTTCACGCTGCTGACAAAGACATCGGGTAGACTGGGAAGAAAAAGAGGTTTAATTGGACTTACAGTTCCACGTGGCTGGGGAGGCCTCAGAATCATGGAGGGAGGTGAAAGGCACTTCTTACATAGCAGTGGCAAGAGGAAATAAGGAAGATGCAAAAGTGGAAACCCTTGATAAAACCATCAGATCTCATGAGACTTATTCACTACTATGAGAACAGTATAGGGAAAATTGCCCCCATGATTCAAATTATCTCCCACTGGGTCCCTCCCACAATTATGGGAATTATGGGAGTACAATTCAAGATGAGATTTGAGTGGGGACACACAGTCAAACCATATTATTCCACCCCCAGCCCCTCCAAATCTCAAGTCCTCATATTTCAAAAGCAATCATGGCTTCTGAACAGGCCCCCAAAGTTTTAACTCATTTCAGCATTAACCCAAAAGTCCACAGTGCAAAGTCTCATCTGAGACAAAGTAAGTCCCTTCTGCCTATAAGCCTGTAAAATCAAAAGCAAGCTAGTTACTTCCCAGACACAAGGGGGGTACAGGTATTGGGTAAATACAGCTATTCCAAATGGGAGAAATTGGCCAAAACAAAGGGGTTACAGGGCCCAGGCAATTCCAAAATCCAGCAGGGCAGTCAAATTTTAAAGCTCCAAAATGATCTCCTTTGACTCCAGGTCTCACATCCAGGTCACGCTGATTCAAAAGGTGAGTGCCCGTGGTCTTGGGCAGCTCCACCCCTGTGGCTTTGCAGGGTTCAGCCTCTCTCCTGGCTGCTTTCATGGGTTGGCATTGAGTGTCTGCAACTTTTCCAGGTGCCCAGCACAAGCTGTCAGTGGATTTACCATTCTGGGGTCTGGAGGACGGTGGCCCTTTTCTCACAGCTCCACTAGGCGGTGCCTCCACAGGGACTCTGTGTGGGGGCGGTGAGCCCATATTTCCCTTCTGCACGCCTTAGCAGAGGTTCTCCAAGAGAGCCCTGCCCCTGCAGCAAACCTGCGTGGGTATCCACGCATTTCCATACATCTTCTGAAATCTAGGTGGAGGTTCTAAACTCCAGTTCTTGACTTCTGGGCACTCATAGGCTCAACACCACATGGAAGATGCCAAAGCTTGGGGCTTGCACCCTCTGAAGCCATGGCCCAAGCTGTATGTTGGCCCCTTTCAGCCATGGCTGGAGCAGCTGGGACACAGGGCACCAAGTCCCTAGGCTGCACACAGCAACAGGACCCCGGGCCCAGCCTACAAAACCATTTTCCCCTAGGCCTCCAGGCCTGTGATGGGAGGGTCTGCTGTGAAGACCTCTGGCAAACCCCGCAGACATCTTCCCCACTGTCTTGGGGATTAACATTCAGCTCCTCATTACTTATGCAAATGTCTGAAGTTGGCTTGAATTTCTCCTAAAACAAAAAAATGGGTTTTCTTGTCTATCACATTGTCAGGCTACAAATTTTCCAAACTTTTATGCTCTGTTTCCCTTTTAAAACTGAATGCTTTTAACAGCACCCAAGTCACCTCTTGAATGCTTTGCTGCTTAGAAATTTCTTTCACGAGACACACTAAATCATCTCTCTCAAGTTCAAAGTTCCACAAATCTCTAAGGCAGGGGCAAAATGCCACCAGTTGCTTTGCTAAAACATAACAAGTGCCACCTTTGCTCCAGTTCCCAACAAATTCCTCATCTCCATCTGAGACCATCTAAGCCTGGACCTTATTGTCCATATCACTTATCAGGCTTTTGGTCAAAGACATTCAACAACTCTCTAGGAAGTTCCAAACTTTCCCACATTTTCCTGTCTTCTTCTGAGCCTTCCAAACTGTTCCAATCTCTGCCTGTTACCCAGTTCCAAAGTCACTTCCACATTTTTGGGTACCTTTTCAGCAACATCCCACTCTACTTGTACCAATTTCATGCTGCTGATAAAGACACTGGGTAGACTGGGGAACAAAAGAGGTTTAATTGGACTTAACAGTTCCACATAGCTGTGGAGGCCTCAGAATCATGGCAGCATGCGAAAGGCACATCTCACATGGCAGTGGCAAGAGAAAATGAGGAAGATGCAAAGGCGGAAACCCCTGATAAAACCATCAGATCTCGTGATACTTATTCACTACCATGAGAACAGTATGGGGGAAACTGCCCCCATGATTCAAATTATGACTTCAAACTATACTACAAGTCTATAGTAACCAAAACAGCATGGTACTGGTACCAAAACAGAGATACAGACCAATGGAACAGAACAGAGCCCTCAGAAATAATTCCACACATCTACAACCATCTGATCTTTGACAAACCTGACAAAAACAAGAAATGGGGAAAGGATTCCCCATTTAATAAATGGTGCTGGGAAAACTGGCTAGCCATATGTAGAAAGCTGAAACTGGATCCCTTCCTTACACCTTATACAAAAATTAATTCAAGATGGATTAAAGACTTAAACGTTAGACCTAAAACCATAAAAACCCTAGAAGAAAACCTAGGCAATACCATTCAGGACATAGGCATGGACAGGGACTTCATGTCTAAAACACCAAAAGCAATGGCAACAAAAGCCAAAATTGACAAATGGGATCTAATTAAACTAAGAAGCTTCTGCACAGCAAAAGAAACTACCATCAGAGTGAACAGGCCACCTACAGAATGGGAGAACATTTTTGCAATCTACTCATCTGACAAAGGGCTAATATCCAGAATCTACAAAGAACTCAAACAAATTTACAAGAAAAAACAACCCCATCAACAAGTGGGCGAAGGATATGAACACACACTTCTCAAAAGAAGACATTTATGCAGCCAAAAGACATATGAAAAAATGCTCATCATCACTGGCCATCAGAGAAATGCAAATCAAAACCACAATGAGATACCATCTCATGCCAGTTAGAATGGCAATCATTAAAAAGTCAGGAAACAACAGGTGCTGGAGAGGATGTGGAGAAATAGGAACACTTTTACACTGTTGGTGGTACTGTAAACTAGTTCAACCATTGTGGAAGACAGTGTGGCGATTCCTCAAGGATCCAGAACTAAAAATACCATTTGACCCAGCAATCCCATTACTGGGTATATATCCAAAGGATTATAAATCATGCTGCTATAAAGACACATGCACACGTATGTTTACTGTGGCACCATTCACAATAGCAAAGACTTGGAACCAACCCAAATGTCCATCAATGATAGACTGGATTAAGAAAATGTGGCACATATACACCATGGACTACTATGCAGCCATAAAAAAGGATGAGTTCATGTCCTTTGTAGGGACATGGATGAAGCTGGAAACCATCATTCTCAGCAAACTATCTCAAGGACAGAAAACCAAACACCGCATGTTCTCACTCATAGGTGGGAATTGAACAATGAGAACACTTGGACACAGGAAGGGGAACATCACACACCGGGGCCTGTCATGGGGTGGGGGGAGGGGGGAGGGGGGAGGGATGGCATTAGGAGATATACCTAATGTAAATGATGAGTTAATGGGTGCAGCACACCAACATGGCGCATGTATACATATGTAACAAACCTGCACGTTGTGTACATGTACCCTAGAACTTAAAGTATAATTAAAAAAAAACAAAAAAATTATCTTCCACTGGGTCCCTCCCACAATATGTGGGAATTATGGGAATACAATTCAAGATGAGATTTGGATGGGGACAGAGAGCCAAACTATATCACTCAAGCCAAAAAATATATAATGAATACAAAAAAATTAACAAACAATAAACTAAATCATAACCAGACAAAAATCACCTTCACTAAAAGGAAGACAGGAATGAAAGAAAGAAGGAAAAGAAGTGCACAGAATTCCCAGAAAACAAATAACAAAATGGCAGGAGAAAGTCTTTACTTATAAATAATAACATTGAATGTGAATGTACTAAACTCTTCAATCAAAAGACAGAGTGGCTGAATTAAAAAACAAGACCCAGGTCGGGCGTGGTGGCTCACACCTGTAATCCCAGCACTTTGGGAGGCCAAGGAAGGCAGATCACGAGGTCAGCTGATCAAGACCATCTTGGCTAACATGGTGAAACCCTATCTCTACTACAAATACAAAAATCAGCTGGGCAGAGTGGCGTGTGCCTGTAATCCCAGGTACTCAGGAGGCTGAGGCAGGAGAATTGCTTGAACCAGGGAGTCAGAGGTTGCAGTGAGCCAAGATTGCGCCACTGCACTCCAGCCTGGAGACAGAGTGAGACTCTGTCTCAAAACAAACAAACAAAACAAAACAAAACAAAACAAACAAAAAAACAAGACCCAATGATCTGCTGCCTGTAAGAAACACACTTCGCCTTTAAAGACAAATAGACTGAAAAAAAAAAAGGATGGAAAAAGATATTCCTTGCCAATGAATACCAAAAAAGAGCACCAGTAGCTATACTGATGTCAGATAAAATATACTTCATCACAAAAACTATAAGATAAAGAGGGTCATTATATAATGATAAATACACAAAAATCAATAGCATTTCTATATGCCAACAGTAAACAATCTGAAAAAGAAATTAAAAAGTTATCCCATTTACAATAGCCACAAATAAAATTAAATACCTAGGAATTAACTTAACCAAAGAAGTGAAATATCTCTACAATAAAAACTATAAAATACTGATGAAAGAAATTGAAGAGGATGCCAAAAACTGGAAAGATATTCCATGTTCATGGATTTAAGGAATCAATATTGTTAAAATGGCCAAACTACCCAAAGTAATCTACAGATTCAATGTAATCCCTCTCAAAATACCAATAATATTCTTCACAGAAATAGAAAAAAACAAAATTTATATGGAACTGTGAAAGACCCAGAATAGCCAAAGCTATCCTAAGCAAAAAGAACAAAACTGCAGGAATCACATTACCTGACTTCAAATTACATTACAGAGCTATCTTTATATCTTCAGCAAGAAGATATAAAATTTTAAATATATATATGCACCCAACACTGGATCACCCAGATATATAAAGCAAATATTATTAGAGCTAAAGAGACAGACCCCAGGAAAATAAGAGCTGTAGACTTGAAGACTCCACTTTCAGTATTGGACAGATCTTCCAGACAGAAAATCAACAAAGAAATATTGGACTTCATCTGCACTATAGGCCAAATGGACTTAATATTTACAAAACATTTAATCCAATGGCTGCAGCATTCTCTTCTGTAGCACATGGATCATTCTCTAGGACAGGCTACATTTTAATTCACAAAACAAGTCTTAAAACATTAATAAATGGAAATATCAAGCATCTTCTTCTCTAACCACAATAGAATAAAAGTAGAAATCAATAACAGGAATTTTAGAAACTATACAAATACATGGAAATTAAACAATATGCTACTGAATGAAGGAATTAAGATGGAAATTGAAAAAATTCTTGAAACAAATGATAGTGGAAACAAAATATACCAAAACCTATGGGATACAGCTAAAGCAGTATTAAGAGGGAATTTTATAGCTTTAAGTGCCTATACCAAAAAAGAAGAAAAACTTCAAATAAACAACCTAACAATGCATCTTAAAGAACAAGAAAGCAAGAGCAAACCAAACCCAAAATTAGTAGATGAAAAAAATAATAAAGATCAGAGTGGAAATAGATAAAATTGAAAAGAAGAAAATACAAAAGATGAATGAATCAAAAAGTTGTTTTTTTGAAAAGCTAAACAAAATTGACAAACATTTAGCCAGACTAAGAAAAACAGAGAGAAGACCCAAATTAATAACAGAGATGAAAATGGAGACCTTTTAACTGATACTGCAGAAATTCAAAGGATCATCAGTGGCTACTATGAGCAATTATATGCAATAAAGTGGAAAAGCTAGAGGACACAGACAAATTCCTAGACACATACAACCTACTAAGACTGAACCACGAAGAAATCCAAAACCTGAACAGATCAATAACAAGTAGCGATATCACAGCCATAATAAAAAGTCTCCCAGTAAAGAAAAGTCTGGGACCCAATGTCTTCACTGTTGAATTCTACCAAACATTTGAAGAACTAATACCAATCCTACTCAAACTATTCTAAAAAATAGAGAAGGAGGAAATACTTCCAAACTCATTCTACAAGGCCAGTATTACTCTGATACCAAAATCAGAAAGAAAAAAAATAAAAAAAAAAAAGAAAACTACTGGCCAGCATCTCTCACGAGCACTGATGCAAAAATCCTCAACAAAATACTAGCAAACTGAATTCAACAATATGTCAAAAAAATCATGACCAAGTGGGATTTATCCCTGGGATACAAGCATGGTTCAACATACACAAATCAGTCAATGCAATACATCATATCAACAGAATGATGGACAAAAACCATATGATTATTTCAATTGGTGCTGAGAACACATTTGATATAATTCAACATCCCTTCATGATAAAACCCTAAAAAACTGGTATAGAAGGAATATACCTCAACATAACAAAAGCTACATATAACAGAACAGCTAGTATCCTGCTGAATGGGGAAAAACTGAAAGCCTTTCCTCTAAGATCCAGAGCACAACAAGGATATCCACTTTCACTACCATTATTCAACATAGTACTGAAAGTTCTAGCTAGAGTAATTAGACAAATGAAAGAAATAAAGGGCTTCCAAAGTGGAAAGAAAGAAAGCAAATTATTCTTGTTTGCAGATGATATGATGTTATATTGGGAAAACTAAGGACTCCACACCAAACAACTATTAGAACCAATAAATTCAGTAAAGTTGCAAGATACAAGACCAACACACAAAAATCAATAGCATTTCTATATGCCAACAGTAAACAATCTGAAAAAGAAATTAAAAAGTTATCCCATTTACAATAGCCACAAATAAAATTAAATACCTAGGAATTAAGTTAACCAAAGATGTGAAAGATCTCTACAATAAAAACTATAAAACACTGACGAAAGAAATTGAAGAGGACGCCAAAAACTATTCATGGATTTAAAGAATCAATATTGTTAAAATGGCCATACTACCCAAAGTAATCTACAGATTCAATGTAATCCCTCTCAAAATACCAATAATATTCTTCACAGAAATAGAAAAATACAAAATTTATATGGAACTGTGAAAGACCCAGAATAGCCAATGCTATCCTAAGCAAAAAGAACAAAATTGCAGGAATCACATTACCTGACTTCAAATTACACTAAAGAGCTACAGTAACCAAAACAGCACGGTACTGGCATAAAAACAGATACAGAGATGAATAGAACAGAATAGAGAACCCAGAAACAAATCCACACACCTACAGTGAACCCATTTTAGACAAAGGTGTCAAGAACATACACTGGGGAAAGATAGCTTCTTCAATAAATGGTGCTAGAAAAACTGAATATCCATATTCAGAAGAATGAAACTAGGCCCCTATCCTATCTCCTGCCATATATAAAAATCAAATCAAAATTGAAAAGACTTAAATCTGAGACCTCAAACTATGAACCTACTACAAGAAAACATTGGGGAAAATCTCCAGGACATTGGTCTACGCAAAAATTTCCTGAGCAATACCCTACAAGCACAGGCAACCAAAGCAAAAATGGACAAATGGGATCACAGTAAGTTAAAAAGCTTCCACACAGCAAAGGAAACAATCAACAAAGTGAAGAGACAAGCCACAGAATGGGAGAAAACGTGTACAAACTATCCATCTGACAAGGGATTAATAACCAGCATATATAAGGAGCTCAAACAACTCTATTGGAAAAAAATCTAATCCAATTAAAAAACTGGCAAAAGATTTAGATATTTCTCAAAAGAGGACATACAAATGGCAAACAGGGATATGAAAAGGTGCTCAACATCACTGATCATCAAAGAAATGCAAATCAAAACTACAATGAGATATCATCTCACCGCATTTTATGTAAAATGGCTTATACCCACAAGACAGGCAGTAACAAATGCAGGAGAGGATGTGGAGAAAAGGGAACTCTCACACACTGTTGGTGGGAATGTAAATTAGTACAACCACTATGCAAAACAGTTGGATGGTTCCTCAAAAAACTAAAAATAGAAATACCATGTGATCCAGCAATCCCACTGCTGGGTATACACCCAAAAGAAAGGAAATCAGTATATTGAAGAGATATCTGCACTCTCATGTTTGTTGTAGCACTGTTCATAATGGCCAAGATTTGGAAGCAACCTAAGCATCCAACAACAGACAAATGGATAAAGAAAATGTGGTACTTATACACAATGGAGTACTACTCAGCCATAAAAAAATGAAATCCTGTCATCTGCAACAACACAGATGGAACTGGAGGTCATTCTGCTGAGTGAAAGAAGCCAGGCACAAAAAGACAGGCATTACCTGATTTCACTTATTTGTGGGATCTAAAAACCAAAACAATTGAGCTCATAGAAATACAGAAGAGGACAGTTACCAGGGGCTGGGAAGGGCGGGGGGCGGGGGAGATGAAGTGGTTAAGGAGTACAAAAAAATAGAAACAATGAATAAGACCTAGTATATGACAGCACAACAGGGTGACTCTGGTCAATAATTAATTTACACTTTAAAATAACTAAAAGAGTGTAACTGGATTGTTTGTAACACAAGGAATAAATGCTTGAGAGGGTGGATACCCCATTTTCTATGATGTGATTATTATGCATTGCATCCCTGTATCAAAACATCCCATGTACCCATACATTTATATACCTACTATGTAACCACAAAAATTAAAAATAATTTTTTAAAAAAGTTAGCTATCAAGCCACCAAAAAAAGAATGAATAGTAAATGCGTATTACTAAGTTAGGGAAGCCAGTCTGAAAAATCTATATATGATACCAACTATAAAACAGTCTAGTAAAAGCAAAAGTATAAAAAGGTAAAAAGATCAGTGGTTGCTAGAGGTTCCAGTGGAATAAGGGGAAGGTCAAATAGGTGAGGCATAGGAGACTTTTTAGGGCAGTTAAAACTACTCTGCATGATACTACAATGGAGAATACTAGACATTAAGCGCTTGTCAAATACCAAAGAAATTTACAGCACAGAGAGCGAATTTAAAAGCATGCCAATTTAAAAATGTCATTTAGGAGGGCACAGGATCTCAGGGTAGAATGCAGAATGTGACAAAAGAATCCATCTGAATTATATATGTATAAAGCAACCTTACTGAAGGGGTTACGGAAATATGGTGCCGACATAAATAACTTTAGAAATGAGCGGAGTTTGTGAAACTAAAGGCAAAATAAACTCTACACAGCACTGTACTCCAGTTGAAAAAGTTGATTCCCATGGCGGTAGGGGCTAACAATTCTGATACTGTTATACTTGTATACTGGAATTGAATGATTAAGTAAATGGATTGCAGATGGTGGGACTTAGGTTTTCACTGTGGGAGTTGGAGTTTACAGATAAGCAAAAGGAGAAGGCTAGAATGTGACCACGGGTTAGAGTTGCAAACACCAGTATGAACTCATTTTTAGTTTGATGCAGATAAAGATGGCTGCATACAGAAATATCTATAGATAAGGGTATATACACAGGTTAGTATACCCATGTGTATTGCCATGCTCTCTCAGCTGAGAGGGCCCAGAATCAATGACATCCCAATAGCAAAGAACATACCTGGGGCACAGATACTAGTTTCTAACACAATTCTCAATAAAAGGACCTAGGAAACTCTGGAGCAATGGCTGACTCTGTAAGTTTATAAGTGCCAGAACAGAAGGAAGTGCTCAAACAAAGCAAAGCAACAACAAAAAAAATCTGCTGCAATGATGGGAGTATGTCAAAAGGACACACGAGCCACCTAAAAGAGCTGTTAATGGCCAAAGATGGAACAATTTGAGCAACAAAATATAGTAGTACTGGATTAAATCTGAAAATATAAAATTACCATCCATGAGTCCATACTGCTTTAAATAAATGATTGAATAAATAAATGCAGAAGAGACAAATCTTCCATGCAGAAGAATTCCCGATAGTTTGTGTAAATATTGCAACCTCAAAGCAATGGAGTATAACTTCCCATTCCTGAGTGAGCACCACGCACAGTGACTTCCATCCCAAGAGCACAGTGTGTAGAGGGGGAGGCGAAGTAACCCTACAGTGGAGAAACCTGACACGCATACCTCAGCCAGGTGGTCACAGTCAACATCAACAGTGACAGGTCACGTTCTTAGTCTTTATGAACTATAGACCTGATAGGATGTGATGAGAATGGCACTTACCCTCTGGGGTCCCTCCTCCCAAAAACTCACAACACCACTCTAATCATGAGAAAAACATCAAACAAATCCCAACTGAGGGACATTCTACAAAATACCAAGCAGCTCTCCTCAAAACTCTTTTTACGACCATAAAAAGAAGGAAAGCCTGAGAAACTGTCAGCCCAGAGGGGCTAAGGAGGCATGATTAAACATAATATTCTCTGAATATTCCCTGAATGGGACTCTGGAACAGACACTAGGTGAAACCTAAATAAAGTATGAACTTCAGTTCATAATAATACTTGAATACCGGTTCACCAGTTTCAACAACAAAAAAAATCATACTAATGTAAGATGTTCATAGGAGAAACTAGGTGTGGGCTATATAGAAACTTGCTGTATTTCGTGTTCCAATTTTTCTGTGAACCTATAACTGGTTAAAAAGTGAAATTTGGCTGGGCGCGATGGCTCACGCCTGTAATCCTGGCACTTTGGGAGGCCAAGGCAGGCGGATCACCTGAGGTCAGGAGTTTGAGACCAACCTGATCAACATGGAGATATTCTATCTCTACTAAAAACACAAAATTAGCCGGGCATGGTGGTGCATGCCTGTAATCCCAGCTACTTGGAAGTCTGAGGCAGGAGAATCGCTTGAACCCAGGAGGTGGAGGTTGCAGTAAGCCGAGATCGCACCATTGCACTCCAGCCTGGGCAACAAGAGTGAAACTCCGTCTCAAAAAACAAAAAAGCAAACAAACGAAAAAACAAAAAAGTGAAATTTATTTTAAAGAGTATTTTAATTTCTTATTTTTCTTCTTTTTATTGTTTTAACTTTTGTGAGTACATAATAGGTGTACATATTTAAGGGTACATGAGACGTCCTGATACAGGCATGTAATGTGAGATAAGCACATCATGGAGAATGGGGTCTCCAATTCCTCAAGCATGTATTCTTTGAGTTACAAACAATCTAGTTACACTCTTTAAGCTATTATTTTAAAGAATATGTTTTAGGAATTAAGTTCATTAAAAATGATGACAATGCTTCCCAGGTGATTCAGACATGCAGGCAAGCTTGAGAACTTCAACCCATGGTTCTTACACTTGCGTGTACACAGGGATCATGGGAGGATTGTGAAAAATCAGGCTGCTCCAGGGTCCAGGCTTTGAGAGCCAGGATCCAGACAACCCAAGAATTCCTCAAACCCCAGGAGTCACTGTGGTGTCGAGTGTGAGCCATCTTCCTCATGCATGGGGCTGCCCCATGCTTGCATGCCAACGGAAGTTGGAAAATCTCCTGGACTGTCACCATTTCTGCCAATGAAGTGAGTGACTGCCCCGTGCAGGATGGAGCCACATCTCACGATGACTCTGCTCAGCCGTGGTGATTTGGGGAAGAAGGGTGCAAGGAGACGCAGACAGGCACTGACCATGTGCTCAGCGCTCTGCCGGGCTGGGTTGGGAAAAAGTCACTACAGAGACTGAGACTCCGGAACCCAACCAGAAGCCCAGCCCGGGAAGCCAACCTGTCCCATGCCCCTCCTAAGGAAGATTACTGTGTGTACACAGCCTGGACAGGCTCCGTGTTCTGATCCTTGGTGAGCAGGATATGAGGATCAAGTAAGATAACATTTAAAGAAGCAGCACACAGTAAACCAGGAATAAATGGTGGCTCTTATTTGCTTTATAATCATCATGCCCAGCTTAGCACAACACCATTCTGGTAATATTTGCTGTCTCTCTAATAACATAATGTCTGAAGGCAAGGCCACTGGCACACTCAGAGCCCAGCGCTGCATAACACCCGTGGCACCTAGAAGCCTACAGGAATTGCCCCTCTGCATACAGGGCCCTGGGTCCACCTCCGGGTGGGCTCAGGCTCATAAATGGCATTGGGAATCTTGGAATCTCAAGGACCAGGCCTAAGGCAGGGACCAGAAAACGCTCCACCAAACCCTGCTACATGCAAGGCAACGCTTCAGACATCAGAGCTGCCCGGCATGGAGATGGGCCTGTGCCACCCACAGCTTCTGTGAAGCCCCAGTTTTGTATTGTTCCCTTACCAAAAGCAATCAGGCTTTGTCAAACATCAAGATGCAGCTCCTGACACCAGGTAAAATGATTCAGTGAACTTCGGAGAGTAAACACGAGTGTCTAATTACAAGGCTTGTGTAGAGGGAGTTGTTCCTTCAGGGTTAATCTCAAACCCTCAGCAACTCAGAAGGCCTTCCTAATCAGACAGAGCTGGCTGTGGTTTCTGCAGCGGCCCAGGCAGATCCAGGGCACGGTCCCGTTCGTGGAGGCTTCACCTCATGGGAGCTGCTTTTGGTGGGCGCAGGGTGTCACCAGATGCCCAGAGCCTGGGGACATCCATCCCTGCTGGGGCCAGGCCAGGCCTTTTCTGAGCAGCTCTAAGGCTGGGTGTCAATTATTGAACAGTCTTATACATTTGCCATTCTAGTTAGTCCATTTTACAGATAAGGAAAAGTGAGTACCTTGCTGGAAGTCACAGAGATTGTAAATGGAAGAGCCAGGATTGGAGCCAGCCATCTCCTCATTTTATTCATTCATTCATTCAAAATCTAGTTACTTGCCACCTCCTATGGGCTAGGTATCTACCAGGTGATGGGGATCCAAAAGAAAGTAGAGAAATAGGGCCTGTGCCCTCATGGAGCTTGCTTTGGGTTGGGGAGATGAAAAGCTAACAAGTAACTAATACCTAAAAAAATTACAGATTGGAAAACAATAGGGTGATGTGATAAAGAGTGATGCAGGGAGGGGAGGTGTTCGTGAACCCAAATCTCATGGTCTTTCCATTAGCGCAACAGGGTGGAGAAGCACCCGAAGAGACGAGGGCCCTGAGGCCATCTTACCAAATAAGCCATGAAACTAGCAGAGGCAAAGAGACCCTCCTACCCTCTGCCAGGACACTGGGCTCGCCTCTCCGATAAACTTAGAAAGATGCAACACCTCTGAGCCAAGCAGGGATCAGAGCCTCCTTGAGTACTGGATTCAAAATGTGTGCAATTCTGGATGCGGGTGGCTGAAACGGGCCTTCTCTCCAGGAGACGCAGGGGAATGGTGCCTCCAGAGCCCCTCAGACTCTGCCCTCTCACCGAGCAGTCCTCGAGGTCCCTCTCCTTCAGGAGCATCATGCTTCCCGAGTGACAGCAACAAGCTGGCAGGGAAGACGCTGTGAGAAACAGAACATGTTGGAACTGTGGAAGCTTAGGGCTCTGCAGTCAGAGGACATGGAAATAATCCCAGCCCTACATTTGCTAATGGGAGAAGCAAGGAAGCCACACGAGCTCTTGAGCATTGGTCTCCTTGTTCCCACAAAATATGAGAAATGAGATTCAATCTTACTTAGTATTTTAAAAGGTAGGGGCTAAAAGTACCTACTCTTCGGGCTGTTTTGAACTCAATCAATTAAAGAACTGACCTGGGGTCAATAAAGTGCCCAGCACACTCCAGGCACTTCTCCAATGTCAGCTGGAGGACACCAAGGCATTCAAAAAGGAGGAACTAATTGGTGAGTGTCCCTAATCATGCCTCTCCTACTCCCAACCCCACACCCAGGCCTAGGCCAAAGATTAGGCATTCCAGGCACAGAGGGGACTAACTGCTCTGCTGAGCCCAAAAGCCAGGGTGACGTCCAGTCGGGGGCACTGCCTGCATTCAGATCCCACATCCCCCTCATGGGCTGCAGGGCTGGACAACTTGCTCGCCTGTTCTGTGCCCCCACTGTCCTGCGTGTGAAATGGGAGGGCAGCTGAGAAGTAAAGGAAATGGTGCATGCTACATATCTGGAAAATAGGAAAGCCCCCATCATGCTAGTTTCCTTCCTTCTGTTCCCCTCAAGACTTCCAACATTCCCTCCTTTAGCGTACAAAGGAGTATTTCCCATTAAGAAGGCTCCATAAACTCACGTGCTGACACCGTGCCCCTGTTCCAAACATACAGAAGCGACAGATAAAATACAAAAGGAGAGAGTCAATAAGATGAAGCCGGGCTCACAAACGAGATAATCATCTCTGCGTATGAGAGGCACAACACTGACACAAAGCAGTCAGTGGGGTGGGAGAGGGGAGGGAAGATGTGGGTTCTTCAAAGGCAACAAGGACTAAGTCTTCCCTGCAAGATGGGAGGGGGAGCCCAGGCTTAGAGCTGGAAGCCAGGGGATGAAGTGAGCTGTCCACCCTGAAGGCAGTAAAACAGTAACCAAGGGATGTGATATCCACGGCTAAGGCTTTATTAGGATCTCAGGACCAGGTAGAGGCGAACACAAAACTATCAGAGAGAGAGAGAAGGAACGAGAAACGAAAACAAAACAGAAACTTTGCTCTTGAAATGAGCCTGCACACCAAAATACCAAAACTTGTAGACAGCTCACGCTTAGAAAACAAGCCAGCAAAATCAATACTCAAAACATGAATTACTCCAAATAAAATTAAATTAACATCATGAAACAATTTGACAAGGACTTTAAAATAGGAACATTTCAAATGCTCAGATGCAAGAAAAACATTCATTTAAAATAAACAAGAAATGTTCAAACAAAAGCAGACAGAAAGGAAACAAGGACAGTGAATAGCATAAAGAACTAATTAAACAGCAAATGACAAACTGGGAAAAACAGTTGTGTATCACAGATAAAAGGCTAATATCCCCAATTGTAAAGAACTTTTAAACACTGAAGATAAGAAGACCAAAAATTCCTTCAGGAAAAAATGAACAAAAGACAGAACAAACAATCCACAGCATTACACAAAAATGGCCCTTAAATAGAAGAAATGGCTCCAAATCCACCCAAAAGAATAGTGCACATTAAAACTCATAACAAAGAAAATTAAAACTACACTGAAATACCATTTCTCATGCATCTTATGCTTGGCAAAAATTCAAGACCTTGACAATATACTCTGCAACAGAGAATGTGGGGAGTCAGGCATTATCTTCATTGTGGGGGAGATACAGAAAGGTACAAGTGTGATGGGAAGAAATTTGGCAGTATCTGACAACACTGTTTATGCACTTACTCTCACGAAACCCAGCAATCCCACTTCTAGAAATTTAACAGGAAAACTGTACTTCCAATGGTACAAATATATATATGCATAAAATTATTGTAGCTTTATCTATAACTGCAAAATACTGGAAACTACCTAAATGTGCAAGCATAGACTGGTGAAATAAACTACGATGCACCCACACAATAGAATACTATGTCGCTCTAAAAAAGAAAGAGCTATCTCTATGAATATGGAGTGGTTTACACAGTATACATTCCAATAAAGAGAAGAAAGGTGGAAAAGTACTTTACCTTTAAATGTAAAAAAAAAAGATGGGAAAATAACATAAATTTGCTTTTTTTTCCAAAAAAAAAAAAATCACAAGAAGAATAAACCAGAAAACAATGAAATTGATTATCACAAGTGGTTGGCAGGGAAAATTGAGTAAAAGGGATGGGGAAGAGGTGACCCTTCTTTGAGGATATCTTTTTGTTTTAATTTTTGGAAGTATGTTAAAACATGTTAAGATATAAAATAAAAGCAATAAAGATGGGGGGTGGAAATAAACTAAATGAAAAGAGAAAGAAATAAACCTAATCGTCTTTCAAAGGAATAACATAACCACATCAAAAGGGGAGAGGGGAAGAACAAATACAAATAACTTTTGGATATAATATTATGAATATACAACAGATAAATCTTGAACTCTTCTTAGTGGGTTTGCTTTTCACTGTGGTAAGAATGGAGCAATTCTAAGATTATTTTATGAGTAGTTCAGGATTGAGAAAATGAGTAAATATATGATATTGTGGAGAAATAGGATTCTCTCTGTGGAAGAAGACATACAAATATGGGATGCAGAGAGGCAAGGAAGAATCCAGTGAGGTTAAAATGGATCATAGGTATTGGTAAGAATTCATGATTTTAAAAATTATACATATTTCCTAGCTCT
Organism: Homo sapiens; assembly: GCF_000001405.40. Classification (NCBI taxonomy): domain Eukaryota; kingdom Metazoa; phylum Chordata; class Mammalia; order Primates; family Hominidae; genus Homo; species Homo sapiens. The sequence goes on from NC_000016.10 coordinate 80,658,695, forward strand.
GTCAGCTGAAAAGGCTTAGAAGAAATGAAACCCAAATAGCAATGAGCTATGTAGATCCCACATGTTGGTTTCTAAATAACAATCCCACTAAAATAAACAAGGGCTCCTAGAGAAATGGCTGCTTCCAGGGCTTGGGCAGGTAAGGTATACTTTGGGCTAGAAAATCTTATTGTACCTAAAAATAGGAAGTGATCAAAAGAATAGCCAGGCATTGCAAAAGGGCATATAAGGCAGCTTGAAGGGGCTCCCACTGGCCAAATCTTGGATGTTTTCAATAGTAAAATAAATAATGGCAGTAATAGATTATAAACTGTCACATAAAGTAAGAATCCTTGAATTTGTACTCACGATAGAGGTGATGGATGGATGGATGGATGGATGGATGGATGGATGGATGGATGGATGGACAGACGGATGGATGGATGAACAGACAGATGAGATGGATAAGAAGGAAGAGCATCATATCAGCTAGTTCAGTGCATAAGCTAAATCTAACCTTGAAGAAACATTAGATAAACTCAGTAAAATAACTAGCTTGTATTCTTCAAAAATGTCAGCGTCATTAAAAACAATGGCAGACTGAAGAACTGTTCCAGATTAAAGGAGACTACACAGACATGGCAACTAAAGGCATCATGGAATTCTAGACTGTATTCTATATTGGAAGAAATAAATATCTAAAAGACATTATTGCGGTAATAGCAAAAAAACTGAATGTGGGCTAAAATAAAAGTATTGCATCAACGCAAAATTTCTTGAATTTCTTAACTACATTGTGTTTACTTAAAAGAATATCCTTTTATAAAATATCCACACTAGATATTAAGGGGTAAGGAGGCATAATGTATAGTCTACACTCAGATGGTACAGAAAAAGAACAATTTGTATATAGTTTATATAATGTGTATATATTATAAATATGTGTGTCTATATACATATACATATACAGACACACACAGAAAGAGAGAAAAAAGTTAAAAAAACTGGTTAATCAGAAAATGGGTCCTTCATAGTTTTCTGTAAGTTTGAAATTATTTCAAAATAAAAAGTTAAATATATTTTAAACATAAATATCCTGCAGATAAGAATCAAAGTTCTATATAAGGGATAACTCTAAGAAAAGAATAGCTGAACTTTTTGTAGAACTCAAAAAGAAAAAGTTCTCAGTTTGAAAGAGCACTCTAAGTACCAAGCAGGACACACAGACAAATAATATTAATGATAAACTGTAGAATTCCATGGGTAAAGAGTTCTTAAAAAAAAGCATAGACAGAAAAATCATATTGTCAAAAAGGAATGGCAGACTGAAAACAGCAATAACAGAGGCTTGAAAAAATGAGCTACTATTCATCAAAATGCTGAGACAAAATAACTGTCAACCAATTTTATACCCAGCTAAAGCAGCATTTAAAGGACCACATAAATGGACATTTTCAGGTGTTCTAACACCAAGAAAATTTATCTACCACAGACTCTAAAAAAATTAAGAGAAACTTAGCAAATCAAAAATTTAATTCAGAGGAAGACACGGGTAAAAAAATAGATTTTTAAAATTTTAGTAAATGTAATTACTGGCTGTGAAAATAATAATCAATGGTGTTTAATAATGTTGGGTGTATAAAATAATAGTAAGATGTGGAAGAGACATGTTCAATGACAACTGAAAGCCAAGCAGAAGGAAGCATCTTGCCAAATTCAGTAAGAGGACATCATATTTGTTAGAAAAAGATCATACTTTAGTATGTGTGCTGAAGTTTAAAAATACAATCTACAGCTAGCTTCTGAGTCAGCCCAAGGAGAAGGAATGTATAAAATGTATCAATCCAGTGAAAAGCATTAAAAGGTCAGAAAATAGGAATGAGAGAGGGAACAGAGAACAAGAATGGGTAAAAATAAAATGCTACCTAAAATAGGAGAAATAATCCAAATATCTCAATAATTACATTATTCTGTGAACATATTAAACTCATATTAAAAGACAGAGATAATCACACTGGATAAAATAATAAAGATGTGTGTAAGATTTCCTGAGGAGAAACTCTGAGACAGAAAGAGGGATCTCAACTCAGCAAAGAGGGGAAGAAAAACTGCCCAATCAATAGAGAAATGCCAGAAGGATCCCAGGGGAATCAAGAAATGGTGCACAGTGGTCTACATGCAGCAACAAAAGGTGTCAGGGAATTCACTGCAGTGTGCAAGACACAGAAGGAAAGATAGAAACTTGTCATTAAAGATACAGGGGCAGCTGCCCCTGAGCTAGGGGTAAGCTGTCTGAGAGGGCAGGAAGTGGAGGGCTGGGGTTGGGGTGAGGCCACAGAGCCTGAGACAGACAAGGACAGACCGTAGGGCACTTCTACCATGCAAATAAGTTTTCAGAAAACACAGCCACTCCTGGCAGGGCACAGGAACCATGTCCAAGTTCTCCACCAAGAACATTTCAAACCCCAGGTACAGAACACCACCACATTCCCTTCAGGCCTGGAGGAAGGGAGGAAAAGTTTAGACAGATCGCTGAAGGATGCTATCCCCAATTGAGGGATACATTATCCATTCTGGTTCCTCACTTAACACAGCCATCCTCAGAAACCAGGGTGGCTCCTTGATTATTATGGGCAGCTGGAGTAGAAGTGATCTACACCTGCCCCCACAACAGTGTGAAATGGAGACTCCAAGTGTCACTTTGGCATATTCCCCAGAGTCCTTTCTCTCAACTATGCAATACTCACAAGTTGCTGAGTGCCTACTATGGGATTCACACAGGTTGTCTCATTCCATCCTCATCACGACCCTGTAGGACACTGTTTACATCCCCATTTTAAGGATGAGAAAACCAAAACCCAAGGCCATGCCACTGGGAAGTGCCAGCATGAGGGTCAAACTCCAGCATCTTGACCAAGCTTGATGCTGGATTCGAGCATCAAGACACTGAAACTAGCCCTGGTCTCAGGCCCTCTTCATGGTGTTGGCTCTGATGGATGTTCTGCTTTTGTTTTCCAGAGCCTAGTCTTTGCTGAACAAAGGAGGAAAGAAAATGTGGATGCCACATCTGATTCCTGTGTCATGTGATGCTTTACCAAGCAGAGCTCATTTCACTATGTTATCATCATCCATACACCTGCTTGAAGACCCTACCAGACTGTGGCCTCTTGAGGGATAAGCCTGAGATGTATTCACCTGTGTGTCTGCAACACAGAGCGCAGTGCCTAGAGGACACCGCATGCTTAACCCAGTGTTCATCCAATGACTGCATGAGCAAACAATCAGGTGGGGGAACTCACTCCAGCAATCACAACATACCCCACGCCAAATTCTTAATAATGTTCCTAGTATGTTCCTAGTGGTGCATTCCGTATTCACCTCACTCACAGATCATGAAGTCTCCATGTGTCAAACATGCTTGCAAAGCTTTGTATTGGCCTCATACGTGAAAACACTTGTTTTCTGCAATCCAGTTGATCTCACACCTAGATGACTAACTCGTATTTATATCACATCTGGCGCTCTGAGTGAGATCCCACCTCTCAAAGACACCCAAGGAGAGAACACAGCGTGAGTGCTATGAATTTTCCTTCCATTGCAAACAAAATAGTAACACCTTGTGTGGCTTGAGACATCAGAACACAGAAGGAAGTTAGTGAGACCAGAGTCATTCTCCCTCCTGGAGAAAGCACCCTTCCTCCCTTCCCCACTTGCTAAAAGTCCCCTACTTTTTGATGGAGCTCCAGGGATATCTCTTCTGCACATTCTTCCAGAGCAGTGCATCTCTCTTCTGGTTGTTTGTACACCCTTCTTTTACTCTCCTTATTATCCTCTCCCATGTTCATTCAGTACATACTTAGTGAGTGTTCACCAGATGCTTAGCACCTGGGGTATACGGATGGGCAGAACCAGACATGGATCTGCCTTCAAAGAGCTTACAGTCTGATTCAGAACTTCCTGCAATGATGAAAATGTTCAATATCTGCATTGTCTAATACAGTAGGTGGAATCCACATATGGCTATTGAAATTTTAATTTTTTAATTTTAACTAATTGAAATATAACTCTAACCACCTGTGGCTGATGGCTACCGTACTGGACAGTGAAGGGAATCACACTGTAGGAAAATCATCATGGATACCTTCCACATCTTGACAAGGATTTTCTCAAATGTCTGGCTCCCTCCTCACCACCAGATGGATTCTTAAAGGCAAGGGCTGTTTTAGTTATTCATATACCTTCAGAACCAGCGGAGGCCCAGCACAAAGAACGACACAAGTCATTCTTTGTTGAATAAATGAATGAGTGAATAAATGAATAAACACTAGACTTACAATGGAGGACCTACAGAAGTTCTTACCTCTTGATCAAAAGACATAGGGGAAAAAAGCAAGAGGCTGGAAGATAGGATAAAAAAATTGTGGTGTTGGGGGTCTCCTTCTAGCCCCCTAAAAGACACAGGTGCAAAGCACTTTCCTTCCAGTCCATTCTCCCCAGTGTTCCAATCACTCTTATCATCTTGGGGAGCAGATACAATTAACAGAGAGAACAGACCAACCCAGGGGGAGTTCAGCTTGAGCACTTCCGGTCATCAATCATGTCAGGAGGTGAGGTGGAGGGGAGAGTTAAATAAAAGAGAAGACTCATCAGTTCTACAGTTGAGTGGAACCAAAAGCCCCTAGTCCCATGTACAGAATCCTTGCTCTCAGGACCTGAATGCAATAGCAGGGCTCAAATTCACAGGTGCATTCAAGAAAAAAAAAAATCTTAGCCACAGTTAACTGTCATCTGGCATGTTAAAATTATGCCAGATAAAATCCATACACTTCGAATTTTAAGAAAGTTTAGGTTCTCAGATTATCTAATCACTACATCCAACACCTCTAAGTAATCTTATGATGTTCACTGTCAGATGTCTAAATTTTTTTTTTCTTTTGAGACAGAGTTTCATTCTTCTTGCCCAGGCTGGAGTGCAGTGGCATGATCTTGGCTCACTGCAACCTCCGCATCCTGGGTTCAAGTGATTCTCCTGCCTCAGCTTCCCAAGTAGCTAGAATTACAGGCACCCACCACCACACCCAGCTAATTTTTGTATTTCTAGTAGAGACAGGGTTTCACCATGTTGCCCAGACTGGTCTCGAATTCCTGAGCTCAGGCAATCCACCACCTTGGCCTCCCAAAGTGCTGGGATTAGAGGTGTGAGCCACTATGCCCCGCCTAAATGTTTAAAGCATTCAGCAGTGTAAAGCATGAATTCAAAATACAAAACTAACCTGATTAAAAGGAACTTTTTCTACAAATCAAATCATGTCTCCTGCATTAAAACCCTCCAAGGCCATGCTAACTCCAAAAGCTCTATTATGCCAGGATCCTGGTATGTGGCAAAATATTCTGTAGGGTATCAAAGTATAAAGTGATTTCCTTTAAAATTCATTTTTATCACCTTTTCTTGCAACTCCCCTGCTCAAAAGTTCACATGCCTCCATCGTCTGGCCTCATCCTGTTTTCTGGCCTTAACTCCCACTCTTGCCCCATAAACACCTTAACTTCCAGGACTGTCTGAGGTTCTCCGAAACTGAGTTTTCCACCCTCTGAGCCATTACTTCCTCTGTTCCCTTGGCCAGGAATGTCATTTCCGTCCACCTTCACACATCTAATCCTCCGGGGCCACTTGAAATGCTTCTCTTCCAGACAGCTGTCTCTTCCTCCCCAAGCGCCGGGAACAGCCCATCCCCAGGGCTCCGGTGTCCTGGGCCTTCCTGAGTTCGCATGCTCAGCTTTGCAGCAGGTCACTGGGGACCAGCTGATCCCTTAATCAGCTTAATAAGCTTTGAGTTCTTTGGAAGACACGGCTGGTCATCTCTACAGCCTTCGTCCCCACCACATAGTGAGGGGAAAGCAAATGCCTCTTTAAGTGAACTGTAGGGGAGAAAATGATCTCAAAACGCTAAAAATTTTTTAAAGTTTTCCAAATACAATGTAGCTCTCTTCTGGCCTCCCAGATAGCCCTGTCCCTCAAGAAGCAGAAAAGGAGAATTTAGGAATCTAGGTCTCAAGCCAGGACAACTAGATCTGAATCCTGGAACAGCCACCTACTGACTAATAGACTGTAGGCAAGCTATTTCACCTGCATATACCTCAGTTTCCATATCCGTGAAATGGGAAGGGTAATGACCCTCCCTGCTAGGATTAACTGAGGAACTGCCAGTGCTAGCAAGAGGGTTTGGCTTAGCAAGGGCTCAGTAAATGCTGGCTATTTTGACATGGTATGGAGATTGTCAATGTATTTGTCATTTCCCCATTTGTTTGTTTTCTTCCCTAAACTCTGTCTTGCCTTACTCATCATACCCCCAGAACGAGGCATGCTGAGACCTGCTTCTAGGTATACAATACTAGCTCACAGCAGTCATTTAATAAATATTTCATGAAGAAATCATAAATGGCATTTATTAATGATGCTTGAAATAGATGTTACATATTTTCTACAAATCTTCTTAATTAAAATATAGTTCTCACTGTCTAGAACACTCTCCCCTCTCCTCTTTGCCTGATCAAGCTCCATGCATCCTTCAGGTGGAAGCTGCGTCTATAATCTCCTTGCTTCGGTGGTATCCACGTTCATGTAGGGCACTGCCGTACCTGCTCACAGTTCACTGGAATATTTGGCTCTTTCCTCAGTTCTTCCCACAGGAATATGAGTTGGGCTGTATCCTCAGCACTCAATGCCATGCCTGGCACACACGAGGGCTCAACAGATCTTGTGACCAGTTGTTTCTCATTCACTGCCACCAAGTATTAGGTTGGTGAAAAAGTAATTGAGGTTTTTGCCATTAAAAAAAAAAAAAAAAAAAAATAGCAAAAACCGCAATTACTTTTGCACCAACCTAATAATATGAGGAGTTACTGGTGGAAGCCAGGCCAGAGATGGAGATGTCTTGCTAAACCTCCAGGAACTCAGGACAGACCCTCTTTCTGCAAGGGTGGTGAAGTGGGAGGGAATCGGGAAAGGAGATGAAGATGGGAGAAGCTTCCAGAGGTCCACAGTGGAACAGAAGAAGAAAGAACAAACTCGGAGGCAGAACCTCCTACTCAGTGGCACTGTCACCAAGATGGCAGGTGAAAAACTCAAGACTCTAACTTCCATGGAAAAGTCACAAAAGTAACAGAGTCCACTGTCCTGCAACCCATTCTTTGTGATGTGGCAACAGGCACCCAGGGGCTGTCCCTCTTGATTTCGCCTTGCTGGCTTATGCAACAGAATAAAACCTAATATCCTAGGATCAATGAAAAAACGACAGGGCAGGCTGAGGGTGGGGTAGAAAAGCACATTCTTGAGCAAAGCAGGAAGCTCCACCTGAAGCGGAGTCTGACAAAGGAGAAGAGAAATGAAGACTCATGAGGCGCCAGGACCCACTGCTTCATCCTTTCTGGCAGGCTTGCTATTCCCGGACTACAGAGGTGAAAAGTGAGGCTCAAAAGCTGGTAAGACCTGCCTGGAGATGCTAAGAGGCAATGTTTGTATTTGAACACACGGAGCCTCTTTCTACCTGCCTGCTCTTATCAGTTTCTTCGCCTCTATGCTACCTGCAAAATGAGAGCAATTTTAAAGGTGAAATCTTACAATACTTCCTGTAACTGGGACGTCTATTAAGAAGTCCACCAATTTCATGTCCTATGTTACCATCAAGGCAGGTCATAAATTACATGATTTGGGCATTCGCTCTCTCATAGCAAAGAACTGCGCAAAATACAGAGGCTGCAGCCCAAATGAGATGCACCCTGCTGAAAAGAACTCACAATGCCCTTCATGGGGGAGGGAGCCTGGCGCTTTATTAAGAGTCTACTGTGGCTTCGTGAATATAAAGGGAAGAGGAACACAGCAAGCAGGGCCATCGTGGCAGATGGCGACAACAATCACCAGATGAGCCAATGGGAAGGGAATCCTGTCGTTGCTGTGAAGAGCCCTGACAAAATACGGGCTTTCCAGGACATGTTACCATGAGCAGAGGCTGTGAAGCCAACACCCAGGACAACTCAAGGAGAGAAGGAAAGACTGGGCCAGGGGATGGGCAGCTTTGACAGATGTCAGAAGGGTTTGCAGTGGGTGGACCTGGCCTCAGGACCCCCATCTTAAAGCAGAACCGGCTCCTTAAGTCCTCTCTTTCATCTATTCATTCACTCACTCATTCATTTCTTAAGCACCTGCTAAGTGCCCAGCATTGTTAGGTGTTGGTGATACAGCTGTGAACAAAAATGGAGACCATCCCTCCCCTGTGGAGCTTCTGATCGAGTGAAAGAGGCAGAGATTACCCGAATAATCAGTGTGACCACTACAAACCGAGGTCAGTGCTGTCAACCAAGAAACACCATTCCATGTGTGCAAATAAAAACGGAAACTGAGCTATGCTGGCAGTCAGCAAAGGTTTCCATGGGGGAATTGCTGCTTGAGCCAGACCTGCAGGATGAGCAGAGGTTACTACTCACGTGAGGGCTCACAGCGGGAGGCATTCAGACAGAGGGAGTCACACATGCAGAACACAGACAGATGGGGTGGGCTTCCATCTATCTGGTTCTTAAGACAAGCCTGACTACCCGAGGAATTCCCTGGAGCTCAGCCTCCCGTGCAGGCTGCTCTAGAATTGGCTGGACTGCTGTATTCTTTGTGATGTGTCAACAGGCACCCAGAGGCTGTCCCTCAGCTCTATGCCCTTGTACATGCTGTCATCACCTCCTGACATCCCTGCCTTTTTCCTCAGTCATTTCGGCTCATTTTATCAGATTCCACTTATGCATCACCTCCTCCAAGAAGCCCTCAGTAATTCCTTCCCCTAAGCTGGCTTCGGTGCCCTTACCTATGGCCCCACAATATCTTCTGCATGTCTCCATCACAGCATGAGGTATTGCAGTTATTTGTCTAAACAGTTCCTGGTATATGGCAGTCATTTTATGAGTACTGGTTAGCATACATAGGAAAGGATTCATATATGTGTACTGTATGTAAAGTGATTTTAAAAACAAGTGGGGAAATATAAAGACCCAGTTGGAAAAAGGGGGAAAAAATTGAAATAACGGCTAATATTTATCAAATGTCTACCACAAGCCAGCGAATATGTTAAGGGCTTCCTATAAACGAATTCATTTATTCTTTACCCCCAACCCGTGAGGTATGAATATCTGCATCTTATAAATTAAGAATCTGGCCCACAGAGGCTGGGTCATTTGTTCCAGGCAACATGGCTGAATGCCCCTGACTCGCCACCACTGTTTCCACAGCAGGATGGCACCCGGGCAATGCCCAGGGAGAGACACAAGTGGAAGGAACATGAGAAGATGCTCACCCACATTTAGAAACTAAAATTAAAACAACAGGGCCTGGAAAAGCATTACAAAGACTGGCCCTAGCCAGGTTTGGCAGGAGCAGGTCCCTTTGTAGGCAGCCCAGATGGCCATCACAGAGGAACAGTTAAGTCCCTGCACACCGTAAATCCCAAGCAGCCAAAAACAGGGAGGCCGTTCCACACGTCCTGACTCAGAAAGAGTTCCAAGACAGGCTTTAAGTCAAAAAAGAAATTGCAGGACAAGGTGTTCTCACCACCTTCAATCTTTACTCGGATGTCAACTTGGTGAGGCCTTGGCTAACAGATAAATAATGGATAAATGAATAGACAGACAGATGACAGACAGATATATACATATCTATACCTACATACATGGAGAGAGAAAGAAATGGGATAATTCCTGTTCATCACTCAACAAACAAATATTTAAGTAAATATGTAATATAATCACATATATAATATATGGTATGTAATAAAGTACATAGATTTAATATATATAAATACATATACATATATATAAACTTAGAGAATAGTCCCAAAAGATCCATAAGGAAACATTAACAGAAGTCACCTCTAAATAGGATTTGGGAAGGGAGAATATGGAGACTTTAATTTCTAAAATGCTTATATTTTCCCCAGCATTTCGGGAGGCCAAAGCAGGAAATTCACTTGAGGTCAGGAGTTTGAGACCAGCCTGGCCAACATGGCAAAACCCTGTCTCTACTAAAAATACAAAAATTAGCCAGGCACGGGGGTGGGCACCTGTAATCTCAGCTACTCAGGAGGCTGAGGCAGGACAACCACTTGAACCCATGAAGCAGAGGCTGCAGTGAGCCGAGATCACCCCACTGCACTCCAACCTGGGCGACAGAGTCAGACACCATCTCAAATAATAATAATAATTTAAAAATAAAATTAAAATTAAATGCTTATATTTTCCATACTGTTTGAATTTTTTACAACTCACCTATTTGTAACTTTAGAAAACAAAAAGAGAAGAGAGGAGAAGAGAGGAGAGGAAAAAGTAAAGAAAAAAAGAAGAACATTTTAGGGACCTAGATATACCACACTGACAAATTTGTCTCCTCTTTCTTGAAACCACTCTAAAATGGCAGTAAAAGATTTTTTTTTAAGTATTAACACAAGCAAAAGTAAAGGAGAAGAGTCAATAGTGGGTGCCACATTTCTGCACACTGGAAGGTAATGGGAAGACGACAGGCCAAGGTGACCGGCCTGGCCGAGCAGAGGAAGCATCCAGCAAAGTGCCAAGAAGGGGAAGCAGATACGACGATATATTGACCCCCAAGGCCCCACAGCCCAGGACTCAGAGGCCCCACGGACCATGGAAAGTGGCTCTGCCCTCACTGTAAGACTCAGGACAATGGTCCTCAGAACCAAGTCGGAAGTGGCCCTTTAGATGTCCCCCCTCCACCTCACTGCCGTCTTGTGGGGACAAGGAGCCGCGTCAAGCAGATGGTGGGAGATGGTGGCACAGATCTGGGGCAGCAGGGAACAGACAGGTGTAAGCGTGGAGCCATGAAAGCCAATCAGAGGTCAGTACCTGGATCTCCCTCAGCCGGGGGATGCCAGAATTGGGAGCTAGGACATCGAGAGAGGCCAAGCAGGAGGGTCGGTGGGCAAGACAGCTAACTCTTATCCTCTGGCTGGCTTTGTGGCCTCAGGCAGGTGCCCCCACTGAAAGCAGAGCCTGTGTTCTCCCTCCCTGCATGGTCGCTGCAAAAGCTCCCTGAGCACCTGTCGGAACTTGGACAAGGAGCCTCCAAAAATGAGCTGAGTATTTCTGCACACATGGGCTGTGGTGACACATGGCTCAGCCATGAGGAGAGTGAGTGCACACCATGAGGGTCTTGACTGCAGAGCGGCCACGACCCTGCCCAGCCAGACACATGCTCTGAGGAGCTGACTCGGTCCTGTGAGGCCACCTAATCTCACCCGTCTCCATGCAGGAATCCCTCTGCCTAAGTCTGCCTAAGTCCACCCAAACAACCCAAGACATGGGGCACAACAACCTCATCAAGTAGCTCATGCCACTGGTGGGCAGATTTATTAAACTGGTGTATTCAGAAATATGCTTTAAGTCCTCTCATTTCCTGTCTTCTTTTCCCTCAACAAAAGCACATGACAAACCCTCACATGAAACAAATAAAACAGGAGTGATATGGTTTGCCTGTGTCCCCACCCAAATCTCATCTTGAATTGTAGTTTTTATAATCCCCACGTGTGGTGGGAGGGACCCAGTGGGAGTTGACTGGATCACGGGGGGCGGTTACCCTCATGCTGTTCTTGTGATACTGAAGTGAGTTCTCATGAGATCTGATGGTTTTATAAGGGGCTTTCCCCCGGTTGCTCAGCACTTCTCCTTGCTGCCACCACATGAAGGATGTGTTTGCTTCCCCTTCCGCCATGATTGTAAGTTTCCTGAGGCCTCCACAGCCCTGGGGAACCGTGAGTCAATTAAACCTCTTTCCTTTATAAACTACCCAGTCTCGGGTGTGTCTTCATTAGCAACTTGAGAATGGACTAATACAAGCAGCTACTGTGGCTGACATGGAGAAGGGAGCGCTGGAGTCCACCCATCTGGCTTCTCACCAGGAGGCCCTCAGAGAACCCCGGGGCTCCGTGGACGGCAACGTCTTAATGACACGAGGTGCGCAAACCTATTTCCAGGCTCATTTTGCCCCAGGGTCTCGATTTTCTTTCTGGGACAGGATGAAAGAAAGAGAAGCCATGTTGCAACATAAAAAGTGTGAATCGAGGCCTCGAGGCTGGCGCTCCCAGGAACACCACACCACAGTCGGGTTGCACACGAGGAAGATAAAAGGGGCTCTATACACAGCATAGTCAGGTTGCGCACGAGGAAGATAAAAGGGGCTCTATACACAGGGGCTTGCCTCACCAGCTGTTCTTCCACCACCTGGAATAACATGAATATCTAAAGAAGGCTGCCTCAGGATTTTGTCTCCTGGGTTCTCCTCTTCTAACCAGTCTAGGGTTGTGACTTTCCTCTATGGCATCCCTGACCCCAGTGGAGGCTTCTCTCTCCTGCCGCAGCCCCTACCAAATCTCTTTTCTTTGATGTTTCTCTGGAGTCACCCACACCCTGGGCTCCTTATTAATAGCTCTCCAGGGAGCAGACAGGTGGGTATAGGTAGTAGAGGTGTCTGGGGCAGCCCTTAATGGAGAATGTCTATCAGCCGAGCTGCCCAGTGGGTTTAAAGAGGGTGGTACAGAGTTACGGACAAGCCAGAGGAAGGCCAGAGTGGCTGACATAGGGGCCAGAACCAGATTTTGGTATTTCTGCCAGTTCATCAAAAATTTAGGACCAGTCCTTCCATGGATGACCTGCATTAGAGTGGCTGCCACAAGTACAACAGGGGGTTCCCTGCCACCCAGGCCCCTCCTGCACCTGGCCCCAGCCTGTCTTTCAGCTGTCGCCCAAGTCTTTCCCTAAGCACACCAGCCCCTGCCCCAAACGCATCTTCTCACCAACCAGCAAACATGCTCTGGGCTCTCCTCCTTTGCCATACCATACCTCTTCCCTGTGTATCTGAATTCTCCCCAATCTCAAAAGACAGGAGTGAACCAGCCACAAAGAGGAAGTTACAAAGAGTACTTGAGCATGCAGAGAAAAAGCTCAGCTTCAGTGGAGACTAAAGAAATGCAAATAAACGATACCGAGGCTCCTCTTGTTCCCCTTAAACACACACGTCTGGCAAGGCAATGACAAAACTAGAAAATTATGCCTCACTGGTTATTATTCTTTTTTGGATGGAGTTAGAAGGATATGGTAAAATTAGCAGTATAATCCTGCCTCTGGGAATCTAGTCTAGAAAAATAGTCCAGAAAAAAATGAAAGAAAACCAAAGATGTTTAGACCTAACCTAAATGTCCAACAACAAGAGACTGGCTACATAAATCAAATATTGCACAGGTTGGGTATACCTTATCCAAAATGTGTGGGATCACAAGTGTTTTGGATTTCTGATTTTTTCTGATTTTGGAATATTTGTATTATACTTACCAGTTAAGCACCCCTAATCTGATAATTGAATGCTCCAATGAGCATTTCCTTTAAGCATCATTTTGATGCTCAGAAAGTTCTGGATTTTGGAGCATTTCAGATTTTGGACTTGGGGACATTCAACCTGTATATCCTTCTGAAAACATATAAATGGCACTACTAAAATTCCAATATGAAGAGTTGCCCAATATGGAAATAGACGGAAACAGACATACGCTATATTGAGCAGAAAAATCAAAATACAAGTGTTTTCATACAAAATGTTACACACACACACACACACACACACACACACACACAGAGAGAGAGAGAGAGATGAGTAGAACAGGCTTTCCCTTTGTGTGTGATTAAGATCTAATGATACAGTCAGATATCACAGGATAAGGTGATGTAAGAAAGCCATTTTAAAATGCCCAGGAAAAGAAAGAAAGGAAAGAAAGAAGGAAAGGAAAGAAGGAAAGAAGCAAAGCAAAGGAAAAGGAAAAGGAAAGGAAAGGAAAGGAAAGGAAAGGAAAGGAAAGGAAAGGAAAGGAAAGGAAAGGAAAGGAAAGGAAAGGAAAAGAAAGGAAAGGAAAGGAAGAAAGAGGACCACAATTCTGGCTCTACCTTGTTACCATCTGGAGGCTGCAGGCCAGCTGCCTAACTAACTTTGTAAAGCCTCCATTTCTTTATGTGCAAACCAGGGATAAAAAGACAACCTACTTCATAGAATTGTCAGGATTAACAGAGCTGCTAAATGTAACATCCTTAGCCCACCAACACCTGACTCATAGCAAGGGCTTAATAAATATCTGTTGTTGGTGCAATTGCTGTTATTGTCATTATTAACAGCAGCTCATTGGGCACTAGGAAGGCTCACGCTGGCTTGTACAAAACACTGTCATGCAGTAACTGTCGTATAGAAATGCATCCTAGGATTAGATAAGTGTTTTGTGTCTTGTAGGAGGAGCTGCTTGCTCCCATCTCTAAAATCAACAAGGGAGGCCGGGCGTGGTGGCTCATGCCTGTAATCCCAGCACTTTGGGAGGCCGAGGTGGGTGGATCACTTGAGGTCAGGAGTTCAAGACCAGCCTGGCCAACATGGTGAAACCCCATTTCTACTAAAAGTACAAAAAAATTAGCCGGGCATGGTGGCATGCACCTGTAATCCCACCTACTCAGGAGGCAGAGGCAGGAGAATCGTTTGGACCCGGGAGGCGGAGGTTGCAGTGAGCCAAGATCATGCCATTGCACTCCAGCCTGGGCGACAGAGCAAGACTCTGTCTCAAAAATAAATAAATAAATAATTTTAAAAAAATCAACAAGTGAATTTAAGTCAACTTCAACACTTTCCAGTTATATCAAAGTCCACACCAAGTAGATTATTTCATTTAAACAAAATAATTATTTCGCTTAAATGAAATAATCTACTTGATGTGGCTTTTGCTATTTCTTCTAGCATTGAAATAAGCTTTGACAATTAAGGTAGTTTCCTTCACAATGCACAGATGTGCAAGTGCACTTAAATGAAATAATTTTAATAATCTAGACGACAAAATTAACATTTCCTTGTTACCAGCAGGTTTCTTGCCCATTCAAGAATACAAACCCATATGCATACCCTTTCTTCCCCTCAAACTCTCCTAAATGCCTGTGGTGGGATGAATAGCAAATCCTTAAAGATCTCATATCCTAATCCCTGGGACCTATGAATGTGGTACCTGACATGGCAAAAAGGACTTTGTGAATGGGATTAAGTTAAGGATTTGGAGATGGGAGATTATCCTGTATTATCTTGGTTGGTTCAGTGTAATCACATAAGTCCTTGTAAGAGGGAGGCAGGGGGCTTGGAGTCAAGAGAAGGAGATGTGAGGATGGATGCAAAGGTTATAGAGATGAGGGACCACGAGCCGAGGAGAACGTGCAGCCTCTGGAAGCTGGAAAAGGCAAGGAAATGGATTCTCCCACAGGGCCTCCAGAAGGAGCACAGCCCTGCCAATGCATTTTAGATTTCTGACTCCAGAACTATAAGGGAAGAAGGTGGTGTTGCTTTAAGCCACCAAGTTGGGAGGAATTTGTTACAGCAGCCATAGGGAACTAATACAGCGTCCCTTGGTTCACTAAGAGTACCTCGATTTCCCACATGGGAGCCTGGGTTCACGAGTGGGCACTGTGGTTCCATTCCAGCTCCACCTTCTGTGACACTTGGACTAACTCAAGCAATGCACGTGTCTTCTTTAAGCATTAATTTTCCAGTGTAGAAATGGGGGCTGTCGAGGAAATTCAATGCACAGCTTCTTGGAGAGCATTTAGAAGGCTCCCTTGCACATGGCAAGCAGTAGGGAAACGGTAGCTGTTATTTTTCATCCTACTTGCTAGCTTCTTTTTCTTCTCCTTTTTTTTAAAACAAAAACAGCTTTACTGAGATTTATTTTACATACTATAAAATTCACCCATATAAAGTGCACAATTCAGTGATTTTTAGTGTGACTTGCAGAGTTGTGCAACTGTCCCCATAATCTAATTCCAGAACATTTTCATTGCTCAAAATGAAATGCCGTACCCATTAGCAGTCATTCCCCACTCCCTCCTCCCCTTAGCCCCTGGCAACGGCTAATCTACTTTCTGTCTCTACAGATTCACCTATTCTGGACATTTGACATAAGTGGAATCATATCATATGTGGTTTTGAGGTTCATCCACGTTGCCGCATATGTCCACTATTCATTGCTCTTTATGACTGAATAACATCCGTCGTCTGGGAAGACGACATTTTGTTTATCCATTCATCAGTTGGTGAAGATCTTTGTCCTTTTTTTGCCATTTCTTCTAGCATTGAAATAAACTTTGACAATTGAGGGAGTCCCCTTTACAATGCATAGATGTGCAGGTGTGTGTGTATATATGATGTGTGCATGAGTGTGTGATGTGTACATCTGTGATGTGAATATGTGCATGTGTATGTACATGCATACATGTGTGTGTGTTTTAATCTAAGGCCCTAAGGAAAATCACCAGGACCAGAGGTTCCACCTCCCTGGAATGCCAAGTCAGCATCTCTGATACTACTGAAGATGCCTCAAAGGCAGGCCCAGGGGTGTTGGCCAGAACAATGCCCTTGGCATCTGGGAAAGGTCTGTTGGCTTCAACCTGAATCCCTGAAGTACCTTTCTTCATTTACAAAACTGGTCACAGACCCCCAACAGCTTCAGCATCCCCAGACCCGGCACCACACCCTAATTCCTTCTCTCAGTGCTGTGTCTTACCCTTGCTGAGCCTCAGCTTCCCCATCTATAAACAAGGTTGATCCCAGGTAACCTTGTTATGTTGCTATGTTGTTAAACTGCTCCATCAGAGAACCACTGAGGAAATTAAATCACATTTAGTAGATCAAATACAAAGAGCTAGGCGTTACCTGCAGTAAGACCTCAAGAAATGTTAGCTACTATTGCTACCATCACCACCACCACCACCGCTGCCACCATTATCATCATCATTCATGAAGACTGGCTGCTTTGTGTGAGGAGTCAGGGTGGAGGAAGGCCCTGGGATCCACCTCAATGGGGAGAGTGGCTTTTCACCGACATTAGGAGGTGAAGTTTTATTATTGTTTTGGAACCCTCAACAGGGAGAGCGGCTTTTCACCGACATTAGGAGGTGAAGTTTTATTATTGTTTTGGAACCCTCAATAAGGAGAGCGGCTTTTCACCGACATTAGGAGGTGAAGTTTTATTATTGTTTTGGAGCCCTCTACAGACACTGTACCCGCTTACTGCTTGCTCCTGGGGAGGATCGCTTCCACTCCCCCACTATACCCTTTTTGGAAGTCCCCTGATGGATAGCCATGAGCAAACAGTGCCTAAGACTTTCCTAAGGACATTGAGGGAGGAAAACGACAGCTGAGCAGGTAGGAAAAGCAATTAGTTGGTTTCTAAACCTTGACAGTGGTCAAGACTCCATCATCCTCTTCTGGGCACCAAAATCAAATCCAGAATTCAGGAGCCAAGCGGGGAGAATCGATTCTCCCCTTGGATCTGCCATAGGTCAAGTTGCTCCTGGTTAAAGAGTCGGATTTCCCATCACAGCCTGGCACTTTCCATGTGCATAGGGCGGTGGCCAAGTTGGACAGGGTCTTAACACCACCACATCAAAGGGTTTTAAGTTAGTTCATTAGCACACCTTCCTTACTTGCCACCCTGTGAAAGACAAAAGATTAAAAAACCCTCAAGTTTTTGTTGTTACTGACTTGGAAAAATCATCTGCTTTTAAAAATTGAAAAGGTTAGTGAAAGTGTGTTGGCCTGGGGGTGGGTACTTGAAGTGGGTCAGGAAGAACAGCTGGGCTCAGGGAAGTGGATACATGGATACCTGTGCTGACAAGAGGCTGCCCCGGGAACACCCTTCCTGACCTCTCAGTGGTTCACCAGATAGTGTGGGGCCACTGCCGATGACAGTCAGAGCCTTCCTGAACCAGTTTCCCTGGGCCTCTTCTGGGACAAGCTCCTCACCCAGAGAAGCAGTGGTGATTCTAAAGGCAATGAACTGGGGTCAAGTTCAGGGCAAGGAATGAGATGTTTCTGAAACAGTCGTAGTTTTGAGGAAGTATCAAGGGAACTATAATAAGCCCAGAAGGTTATTCAGGACTTTCACTACTGCATTCTGAAGTGAGATTGACTTGTAATTTGCATTTCTCCTCCTCTCTTTGTCTGGTTTGGAAATCCAGGTCATACTGACCTCGTCACAGGAGTTGGGAGTATTTTCCCATTTTCCTGTTCTCCATAATCATTTGGATAAGGGAGGGGTTATCTGCTCTAGAATGTGTGGTCAGATGATCTATTCTAGAACGTTTAGATTTGCCTGCAAAACCCTCTGGGCCTTGTGTTCCTCCTTTCTTACTTCTTCTGAGGACTTTTTAACAACCAATTCAATGTATTTTTTTTTTTTTTTTTTTTTTTTTGAGACAGAGTCTCGCTCTGTCGCCCAGGCTGGAGTGCAGTGGCACAATCACAGCTCACTGCAGCCTCCACCTCCTGGGCTCAAGTGATCCTCCCACCTCAGCTCCCTGGAAAGCTGGGACTACAGGCATGTGCCACCACACCTGGCTAATTTTTGTATTTTTTTGGAGAGACAGGGTTTCGCCATGTTGCCCAGGCTGGTCTTGAACTCCTGGGCTCAAGCTATCCACTGCCTCAGCCTCCCAAAGTGCTGGGATTACAGGCATGAGCCACCACTCCTGGCCCAATTTCTTTAATAGTTATTTCTCTCTTCAGGCTTTCTAGCCCTCCTTTAGGCTGTTTTGTTGAGTTGTATTTCTCTATGGAAGTGATGATGTTATCTAGGTTTTCAGATTGAGTGGCATGGAGTTAGTCACAGCGTTTCAGGCTCAGAAGCACCATACCCATCTATCAATAAACAAGGAGGTGTCGGCCAGGCGCAGTGGCGCACGCCTGGAATCCCAGCACTTTGGGAGGCTGAGGCGGGCGGACCACGAGGTCAGGAGATGAGACCATGCTGCCCAACACGGTGAAACCCCGTCTCTAATAAAAATACAAAAAAAATCAGCTGGGCATGGTGGCAGGCGCCTGTAGTCCCAGCTACTCGGGAGGCTGAGGCAGGAGAATGGCGTGAACTCAGGAGGCGGAGCTTGCAGTGAGCCAAGATTGCACCACTGCACTCCAGCCTGGGCGACAGAGCGAGACTCCATCTCAAAAAAATAAAAATAAAAATAAAAATAAATAAATAAATAACCAAAAAAGAGCCCACATTGCCAAGTCAATCCTAAGCCAAAAGAACAAAGCTGGAGGCATCACGCTACCTGACTTCAAACTATACTACAAGGCTACAGTAACCAAAACAGCATGGTACTGGTACCAAAACAGAGATATAGATCAATGGAACAGAACAGAGCCCTCAGAAATAACGTTGCATATCTACAACTATCTGATCTTTGACAAACCTGAGAAAAACAAGAAATGGGGAAAGGATTCCCTATTTAATAAATGGTGCTGGGAAAACTGGCTAGCCATATGTAGAAAGCTGAAACTGGATCCCTTCCTTACACCTTATACAAAAATCAATTCAAGATGGATTAAAGACTTAAACGCTAGACCTAAAACCATAAAAACCCTAGAAGAAAACCTAGGCATTACTATTCAGGACATAGGCACGGGCAAGGCCTTCATGTCTAAAACACCAAAAGCAATGGCAACAAAAGCCAAAATTGACAAATGGGATCTAATTAAACTAAAGAGCTTCTGTACAGCAAAAGAAACTACCATCAGAGTGAACAGGCAACCCACAAAATGGGAGAAAATTTTCGCAACCTACTCATCTGACAAAGGGCTAATATCCAGAATCTACGATGAACTCAAACAAATTTACAAGAGAAAAACAAACAACCCCATCAAAAAGTGGGCGAAGGACATGAACAGACACTTCTCAAAAGAAGACATTTATGCAGCCAAAAGACACATGAAAAAATGCTCACCACCACTGGCCATCAGAGAAATGCAAATCAAAACCACAATGAGATACCATCTCACACCAGTTAGAATGGCAATCATTAAAAAGTCAGGAAACAACAGGTGCTGGAGAGGATGTGGAGAAATAGGAACACTTTTACACTGTTGGTGGGACTGTAAAGTAGTTCAACCATTGTGGAAGTCAGTGTGGCGATTCCTCAGGGATCTAGAACTAGAAATACCATTTGACCTAGCCATCCCATTACTGGGTATATACCCAAAGGACTATAAATCATGCTGCTATAAAGACACATGCACACGTATGTTTATTGCGGCACTATTCACAATAGCAAAGACTTGGAACCAGCCCAAATGTCCAACAATGATAGATTGGATTAAGAAAATGTGGCACATATACACCATGGAATACTATGCAGCCATAAAAAATGATGAGTTCACGTCCTTTGTAGGGACATGGATGAAACTGGAAATCATCATTCTCAGTAAACTATCGCAAGAACAAAAAACCAAACACTGCATATTCTCACTCATAGGTGGGAACTGAACAATGAGAACACATGGACACAGGAAGGGGAACATCACACTCTGGGGACTGTTGTGGGGTGGGGGGAGGGGGGAGGGATAGCATTGGGAGATATACCTAATGCTAGATGACGAGTTAGTGGGTGCATTGTGCCAGCATGTCACATGTATACATATGTAACTAACCTGCACATTGTACACATGTACCCTAAAACTTAAAGTATAATAATAAAAATATATAAATAAATAAATAAATAAACAAACAAGGAGGGTGTCAAAGAAGTACATCCTGTACCACCAAGCACTCCTGACCCTCCCCCAGTCACAAAATGTCTCTGTCAGTAATCAGGGCTTGGGGAAATTCTACTGCCTGGAATCCAGCTGGGCCGTGGTATAGAGGCCAGCTCTATAGTTAAATTTGCAGTCAAATTGCCTGAGTTTCTCTCCTAATTCCAACCTGGACACTTGTAACCTCGGTCTCCACCTCTGTAAAATGGGTAGAAAAACTACCTCTCACGACTGCCATGAGGATCACACAAGGTACTTTGGAAACTCCAAGGCCTCATCTCAGGGAAGTACTTATACTCTAAAACTTTCAACCTTACAGCTTTTCATTTCACAAACTTTCTCTTTACAAAGTCTTATGAATGCCAACTCCAGGTGCAGAGCACAAGCACTTCAAGTTTCCTCAATACCACCACCTGGCAGGCACAACACCATCTGCATTTTCATCTCCGCCATCTTGGAGCTCATTAGTCTAGAGCAGTAGTTCTGAAACTGGGCTCACTGGACCAATAGCAGCATCTAGGAACTTCTGCTGGAGGTGCAGATTCTCAGGCTCCACACTACACCTACTAAATCAGAATGCTGAAGGTACACCCAACAGTCTGTGTTTCAACATGCCCTCCAAGGGATTCTGACGCCGGATCCATGTTTGGGAGCCCCTAGATTCTCAAAAGCCATAGGCCACTTCCCATTGCTTGCGCTTAGTTTCCAACTGCCTTTAAAACATGGTTATCCATTATAATCAATAAAGGGAAAAATGATAATCATGTTGAAAGAGTGAGTAGGAAGAGATAAACAAATGTTCTAGAAGTGAAAGCTGAGACGATTTTAAAAGATCAATGGAGAGAAAATGGCAAATGTTGCGTGTGTGTGTTGTGTGGAATGACTCGTTCAATGGTAGAGATAATTCTGCAAACACTGAATCATGCAATGTGTGAGATGCAACGTCTGTGCAGCAGACAACAGTCATCAAGATGCAAGGAAAGGATCTTAAACGTCCTTTCAGAAATGTGGACATGGGGCCACAAGACTGGCATCAACAGTGATGCTCATCACCTTCCTGGTAATTTGGAGAACGCTGCAAGTCTTTATGCTATTCTAGGGCTCAAAGAGAAACGATGGCTCCTAGTTAGGGACGTTTCACAGAGTAAAGGCTCGTGTGAATCCATAGAACACTGATGCTTTGGCCTGTTTAGACGAGTGCTAAGCAGTTCACCAAGGCAGAACCACAGCAAGGGTTAGCAAACCCACCAGCTTTTCTGTACCGATGAAACTCGCGTAGTTTTAGAAAAAAGAGAGAGATGCCTAGTAGAAACTGCAAGCAAGGCAGAGAAACTATGACAGGTTTTAAAACTTTGAAGGACCAGATCACATTCCTTCTCACAAGCTTCAAATCCAGGGAGTAAAGATGGATCTACCAACAGATGGATCTATGAACCATCTCTTACGACCAAACACATCTGCTGGAGCTCCTGTACACACCTGTGGCTGTTACAATTCAGCATGAACGTGCAGAACCCACCCCTCCAGCCCCCTGAGATCCTGATTCATTCAACTGGGATACAGCCCGTTTTAACAAGCTCCCCAAGAGATACTGAGGCAGATGGGCCCCGGACCACAAAGCCAGTACTCATTATCAGAGAAGACTCAGAATCAAGAGCAGTGTAGAACTGCTGCACACGCCCCACAAACACTGCTGGGGAAAAAGCGCAGTCTGAAACCAAAACACCACCCGCCGGAGCCCCAATTTAGCATTTGTTCCACAGTAGATCAGGGAAGTCAGCAGTAAATGAGTAACATGTTACATAAGTTGCTGTTCTGTATGCAGAACCTTAACTCACCAAAGAGAAGCTAAAACCATATAAAAAGCAACAGCCCACCCCCAAAACAAATGCTGTGCAACTGCAGCCAGGATCCCCCAACCCCTTCTGCTGGGCTAAGATGAGCCCTCCTTTGTGCTGCAAACCCCCAGTGCTCACCCTTGGGCCCCTGGAGACTGGATCCTTTAGTCCAGATAAGGGAAGGTGAGGTTAGGGAAGAGGGTAGAAGGAGGACATTCAGGGCTACGTGGGCCTGAACACTGGCTTCAGCAAAGCTTCCCTCTGGCTGAAAACACACATGGAAACACGTTTTGCTGGACTACACCTCTGGCCTGTTGCTGAAAAATTCTGGAACCACGGCATCCCCTGTCTTGGGTCTTGTCCAGGAACCTCAAACCACTCTCTTCAACACTCTCCTTCTCTCTCAAGCAAGGATTCTCAGTCTTTTCC
Organism: Homo sapiens; assembly: GCF_000001405.40. Taxonomy (NCBI): domain Eukaryota; kingdom Metazoa; phylum Chordata; class Mammalia; order Primates; family Hominidae; genus Homo; species Homo sapiens. The sequence goes on from NC_000016.10 coordinate 80,681,591, forward strand.
TCTTCCCAGTTCCCCCAGACCTGGCTAACAAGCTAGTTCTGACTAGAAGGTGAAAGGCTGATGGTGGCTGGGACAATTATCACACGAGTGACCACAGAAGACGTCATTGTGGGTATGGTGAAGCCATGCACATGTATGTAATATGTGTTACTCCTTCCATGGAGCCAGCCTCGGGCGCCTTCTCAGCATGGGGCCAGAGGCCGGCATTCCAACTTCCTGGCAAGTTTCAGAGGGAAGCTATAAGTTTCAGAGGGAAAAGTCCATACCTATCTCTTCATTACTCTACTTCAAGCACCCAGCATGGTGAATAACTCTTAGGAAGTCATAAAAAAAAATCAGTATTGAATTGAATTAAATTGACACCTGATGTGAAACTTCAAGGTCCCACCCCCCACACATTTGGCCACAAAGCTCATCTCAAAATGCGGTAGAGTCACCCAGGAAGTTTGTTAACAAGTCCATCTCCTGGGCTCCACCCTAGACTTAGGAAATCAGATTCCATGGGATCTGCATCTCTCATCAGTTGCCAGATAATCTAATACATGCAGAATCTGAGAACCAGTGCCTTAACCTTACGGGCACCAGTGCTATGGGATGTGATTAAGCAAAAGGGCCCTTTTGAAACAGACAAAACAGAACAAAATAGAGGCCAGCATTGGCTCAAGTGGGAGTAGAGAACACACAACGTCAGGCAAATATGAGGAAGATAAGAGATCAGAGAGACAAGAAAGGTCTAGAATAGCATTTTGGAGCTAACAGGACAATCAACGGATCTCAACAGGTTGGCCCTCACCTGTTTTCCCTGCTTGTGGGGTACCATGCCTTATCACCAGGTCATGGACCAGGGGGCATCAGCAAAGCCGAAGGGTGAAGAGCACAGAGCTCGCAGCTCTGCCTCACCGCAGAAGATTGCACAGCACAAGAGGCACACCCTCATGTAGACCCCTCTATGAGTCTGGCTTCTCTCCTTCACACTGCAGACTGTCAGCTACAGTCAGCAAATCTTCCTCCCTCATGCTTTACTCTTGGGATTGCCCCATATGAGCAGGGCAGGGAGCTGCTAACAGCTGGAATGCAGGGAACCCCGCCAGAGCCTTGCCCCTGCACCCAAAGGGCCACAAAATCTCCCCTCGCCACCCTTCCTGAGACAGGGAACTCCGCCACCGCCAGCAGCCGTCACAGCAACATCAAACACGGGTGTTTATGCCAAGCCCCATTTACACGAGCCCACTTCTCCCCGAGAGATGAATTTCTAAAACAAACAGCTTTTACATATGTTCACAGGCACAGTCACGTCAGCGTCAGGGATCCCGAGACGGAAACGTGAGTCAGTCTGGGGCAAAGATGCTAAGTAAATCCTGTTTGGGTGAAATTCCTCTCTCTGGAGAAAGAGGAGCCTCAACACGGATTGCTCAGATTTCTCAGCAAGAGTACCTAAAGACAGCAAGCTCTTGCAGGGGAGCCAGCTCTGCACGTTCTGGACTCCAAATCTACCATCGTCACACTGAAGTGTGTTGGCCTCATCACCCCAACCTTCTGTGAGCCCTTCTAACCATTCCCCCTGCATCCAAGCATCCCGGTCTCCACACGCACCCTGGTTTCATCAGGGAATCTGATGGCCCTGCCCTGTTGGGCAATGGTTGTCCACACTCCTGTAAGATTTCTGGACATTCCAAGGCTCGGGTCTCTGGCAGCCAAAGAGACAAATGCCACCAGGTAGACACACAGGTGTCTGAGAAGTGAGGGACTGCACATAACTGGCACAAGCAGCTAACCTGAAAGACTGATGCCATGAAGGACTCAGGTAAGGGGCAATGTGACCACACAGGAAATCTCATGTTTGGGAGTATGAACTACATGGGTCATCACCTCCTGTTTCCTTAATTTTGCCTACAGAGACTTTGGAAAAAGGAGGAATTCCATAACCTAACACAACATATGCAGGCTGTGTTAGAGTAAGAGGCTGCCAATCGAAAGAATTAGTGCAGGATGAGGTCAAGACAGCATTTAGGACCCACTACAGTCTGAACATTTATGTTCTGCCAAATTTCATATGAAGAAACCTAAGCCACAACACAGTCACAGCATTAAGAGGAGGGGCCTTTAGGAGGTAATTAAGTCATAAGAGCTCCATCCTTGTGGATGGGATTAGTGGCCCTTATAAAAGAGGCTGATGGGCGCTGCCTTGCCCCTTCTATCATGTGAGGACACAGAAGGCACCAGCTAAGAGGAACAGGCCCTCACCCGATGCAGCATCTGCTGGTGCCTTCATCATGGACTTCTAGCCTTCAGAATTGTGAGAAATTAGATTTCCATTTTTCATAAATTACCCATTCTAAGGTGTTTTGTGACAGCAGCCTGAACAGACTAAGACAGGACCTAATATAGGTCAATCATCCAACCTAGAGATAGCAGAAGGACAAGAGGCTCCAGCACAGGCACTGGCGTGGTGAACTCCAAGTCCACACTGTGTCTGAGAAGACGGCACGGACCCCAACCCAGACCCTACCTCTCTGGGCTACACTGCTGGGGGCATGATGAGGCTGCAAGCAAGGGCTCTGCACTGTGCCCTGGGAGGCACTGGCCCGCTGAGGACACGTGTCTTGGGTCCTGGGGGTGAGGACTTGAGCTGCCCTCAGGGAAGTGGGTCTAGAGGGGTTACCATGGCCTTGGGTGTCTTGAAATAAGAGTCTGGAACTTTGGACCCATTCCAGACCTTGGCTGGAGCATCAGAGGCTTAGCCTCCCCACATGCATGAGGGTCTGTAACCAACATGGGCCTACGACCGAGTCCACAAAGCTCTAGGTGAGAGAGATGAAGGGGGAATTGCTGGCTAGCTAAGAGACGGGGATGGAGGTGGGGGTCTTATGTATGTCCCTAGGCTACAGGCAGAGCTCCCCTTTCGCCATGGCCAGAGCCAAACCCAAGAGAAAGAAAAGCTACAAACCGAGCCCGTTCTCCGCCAGTGTAGCGTGATTCACGTCACATTCACCCATATCTTGCTCTCCAACATGATCATTCAAATCCAAGCCAGGCTGATGGGACCCATTTCCAAAGTGCCTCTCATCCTTCTCAGAGCCGGCGTCCCCATTTTCCATCCCGTTCTGAGACTTTTTCAGGGGCATTATTTGCAAACCACTGGGGGTAGTCCTGTAAGACACCGTCTTGGTGGCCCTGTCACCTCCTGAAGAGGGCTTGCCTGAATACCCTTTTTTTGGCTTGGCCAGGGGAGGGTTAATTCGCTTCCGTTTATGGGAGGTCCCCTTGCTCTTTCCAGGATCTGAAGGTCTGTGGGACAGTTTCTCAACCGACGGGCCTCGACTGTCACGCAGCAGCTTGGAGGTACTGGACTGCTTCCCTGACTTGATCCTCTTGTCCTTGGACATGTGCAACCCATTGAATTCATCAATAAACTCCTCACAGTGCAAGAGGTGGTGCTCCGGCTCCCACGTGTCCTCGGTGCTCCCGTAGCCTTTCCATCGGATAAGATACTCCCATTTTCCTTTCTTGTTCTTCCTCTTGTCTACAATCCTTTCAACCTGCGATACAAGATGAGAGGGTCAGAAAACAGAGAGAGAGGGAGGAAAAAACTCAGTTCGAGGCAACAAGAACACCATAAAGCCTTTGGGATAGAGGCATCTACCCTAGCCAGGGGGTGAGCCACGAGCCATTCAATGCCAGAAGCCAACACTGGCAGGAGGGTTCAAGAAGGCTGGTTTATTTTACGACATCACTGGATGGAACCTAAGGCACATGCAGCCATTTCCCATGATGACGCTAGATGACACGCCCAGCTGGTGGTAGCCACATGTCCATCCAGGCTTACTTTTATTTGAAATTGCCTTGCAAGGTTTCACAAGAGATCTTTATTCTTTTCATTGCACCAAAGTAGATGCAGGCTATTAAAGACCAATTTGGTGTGAGTTCTTCATCCTTATTTATAATAAGTAACATTTATTGAGCAATTATATGGGAGGTACTATGCCAATTTATCCTTACTTATAACAATACCAATGATCATTAACATTCACTGGGTGCTTATGAGCCAGACACTATACTAAATGCTGGGCATAGACTCTCCCATCTCATTTTCTCGTGGACAAAAACTCAATGAAGTAAATATTTTTCTATCCCCAATTTACAGTCAGAGAACGAGGGCTCAGAGAGACCAAGTAACTTAACCAAGTTCCAGAATGGTAAGGGCAGAACTGGGGTTTGAACCACTCTCACCTCAGACTTATTCTCTTACTCACTAGGCCATACTAACTCTCTTAACTGCAAAAATCTTCCACAGTGACCAAAAAGGACTTGAACTGAAAATGTCCAGCTCTCCCCACACAGCTCCCCCAGCTGCAACACAGAGGCACAGCTAGGAGGCAAAGAGATAGGTAACATTTGCTGAGTACCTACTATGCACCTCACATGTCCCTGTGGGTGTACACCACTATTATTTTTCCATTTGATAGATGAAGATATTGCATATAAGGCAACTCGCCTACCATGCACAGCTCGCAGGCGATACTGGTGGGATTTGAACCTTTATGTGTCAGGCCCTAAAGCCATGAGCTACTGTCTACATGTCTTCAAAGGCAAGAAAACCTCCCTTGTCTTTATGTAATCCCGTGGAAAAATACACTCGGAAAATGCCAGTCTCGATGCTAATAACTGTTGTATTTAACTGAAGGGTATGTGAGGGTTCATTTAGTATTCTTTCAACTTTGCTGTAGACTTGAAACTTTTTCAATTAAAAGAAGGTGGAAAATTCCCAATGTTGTACCCTCCAAATGCTAAATTTCAATGAAAAAGTAAGCAGTTATATTCAAAAGTTTATTCTACTTCAATATCAATATAATATGCTTTTCTAGAATGGAATTTTGACCCAATAAAATTAAGTCGAGTCAGGAATAAGCCTCTGAAACTTACAAAAAGAAAAATAAAACAGGTGAGCAAAGGTGAGTACAGTCATAGTTGATAATTGTTGAAAATGGGTAATGAATACATGGGGTAATTTATATGGATGTTTATGTTTACGTGTTTGAATTTTAGTATGTTTAGAATTTTAATCCTAAAAAGTGAAAAAACTTTGAAAAGTGGGATTGTCTCATCAATGGCTTTTGCACAACAGAGGTCATGCAAAATAATTAAACCACTTTCTTTGCCTTGCACTTAATAAATATGCAAATAACTAGACCATACTGCCTCTTTATAATACTGCCTCTTCATAGACAATTTAAATTGTTTCCTTAATTAATTTATCTCCATCCAAACTGGCTATCAAAATTTGTTTCCTTATTAAACGTCCTGGGAACAGGTCTTTTAGATTTATTAGATAATTTTTAGATATAATACACAAACTCTGTAACATTTTTGAAAAAGTAAAATCATGCCTAACTAATCCAATATCCAACCTTTGGGTTAAGGAATGGAGTTACTGAGTATTCCTTTGTAATAATGCTTCAGAACGCCAAGGATTTCTGGAAGAGCCTGCAGCTTTGCTCTTTTTGTGAACATTGTAGGGAGAAACTCTCTACAGGTTTACTGAGGGAGGAAAGAGAGTAAGCAATCTGACATTGCCTGAAACAGCAGCATTTGTGAGGACACCAACCTAGGAACAGCAGCAGCGCCCAGATATTTCCTGGGAGCTAAGGGATGTGGTGTATTCTCATGGAAGCCTCCAGCTCTAGACAATATATGCTCACTTCCCGGGATGGAGAAATTTCTTCCCCAGGATGAAGTGGAGGACCATGTTAGACAAATAGCCAACACAATGGATGAGTGCGTGGGTGGGTGGATGGATGGATGGGTGGATGGGTGGGTGGATGAATGGATGAATGGATAGATGGATGGTGGGATGTATGGGTGACTAGATGTATAAATAAATGAATAGATGGCTGGATAGATGGATAGATGGATGGTAGGATGTATGGGTGACTAGATGGATAAATAAATGAATAGATGGATGGATGGCTGGCTGGCTGGCTGGATGGATGGATGGACAGATGTGGGATGGATGAAAAGGTGGGGACAGAAGTGGGTTCATAAATGGATGGATAGATTAATAGATGACACTTATCAAAATGGCATTAGCAAAATATTTAAGAACAGGGCTTTGTAACAAAACGATCTGTTTTAAATCCCCTGCTATGCCTCTTATCATGTGTTCTTGAGCAAGTTATTAAACCTCTTTGGGCCTCAGATGACTCATAGAGCAAGGCAGAAGTATAGCGCCTATCTCTTGGGGTTGTTGCGGAAAATACACAACTATGTACGTTTGCATTCCACAGTAATCTTGCATAGACTCCTGTGACCACAAACCTTAGTGGTGTCTAAAGACAGAATGTTCCTCCACCTTTCAGAATATGACCCCTTAAAACAGTCAACTCCTCCATGGGAAGAAGAGAGAGTATACCTACTTAGATAAGTGCTTCCATGCATGGAAGGTGGCTATGCATAGTTGGGCTACATGAAAAGCTGAAGGTTAGCAAGGGTGCAGGGTCTAGATGGCTATTTGGGGCCACATTGGAGGCGGAGCTTAGTTTTGTTCCCTCCAAATTACTGGAGGTTGCAATCACAGAGTCACAGGTAGCTTTATGGGGGACATCAAGGCTAGTTCTTCTACCTCTGGTCCCATTCACAAAGCCACTGGGTGGCTTGTCAACAATTTCTACTTAACCCAATACCAATGATGAGCAGTATTAACAGGACCATCTCTAATAGCCTGGTATGTGGAGGAAGACACCTTGGCTCTGTCATTTTCTATCTGTATGACCTTGGGCATGTCACCCCACCTCTCTGGCCTTGGTGTCCCCATCGGTAAAATATATAATAATAAAGAAAAACTGAAAGAATTAAGATACAGGAAAAGCATCACTACAAGATGAATGGATGACTCCGATACATATGAACTTCAGTTGACAAAACTGCTTTTATATACATTGTTTCACCCCCAATTTAAAAAAGCAAACAAACACAAGGTTTTTGCAGGTTCAGAAAACACTGTTTTTCCTGAAACACTGGAATAACCACAAAAAACTCAGGGGAAAGCTGGCTCCCAAATACCCCAGCATACTTTGATCTCCGGCATCTCTCAGGACCTAATCTTCTATACATCTTTGTGTAGGTTTCTGACTCTTTTCCTCTTCTCAGGAGCACCTCAAACAGAACCTGAATTGTAATTTGTTCTGTTGATAGAAAAAGCCCAAGTCGTTTAGGACTTGACCTTGCATATGACTGCAACATTCTCTCTCTGGGAAATCCTTTTTAAGCTCCTCCAAACTTCCTGCACTGTCTCATAACTCCTCACACCAAAAACAAACAAACAAAAACAAACAAAAAACAGAGAGCTGGTACCCCTGGTCCTGGCAGCTCTGTCTCTTGATGCTCTGCCCCCGCTCTACCTGGGCAGGCCACTTGCTTTACCTGAAGCTCAGTCCTTCCAAATGGAAACAATAATTAATTCTCTTCCCTTTATTTGCACATATGAATGAATGAATGAATGAATGAATGACATTAGAAAATCCTGTGTACACACCCCCACCAGCTTCTTTTCTCAAAAATAAGCAATCTGAGATGCTGAACTATTCCTCAGAGTTCAATCAAATCATTCATTAACATTTACTCTCCATGATCCCAGCTAATGTGAGACTCTGCTCTATTGCAGGTGGCAGGCAGGGAAATGCTGATGCTATTATTACCAGTGCCAGGATGCCACCTGGATGGCTGTCTCAGTAGGATTAATACTGATGACAATCATCTTGACTGGTACATGCATAGTTCCAGGAACTGTGTAAATCACTTTCAGGTGTTAGATTTCATCTTATGCCCAGCTTTCCAGCTGGACATCATTCTCATTTGACAGGGGAGGAAACTGAGGCTCAGAGAAGGTAGGTAACTTTCCCTTGATCACACAGTCAGTAGCTGGTTAACCAAGATTTGAACCCAAGTTCATCTGACTGCAACAGCCTGAGTTCCTAGCCACATCTTGCCAGTGAGAAGCTATTAGAACAGGGCAGGGCCAAGCAAAGCATGAACCATTGGAACAGCAACAAGAGGAACGGATACTGAGGAAGGAAACGGCTTCACGGAAGTGACGCATACAATAACTCTTCAAGGATCACTGATACGCGAGGCACCAGCGTGCAACAAGAAACCTCGCAGACCGCCATCATGGCTCACAGGCTAGTGAGAAACACAGGCCTTAAAAGGAGCACAACATAATATGTAGTAACAAATTACAAAAAGCACTCTGGGCCAGGCACGGTGACTCAGGCCTGTAATCCCAGCACTTTGGGAGGCTGAGGTGGCCGGATCACCTGAGGTCAGGAGTTCGAAACCAGCCTGGCCAACATGGTGAAACCCCATCTCTACTAATAATACAAAAATTAGCTGGGCGTGGTGGCATATGTCTGTAATCCCAGCTACTCCAGAGGCTGAGACAGGAGAATCACTTGAACCCAGGAGGCGGAGGTTACAGTGAGGCGAGATCGCACCACTGCACTCTAGCCTAGGAGACAGAGCAAGACTCTGTCTCAAAAATAAAAAAAAAATAAAAAAATAAATAGAAATAAAAAAGGACTCGTACTCTGATGGCAAAGAGGAAGGTGCTGTGAGAAACAACGGCAGCGGGAATGGATTTACTTCAAACAGAACAGTCACAAAGGCTCCTCCAAGAAAGGACAATTTAAACTGACAGCAAACTCAGCCTGTAGAGATGAGAAGGACTGGAGCAGTGAGGGGCCTTCCAAGCAAGGGAGACCACCCCCTCCTCCTCAGCCTTTCCACTAGCAGGCTGATAACATACCACCATCACCACCTAACCTTGATTCAGCATGACTAAGGGCCAGCTGCTGCTGTACTTGATCCCTATACATTAACTCTCCAAAATAACCCAGCAAGGTAAGTAATTTTATTTTCTTATTTTTTATATAGAGGATAAAACTGAGGCACCCAGAAGTTATGGACTTTGGTAAGCACAGAAGAGCTAAGACTTGGTCTAATGCATCTTGGCTCCAAATCCCATGCTCTCGGCGACCACATTATATACACCTCTCATCGTGCAGTGGGTCCAACCTGACCAAGGCTGGCAGCATATCCGCAGCTTCAGGCTCTTCCCCTCAACTCCTGCCAATTTCCTTGAAGTCCTGAAGCATCTTTCCATCACTTCGGATTAGCCTCCTGCGCTGGCCTCTCCTAGAGCCCCTACCATGCCAGCCACAGGGCCTCCTCTCCCTCTGCTTCAATTCTTCATTGGTCCAAATGGAAACAGACTCATCACCAGTCATAATCCCCACCACAGATTCCCACCAAACCAGCACAATGTATAAAATTACAATTGCTCTGGAACCCAGGATTACAATCAAAGATTTTGCAGACTGCTGAAGGGATATCTTCCCAACACATGGCACTGGATTGAGAAATTGTGGGTTTACTAGTACATGTCTTGGTCTCTGGGAGCAAAAAGCAAGGCCAAAAAAAAAAGAACAGAGAAAGAAGACATCCACGCCTACAGCCTCTGCCCATCCATATACCAGAGCAGCCATCCCTGGCCAGAAACAGTTCATTCCCTAACTCTGTACCTCAAACCCCACATCCCTGAAGACCTTTCTTTCTGCATCCTTTCAACATCCTGAGACAACTCCCTTGGGGGCGGAAGGGCGAAGGCACCCCATGGTTACAACTTGGGGTATGAAGTCCTCAGGAAGGATAAAGAGGGCAAGTTCTGGGAACAACTTGGCATGGGCTATTTAAAATCCAGAAGACTTAGATTGCTTCAGCTAATCTAGCCAGAGAAGGCAGTAGGTTTTTCCCGTCCAGTGCAGCAAAACTACACAAGGGAAATGGCTGTCAGACCAAGAAGTTTGGCTCAGAGCCATGTAAACCAAGCTAGATTCTGGGCAAGGGTCTGACTGGGGGACTCTGTGGCATCCAAGTGGTGAGAGAGACCAACAGGAATTTCCATATCCATTCTGCTGGAAAACACTATGCCTAGAGAGACCTCACACAAAATTAGTAATAGCAGCATCATCACACAACATGGTCATAAAAATTTTTAAAACATAAGAACATGATCATAACTAAAATGTTCCCAGTACAATCACACCAGTGAAGAGTACTACTGTATATTTTTGAATAGTATTTGTGGTGTGTCTTCCAATACTACAGAAAATATGACCCATGTTTTTAAAAGAGAGAGAAGAAGAGATACATGATGAAATGAAACCAACAGGTTGAGAAGGAAGCTGAAATGAAAAAAACGATTCATTTACATAAGAAAGGATGTAAAGGAATCAAAGAGAAAACGCAAGCAAGGGAATAAAATTCCCGCTGGAACCAGGAAAGGACAGAACCAACATGCGGGAAATCACACCAGCGACATAGACAACATACTCGAAAAGCTGTCCAAGAGAGCAGGAAAAAAGGACACAGAAATTTTAAAGAAAGCACTAAGGAAAATGAGAATAGATACCTAGAAGAGTTAATAGAGATCCACCCAGTCTAAGTCCAACAAAGAGAAAAAAATCTAAACAGGGCAGAAACGCTAATCAAGTCATAATAGAAGAAATCTACGTCCTAAGTCTGCACGTCAAAAGAAGACTTCACTGACGGGGGAAGGAGAGTTTGAGAATAGATCAACTTTATTTCTATCCATGCAAAGCTTCTTCATTTCAAAAAACTGAATTATCTGCCTCATCCCCCAGCCCTCCCCCATCCAAAAATCAGGCCAACTTCAGAACATTATGTTCCAGAACACCTGTTGAAGCAATAAATATTCTGAACTCAAGAATTCTATTCTATAGCCCAAGTGGTCCTTCAGATGAGAACGGGGGAAGAAGATAACTCATCTCTTAGGGGACAAAATAGGAACTGCCCATTTAAAACATGACTCAAACAGGTACTTCAGAGAACAATTTTAAACCTAAATTTTTAACGTAAAACTGGAGAAGGTGTAGTAAGAATACATATTAGGATTAATGCTATACAATGATACCAAATAAATACCTGGAGTTGAGGCTTAAGTAATCATTGTAATTATGACAAATTGAAAGCAAATATTAAATGATTTTCAAAGGATTACTTGCATATATAATGTGAAAATAGAAAGCAAAACTATAATAATGTGATTTTTAAATGCCAAGTTAAGATAATGAGTATAGGAAATGGTCAAACATGAAGAAGAGTGAAAACTTAACTGAATGATGTCTGCCTTTATCACTAGAGTAACATGTTTGTGTATATTGACAAAACAATTACTTTCAAGAAAGAACACACGCCCATAAAATGACACGATCAATGATCAGAGCATTTTTTCTCATAACAGACAAAACCTGGAGAAATCTAAGTATTTTAACAGAATAAATAGACCATAGCATATCTGTGCAGAGAAGTACCACTCAATAATAAAAAGGAATGACACACACAACAATTTGGAAGAAACTCACAGGCATTATGCTGAATGAAGGGGCCAGACTCAGAAGACTACATGCCAGGCAAACTCATCTATAGTGATCGAAGCCAGATCAGTGGGGGCTGGGTGTGGGGGTGGATGGCGGGGTGGGGGTGAGAGTGATTGCAAAGGCCATAAGGAAACTTTCTGGGGAAATGGAAATGTTCTATAATTGGATTTGCGTGGTGAGGTATACATCTGTCAAAAGTCACTTTTACACTGAAAATGTGTGTAATCATAAATAAGTTATACCTCAATAAAGTTGTTTGGAAGACACACACAAAACACATAGAAATAAAAAGAGGAAATATGCATTTCAAATCAAATGAGAAGATGGAAATAAGGTCTATATTGCAAAAGAAATTGTAATAAAGCATAAAAGACAAAAAGCATTAAACAAGACAGCAGAAATGAGGCCAAAGGTATTATTTACAAAAAAAAGTTCTGTATGTGAATACTAACAGGGGCTTAATTTGTCATTTCCAAAAACTAGAAACAACTATATTCTTCAACAAGAAAACAGATAAACAAACTGAAGTTCATCCGTATAACAGAATACCACTCAGAAATTAAAAGGAACAAACTATTACTTGGTACAGCAACATAAATGAATCTTACATTCAGGTGCCAAGGACCAGAAGAAGAGGGGATGATTACCAATCGGCTACACAAGGGAATCTTTAGGTGATTAAACTGTTCTGCGTGGTCCTATGGGGGTGGATTCATGACTGTACATTTGTCAAAAACCACAGAGCTGTAGACCACAAAAAAAGAGTGACCTTTTCTGTACGCACTTTTAAAAAAAAATCAACCAAGGTGTCAGAGGCTCCCAGGATGGAATGCATCCAGTGACAAATGAATCTCACTGTATTACAGATGTATGATACAACCTAAATACAAGAGACAGGGAAAAGGAGCTGACCCAAGTAACTTTAGAAAACTGTGTTTTAATTGGACAAAATAAAGACAAAGTATACAAATACTGTATTCTAGTTCAGCAGTCCCCAACCTTTTTGGCACCAAGGACCAGTCTCATGGAAGACAATTTTTCCACGACGGGCGGAATGGTTTTAGGATGAAACTGTTCCACCTCAGATCATCAGGCATTAGTTAGATTCTCATAAGAAACACGCAACCCAAATCCCTTGCATGCGCAGTTCACAAGAGGGTTCGTACTCCTATGAGAATCTAATGCCACTGCTGATCTGGCAGGAGGCGGAGCTCAGGTGGTAATGCTCCCTTACCCACCACTCACCTCCTGCTGTGTGGCCCGGTTCCTAACAGGCCACGGCCTGGTACCAGTCCATAACCAGGGGGTTAGGAACCCCTGCTCTAGTTGGTAAAATTGTTTTTTGCAGAGGTACAAAGAATTTAAAAAATGACCTTAAGCATACACTAGGTTTGAGCAAATATGTAAATAATTGATAGGAAATGAAAGCCAGGTTTCTCACTGGCTTAAAAAAAAAGCTATAAATAAGCTAAAGGAGAAGATTAGAATAAACCCTGGAATACTGAATCGGAGTAAGAGATATCAGTATAAACTCATGTTTACTTTAATACATTTACACATATAAACATGGAAATATAAATATATGTATACATGAGTTAGAGCACACACATATTTCCTACATCTTTCCTCTGAGAAGACCAAGAAGCAGTCACACCCTACTATCAATGAGCACATCCAGCAACACAGATCATGGTTTCTTAATATCACTCTCCAATGAAAAAAACTAGGGCTCCCTAGGAAAATGCCTAACTCTAGGGCTGGGACAGAAAACATACAAGATGACCCTAGAAGATCTGAGAGTGCTAAAAGGTATGAAAGTGCTCCAAATAAATAAATAAACCCACAATGACGGGAATATATCAAAAGGGCCAAATGAAAGAGCTCCCGATGGCCAAAACTGGAACAATCTGAGTAACAGAACAAAATTAAGCAACATGCTCCTGATAATAAGAGTAACCCAAAGAATATATATCCCAAAGAATTATAACCCGAAGAATAAATATTCAAGAGTCCATCTGATATAAACAGGTGAATTAATCAGCAGTTAGCCAATTATGGCCTGCAGGCCAAATCTGGCCAGATGTTTGTTTTTGGAAGTAAAGTTTTATTGGTACACACCCATGTCCATGCATCTATGTAATATCTGTGGCTGCTTTCACAATACAACAGTAGAAATGAGTTGTTGTCACACAGAGTGTTCAGCTCACAAATACTTACTCTGGCCCAAGAAAAAGTTTGCCAACACTTATCACTATACAAAACCACAAAACCAAAGATAAATAATAAAAGCGGAAGAAAGAAACAAAGGCTATACAAAACAACCACAAAGCAAATGACAAGAGTAAGTCCTAACCTATCAATAATAACATTGAATGTAAATGGATTAAATTTCCCAGTTAAAAGATAAAGAATGACTGAATGAACTAAAAAAGCAATACCCAACTACATGCTGCCTATAAGAAATTCACTTCACCTGTAAAGACACAAACAGATTGAAAGTGAAGGGATGGAAAAAGATACACTACACAAACAGAAACCAAAAATGAGCAGAAGTGGTTATATTTATAGCAGATAAAATAGACCTTAAGTTTAAAAACTGTAAAAAGCAATAAAGGAGGTCATTATATAATGATAAAGGGATCAATTCAGCAAAAGGAAATTACAATTGTAAATATGTATGTACCCAACACAGGAGCACCCAGATACATAAAGCAAATATTATTAGATCTAAAAGGAGGGAAAGACCTCAATACAATATTAGTTGAGACCTTCAACACACCACTCTCAGCACGAGACAGATCAAGCAGGCAGAAAATCAACAAACATCAGCTTTAACCTCCACTACAGACCAAATGAACCTACCAGACATTTATAGAAGGTTTCAATCAACTGCTGCAGAACGCATATTCTTCTCATTAGCACATGAAGCATTCTCCAGGATAGACCATACATCATGCCACAAAAGTCTCTACAAATGCTTTAAAAATTGAAATCATATCAATTATCTTTTCTGACCACAATGAAATAAAACTAGAAATCAATAACAAGAAAAACCTTGAAACTGTACAAATAATCGAAATTAAGCAATGCGTTCCTTAACAACCAATGAGTCAGTGAAGAAATTAAGAAGGGAACTTAAAAATTTCTTGAAACAAATGAAAACAGAAACACAACATACCAAAACCTATGGGATATAGAAAAGCAGTACTAAGAGAGAAGGTAATAGCAATGAACATCTACATCAAAAAAGCAGAAAGATTTCAAATGACCTAATGATACATCTCAAGGAACTAGAAAAGCAAGAAAAAACCGAACTCAATAGACAAAAAGAAATAATAAAGATGAGGGCAGAAATAGGGACTAAAAAATACAAAAGGTCAACAATACAGTTTTTTTTAAATATAAAATCAACAAACCATTAGCTAGACTAAGTAAAAAATAGAGAAGACACAAATAAAATCACAAACAAAAAAGAAGACATTACAACTGATATTATCGAAATACAAAAAATTCTTAGAGACTGTTACAAACAACTATATGCCAACAAATTGGAAAGCCTAGACAAAATGAATACATTCCTGGACACATACAACCTACCAAGATTAAACAGGAAATACAAAATAGAAATAGGAAACCTGAATAGACCAATTAACAAGTAACAAGATGGAAGAGTAATAAAAAAAAAAAGCCTCCCAACAAAGAAAAGTCCAGAACAGGATGGCTTTACTGCTGAATTCTACCAAACTTTTAAAGAAGGACTCTAAAACTAATTCTTCTCCAAGTCTTCCAAAAATCTGAAGAGGAGGGCCCAGGCATGGTGTCATGCACTTAGAGACCCAGCTCCTCTGGAGGTGGAAGTGAGAGAATCACCTGAAGTCAGGAGTTCAAGGTTGCAGTGCCCTATGATTGCATCTGTGAATAGCCATTACACTCCGGCCTGAACAACATAGTGATATTTTGTTTCTAAAAAAAAAATAAGTAAAGTAAAATGATAAACTGAAGGGGAGGGAATTATTCCAAACTCATTCTATGAGGCCAGTGTCATCTTGACACCAAAAGCAAACAAGGACACAAGAAAAAGAAAACTACCGGCCAACATCCCTGATGAACGTAGATGCAAAAATCCTCAACAAAGAATACAAGCAAACTAATCCAACAACACATCAACAACATAGTACACCATAATCAAGTGGGATTTATCCCAGTGATTCACATATGGCTCAACATACATTAGAAAATAAATGTAATACATCACATTAAGAATGAAAGACAAAAACCATAAAATCATCCCAATGGATACAGAGAAAGCATTTAATAAAATTCAGCATCTCATCATGATAAAAACTCTCAACAAATCAGGTAGACAAGGAACGTTCCTCAACATTATAAAGGCCATATCTGACAAACCCACAGCCAACATCACACTGAATCAGGAAAAGTTGGAAGCTTTTCCTCTAAGAACTGGAACAAGACAAGGAGGCACACTTTCACCACTCTTACTCAACATAGTATTGGAAGTCCTAGCCAGGGAAATTTCACAAGATAAAGAAATAAGGGGCATGCAAACTGGAAACAAGGAAGTCAAATTATCCTTGTTTGCACACAACATGATCTTATATATATATAAATCTAAAGACTCCACCAAAAACCTCTTAGAACTGATGATTCAGTAAAGTTGCAGGATACAAAATCAACAAAAAAGTCACATTTCTATACAATCGTAACAAACTAGCTGAAAAAGAAATCCCATTTACAGTAGCTACAAAAACATAAAATACCTAGGAATAAATTTAACCAAGGAGATGAAAGATCTCTACAATGGAAAGAATAAAACATTGGTGGAAAAAATTAAAGATAAGATTAAAAAAATGGAAATACATCCCATGTTCATGGATTGGAAGAATATTGTTAAAATGGCCATACTAGCCGAAATGATCTGCAAAGTCAGTGCAATCCCTATAAAAATACCAATGACATTCTGCACAGAAATAGAAAAAAAAATCCTAAAATTCATATGGAAGCACAAAAGATCCCAAATAGTCAAAGTTATCCTGAGCAAAAGAAACAAAGCTGGAGGCATCATACTACCTGACTTCAAAATATACTAAAAATCTGTAGTAACCAAAACAGTATAGTACTGGCATAAAAATAGACACAAGATTTCATGGCTAAGACCTCGAAAGCACAGGCAACAAAAGCAAAAACAGACAGGATTATGTCAAACTAAAAAGCTTCTGTACGTACTGCAAAGAAAACAATCAACAGAATGAACAAATAACCCGCAGAATAGGACAAAATATTTGCAAATTATGCATTTGACAAGGGATTAATATCCAGAATATACAAGGAACTCAACACAAGAGCAAAAAACCAAATAGCTGAATTAAAAAATGGGCCAATGATCTGAAAAGACATTTCTCAAAAGACAATATACAAATGGCCAATAAGCATATGTGATACGGTTTGGATCTGTGTCCTTGCCCAAATCTCATGCTGAATTATAATCCCCAGTGTTAGAGGTGGGGCTTGGTAGGACGTGATTGGATTATGGGGGCACAGTTCTCATGAATAAACTGCCATCCTCCCTTGGTACTGTATAGTAAGTTCTCACAAGATCTGATTGTTTCAAAGTATGTAGCATCTCTCCTCCTCTCTCTTACTTCTGCTCCTGCCATATAAGATGTGTCTTCTTCCCCTTCACCTTCTGCCATGATTGTAAGTTTCCTGAGGCCTCCTCCCAAGCAGAAGCCACTTTGCTTCCTGTAGAGCCTGCAGAACCATCAACCAATTAAAACTCTTTTCAAGTTATGCAGTCTCAGGTACTTCTTTATAGCAGTGTGAGAATGAACTAATACAATATGAAAAAATGCTCACCATCACTAATCACCAGGAAAATGCAAATCAAAACCACAATGAGATAACATCTCACCCCAGGTAGAATGGCTATTATCAAAAAAACAAAAACTAACAAATGCTGGCAAGGATGTGGAGAAAAGAGAACTTTATAAACTGTTGGTGGGAATGTAAATTAGTAAAGACATGGAAAATAGAAAGGAGGTTCCTCAAAAAAACTAAAAATTTAATATCATATGATTCAATAACCCACTACTGGGTATATATCCAAAGGAAGGAAAATCAGTATGTCTAAGATATACCTGTACTCTCATGTTTACTGCAGCACTATTCATAATAGTCAAGATATAGAACCAACCTAAGTGTCCATCAACAGATGAATGGATAAAGAAAATATGATATACATATTTATATACAATGCAATACTATTTAGCCATAAAAAAGTATGAGATTCTATCACTTGTGGCAACATGCACGAGCCTGCTGGACATTGTGTTAAGTGAAATAAGCCAGGCATAGAAATACAAATACCACTAGTACTCACTCATACGTGGAAGCTAAAAAAGTTGATCTCATAGAAGTAGAGAGTAGAACAGTAGTTACTAGAGGCTGTGAAGAATAGCACGAACAGAGGATAGGGAGAGGTTAGTTAATAAATACAAAATCACAGCTAAACAGAAGGATTAAGTTTTAATGTTCTACAGCACTGTAAGGTGAATATAGTTAACAAAATTTTATTGTGTATTTTCAAATAACTAGAAAAGAGGATTTTTACTATTCTCAACACAAAGAAATGACAAATGTTTGAAGGGATGGATATGCTAATTACCCTGATTTGATCATTACACATTATCTATATGTATTGAAATATACTATACTCCATAAATATGTATAATTATTATGTGTCAAAAACTTTTCTTAAAAGGTTGAAAGGTATGTGGAAAAGGTAAATAATTAGAATGACCAAAACAATTTTTTTTTTTTTTTTTGAGACGGAGTCTCGCTCTGTCGCCCAGGCCGGAGTGCAGTGGCGCGATCTCCGCTCACCGCAAGCCCCGCCTCCCTGATTCACACCACTCTCCTGCCTCAGCCTCCCGAGTAGCTGGGACTACAGGTGCCTGCAACCACGCCTGGCTGATTTTTTAGTAGAGACGGGGTTTCACCATGTTAGCCAGGATGGTCTCGATCTCCTGACCTCATGATCCGCCCGCCTCGGCCTCCCAAAGTGCTGGGATTACAGGCGTGAGCCACTGCGGCCAGCCAAAACAATTTTTAAAAAGAGCAAAGTTGGAGAAATCACAGTGCCTCTGCAAAATTCCAGATAAATTAGAAAGTTAAACAAAAATCTAAGAACATATCAAACACAAAAAATGCGTTTTAAGACTTACAGTGGAGAAGGTCACTGAAACAAAAATCTAATGGCCATGAAGAGTGCTAAATTTCACTAAACTATAATTAAAATTTTTCCTTTCATAAAAGACATCAAAAATAAAATTAAATGACAATGGACTGAGAAAATATTCACATTTGCAACAAAAGAGTAACATCCAGAATATGTAAGGAACTTCAAAGTCGATTAAGAAAAAGAAGTTAAAAATGGGCAAAGAAGCAGAATAAGAAATACAAATTCAAATAAATAAAAATGGCTATCAACATATTAGAAAGAGGGTTAAGCTCATCACTAATCAGGGAAATGAAAATTAAAACAGTGAGAAAGATCAGCAAAATTTTAAAAGGTTGCTAATACCCTATGTTGGCAAGGATGTGGGCATACGAATAGCTATATATGTTCTTAGCATATGTAAATGGATATACCCTTTAGGGAAGGTAATTTAACAGATATCTATGCAAATTAAAATGTACAACCTTCTCTCCTCCTCCTCCCACACATAGTACATAGGTTCACATCATGCTAGCTTTCTCTCGCCAGTAGGCAGGAAACAGAAGAAATGTATCACCTCTGAACAGAAAGGTTTAATTTCCTATTTGTTGTCTTCCCTGCCACAGCAACAGAGCAGGCCATGAGTTGTAACGCCGTGCAGCTAAGAAACAGTTAAGCCTTCAGCAGCAGCCTGGGTCTCTGAGGGACTCGGCGGGCAGAAGATCCCACTAAACACTGTTGGACAGGTAGCATGAGTGAGAAATAAACCCCTGCAGTCTTAAGCCACTGGGAAAAAAATCTGCACAAACCCTTGAACCAGCCATTTGACTTTTGAGTATCCATCCGCATACAACCAATTCTAAAGGGAAAAAAGCAATAAACAGGGACTCTATCAAAGTAGAACCTCTACATAGATCAAGACAGAGCTATATGTCTTAATGTACAGTATGATCCCATTTATGTCAAAATATGCATATGCAAATATATAAAGGTCTGGAATAATTCACTGTTAATCTTCTATGGTTATTGCCTAATTATTAACAATGGTTTTCTCTAAGGCAGGGAGTGGATGCAGGGGAAGAGGCCACAAAGAAGGTCTTTCATTTCTATTCAAATTCTTCTGTAAAGCTTTTTTTCAATGAACATTATTTACATAGTATCTATTCCATTTAAAAATCAATAAAAATATTTTTTAAATTAATTTGATTTCTGTTTTTAAAAATGACCAACTGGAACATATCATGGGGAAAAATGAGCACATTCCAAAAAACAACCAAAAAAACACCGAATTGCAAACGTTAACTTTCACAAGAAATATTGGAAAACTACAAGAAGATAAACAACAAAATTCTACTGAGATGTTTTAAAGGGCTGAAATGAATGGAGCTGTATGTACCATGTTTCTGGATGGGAAGTCTTCACATATTAAAAGTTGGTTTGCAACAAACTGATCGATAAATGTAACGCAGTTTACAATCAAAGTCCCAATGAGTTCATTTTCAGAACTTTACAAAATGGTTCTCAAGTACCTTTGGGAGAATTAAATAAAAATAGCCAAGAGATTTTTGAAAAAGAAGAATAATGAGAAGGCACTTCTACAATAACATACTCAAGTAGAATATAAAGCCACTATACTTGTGAGTGTAGCATTAGGACAGGAAAAATAAATCAACTGAGCAAGAAAGCAAGCCTGAAAACATCCCTTCATATATTAGGAGATAAAATCGGAAACAAAGTAGCATCAAATATCAGTGCCAAATAGCAGAATTATTGCATAAGTGGGATTGGGGCAATTATACAGGAATGTGGAGTGAGAAACAAACCCCCACTTCACAGTAGAGGAATCAGAGTTTGGGGGTTTTCTGAAAATTAATTCCAAGAGGTTCCAAGAGTCAGAAGGCCTAAAACACACACACACACACACACACACACACACACACAAAACTATAAAAACTTAGAAGAAAACAAGACAGAGGTAGACAGCCATCTCATTTTTCATTGAAAGACATCCCATGTTCAAAATAATATTTTGCTCAGAAAAGCACGTTCTGCACATGTATCCCATTTTTTAGAAGAAATCAAGAAAAAAAGTGTATAAAATAGAAAAAAATTAAGTGGCATGAAGTAAAATAGTAAAAATAATCAAGAAATATATAAAGATCTCAGGAATATCATTAGGAAAAGCAGACAGGTCTGGACATGAGGGCTCACGTCTATAATTCAGCACTCTGGGAGACCAAAGCAGGAGGATTGTTTGAGGCCAGGAGTTTCAGACCATCCTGCGCAACAGAGTGACAACCCATCTCTACAAAAAATTTAAAAATTAGCTGGGTGTGGTGGCTCATGTCTGTACTCCCAGCTACTCGGGAGGCTGAGGCTGGAAGATCGCTTGAGCCCAGGAAGGCAAGGTTGCAGTGGGCTATGATCGTACCACTGCATTCCAGCCTGGGTGACAGAGTAAGACCCTGTGGACAGGTAAGGCCACAATATTAGGAGGCTAGCCTGGCCTCCTGGAGGATGAGTAGACACAAAATGCCGCAGCCAACAGCCAGCACTGCACGCCAGAAATGTGGGTGAGGCCATCTTGGACTTTCCATCCCAGCTGCATGAGTGAGCCCAGATGAAATCAACAGAGCTCACCCACAGAAGCCTAAGAAATAATCAGTTGTTATTGCTTTAAGCCACTAAGTCCATAACTGATATAACTTGACATAAAAGTTTATTAGAGTATTAGCTCAATCATGTGGAATATATATACACACATGAATCTAGGAAAAAAAGATAAGAAGGAAATGTTAATAAAAATAGGAAACCCCATTAACAGAATTATCTCAACCATGTAGAATATGCACATACACACACACCTGGGCAAAAAGAGAGGTGGAGATGTTAACAAGAATGTTATCTCCAGGGAGCAAGATTAGTGTTAATTATCTTCTTTATACTCTTTTGTATTTACAAAGTTTCCTTTCATGAACAGATAAATATATGTGAATAGCATTATATTTTAAAGGTTGATTTACCTCCACAACTAGACTGTGGCCTCCTTGATTGTAGAGGCTCTTTTTTTCGACTGTGAACCCCACGGCTTGTCACATGGTAGAGGTACAGTCAATGCTAGATGAATGAATGAACACAGAAAGCCTCAGGCTTATCCCCAGATTCAGGATTGGACTAGAGCTACCAACCTCGTCACTGGTCCCTGGACTTTCTCTAATGTGCACTAGACCAAAGCTGGTGCCCATGAGTCAATGCCCACCCAGCCACTCTGCCCTTACAGCAGGTATCCCCATCACCCTGTGGTGGCTCAGGCCACAGGGCCTCCCTGTGGGGTGCTCTAGCAACCAATCTGGTTACCATGCATCACACTCTGGCTCAAGGAGAGGGACAAGTGACCCAGCCCCTCCCAGAACCGCACCTGGTGGTCAGGGGCTTCTCCACGGCTATTCCTGGGTACAGGCTCCCCTAAGTCCTGCTGGTTACCAGGACCCCTACTGCAGGGTCCTGCCCTCTTGACCTCTGATTCCAGACCACACCTGGCCTTGCCTGAGCTTGGATGACAAGCCTCACCTGCGGAGCCACGTTAGCATCAAACTTTGCACCCAGGTAAGCAGAGCAGCCACCTCCCTTCTCTTGCCCAGCTGCGCAGGGTGGGTGCGCCCATCACCACACTGCATACTGAATTCCAAAGTACACACAGGCCAACAATTGAGTTACAGGATAGCGGAAGTGTGCATGTTGCTGGAAGATTGGGAGGTGAAGGTGACCAGTAAAAACTCCACTACCTGAGTAGAGCAAAATGTCTGTTTGTCCTAGGAGGTCAGTGAGGTACATTAGATGGTGCTTTCTGAAACCTCATTAACCAACTCCCTTCTTTCCTTTCGCACCCTCATCCAAGCCAGACACTGCTAATCAACCACAGCACCCACTCCTAATCAGCCCAGATCAACTCAAAATGCATAGCACAGAATTTACACAGAAGCACTTGGCAAATTGATATTCTTCTTCTTCTTTTAAATACAACACTCCAGGCAGCCACAGCTATTCTCTCAGAACCAATACCAAAGATGGAACTTGATCATCATTCAACAAATGCTTATCAAGTGCTCATCACATGCCAGGCACTGCAGGAGACACCAGAGGTGCAACGGTGAATAAAAACAAATGTGGCCCTCATGCTCATGAAGCACACAGTCCATGGGGACAGCCAGCTTCTAATACATAAAGTCACCAACCAACATTAATAGCAAACTGAGATAAGTGCTCTAGACAAAAGGAAAGACGTTCACCACCGGTGTGTACAAGGTAGCCAACCTGGTCTTGGCAGTCAGGGAAGACTCCTTGGAGGAAGTGACATTCAGAATGGAAGGAAGAGCTGCCACTGATTGGAACAGGGCATGCGGGAGGAGCTCAGGGAGAAGGCAGTTCCAGTTAGAGGGAAGAGAATGTGCAAATGCTCTGAACCAAGGAGGAATGTGGCCAGTGGTCAGCGTGAGTAACAGAGAAAGGCCACGTGGCTGAAGCCAAAAGGGACTGGGGCATGTTGAGAGATGAGAGTAAGAAAACAGACTCTGCTGGGTCTCTATGGCAAGTTAAGAACCCTGATCTCATCCTGATCCTAAGTGCAAAATAAGCCACCCAGGGGTATGGCAGGTGGAGAAGTTGGCCAAGGTAGGGGCTCCCTGGTCCAGGCTTGACATGCTTATTGTCCAGCTAGGAGCTAGACCTCACTAGGTGAGTTCCTCGTGGGCAGATGCTCTGTTTGACTCATCCCAACAGCTCACCAGTGCTTCGTCTACGCTGACTTCAGGAAATCCTTTATTGCTCAGCCATCCCTCTGAGACACAGGGTCCAGATCCGAATGCCCACCAGGGCAGAAGGGAGCACCAAACATCTGGGACCAGAGGTGGCATCAGTTTCCTCTAGCAGGATGGCTGCTAACACCTCCTTTCAGCCTGGTTCTCCCTTTGCAGTCTTCCACAGGTAAGACCGTCCCTCAGGGTCAGGTGGCTGGGAAAGCGGGCAGGGAGATTCCTGTCTTCACTCTGGCCAAAGGCCACTTTTGAAGAACTATGAGCGATGCTAGAGTCCTAATGTCATCCAGATGCAAACTTACTGACCCCAAGAACTCCTCCACCTGCCAAGGCCTCTACAAGAACCCACTGCTTCCTTCTAGGGAGCCCATCTGCTTTCAGGAATGTTCTAGAAGCTTTAGCCCAGCTGTAGAAGGCACACTGAGGGAACGCAGGCAGGTCCCCTGGCAGAATCTGTTCTTCCTATTCCAACAAAGATCTGTTGCAGGCCTTTGTGCTATTATGAATATTTTCCACATTTCTTTCAGTAGAACTGGCATTATTATAAACCAATGGTCAACAAACGTTTTTGTGAAGGCCCAGATGGTAAATATTTTAGGCTTTGAAGGCCACATGGTCTCTGTTGCAACTACTCAAATCTGCCCTTGTCATGCAAACACAGCCACAGACAATACATAAACAAATGTGGCTGTGTTCCAATAAAACTTTATTTATAAAAACAAATGGTGGGCCAGATTTGGCCTGTGGCCATAGTTTGCCAACCCCCATATTATAATTTCTCCATTCCATAGTTTATCTCTTCTTTTTATCCATAAACATCATAAAATCTTTCTTCAAGTTATCCCATTTATTTATTAAGGGAGAAAAGCATATATTGAGCATCTACCGTATGCTGGACACTCCAAGGCAGTAGAGGGGTGTAATCTGAACATCACAGACATGGTCCCTGTTCTCATGGAACTTAGCATCCAGTGTAGAAGACTGATGGAAAAGTGTTCACTCTTCTCTACTCCGCATCTTTCCCTCAAAATAACACCTAATCCCCAGCCAAGTGACTACATGCCAACATCAAAAGCTACTAAAAATTCTGCAAAACATTTTAAGAGGCATAAATCAATTACATCCATTAGTTGTCCCTTGGCTACAGGCCAGTAACCTCTCGAGAACTTCAACAGGTTTGTGAAAAATGAGTTGCCCTCCACCCTCACACAAGAATGTGAGCTCAAAAACAGGAGGGCAATGCTGGACCCATCCGCTCAATGCTGGCAGTGAAGGGCTCAAGCTCTCGGAAACAAGATAAACCTCAGCTTGAATCTAGGCCTCCACCCTATAAAACCATGATCAAACTATTTTTGCCTCTCTGAGCCCCACTTCTCCCATCTGAACACTGGGAATCATGATCACATTGTTGCACGTTGCAGGGATCAAATAAGTTAATGTTTGGAAGGAATTCATGACTGAGGCTGGCTTCTGGTAAACAATTATCACTGAGTTGCCACCAAGCCGCTAGGGGCAGCCCCAGGGGAAATCATCCCCTCCTCCTGCACAAAAGTGATTATCAAGGGTGCCAGAAATGCTCCACAAGTGTACAAGAAATGCCAAGAAGAATGAGATTGAGTCCAGGGACCATAGACAAAGAGGAAGAAACAAAGGAAGTAGAGGCAGGTTTGGGACTGCTGCCTCCCAGTCTACAAGGCAAGAGTACACAATGGAAAATCTTCATCACGGGAAGGCAGAAGATAGGCCGGTCTCATTCATGAGAACAGAGGTAGATATCAGAAGACCTGGCTCTTCAGTTACACGGCCAACTGACTCAGGTCAATCACACCTACAGACTTGTCTGCCTGCCCATAAAATAAAAGTCTTGAATGCAAGCAGACATTTTCCACCCATGTTCTGGGAAGCCGTACAGATTGATGAAGGCATCAGAGGATGTCGCCTCAGAGCATGGGGGTGCAGTGAACACCCCACATCCAACTCCCTGCACCCAGAGCCTGCCCCCTAGGATTCAGTATAGCCATTATGGTTCTACCTGGTATTGCATTTCATGCTAAAAAAAGAAAATTTTTAGACAATAAAAATAAGTGAGAGCTGGGCACAGTGGCTTACACTGGTAATCTCAGCACTTTGGGAGGCCAAGATGACAGGACTGCTTGAGGCCAGGAGTTCAAGACCAGCCTGGTCAACACAGCAAGATCCCCATCTCTACAAAAAAAATTAACATAACTCATCCTGGGGCTGGCGTGTGTCTGTCCTATACTTGGGAGGCTAATGCAGGAGGATCACTTGAACCTGGGAAATCAAAGCTGCAGTAAGCTACGATCGTACCACTGCACTCCAGCCTAGGCGACAGAGAGAGATGTTGTCTCAAAAAAAAGAAAAGAAGAAAGTATAAATGTGAAAAACCTTGAACAAGACCATCCTTGTTCAAGATCCTTCCAGAGGGCTCCTTCTGGTTCGGTGACTGTAAATGCTCCAGTTGGGAACAGAGCATCAAATGGGTCAGAACATGCAGCTTCTTTGGGTTGGCATCACCAAACTCCAGATGCTTTGGTGGTGTCTTTCTGAGTGTTCAGATCCAATGCTTAAGTCATAATCCTTTCCTAGTTTTTAACAGAATCTGTGTCTGTTTGTAAAAGTGTGGCCAAGTCCAGCATCCAGAGAGGCAGCCTCATAAGTGAGGGGAATACAGTTTATCTGAACCCTGGCTCAGGTCAAGGGTTGGTGCTTCAAGTGGCCTGTAATACAAGGGCACAAGTGTTTCATCACTGTACACTGGGAAAATTCCAGTAAGAGACCATTGATGCCTCTTAAACCACAAGTTTTTTTCTCTCCAGTAGGGTGTTGGGTTACTAAGGGTAGATCACCTTAAGTTTATCCAGAAAGAAAGGCAGGATGCTATTTCTACAAGAAAGGCTCAGAGGATCACACTCTTTAGGGGTGGGGCAAAGATGATGCCCTTTCCCCCTTCATGCCCCATAGGAGGTTGTAGAGGATGGTAGGTCTAAGGAAAAATCCAGGACTGGGATGGAAGGATAGGAGGAAACTCACATTTACTCAACAGGAAGTGGAGACGTCAAATCCATTATCTTGTCATATGGTTTGGCTGTGTCCCCACCCAAATCTCACCTTGAATTGTAATAATCCCCACGTGTCAAGGTCAGGGCCAGGTGGAGATAACTGAATCACGGGGGTGGGTTTTTCCCATACTCTTCTTGTGACAGTGAATAAGTCTCAGGAGATCTGATGGTCTTATAAAGGGCAGTTCCTCTGCACAAGCTCTCTTGCCTACCCCCATGTAAGACGTGACTTTGCTCCTCCTTGCCTTCTGCCATGATTGTGAGGCCTCCCCAGCCATGTGGAAACGTGAGGCCATTAAACCTCTTTCTTTTAGAAATTACCCAGTCTCGGGTAGGCTTTACTAGCAGTTATGAGAATGAACGAATACATCTTGGTACAGCCACAGCCCTCCCTATTAAGAAGCCAACCCCATCCCATTTTGAGGATGAGGCTCAGAAAGGATTTCTGTCAAGGAGAAAACTCAACCTGTCCCACCTGGCTGCAAAGGGCGTCACTGTACCCAAGAGGCAATCAATAAATATCAGCTGGTAGTCAAATTTCCTTTTAAAAATGAACAAATAAATAAAACACACAGGGTTGTTTTTTTTTGTACTTATATGTAGAAAGTACTAGAAGCTTATTGTGTAGTTCAGGTTGTTCTCAGTTCCAAAGCATCGAGATAGAGCAGACAGGAATCTGGTAATGATGAAATCTTTATTATAAAGTTGCTGCAATCCTCATAGAAAATATTTAAAGATATAAAAAATTGCTTATTATAAAGCAACATGAGGCAATTACCTATCTACATTCCGAAAATAAAAATGTTCTTCTGGCAGCAGAGCTCCTGTTTGCAAATTGAACAGAAGCGTAAGGCGCCAGTCAGACAAGAAGAAATACAAATAGAAAAGCACAGGCAGGACTGCCTTCTCCTGTTTTGAAAATACAAATTTAGCCAGGCCTGGTGGCTCACGCCTATAATCCCAGCACTTTGGGAGGCCGAGGTGGGCAGATCACGAAGTCAACAGATCAAGACCACCCTGGCCAACATGGCGAAACCCCGTCTCCACTACAAATACAAAAATTAGCTGGGTGTGGTGGCGTGCACCTGTAGCCCCAGCTACTCAGGAGACTGAGGCAAGAGAATCACTTGAACCCGGGGAGTGGAGGTTGCAGTGAGCCAAGATCGTGCCATTGCACTCCAGCCTAGGCAACATAGCGAGACTCCATTTCAAAAAAAAAAAAAAAAGAAAATACAAATTTGTTCCAACACAATTTATATATCAGGGAATAATTTGAGCATAACGCAAATTTTGCATTTTCTTGTGCACAATTTCGTCCATGAGAAGCACTAGATGAATGCAGAAAGCTAAAGCTGCACCTAAGTAAACTGAGCCATGCAGGAATAAACAGACACACACACACACACACACACACACACACACACTTCCTCAAACACCCATGAGCTCCCCCAGTTCACCAAGCGAGTGTGTTCTGGACCACACTTGTGCACAACTTTCAGAAAAACCTATTTCACAACCCCACAATAATTACTAGCCCTTCTCACATCTACTTCCACAGGCCAACTTTCAGTCTTTTTTAAGGTAAAGTGCCACATTTATTGTAGGAATTATAGATTTCTTAACCATCTTGCATGTGCAAAACTGTACTACCATCCCTTTTTTCACTGAGCCACTGACAACATTTTTGATTTTGTACCCCAATCCTACTTTTTCCGTAAGCCCTATTTTTTAATTACATGATTATGGACAGCAGGCTGATTTTTTTTTTTTTTTTAACATGGAGTTTCACTCTTTCGCCCAGCCTGGAGTGCGGTGGTGCTATCTCGGCTCACTGCAACCTCCGCCTTCCTGTTTCAAGTGATTCTCCTGCTTCAGCCTCCTGAGTAGCTGGGATTACAGGCACGTGCCACCACGCCTGGCTAATTTTTGTATTTTTAGTACAGACGGGGATTTCGCCATGTTGGCCAGGCTGGTCTCGAACTCCTGACCTCGTGATCCTCCCGCCTCGGCCTCCCAAAGCACTGGGATTACAGGTGTGAGCCACCATGCCTGGCCTGGCAGGCTGATTTTTAAGAATGCTCAAGTCATATTATAGCAGAACTTACTGCTAAATGTTCTTCCATGGCTTATTTAATTTTTAGAGGAAGTACACAGTACTACAAATTGGTACAACCCTTCCAGCAGTCACATAACAATATTTACCAAGTTATGTCCATATCTTTGAACCAAGTAATTCGACAGAATTTACTCTAAGGACATAATTGAATAAGAAAACAGAAAGATGATGTGCACTAAAGTGTTGATTGTGACACTGACGTGGATGTGCGTGTGTTTGTGTGCATGTGTGCAAAGCCAGCAAACATTTTAACTGAAAAGACTATGTAACCAAGTAGTAAATAACTACAGTATATTGTTCAGTGAATAGAAAATAAAAATGTGTGTAAACAGGTTAACTGTATGAAAACAAGGACACAGAGGACAATAATGATTTTAGTTGTATTGTCACGATAGGATTGAAGGTGATCTATTGTACATCTTGAAAAAATCCCTTAATGTTATAATACTGCTTACACACACACACACACATACACACAGAGAACTGTGTTTAAATTTTTTTAAAAGCTAAGTCACCAAGAAGTGTTTTGAATATGCTAATTTTCGGTTTTGTTAAAAATCAGAAATAGTTCTTCACTGCATATCATATACCCAGCACAGTATTTATTTCGAGATGTGAAGGAAGTAATTTGAAATTTTAGTTTCATGAATACATATTTTTGTAACAGTACAAATCTGAATCCTGAACTACAGCTGGTAATCTTCAGTTTGTCACTAAAACTAATTTGCAGCCCTGCTGCTTGCTGTAAATATGGAAACAATAGTCCCTTTGCAACTCACAAACATGCAGGGCAAAACATACCAATGGAAAGTAAAGGTTGTGCTACGCGACTGGCAAACTGGACAGTGCTTGCACGCAGGCTGTGTTATTGGGTGAAAACCAGGTGGGAGGATTTGTTTCAAGCGGCGCTGTTACCAGGAAGACAACTTTCTGGACAAAGCAGATGGCCAACAAGAAGTGGGGCATTTTCACGTTAACAAAATCAACCGCCCAATAGATTCTGTGAACAATATAAAGTACGTATCTTGAACCATTTGTGTCAGAAGCTCCAAGTCAGCCCAATCTCCCAGGCAGGGAAGCAGACGTTGACAGCTTGTGGAGGGCTGCATGCACACCTGGGAGGGGGCAAAGGTGGGGACTGCTTTGAGTGCTTAACAGAGCGTCCTGTTTTTATTAACACTTGAAGTTAATAAAAGAGTTGACATTTCCCATACGCAAAAGCTTTCTCCTCCTCTGAACACGCAGGATGCAAAGTGGAAGAGAGCTCAAGGTTTGGATCCTGACAGCTCTGATTTTTAATTTGAGCTACATGCTGTGTGACCCACAGCAAATTCCTCTACCTCTCTGAGCCTTCCTTTCATCTTCAGAAATGTAGGGATAACAGTCTGTCTCCAATGGTTGTTCTAAGTATTAAATGTTTGAAAAGGCAACACACCTGGCCCTAAGAGGCGCTTAATAAATACTCAGTAAATCTGAAGCATAGTGTTTCAAGGGACACTCCTGCCACCTGTACTCCCAATCCTGGGCCCTTGTCTGATGTACCTAGCAAGAGCATAATGCCCTGGCTGACCACACTCAGTATGGCACTGCGGAATAGAGACGTCAACGGGACCCTGAATTATCCATTATCCAACCGACAGGGGAGAAGGACACCCATATATATGTGTGTGTATATATATGTGTATACACATATATATATGTATGTATATATATGTGTGTATATATGTGTGTATATATATGTGTGTATATATATGTGTGTATATAGATGTGTGTGTATAGATGTGTGTATATAGATGTGTGTGTATATATATGTGTATATATGTGTATATATGTGTATATATATGTGTGTACATATATGTGTATATACATGTGTGTATATATATGTGTCTTTGTGTCTGTGTGTGTATATATATATATATATATATATATCTCCAAACCACTGCTCACTGTGATTTAACTGAATGCAATTAAATTTGCGTATGTTTTAAAATAATGTCCAGAGAGTCCCTGAAACGTAGCCACTGGATCACCTGGAGACCATGCATAAGACCCCCAGTGCAAACTATCCCTGCCTGGTGTCCTTTGTGTACCCTTACAAGTCTCTCCTGGTCTATTCGTCAATGTCACAACATTGCTGGTCCCTGGCTGCTCTCCATGTCGGCTGCGCCTCACATCTCCCTGTTTCCTCACCACCACAGCAAGAAACTGAACCCTCTCAGATGTGAATGAGGCAAAAATGAGCCCAAACCCAGCAGCAGGATGGGGCAGGGGCGTCTCCTTCCACCGTGTGGGAGAAGTGGGTGGCTGGAGGCAGAAAGAAGGTGGACTCCATAGGTCTCTGCGAGGTGCTTGGAAAGGAAAACCAAACCACAATGGCCCCCAAAAGGTGCCTATGGGTAACACAGCCCTAAGCTACAGTGTACAGCTCTGGGATGAATGGGAAATGCATGGCTTAAAGACAATGCAGTCAACAAAAAGGACTGTGTCCCAATGCCATCAGACATAAGATATCTGCTTCCTTTCATCTGATGTATGTAAGATGCATGACCGGCTCTGAATTTTATATCCCCTGGGTGTTGCAAGCTTAGTAAAGCCCAGCCCAAAGGGGTACCAGCTTCCTTGATAGCAAATGTGGACTTCCTGCTAGTACCCAACAGAAGGGACAAGAGGAAGGAGGAGAGGCACACAGATGTCCGAAGTCAAATGCACTCCAGGTCCAGGTTGTGGCTTCGCTCATTGTTTTCAGCTGCAGACAAGAGGTGTTCCAAGGTCCTCAGCAGCCCTGCTTACTTATACAAGAATATCCCTTCAGAGACTGCGTTCCTTGACGGTATGGCCCATGATCTGCTGCAGTCTATGGCTTTTTCTACCTCTCCTCCTGCTCATAATGCCCTGTGCAATGTCTGCTACACTGCAGGCATTTAATAAGCGCTAGGTGGCTGGAAAGATAAATGCACGGATAAATATGTAGCTGGATGAAGTTACAAAACAAGCTGTGAGAGGCTCTGAGAACAGTGCATTGTGGGAGAAGTCTGCAATCATTCAAGAGACTCAATCAGATTGTCACATGCCATTTGTAGACACACCTCCAGAAGACTGGTAGCATTTTTTAGTTAAATCAAATGGCCTTTCAGATGCACTGTCACCACAGCCATAGGTTACTGTTCAGGATGTTCCATTGGGATATTAAAGCTTAGCCCAGAGCACCAAAGGTCCCTCTGAACCATTGATGAGCTCTAATCAAAGATTCCTCGGTGGGGGATGACCGGCCTCAACACAATCTTCTCTACCATCCTATGGCTGGGTGTGGGTATTTTGCACAGATGAACACATTAAGATCTCCTGTCTTCTAATAATGTGACCTTGCTCCGCTTCCCATCAACTGGTAGGGTCTATGCCCCCTCCCCTTGAACTGGGTGTACATTTGAGACTGTCGTGGCCATAGGGAAGTGACCCTATGTGACTTCTATGGCTATATCATAAAAGTGACATTCATTTCCACTCTGCTCTCCTGGGATGCCCATTCTTGGAACTCAGGAGCCATGCTGTGAGGAAGCCCAAGCAAGCCCTCACGGAGAGACTACATGCAGGTGTGCCAACCGACAACATAGCTCAGGCCCCAGTCAAGAGCCAGGATCAAACAGCAGATGTCAGAATGAATGTGCTTCCAGACGGGTCAGCTGCCAGCCTTCAGGTCTTCCCAGCAGAGGTGCCGAACATTGTGGAGGAAAGACAAGCCATTCCCACGTTGCCTATCTAAATTCCTGACCCTCAAAACCTGTGAGCATTAAAAATTTTTTAACACTACTAATTTATAGGTGGTTTGGAATATTTATATATTCAAATGTAAACTGGAATACTGGAACTTAAGCACTGTCCCAGTCTCACGACCCAGACCCCTTAGCTTGACCCTTGACACTAAGCTTCCATCCTGGTATCCCCTAAACTGCAAGCTGGGGGATACCTGTACCATCAGATACTTTTTAGGTTCTTACTACCTAACACCAATAAATCAAGAAAAAAAAAGCTGCAAGAGAAGATTTTGAATGTTCCCCACACGAAGAAATGATAAATGTTTGAGGTAAGGACATGCTAATTAACCTTATTTGATTGCTATACATTGTATACACATATAGAAATATCACTGTGTATCCCATAAATATGTACAATTACTATATGTCAACTAAAAATAAACGGGAAAAATAAAAAAATTTAAAATAAATCAAGAGGCTGCTGCCCACCTGGCTGGTTACTCACTATTTATATATCTGTTGTTGTGTCTCCTGCAAGACGTAAGACTTC
Source organism: Homo sapiens (assembly GCF_000001405.40). NCBI lineage: Eukaryota > Metazoa > Chordata > Mammalia > Primates > Hominidae > Homo > Homo sapiens. Next base: position 80,714,590 of record NC_000016.10, read on the forward strand.
CTAAATTTGCCACAAGTTATGGTCACCTCAATAAAGCCAATGACCCTATCCCCGACCCTAACTTTCTCTGCTCCTACCCCATAAAATCCCAGCATACCTTACATCAATGCCATCCTGGAACCCTGACAAGAAATATCTCTGCATTCTACGCTCAATCCAACTAGCTCCAAGGCTCCTGAGGGTTGCTCAGTGACAGGATAAATTACCCAAAAATAAACTACCAACGTGTTTCACCAAAAGCTCCATTTTTGGAGATCAAATGAAAGGTGAGCATTTACAAAGCTCCTTTAGTGGCCAGGCAGATTTCTCGAGCAGGATTAAAAGGTGTTTCCATCTGTCCCCCCAAGTAGGATGTAGTCAAAGCCTCAGACCATGACCAGAGCTGTGGAGTCACTAAGGATCAGAGACAGAATCCCCAGAGAGAAACATCAACAGACACTGACAGGGTAACTAAGCTCATGCAAGTGAGCGGACATGCCTTACTCATCTGGAGGAGCAACTGGAGATGAGATCAAAGTAAGTGTAACTGCAGTACGGTACACAAGCAGAACTTCGACCCAAGCCATGGATCTAACAATGGCCATGTGGGTCAGGTCAGCAAAGAGGAAGAAATGTTGTGTCTGGCTCAGGCACTGACGTGGGCTCCACAGCACATGATACAGTTCTGTGTCCTTGGCACTGGCCTGAGGATACAGGAATCCTTGTGGGACCCGGAGTCATGATCCCACCATAGTCAACAATGATTGAGGGCTCTGGAAGACCATAACCACCAACAATACCCCAACTAATCCAGTTATCCAAGGCGAGGAGCCATTCTGACAACCAGAGGGCCCTCATCCTTACCTCCACTTCCAAGATTTGCAATTTTACCTCCTGAATGTCTTTGCAAGACATTTACAGACACTCATGGTTCTCCAGTGGCACTGCCCTGCTGTGGGACACCAGCTCTCATAGCAGCCTCCAAAGGAAAATCTCTGCACCCCTCCGGCCTCCCTTTCCTCCACTCTCACATTGCCTCCAGAGGAATTTTTTTTTTCATAATGAAAATCTGATTGTGTCCCCAACTCCCTCTCCCTGTTTAAAACCCTCCATTGCTCAAATGAGAACATGTAAAACCCTTAAAATGGTGTATAAGCCCTGCACAGTTTGGTATCTACCTGCACTTCCTGCCCCTTCACCTTCCATCTCCTCCTCACTCTCTGCCCTGCAGCCACTCTATGGAATCATCCATGGCCCCAAACCTCACCTCAGTGCCTGGCCCTTGTGCCCTGGAAAGTCCTTTCATTCCCCATCCCTCTTCCTCTAACTCCTACCCACCCCTAGATGGAAGAAGAAGTAGATTCTAAGCCAGACTTCCTAAGCCCAAAACCCAGCTCTGTCGCCGACCTGTGGTTACGCCCTTGGGCAGAGAGCTAAATCTCTTTATGCCTCAGTTCCTCATGGGGATGATAATCATTCCTCCTTCATGGGATCATTATAAGGATGAAAAGTCAGTCCATGCAAATCAGGTAAAAATAATTGTAACAAGGCCTGGTACATAAAAGGAATTCAGTGACTGTTCACTCCTCATTCTTATCTCAGCTCAAATATCACTTCATCAAAGAGAAGCCTCCTCTGTGGCTCCCCACACTAAGATTCCTCATATATGCTATTTCCTTCCAAGTACTTACATCATAATTATACATCCTTTATAGGACTACTTGATTAATGTGTATCACAAGAGCAGGATACATGTCTGGTTTTGCTCACACTATATGCCAAGACTTACCACAGCTCCTGACATACTGGATGGCTGGGTAGATGAATGAGTGGGTGGGTGGATGGATAGATGGGTGGATGGGTAGGTCGATGGATGGATGCATGGATGGATGAATGGACGGATAGCTGGATGAACAATGGGTGGGTGGATGGAGGGATGGATGGATGATAAATGGATGACTGGATGAATAGATGACTAAATGGATGATAATGGATAGATGACTGAATGAATGGACAGACAGATGGATCAATGGATAGATGATGAATGGCTAGATGGGTGGATGGATGGATGGATGATACATGGATGACTGGATGAATAGATGATTGGATGGATAACAGAGGGGTAATTGAATGAATGGATAGATATAGTGATGGATGGATAATGGATGGATCGATGGATGGATGATAGATGGATGACTGGATGACCAGATGACTGGATGGATGATAATGGAGGGGTGACTGAATGAATGGCTGAATAGATGGATGAATGGATAGATGATGTATGTAATGTATGTATGGATGGATGGATGACTGGATGGATGGATGGATGGATGGATGATTGAATGGACAGATGGATAGACAGATGAATGGATAGATAATGGATGGATGGGCAGATGGATGAGTGGATAGATGATTAGATGAATGGATGATTCAATTGATGGATGGATGGATGGATGGATGGATGGATGGATGCACGGATGGATGGATAGATGGATGATTAAATGGATAAATGGATGGGTGAATGATTGGGTTGACAAATGGATGGAGGGATGAATGAATGGATGGGTGGACTGGATCGATAGATGGATGGATGGATGGATGGATGGATGGATGGATGGATGGAGACAGCCCTGCTGACACACAGTGTGGTGACTAGCCATTCTTACTATTCAACTTTAGGCCCAGCAGCTTCACCTTCAGGAGCTACCCAGAGTCCTAGACTGCCTTGTATGTCCTCTATGACGATCTTGAATTATCACCAGTTCTCTTTCCTACATCATTATTATTCTTACAAAAAGATAGCAACATGGCTACAGGGGGCTGGATATCCTGGTGGCAATAAAGTAAGAAACTTCAAAGACAACATACTGAACACAGCCACTGCCACCAGGGAAGGTGGATGGAGACAGAGGTAACCTGAGCTGGGGCAAATGACAGCCCCCAGTCCTCTTCCAAAGATTTCACTAGGGTGAAGACTGCTTTACCTCTTTAGGAACCATGAAGAGAAAACCCCTGAGAGAAACTGGAGACTGAACCAGACACCTTCTCCAGTCTCCTCCACGATCTGGGAGGCAACAAGTATTCATGAGATCTGCTAGGGGCATGGAGCAGTGAAGTGGACAGACAAGGCCCCTGTCCTTGGGAAGTTGGCCAGGATATGTAAAAGGCAGACAGGAAATAAATAATTAAAATAAATGATTAACTAATTGCATGTGTGCAAAGCAAATACTGAAGCCAGGAGGACTCCCCATCATATGCTAGAAATTCCCTGGCATGCAAAATGTGACAAAGTTCCTAGAACAGTTATCCCACATGGTTCGTGGAAGCAAAAGTAGGGCACACTGAGCAGGCATGTCTGTTTCTAATAAGTTTCTCCACTTGCAAGGTCAAGGATGCTGTGAGGCACATTCAGTGTGCATCTGCTGTCTCACGCTGGGTGCTTTCTCAAGCAGTTACCAATCATCCTGACAAACCCAGGAGGGGCTATTATCTCTACTTTACAGATGTAGCAACTGAGGTTCAGAAGGGTTAAATCAGAGTCCAAAGGCCACATGACCAAGGCAAGAACAAAACCTAAGACTGTCTCCAAAGCCCGTGCTCTTTCTGCTATACCAGGCTGCATAGGGAGTGAGAAGTGAGTTTTGTTTTGTCTTCACACAAAATTGAAGGACCAATTTGAAGTAAAATATTAATCTAAAATCTTCATTGTCAAAATCATCTTAAAATAAAATTCATTACTTGTTTAAAGATGGATGGCAAACTCACATAATAGTTAAAACTGAACTATTACCTTATGTGCACAATCCCATTTAATCCTCACATCAACCCACTGAAGGGGAGGTTAGGACTATCATACCTAATTTACAGGTGTGGAAACTGAGGCTGTGAGAATTAAAGTGCTCACCCTAAGAGCCAAAAGTTGAACCCAAGCCTGCCCACTCTGATGCCTAAGATCTGCATCACCTGGCTATATTAAAACAGAGCTGATTTACTGCTCCGTGACAAGGCAAGCTGGATGGCAGCCAGGCTCAGGAGCTAGAATTGGCCACTATGGAAAAAGAATGCAGCTGAAGGAGCTGGAAGTCCAGTCTGGCAAGTGTAACCTGACACTCAAGGCCACAGCAGTAGATGGTAGGTGGTGTCCCAACAGACACGTGGATAGTGGGATGGAGAACCCAGAACAATGGGCCAGAGGGCAGCATCCGGAAATCCTGCCCAGCAGCCACACCGCTGTTGGAGACAGAATCCCAGTCCCTAAAAGAGGTACTGACAAGAGCAGGGGAGCGCCTGGGGTCTAGAGACACAGGGAGGCCACTAAGGAGGGAAGGACTTAGAGCCAGGGAACAATGTAGGGATCCAGAGAGCAGAACCAGGAAACCAGATAGAATTGTTCTTGGCAGTAAATCCAAAGTTGTCAGAACTAGGGCATGAATACTGGGCTTGACGACTTAACGCTCCCAGAGAATTGGGCAGCAGCTCCTGAGATTCCCCAGGGACTCCTTGGAAGCGAACATTACTCATTCATTCCTTCAGCAAGTACTGAACACCTGTTACGTGCCTGGCCAATGCAAAGCCCTAGAGATAGAGTGCTGAGCAAGAAAGACACAGTCACTGACCCCCGTGAATGCAAAGGCAATGTTTCTCAAACTGGAGTCTGAGGATCCCCAGAGGTACCTGTAAAACTGAAGATTCCCAGGCCCCGGAAGAGGCTGGGAGCAGGAATCTGTGTGGGCCTTGAGCAAGTCTTCTAACTGCTCAGTGCCTCCGTTTCTCCATTTGTAAATGGGACTAGGAACACGAATGACCCACAAGTTGCTGTATTAAGTGAGTGCACTCAGCACAGGGTAGGGGCTTGACACAAGCCAGGATCATCATGATCTTCATCATTTTAATTTTCTACATCATCATGGAGGAATAGGGGTTCATTTTAACAAGACCCCTCGTCATTTGTGTGCACTAAATTTTGAGAATCACTAGATAATTTTCAGCTCTGCAGGCAGTTCCTGCTTCCATCACATGGGGCCTAGCCAACAACTTAGAATTGAGACAAACAAGTATCTGTACCTTGGGTTGCCCAGGAGAAAACAAGGCCACCCAGACCCCAATTCTGAACCCCTATGTCTTGTCCTCTCTACTGTGAACCCAGACACAGTGGCAGGAAACAAGGAGGCTGTCGCCACCAAGCTTCACACTATGTAGTCATGAAGACAGGAAGTGCCTTGTTCACAGCCCGTGTCTGTCCACACAGGGATGATGACAACAGAATCAGCCCAAGAGGGTACCAAAGACATTGTTGGGACCTGCCTTGGCTACCTGCTGTCCAACCCTGGCCCTCCCCTGGCATAGAGAGGCCAAAGGCCCTCCTCTGTACCCAAACCCTGATCATCTGGGAAGGGATTCAAATCTATCATTGATATTCCCTGTGGCTGGCTCATTTCCCAACAGTGTCCCCTCTCCCATGCCTTGACACTGTAAAGCCACCAGCCTTTAGTGGTCGAGCAAATAATATTTAGGCAGAAATGGGCAGGTAGAGAATGAAACTGGGAACATAAGAATTTGAGCCATCTCTCGGGCCCTGAAACTACACAATATCCACACAGATCCAGGAGGGGAACACTTGCTCAGAGGGCCCTTCTTCCAGTTCCCCTCATGACTCCCCTCTCTGTGGACATGCCTGGATTCCGTGCTGAATCCTGGAAAGCACCTATAGTCATCGGCACTCTAAATGCCAGAACATCAAGGAAGCAAAGAGACAAAAACTAGGCACTGGGTTTTGCCCCGCAGATTTGATGTCAATCCCTGCCATGACTGTGAACAGTCACCATGTAGTATCCAATGACCAGGTAGAGCAAAAACAACCTATTCTCACAAATGCCTCTGACAAACCTTGTCATCAGTGTCATTTGACTCCAACAGGAAATACTCTAGAAAGGAGGGTATGCTCGTCTACAGAGCAAGGACACTGTTCTCTGCTGACAACTCTTTAAAAGTTGAGGGTATTTTGCTCAGGAGTATCCATCCCCATTAATCCCTTCAACGTGGCTTCTGAAACAAGATGTTGCTGCTGGGAAAACATGCTCCTGGCATTTCTTCCTGGGATTCAGGGTGCATTTTCCTCTTGGACCAATGTATAAATGAGTGTAGGCAGCAGCTGATAATGCCACTTATTATTACTTTCATTCAGCAGCATTAGTGAGTGAAGATTTCAGTAGGCTGGCCTGGGAATCCTGCTACCACTTGTAATGTTGTTTCTGGTTTAAAAATATACCCTGAGAGCCGTCCGCTTCAGAAATTGAGCATGTGTGGTTGCTGAAAGGCTTTCTTTAGAGTCACAAGTGGGGTAACTTATCTTAAATAAGGGAATAGACTAAAATAACCAGAAAGAACCCATATCATTTCATTATAAGGAAGTGGCTACAGAGAGAAAATAATGAGCTCATCCTGGAGAGACCCTAAGTGCAGTAAACACATTTCCGCCAAGACCCCAGGAAAATGTCAGCTCCTCCCCAGCAGTTAGGGGCTTCCTTCTCAGTGCCCCCACTTCTTGACCAAAACAAGAAGTACAAAAATCCCAGTGCTACTAAGAACAACCAATGACAGAATAAGAGTGCTAAGAAACTAATCACTGTCATGTGCTAGCTGTTTGCTGTCTGCACATGTTAGATATTTTACTTGCAGTAATTTATTTAATCCTCCCAACAGTCCTCTGAGGTGGTGACTCATTCCCATTTGATACCTAAGAAAACCGAGGCTCAGAAAAATTAAAGGGTTTGCCTGAAGTCATGTAGCAAACACACGCTGGGGCCTGGATTCAAAATCATCCCTGATTCACAAGCTTCTTTTCCAAGGCATGAGCAGGTTTGGGCAGCAAAATAGTATCAGATGGGGAAGTCCTTCCATCAGTGACTATTTGGGAGAGTGGCGATCATGACTCTCCAAACTGCTTCTTGAGCTCTGGGTTCTGCCTTGTCTGCAGGAGCCCAGTCATCCTTTGCAAAGCCAAGCTGCTGGTGACCACTTTCTTCTAAGCAGGTTTATATCTAGCACGTGATCCACCATATTCCACTGATTCTAAAATATGCACAGTTTCCCATTTTATCATCTCTGTAATCAGGATTGAAATCAAGCATGCCTAACAATGGCCCAGCTAGACCACCCTTCAGCTTCTCCAGGACTGAAGCTGAGCAGTGACCACAGGGAAGACAGAAGATACAGCTGCTCTGTCCCCTCCCCGGTGACCATCCCCATCCTTCTCCTGGTGCCATGCAGTCCCCACAGTTCCTTTGCCCTGTCCACCTCTCCCCAAACTCACTGAACCTGCTGGGCTGCAAATTCAGGGACTGTATTCCAGGCACAGCGACGAAGAGGTCCTAGCCACTACCCAGTTCTGGTGTCTGTTAGCTGTTACAAAATTCTCAGGAGACCCTTCTTTGAGGAAGAAGTGGTTATGGACCCCTCAGGAGCTGAGAGAATGTCTAAAAGGGCTCTATAAACAAATTAAAATAAAAATTCCCAGTGATAAGGAAGCATTGAGTCATATAATAGAGGTGTTTCTTTTAAAAGTACAATGATTCTTAATATTGGCTGCAAAATAGAATCACCCAAAGAGGTTTTTAAATACTGATTTAAAAAAAAGAAGAAAATGAATAAAATGAATAAATAAGTGAATGAAAAAACCAATGTCCACCCCCCAGATTACTGATGTTATTGATCTGGAGCAGGGCTGGGCACCAAGACATGTGAAAGCTCACTAGGTGATTCTATTATTCAGAGGTACATAAAATAACAGAGCATCTTATAATCTGTAGTGTCTTAGAGTCAATGAAAGCAAACACACTGCTGAGTCCTGAGAATTTACCCAGGAACTCACCCTGATCTCCCAAACACTTCCCAGCTCCTCTGGATGAGACACCTTATCGAGCCAACAACGGCAAAGTCATCAACAACGGAATGGGCACACAAGCTGCATGTATATTGTATCTGTAATTGTCAGAACATAACTAAGCCTAGTTTTCTTAGGCCTATTTTACAGATTAGAAAACTGAGGATCCAAAAAGTCAAAGTTGCCCAAGGTTACAGAGGAAGAAACTGACAGACATCCGAAAACCAGGCCCTTTTCAAAACACCACACTGACTCTCCAAGATACTGTGCTCCTTCTTTGTACAGGGCTAGGAGCTGGAATTCAAGGATGGATTAACCACAGTCCATGCACTCTTCAATTTTATAATCCATGCCAGGAGACAGACTACGGCCCTACTCATGAGCATACCTGGTGCCCTAAGCTTCCAACATACAAAGGGTTGAGTTCACAGGAGGGAAAATTATTCTTGGCTGGAGGATTCAGTCCCCATAGAAGAGAAGACTCGGGAGTTGGCCCTTAGAGGGCAAGGAGGATTTCCACAAGCAGAGCAGAAGGAGAAGACATAGAGGGGCCATGGGGCCATAACCCTTTTCTGCTGCAGGGTGAAGCCTCTGAACTGCCACACTCGGCAGGGCGCTTTCTACAGTCCCTGTGGACTATGTACCCACCACAGGCACCTCCCTGGGCTACCCATTTGCTTCCAAGTGCACTTAGATGTGTGGTCTATAGGCCCAGGAATTCCTGGAGAGAGGAAAAGCCGCCCCAAGAAGCCATCTCAAGGCATCTCCTCTCGGAGCTTTTCCTCCTGGCACAAAGGCTGCATTCACCTATGTATGGCTCCTACACAGGGAGCTGTGCCCAGAAGGGTTGTATTAAGTAAACCCTAGCTTGGCATCAAGTCCAGCTTTGGGCTTGCAGCGCTGAGGAGCTGAGATGAACATTCAATTTACAGTTTGCATTCTGTCTGTGGCTGAATCTGAGGTGCAAGCTGGGATGTTTCTAAGTAAGAACACTAATTCCGGCTTCTAAACTCCAGGTTCCCCAAATGCAAACTCTCCAAGTGTCAGCCTCACCCAAGAGCCACCACAGCCCAGGTGAGACTGACCCCATGCCCCAGCACACTGATCTTATCCCAATGAGATACTGATTCCACAGGATAGTCCCCCATGTTCCTTAGGATAAAGTCAGCAAACCATAGCCTACAAGCTGCATCCAGCCTAACAGCTGCTACAGTAAATAAAGTTTTATTGATAACACAGCTGTGCCATTCGTTTACATACTTCTATAGCTACTTTCAAAACTGCAGAACATGAGTAGTGGTGACAGAGACCAAATGACCTGAAAAATTGAAAATATTTACTCTCTGGCATTGGTAGAAAGTCTGCCAATTCCTGCTGAAGAAGAAGAAACAGAGGAGAGTGAGGAACAGGAGAAAGAGGAGGAAGAGGAAGGGAGAAGGAAGAAGAGGAGAAATGGGGGGAAGGAGGAGAAGGAGTGGAGAAGAAGAGGAAGAGGAGAAAAAGGGGGGAGAAAGAGGAGGGAGAGAGAGGAAGAAGCAAGGAGAGAAAGAGGAAGAAGCAAGAAGAGAAAGAGGAAGAGGGGAGGAGGAAGAGAAAGAAGATGAAGAGGAAGAAAGAAGGAAGAGGAGGAAAAGAGGAGAGGAAGGAAAAAGAAGAGGAAGAGAAAGGAGAAGAAAGAAAGAGGAGATAAAAAAGAAGAGAAAGAAGAAGAGGAGGAGGAGACAAAGAGGAAGAGGAGAGGAGGAGGGGAAGGAAGAGGAGAAGAAAGAGGAAGAGGAGGGGGAGAAAGAGGAAGAAGATGAGGAGAAAGAGGAAGAGGAGGAGGAGAAAGGAAGAGGAAAGAAAGGAGAAGAGAGAGAGGAAGATGGGAAGAGGAAGAGGAGGAGGAGGAAGAAATGGAGTAGAAGGACCTAGAGAAATTATTTCTGTCTTAGCATTGCTATCAGGTGGCTCTTTTTTCTATGCCATTAAGGTTCTCTCTCTCAAAGAAAAAATCTGTAAAACTCTGGAGCTCTTCTACTCCCTGCAGCATGAAGATCCTGACTCCTTGTCATAGTTCATGAAGACCCCTAACACTCTCCACCCACCTCAAGCACATAACACACACATGACACACATGTGGCACTTCATGACCTGGCATGAACTATATCAGTGTGTATTGCCTGTAATATTGTTTTATGAAGGCTTTGTTTCACATACATATACACACATGCATTTGTGTACTAGGCCCATGATACAACATAGATTTCTTTCTATAGTTCACAGTCAAGAAAGTTTGAAAGTCATGACACTAACACTGTGAATTACATCTCAGATCCATCCACTTCTCTGCATCACCAAGTCACCAAACCTCTCACCCAGACCTTTGTGGCAGCTTCCCACATGGTCTTCTTGTCTACAGTCTTGACCCATGGCCAATGTGCTCTTCATAGGGTGGCCAGGGGAATCTTTTAAACTGTAAAGCCAACTCTGTAAGATCGTGTCCTCAAACCCTTTGGTGGTTTCCCACTGAACTAAGAATGAAATCCAGACTTCTGAGCAGTCTACTGAGTTAAGCATGGTCTAGATGCCACCTGCCTGCCCCACTCCTGGACCACACTTCAACTGAGTCACCTTCTATCGGTTCCAAGGACATGTTCTGTCCTTTCCCACCACAGAGCCTTGGTGGGCATTGTTCCCTTTCACTGGAACACTCTGAACTCCCATACACCTGTGCAACACATACACATACACATACACATACACATACACACACACATACACACACACACTTTGCCTCACCAACATCTATTCATCCCTTCAGTCCTAGTTTAATGTCACTTCCTTGGAGCATCTTCCCTGACATCCCTGACATCTTAGATAAAATTGGAGACCCGCATATTTGAGCACTCTTTTCTATCCCTTTACAACACTTATTGCAACAGTAATTAGCGATTTGTGGGATTCATGGTGACGATCCACTTCTACCCCTAGACTGCAAGCCCCATGTAGCTGGCTCTATATCTGTCCTGTTCACTGCTGTGTCCCCAGCATAGCTCCTGGCCCACAGTAGGTGCTCAGGAAACATTCATTGGATAATTGAGTCTACAAATCTCATCCTACAGTCTACGAATCTCAGTCCACATATTTCAAATTCTTACTTTCATGTCCAAGAACTGTGCTTAGTTGCTGTGGCCTAAGCTACATGCAGAAGTTCCAGCAGTCCACAAGAAACTCTGTACGACTGACCTGAGAAACCCTAACCCGGACTGAACTGAAAAAACACTTGGCATATTTTGCTCCTGAAAGCCAGCCAACCACAGTGTGAGTAACGCGCTTTAGCAACAAGCACGCTGCCCGCTATTCAAGAGGACTGGAATCTGAATTCTACGACCCGGATGAGGGAATCCCCATTTTTTTCAAATTCTCACTTGTTACAAAAATTATTGGTGCCATTCAACCCACAGCTTCTAAGACATTGGGGCATGAAGTTTTCATCTTCTGAAGTGGGATGACACTTAGTCACTCACCTGCTCTTACAAAGGCCAACTGTTAAGTGTTCCTTAGAATTTATTTAAGCTTCCTCCATTATGTATGTCTGAGTCACAAAAAGACAGTGACATCTATTTTAAGTTCAAAAATAATTTGCTAATCCAGAAAATAATGTCAAGTTTGATGAAATAAGATTGCTCATCAGTTCAAACGGTTGAGGCAGGATAATGGGTTCATAGGAGTTCCGTATAAGATTCTATTTTTGCGTACATTTAAAATTTTCCACATACATGTTGCAAAGGGATTTGAGGAACATTTTGTAACTCAAATCAATATTCATCCATAGGTTTTCTCCCAGTAAGAAGCATTTGTTTTTAAAACCAACAATGAAATGAAAGACTTCATAAAACAAAGACACTGATTTTGGCACAACAAACAATAACTGTATAAATCCTACTGTAATTTACTATAACATTTTACTAAAATAACATTGAATTCTGAAAAAAATTTCTAATTGCTATGTATTTTAAAACTGAAGTTCTATTTAGAGCAAGTTTTAAACAATTAAAAATTTAATCCCAAGTACAAAGCTTGACATGCAATACATATTTACTGAATGAAAGATCAGCCAAGGCATCTTTCCTCATTAAACTGCAACTATTTGTTAGCTTAAACACAAAGAAAGAGATGAATAATACCTAGCATTCAGATCTTGGTTCTAATATCATTCTCCAATAAAAGGAGCAAGGGCTTCTTAGAAAAATGTTTGACTCTAGGGTTGAAACATGGAATATACAAAATGAGCCTGGAGCATCCTGCAGTGCCAGAAAGTAAGGAAGTATCAATAGCAACAACAACAACAATCACAAAACAAACAAACAAACAGCTAAGCATGGTGGCTCATGCCTATAATCCCAACACTTTGGAGGCTGAGGCAGGAGGATCACTTGAGCCCAGGAGTTCAAGACCAGCCTGGGCACATAATGAGATGCTGCCTCTACAAAAAATTTAAAAATTAGCTAGGCATGCTGGTATGTGCCTATAGTCCCAGCTACCCAAGAGACTGATGTGGGAGGATTGCTGGAGCCCAGGTGGTAGAGGCTGCAGTGAGCCATGACTGTGCCTGGGCAAGAGAGCAAGACAATCTCAAAAAGAAAAAAAAGTTCTGGGAGCCAAGATGGCCAAATAGGAACAGCTCCAGTCTACAGCTCCCAGCGTGAGTGACGCAGAAGACGGGTGATTTCTGCATTTCCATCTGAGGTACCGGGTTCATCTCACTAGGGAGTGCCAGACAGTGGGCACAGGTCACTGGGTGCACGCACCGTGCCCGAGCCAAAGCAGGGCGAGGCATTGCCTCACTCGGCAAGCGCAAGGGGTCAGGGAGTTCCGTTTCCTAGTCAAGGAAAGGGGTGACAGACGGCACCTGGAAAATCGGGTCACTCCCACCCGAATACTGCGCTTTTCCGAGGGGCTTAAAAAACGGCGCACCAGGAGATTATATCCCGCACATGGCTCGGAAGGTCCTACGCCCACGGAGTCTCGCTGATTGCTAGCACAGCAATCTGAGATCAAACTGCAAGGTGGAAGCGAGGCTCGGGGAGGGGCGCCTGCCATTGCCCAGGCTTGCTTAGGTAAACAAAGCAGCCAGGAAGCTCGAACTGGGTGGAGCCCACCACAGCTCAAGGAGGCCTGCCTGCCTCTGTAGGCTCCACCTCTGGGGGCAGGGCACAGACAAAACAAAAAGACAGCAGTAACCTCTGCAGACTTAAATGTCCCTGTCTGACAGCTTTGAAGAGAACAGTGGTTCTCCCAGCACGCAGCGGGAGATCTGAGAATGGGCAGACTGCCTCCTCAAGTGGGTCCCTGACCCCTAACCCCCGAGCAGCCTAACTGAAAGGCACCCCCCAGCAGGGGCAGACTAACACCTCACACGGCCAGGTACTCCAACAGACTTGCAGCTGAGGGTCCTGTCTGTTAGAAGGAAAACTAACAAACAGAAAGGACATGCATACCAAAAACCCATCTGTACATCACCATCATCAAAGACCAAAAGTAGATAAAAACCACAAAGGTGGGAAAAAAACAGAGCAGAAAAACTGGAAACTCTAAAAAGCAGAGCACCTCTCCTCCTCCAAAGGATGGCAGTTCCTCACCAGCAATGGAACAAAGCTGGATGGGGAATGACTTTGACGAGCTGAGAGAAGAAGGCTTCAGACGATCAAACTACAAGCTACAGGAGGAAATTCAAACCAAAGGCAAAGAAGTTAAAAACTTTGAAAAAAATTTAGACGAATGTATAACTAGAATAACCAATACAGAGAAGTGCTTAAAGGAGCTGATGGAGCTGAAAGCCAAAGCTCGAGAACTACATGAAGAATGCAGAAGCCTCAGGAGCCGATGCGATCAACTGGAAGAAAGGGTATCAGTGATGGAAGATGAAATGAATGAAATGAAGCGAGAAGGGAAGTTTAGAGAAAAAAGAATAAAAAGAAACGAACAAAGCCTCCAAGAAATATGGGACTATTTGAAAAGATCAAATCTACGTCTGATTGGTGTACCTGAAAGTGATGGGGAGAATGGAACCAAGTTGGAAAACACTCTGCAGGATATCATCCAGGAGAACTTGCCCAATCTAGCAAGGCAGGCCAACATTCAGATTCAGGAAATACAGAGAATGCCACAAAGATACTCCTCAAGAAGAGCAACTCCAAGACACATAATTGTCAGATTCACCAAAGTTGAAATGAAGGAAAAAATGTTAAGGGCAGCCAGAGAGAAAGGTCGGGTTACCCACAAAGGGAAGCCCATCAGACTAACAGCGAGCGGATCTCTCGGCAGAAACTCTACAAGCCAGAAGAGAGTGGGGGCCAATATTCAACATTCTTAAAGAAAAGAATTTTCAACCCAGAATTTCATATCCAGCCAAACTAAGCTTCATAAGTGAAGGAGAAATAAAATACTTTACAGACAAGCAAATGCTGAGAGATTTTGTCACCACCAGGCCTGCCCTAAAAGAGCTCCTGAAGGAAGCGCTAAACATGGAAAGGAACAACCGGTACCAGCCACTGCAAAATCATGCCAAAATGTAAAGACCATCGAGACTAGGAAGAAACTGCATCAACTAACGAGAAAATAACCAGCTAACATCATAATGACAGGTTCAAATTCACACATAACAATATTAACTTTAAATGTAAATGGACTAAATGCTCCAATTAAAAGACACACACTGGCAAATTGGATAAAGAGTTAAGACCCTTCAGTGTGTTGTATTCAGGAAACCCATTTCACGTGCAGAGACACACATAGGCTCAAAATAAAAGGATGGAGGAAGATCTACCAAGCAAATGGAAAACAAAAAAAGGCAGGGGTTGCAATCCTAGTCTCTGATAAAACAGACTTTAAACCAACAAAGATCAAAAGAGACAAAGAAGGCCATTACATAATGGTAAAGGGATCAATTCAACAAGAAGAGCTAACTATCCTAAATATATACGCATCCAATACAGGAGCACCCAGATTCCTAAAGCAAGTCCTGAGTGACCTACAAAGAGACTTAGACTCCCACACAGTAATAATGGGAGACTTTAACACCCCACTGTCAACATTAGACAGATCAACGAGACAGAAAGTCAACAAGGATACCCAGGAATTGAACTCAGCTCTGCACCAAGCAGACCTAATACACATCTACAGAAATCTCCAGCCCAAATCAACAGAATATACATTTTTTTCAGCACCACACCACACCTATTCCAAAATTGACCACATAGTTGGAAGTAAAGCTCTCCTCGGCAAATATAAAAGAACAGAAATTATAACAAACTATCTCTCAGACCACAGTGCAATCAAACTAGAACTCAGGATTAAGAAACTCACTCAAAACCACTCAACTACATGGAAACTGAACAACCTGCTCCTAAATGACTACTGGGTGCATAACGAAATGAAGGCAGAAATAAAGATGTTCTTTGAAACCAACGAGAACAAAGACACAACATACCAGAATCTCTGGGACGCATTCAAAGCAGTGGGTAGAGGGAAATTTATAGCACTAAATGCCCACAAGAGAAAGCAGGAAAGATCCAAAACTGACACCCTAACATCACAATTAAAAGAACTAGAAAAGCAAGAGCAAACACATTCAAAAGCTAGCAGAAGGCAAGAAATAACTAAGATCAGAGCAGAACTGAAGGAAATAGAGACACAAAAAACCCTTCAAAAAATTAATGAATCCAGGATCTAGTTTTTTGAAAGGATCAACAAAATTGATAGACCGCTAGCAAGACTAATAAAGAAAAAAAGAGAGAAGAATCAAACAGATGCAATAAAAAATGATAAAGGGGATATCACCACCGATCCCACAGAAATACAAACTGCCATTAGAGAATGCTACAAACACCTCTACGCAAATAAACTAGAAAATCTAGAAGAAATGGATAAATTCCTCGACACATACACTCTCCCAAGACTAAACCAGGAAGAAGTTGAATCTCTGAATAGACCAATAACAGGAGCTGAAATTGTGGCAATAATCAATAGCTTGCCAACCAAAAAGAGTCCAGGACCAGATGGATTCACAGCCGAATTCTACCAGAGGTACAAGGAGGAACTGGTACCATTCCTTCTGAAACTATTCCAATCAATAGAAAAAGAGGGAATCCTCCCTAACTCATTTTATGAGGCCAGCATCATCCTGATACCAAAGCCGGGCAGAGACACAACCAAAAAAAAGAATTTTAGACCAATACCCTTGATGAACATTGATGCAAAAATCCTCAACAAAATACTGGCAATAAGTGATGGATAAATATGTAGGGGTGTATCTAAGCAATGAGCTATTACTTAGATATAAAAAAGAATGAATTACTGATACACACAAGAACATGGATGAATCTCAGAGTAATTATACTTAAAGAAGCCAGACAAAAGGGAGCACACATTGTATGATCACATTTATATAAAATTGTGAAAATGTAAACTAATCTGCACTGGCAGAAAACAGATCAGTATGGTTAATGAGGGTAGGAAGGAGTGGAAAGAGTAGATAGATTACAAGGAGGCAAGAGGAAACATCTGGAAAATGATAGATATGTTCATTAGACTGACAGAGGTGACAACTTCCCAGGTAAAATATGTCAAAGCTTATCAAATGTTATGCTTTAAATATGTACAAATTGTTGTACATAAATTATACTTCCATAAAGCTATTAAATAAGTATCCTTCCAGAGACAAGAGAAAACAATTGACATGCAAAATAAGAACAGGATGAAATAAAAAAGGAATATTAACAAAACCAAAAAGTGAAGCTCTTGAAAACTAAAAACATCAGCGCAAAAGCAGAAGGATTAGAAGATGAAATTGAGGAATCTTCTGAAATATAAGACAGTAACACAATCAGAAGGAGTACAGGAGAGGAAATGCAAGAAATTTAGAGGACCAAGAAATCCAACATCTGAATAACAAAAGTTCAAAAAAGTGAGAACAGATAACTAAAAAGGAGAAAATCAATAACATAATTCTGAAAAATTCCCACAACAAAGAATATGTGTTTCCAGATTCAAAGAGCCCACCAGGAACCCCACACAATGACCAAAAATAGGCCTAACCCAGCACATATCCCTATAAAAATTCAGAATGGGATTTCAAAGATAAGACTGTGAAATCTTCTGGAGAGCAAAATAGTTTTACAGTGGAAGAACCAGGAATCAGAATGGCTTCAGATTTCTCAACAGCAACATTGAACACTGGAAGCAATCTTTCAAAATCTTAACAAAAATGATTCTCAACCTAGAATTCTATACTTAGCCAAATCATCAATCAGATGGGAAAGCAGGATGAAGACATTTTCAGAAATGCGAAATCTCTAAAGGTTAACTTTCCATCTAACTCTCTGAAGAATCTACTTGAGGATGTGCTCCACCATAACAAGGATATAAATCAACAAAGAGCATACATGAAACCCAACACATAAGAGA
The DNA here is from genome assembly GCF_000001405.40 of Homo sapiens. NCBI lineage: Eukaryota > Metazoa > Chordata > Mammalia > Primates > Hominidae > Homo > Homo sapiens. The sequence goes on from NC_000016.10 coordinate 80,731,901, forward strand.
TGCAGCACAGTTAAAAAAAAAAAAAGGCAAAAGATCCCCAAGCTGATGGTGAAGGGGATCCAGGGTGACAGAGATGCACTAGGCCGCAAGGAAAGTCAGCACAGATTGAAACAGGATAGAAATTTTCTGGCCAAGGATAGTGCAAGGCTCTGTATTCACAGCCACTTTTCTCTCCAGAATTAAATAGACAGTCATAATGCAAATTATGAGAGTCATCATTTTTATTGACGAAATCCATAATGATGACAGTGTGTGGATGACACTGAATAATGAGAACATGAAGTACCACATTTCACTGATGATGAAAACACTTTTTCCACATTTTAACATCTCTGAAATCAGGATACATTCTACAACTGAGAGAGTATCATAGTTTAATGGGCTGCACAGTTTTCTGTCTTAGTGGGACCTCTTATCTTGGGTTCGGTGACATATGGTATGTCCCTTGCATAAAAAGTTACACTCAAGTTTGGAGGCCCTTTTAGTCATCGTGTTGGAAAGAGCCTTCTGATTGCCACAGGTTGCAATACGGAAAAAAACACAGTGTCCCAAACAAGAAAAAAAGGTTTCTCTATAAACATATAAGCTTGAATATGCACAGAATATCTTTGGAAGGAAGTTCACAAAACTGGTAACTAACTCTAGTTATGTCTGGGAGATGTCTGAAGGGAACTACTTTACCTATTTACCCTTTTGCTCCTTTTGAATTTTGTACCATGAGCATGTTTTACCTACCAAAGAATGAATACAATTTTAAAATACCTGAAATAACTAAGTAGATTAATGTATGAAAACATTTACAAGGAAGCCTAAGAATCCGGGCATTACATGAGATTTGAAGATGACTTTGAATTGGCAGACTGTGATGTAAGAATTTCCTTTTATTCCAATTGTTACCAAAAACAACACTAACCTCTCTTAAGGTCTGCACATTTTCTTTGGATTGGTTATAACCTCTCTAAACAAGGGTCAAGTTGGGAAAGTTGATGAATGGAAAATACACACACACATAAACACACATCTATTATTTTTTAATTATTTTGAATTGTGTCGTGAAGTATCATTATCTATTTAGTGTCCCAAAAGATGTGATAAAGCCATTGATCAAAACAGACTCAAAGATCCACAGAAAAGAGTGACTGTTATAGCAACAAGCCAATGTAGCCTATATCTACTGATAACGTTCTTTCTACAGCCATTTCTACCCCACAACCCTGAACAGCTGATGTCTCTTGTGGGCAAGGTTGAGGCAGTTCCCTGGGAGAAGTATAGAGTTAGGAGGAGACAAAGAAGTTGGATTCACAAAATCAGTGGTCAAAAAAAGCTCTTAAATATTACTGCAGAATCTCCACTGTGTGCATTTCAAGTAACCCCAAGAATCTCAAAGGGGCCATAGTTGCAGCAGGCTGGGGAGCGGTCAGGGATGGAATGAGTTGGAAATCATTTTATATATCTTGTAGAAGCACTGTGAATAGTTTCATCTTGCCATTTGGGCTTGCAACGGCTTTGCCCTATACTAACATTCCAAAAATGTTGAAAATTCTGGACATTCTCCAAGGTTCCCTGGACAGGTTTATGGAGGCTTCCTTGAAGACATCTGTGTCCTCTCTTTATACGCAGTAGGAAGCTGCAGTTTTTAAGTCCCCTTGCCCTGGGGACATCATCACTATGCCAAGATGGAGAAATGCCTGAGCAAGAGGAAATGAAGTATCTTGGATGTGCCTCTTCGCAAGTGCTTTCTCAATAAACTCAAGTAAAGCAGTTGTCACCACAAAGGAAGCTGCCCATAGGTGCTCTAAAGATAAAGTAATGCAGTGATGCAACTGTCAGGATGTTAGAAGAAGCTCTTCTAACAGATCACAGACCCAGTGATTGCCTTTAACCAGAACTATTGCAATGGCTCCCAACTCATTTTCTGCCTTCAATCTCCTTCCTCCAATCTCATCTCCACTCAGAAGCCAGGATGAGCTTTCTAAAATATAAATTGTATTGTCTTTTTGCCCTCTTAAAACTCTGCAATGACTCCCCAACAGGATTAAGTCTACTCCTCATGGCAAGACCCACAAGGCCTTTCAGAAATTATTCTGAATGGGAAACTGGCTTTGCTAACTAATCATTGCCAGGAATTAAGGTAACAGATTAGAAAATCTATAAAAAGTTACAGTCAAGGAATTTAGTAATACCAAGACCCCATACTTCCTTTAGATACTTGGATGGGCATCTCATATCAGTTATCTTCTGATGGACTATATTAGGGAATCCCATCATGCAAAGCTCCGTATTTCAATAGAGTTACCCAGAGACTTTATTTGGCCAATATATAAATCTTGTTGCATATTCCTGGTTGGGGGCCGGGGAAAGGCAAGGAGATTTCAAGTTAGAACCATGGTAGCCACGCTACATGGAGTAGGACTTCGGGGTCATAATCATCTTTGTGTCTGTACCATGAAGTTTTTGAGGAACACTTTCCATAGGCACGAGGTTGAGATAGTTAAGACAGATCCATGAGCCATGAGGACAACAACACTAAAGACTAATGCATTGAGGGTGATGGAAGATTTGGAAACCAGACATGGTGTGGATCTAGAGTAGCTGTAATTAGAGGACATCTAGGTGGAAAGCAACTGGAGAGAAACTCAGAATAGGGAAGCAGGTTTGGGAAGGCAGCTAAGGAGAAGCCTTTCTCCTAGGGAGTCAGCCTATTTGACAATTAAAGGCATGGGGCTTGAACTTACTCATTCAAGGGGGTTTACTGCATAAGCACCCACTATGTGAAAGACACCATGTTGGGCCCTGGGAGCACAGATATACCTGCTTAAGCTTAGGAATGCATTCTAGGAAATGCAGGTGTTGAATGGATCACTGCCACATACTATTACACATTCCCTCTAGAACTGGTTCCTAATTTTGTAACCTGCTGCTACGGTGTTTTCAATTTAAAGCTAGAAGTCATAATGGACCTGCCACCACGATATGGTCCAATGACTGACAATCCTTGGTCCTCCCAGGCTATGATGCTGTTGATGCCCCTCCATTCAAAGGCTTCCCAGTGATCCCTGAGCACTGAGTTTCCTCCTCTGTTTCCTTCATCAATTCCATGAAGGTGCCCTGCGTCAAATCATCACAAAAGCCACATTTATCTCCCAACCTTAACTTCTTCCTTGATACTTAGTTGTTTCTCCCAGCCATGCCTCTTGCTTACCTCTGTCCACCCTCAAGGGTGAGAACTTCTCAGAAGAACACAAAATAATGGCAGAAAAAGAGATTCCAATTAGATAAACAAAGTGAGATGAACCACAAAAGTGAGAAACATGGCAACCAAGAATAGATCATGCCCAAGCTACTGTATTTGCCAGTAAGCCACAAAGAAAATTCATATTGTCTCTACTCCATGTTACAATGAGTCTTTACATAAATTAAATTTTTTTCTGAGAAAAATAAAGTACAGTCTGAGTGACATCCTTAAAGAGTTTTACAAGTTTTCCCCTTCTCTATGCATCAGTTTCCTCATCTGTAAAATGAAGTTAATAATAACCACGACATTGTCAAAAATTAATGAGCTAAATGATGCAAAGCACTTAGTTACGTGCCTGGCACTGAATGGGCACTCACTGAATGTGAGTGATTAATACCATCCCCATGTTTGATACTATAAGGCTCCAGTGATCTGGCTAGAGGGAAGGGAGGGAATTCTCAGAGGCAGCCCAGACCCCCAGGGAATGGCCCCCAGGCTCCAACTAGAGCTCTGGTGTCTATTCTAGAAAAGCTCCGGGAAGTTTTGTGCATAGACCTTTTTTTCTCAGGGACCACATAGCAATAATCACTGGACTCTCGACAGAGTACTCTGAAGCCATGGCACTGCTTTCAGACCACCCCTTCCATTTGCATTGCCTCTTCAAAAGAAACCTGCAGTCAGGGAGCTGCAAACAGCTCCTACTTTCAGAGAATGTTTTGGTCCCTAACCAGCCTCCAACACAGCCTGTCCACATCCAAGGCTAGAGAGAGCAGGGCAAGGCAGGCACTTAGGAATCACAGAGACTCGGGTCTGCACTTAGTAGCTCAGGGGCCTCAAGCAAGTAATTACTCCTCACCCCAGGTGGCTCCATCCGCTGGACTAAGGGTCACCTTCCCAGCTTGTCCTCAGTAACCAGCCTTTTATGACATAGGCCAGTGACCTTGAGACTGTGGAACTCCCAGCTGTCACAGCTGGCCACAGGCCCAAGGCCACTGTGTGCAAACCTCCATCTCGTGGGTTGTTCATCAGCTCCTGAACCTAACTGCAAATGGTGACACATCCCCACCATCAATACATTTATAATTCACACTGTTTCAGAGCCCTTTAACGAACATGTTCTCATTTGTCTGTTCTCGTTTCTAACGGCAAAACACGATACGTAACCATCATGCACAGAATACTAACACAAGTGACTCCTTGCGTGAGTTTAGTTTGCAACACTGTCCAACACACAGCATTCAACAGACTAAGCACTTATTTTCAAGTTACTAATTTTTAATTTACGAAGCCCTTATGTGCAACATGACAGTGAGCAAGAGAGGTACAAAGCTGAACCCCCAGTCTCTTGAATATGAGGGGAAGCTGGGAAGATATCAACAGGTAAACATGAACTTGTATACAATGTTTGAAGGAGGAGACAGGACAGCAATGTGGCTGAACACTGGGACTGTGGACTCAGATGTCTGAGTTCAAAAAGTAATCTCAGAAAATAAGGCTGGGTATAGTGGCTCACACCTGTCACCCCAGCACTTTAGGAGGCCAAAGTGGGAGGATCACTTGAGTCTAGGAGTTCAAGATGAGACTGGCCAACATAGTGAGACGTCATCTCTATTTTTTTAATCATCAAAAATTATTTTTAATGATCTATCAACTTACAGCCCAATTAGGGCTTCCTTCAATTATGTACGAACCACTTGACTTGGATAAGGACTTGTTACCCAGTCATTTGAACTGTTCACTTGCACATGGATTTATTATCTAATCATTGTTCACAACCTCAGTATTTCCATTTATCCTCTGTTGGAGCCCTGGAAATTTATATTACATGATGCATCGTATTCAGATTTGGGATGGCTGAGACTCTGCCTTTCTTTTGTTACGTGGGAGAAGGGCTCCTGTGGAAAGAGAAGACAAGGAAAGAGAATTTGCTTCATGCCCCCTTTGCAGGCAGATCAGTTTCAGGACAGCCTGTAGGAAAACTGAGGATCTTGAAATTGAGCCTCACAAATCTATCCATGCCCCCAGACCAAGTCTGCTTGTACCTACCAGTGTGTAAGTACCCCATGTAGACTGCTGTTCCACAGGATGTTGAACTCACAGAGATGTTAACACTTTTGCAGAGGATGGATTTGCTTGAGTTTCCTTTCTGGTATAGTGGCTTTTACTTAATGTGCTGCTCTGTGCTAAGTGCCTTACAGGTAAGGTCTCACCGAGTCCTTGGAACAACCTTAAAAGGGAGGAATCATTATCCCTATTTTGCAGATTCAGGGGTTAAGGGAAGTGGCAGCCAGCAAGTACCAAAGCTGGGGTTCAAACCCAGGGCTGTGAGAATTGCAGAGCGTGAGCTCTTCAGCCACTGTATTAAACTGTACCTTGCTCTAGGTACCGTGAGCATGGCTCTTCATACCAGCTGTTGCCTGGACTGTTGTTGCTGCTGTTGCTGCTGCTGCTAGTGGTGGTGGTTTTCTCTTTGTCTCTTTCTTGGCAAGTTTCTCCAAAGCACTGGTTCTCAAACTTTGGTGTGCATCAGGATCAGGTGAAGGCTTTGTTAAGACACAGATGGCTGGGCTGCACATCCAGAGTTTCCGATTCAGTAGGTCTGGGGTAAGGCTGAGAATCTGCATTTCCAAGTCCCCAGGTCTGGGAACCACACTTTGAGAACCATTTCTCTAAAGAATGCCCAGCCTCATGGGAGAGATTCTTTTTTCTAATGCATTTAGGGACTGGTTGTTGTTGTTGTTGTTGTTTTATACTTTAAGTTCTGGGTTACATGTGCAGAACGTGCAGGTTTGTTACATAGGTATACATGTGCCATGGTGGTTTGCTGCACCCATCAACCTGTCATCTACATTGGGCATTTCTCCTAAAGCTATCCCTCCCCTAGCCCCCAGCCCCCCGACAGGCCCCATGTGTGATGTTCCCCTCCCTGTGTCCATGTGTTCTCACTGTTCAACTCCCACTATGAGTGAGAACATGCAGTGTTTGGTTTTCTGTTTCTGTGTTAGTTTGCTGAGAATGATGGTTTCCAGCTTCATCCATGTCCCTGCAAAGGACATGAACCCATCCTTTTTTATGGCTGCATAGTATTCCATGGTGTATATGTGCCACATTTTCTTTATCCAGTCTATCACTGGTGGGCATTCGGGTTGGTTACAAGTCTTTACTATTTTGAATAGTGCTGCAATAAACATACATGCGCATCTGTCTTTATGGTAGAATGATTTATAATTCCTTGGGTATATACCCAGTAATCCCATGTCTATTTTTTTTTTAAAAAAAGGAATTTTAGGAAACAAAAAGAAATGAGTACTAATGCTACATGCTACAACTAGGAGAATTAGAAAATATTATGCTAAGTGAAAAAAGCCAGACACAAGAGACTATACATTGTGCCAGTCTATTCATATGAAATTCCAGAATAGGCAAATCCATAGGGATAGAAAGCAGATTTGCAGTTGCCAGGGCTAAGGTGGGGACACAAGAATAGGCGGGTGATAACTAAAGGGTATACCGTTTCTTTTTCAGGTGATAAAAATATGCTACAATTAACTGTGGTGATGTTGCACAACTCTGTAAATACACTAAAAATCACTGACTTGTACACTTTCAATTGGTGAGTCATATGGTATGTGAACATATCTCAGTTAAGCTATTTTTTAAAGGTAACTTTGGGCAAATTATTTAACTTCGCCAAGCTTCAGTTTCCTCATCTATAAAATGGAGATGATGATAGTGGCAAATTTCTAATTCTTGTGAAAATTCATAGGAACAACTTTGTAAAAAAAGCGCTACATGCTTTGACCACTATTGTCTTCAGCTGTAAAAGATCAGAGGAGTATTTCACAAGGTGAAAAAGGTGGAAGCAACCCGATTTTCCATCAATGGATGAATGGATAAACAAAACGTGGTATACACACACAATGGAGTATAGTCAGCCTTTAAAGGGAAGTAAATTCTGACATATACTTCAATATGGATGAACGCTGAGGACGTCACGCTGAATGAAATAAGCCAGTCATGAAAAGACTGTATGATTCCACTTATCTGAGGTCCCTAGAGTATTTTATTTCATAGAGACAGAAAGTGGAATCGTGGTTACCAAGGACTGGGGGAGAAGGGGAGAATGTGGGATTAGTGTTTAATGGGGACAGAGATTCAGTTTTGCAAGATGAAAAGAGTTCTGTGGGTGGACAGTGGTGATTACTGCACATCAATGTAAATGTACTTAATACCTCGGAAATGCACACTTAAAAATGGTTAAGATGGTAAATTTTATGTTATATGTATTTTATCACAATCTAAAAAAGAATAGAATGGGGAGATGCAAGAGCTAAAGAAAGAAATGTCAGTGGGAAGGAGGGAGAAATTTGGAGGTGTCATAGGACAAAAGATCAGGAGCTAAGCCCCAGCGGGGCAGATTCACACAGCAGCCGGGCACCAGCAGTCCCAGGATAGCACCCAGCACACCAGAGAGACCCTAGCACTGCCTCCCAGGAGTGTGCTGGCATCCTGCTCTGCCATCCACACCGCCACCCACACCAGCCCATGGAACAAGACGCACCAGCTCAGAGCTCAGGTGTGGGAGGTGGGAGCCAGAATGAGTCATAGAAGCGCTGCTCTCAGAGAGACAGAGAGGTCACTGCCTTACTCCCTGCCAATCAGGGAAACTCCCCAAAAACAGAAGCCTCACACTGGGGACCTGCTGTCCACGGCAGGCCAATTACAGCCCAATTACCTGAAATGCTGATCTGGGCTATACCAACAAAGCAGCCCAAGTCTGTGGAGCACAAAGCTGAGTCACGTACATTGATGCCCAGGATGAAACGACTTGGGGGCAATGTCACTGTCTTTGCTAGGGTCTTCCCCATGTGGCTGTGGAGGGTGGTGGGTGCCAGAGGAGGGGACGGGTGCAGAGAGAAATTACAGAAGACAGAAAAGCTACTTACAGGTCTCTAACTCAGAAAAAGAGGCTGACTAAATCGGGCAGGATTGACAACCACATGGACAAGTTTGTCAGTTCAGTGTTCCTTGCTAACCTTGCTCTGTGGAATGAGCACGTCCAGGAAGATGCACCAAAAACCAGAGTGGATGAAACTTGCCACTTGTTTTCCCCACTAAAACTTCCATCATGTAGCCCATGATCCTACTGAGATATATTCTCATTCTTTATTTTCACTTCTACGGTGGAGGAGGTTGTGAAGTGAGTATAGAAACAGCCAGACATATGAACAGACATATGTATTTGAGAACCATTTAAAAGGCCTAATTCAAAAGTACAACTATGACCACCCACCCATCCAAGTTCTGTAGTACACAAAATTTCAGCATTAAAAATTCAAGCCTGACATTCAAAACCATTATTTTTAATATCAGTTTAGAACTTCTAGCCAATGCAATAAGGCAGGAAATAAAAATGAGAAGTGATCTATACAAAAGAATCTCTAAAATATTATTTGCATACACAGTCATATATCTTCACAGCCCAAGTGAATGAACTGAAATACTTTAGAATGAATTTAAATATTCAGAAAGATGTGTAGTTCCCAAATACAGATCTAATCAACAATCAGTAATAACCAGTGAGAAAATATAGTAGAAAAAAAGTCTATTTATAAAGGCAACGAAAATAGAAAATGCTTAGAAATATATTTAATGAGAAATGTGCAGGATTAAATGAAGCAATCCACAAAACTTAACTGTGATACACTAAAAAAAAAAAAAGAGGTTTTACCAAATAGAGACACTTCTATATTTGTGGATGGGAAGTTTCATTACTATAAACATGTTAATTTTTTCAACTTAAAGCAATTTCAATCAAAACCCCATCTGGATTTTTTAAACTTGACAAGTTTATTTTAAGTAAATAACAAACAGGAATAGCCCAGAAATTTCTGAAACAAACAAACAAAAAAAGAATTCAAGACTTCTACTGCCAATTATTAAAAAATAAAGCTACAATAAGGTAGTAAGTAAGCATAGACAAAAAACCAAATTGCATAAAAAGCCCAGAAACATATATATACATAATATATATATAACATGTACTATATAAGATGTGTGTATAAGAATTTTATATATAATAAAATGGTATTTTAGATTCTAGATTCAATAAAGTGGGATTGGGACAACTGGTTAAGTAAAGGGAAATTATAAAATGCCTACCTTATATCATTAACCAACATGAATCCAATTTACCTCAAGAATTAAATGTAAAAAAAAAATGCACACACACACTTGTGATTTAGAGACAGACAAGGTCTAGGCTTACAGAAAAACATAAAAGCTTTTATTAAACATTTTAAATTTTCATATATCAAAAAGTGTCATAATCTAGGTTTTAAAAAAACATTATGGGGAAAATATTTGCAGCATAGGTGGTAAAGTTATTTTTAATACTGAAATGAATTCTATGATCTAAGAAACAGATGAACATATTAATGGAAAAGGTCACGAAAAAGAAGTGTGTGAGGGTAATAGATGATATCTAAATAAAATAAATAAAACAAAAGATATTTAAACAAACAACAGATATTTAAATTCACCAGTAAACAAATAAAAGATATTTAAATTCACCAGTAATAAAAGTATTGAAAAAAATGAATTGGCAATTTTCACAAAATTGGCAAAAATTAAATAATCGCCCAGCATTGGCAGATGTTCAGGTAAAATGGGCATTCTCATACGGGGGAGCTGTTAATGTTGGACTAATTTACAACATTCCTGAAGGACAATTTGGCAACGCCCATGAAAAACCTTTGAAAGAGTTACATGTTTTGGTTAGTAATTCCACTTTCAGAAAACAGCCTAAGGAAATAACCAGAACAATGTGCAAGGTTTCAACATCACCACGTTATGGGAACCATGTGCACTTACTAGGCACAGTTCTATGCTTCAAATGGATTGTGTATTTTAACCCTTTAAAAAATAAGAAACAGATCCTAATGTAATCTCTACTTTTACAGATGAGAAAACTGAGATATACAGAGATCAAGAATCATCCAAGGTCACACAATACGAGGTGGGGTCAGAATGCAAACCCAGGCAGTGTGCCTACCTAGCCCAGACTCTTAACCACTAAGATGTCACTAAAGAAGCATCAACATCAACAGGAAACACTTTAACACTACCTAATGTCCAACAACAAGGATTGATTAAACACATTCCAGAATATTCACTTGACAGAATTAATGGATGGATGGGATGGATGGATGGACTGACAAATGGATGGATGGATGAATAAAACAGTGGGTGGGTTAGGGGATGAACGAGTGGATATATAAATGGTTGAGTGGGTAGAAGGGTGGAGGATGGATGGAGGATGGATGCATGGATGGATGGATGGATGGATGGATGGATGGATGAATAGATGGATACACTAACGAATGAATAGATGGATGAATGAAAGAGTAGGTGGGTTGGGATGAATGAGTGGATATATAAATGGGTGAGTGGGTAGATAGGTGGAGGATGGATGGAGAATGAATGGATGAATGGATGGATGGATGGATGGAGGATAGATAGGTGGATGGGTAGAAAGGGTGGATGAATGGGTAGGTGAGTGCATGGATGAAGAGATGTATGGATGGGTGACAGGGTAGGTGGGTGAGTGAGTGGGTGGATGGATAGATGGATTGATGGATAGATGGGCAGATGGATGGACTGACAAATAGACAGATGTAAAATGAAAGACTGGGTGGTTGAGTGGATAAATGAGTGGATATATGAATGGGTGAGTGGGTAGATGGGTGAAGGATGGAAAAAGAATGGATGGATGGATGGATGGATGGATGAATAAATGAAGGACAGATAGGTGGATGGGTAGATGAATGGGTGGATGAATCGATAGGTGAGTACAAAGATGAATAAATGTATGGATGGGTAAGAGGGTGGGTGGGTGGGTAGGTGGGTGGATGGCTGTATGGAGGGATGGACCGACGGACGGACTCATTGATGGTCTAAATCACAAAACCTTCCTTTGGTAGCATGTCGTCATTTTTGTTTCCACTTACATGTATTGAACATCAACTTCATGGTAGGCAAACCTCCAGGTTCCATGTTAAGCCCTCAATAAAACAGGAAACAATTACACAGCAAAACCCAATACTTCTGCTCCCAGAAGTAAAACCTTAAATGGTAAGCGCAGACATTGTGAGGGAGCCCTCAAACCAGAAAGTGTTATCTTCTTAAGTTCTTAAAATCTCTTCGTTTTATAAAATAGAGAGAATTCAAAAGAAGTCACAAAGTGTGAAAGTCTTTATTTGCAGTCTAAATCTCAAGGAACCACAGACAAAAAGCCCCACAGCTGTCTGCAGTGATTCATCAGCTCTAACAGAAGTAGCAGCACTTCAACCTGGAACTGGGGTGTATGAATGGGTCAGGAGAGATGTTTCTTAAAACTTGTGTAGCCACAGGTCTCACCTACATCCCAGTGAAGCGGGATTGGCATTAGCCCCCAGAAACCCCAGACATTGTGAGCTCTATCTTAATTTGTTGTCATCTTAATGCAAGTAAGATTATTTTCTCTGTTTTTTGTTTGTTTGTTTGTTTGTTTTTTGGGGGTTTTTTTGCCCCTTTCATCTCAGTCCATCAAGATTTTCTATAATATATATCAGTTCAAATTGTTTTAGTATTTTTTTTAATTTAACCCCTTCAAAATCAATTAAGGATGAAGATAAGTAAGAACTGAAAGCAACATCCTGGTCTCCCCAGAAGAAATGGTGCTGATAAAGTGCCTGAACACAGGCTTGGCACCCAGTAAGTGGTAAAGAGATCACTTAGTGGTTGCGGTGGTGGTGGGACTGTACTATTCCTCCTGCCTCTTCTGCTGCTTCTGCAAAGGGAAAAGGGAACCTCCCTACTGGAGTGAGTCATATAGACACCTGATACTCATTCATTCATTTATTCACCCATTTAATATGTTCAAAACCCCCAGGAATTAGGTATCATTATTCCTGTTTGGAAAATAAAGAAACTGAAGCACAGAGAAGTTAGAGCAACTCATCAAAGCTACACAGAAGCAGCAAAAGACTGAGATCAGATCAGTGTGATTCTAAGTCCAGAGACGCAGAAAAGGCAGGAGCCCTGGGGAACACACGCTGGGTCTGGTTAGCACATGTGTACTGCTGACATCCTGCTCCCTAGGCCTGCTCCTCTTTGCCTTTATTTTCACCTCCCCATTCCCTAAGCAACTCTATTAACCATAGCACAGCTCTGGAAAGCAGAGATTTCTTTCCCCTTCACACATTGCATCCTTTAACACCAGCTTTACACTGACACCATGAAGATATCCTTTCTGCAGGAAGCCCTGTTCAGACCTCCTGACCTGAGAAAGCAACAAGGTGATGACCAAAAGAAGGAAAAAAAGAAATTAGCATGTAGGAGCACCCTATAGAAGGTACTTTATTTCCATCATTTTATTTAATCCTCCCAACAACCTTACAAGAAAATGTCATTGTCTTCAAAATACAGGTGAAGAAACTGAGGCTCTAGGAGGTTAAGCAACTTGCCCATGTGATAGGTAATATTCCAGCTCTGTAAGACCTACAGTCAAAGGCCATATAGGGGTCTCCACCAAACTAAGGTTTTAGTGGCATGGGTCAACACAGCAAAGGAATTTTCTGGTCAAGCTCTCTTCCAGTTGACAGAGGAACAGAACGGTAATGTTATCTCTGTGACAGCTGGCAGCATGTCCCCCAGGAGAAGGAAGTGGACAGTCCTGGATCCCCACCCACAGTCCTCCTGCAGTGAGCTCTGCAAGCCTAGCAGTAGGAACCAGTGCCACTGAGCCACCTGTCTCCCCTAGGCCTGGGATGCCTCTGTAAACAGAAACCTAAGGGTCTCTCTGATGCCACAAATGTGAAAAACCCCTGACCTACAGGGTGAGTGACAGATACAGGATGACGAAACCATGGTGCTAGAGGCCCTCCATCGAGGAAGTGCATTCACAACACTTTAATCTGCAAAACCACTCCCCCACGCTGGGGGCAGGTGCTGCTAGCACCCTGCAAGTTCAACAAACCAATCAAGGTGAGAGGTTCAAGCAAACTGCCCGAGGGTCCCCCAGCTAGAATGCAGGGGCCTGAGGGTTTTTAACTGAGACCTTCTAACTCCAAATCCCATGTGCTGTCCATGACACCAGCCAACCTCTTCTGTGTCACCTGAGCAACTGGAAAAGCCGATCACCATTCCCTATGACAGCCAGTGACCATGCAAACAGGAGCCAAAAGAAACACATAAATACTCAAATACCCACAGCAACAAGCAGTCCAGTAGACTGGAATCAAGAGTGCCCGCAGTACATAATCCCAGCCTGACACTTACTAGCTGTGTGGCCTTGAGAAAGCCACCAGACCTTTCTGTGCCTTCAATTCCTCATCCCTAAAAAGAATATAAAAACAGTACCCCCTTCATGGAGTTGGTGTGAGGATTAAAACACTTCAAATGATGGCTGTGTACTGTAGGAACACAGTGAGTAAACGTCAGCTGTTATAATTATTGTTGTTATTACTACTACCACAAAGAGATGACAGTGCGCAAGTTATCAACCTGGAGCAAGAGGTGATTTCTGCCCTAGATTTAGCTTTTGGTAGCAAAATACCACAATGATAGCATTGCTCTGTGATGCCTCTGGAGAAATTTGGAGTCAATTCAATCCTCCCTATGACCAGGACAGCTTGGAAGGGTTTCTCCAGCGACCTTCCACTTATGTTGTCCCTCTTGACCCAGAAGACAGGGAAGGGCAGGGGGTACCAGTGACACCACTGGTTCACCCACAAGAAGTAACACGTGGCCGCGACCCAACTACACAGCCCTGTGACTGTCAGGATACCCCCTCCTGCTATCAATCAGCAAGGCTGCTGCAGGCAGAAGGTAAAGCTCGCACTTGTCTCTGTATTATCCACACACAGGTCCTTGGAATGTAAAGAGTGGATGGAAAGGAAGCAAACCTCAGAAGACTAGCTCTGTTCCCGAGACCTTCCTTCTCCCCTGGGCTCCAACAGGTACCTGCACAAAATGCTGGGCTGTACCTGCGTGAAAATAAGGGCAATTACTCCCCATTCCCATGACAATCCGCAAATGATGGGGGACTAAAATCCAACTCTGTCTGAGCAAAAGCACAGGCTGAGAACATAATAAATTGATACCAAATTATCCTATCCTGCTGACCCAGGGAGATCTGACTTTATAATCCCAAGCGCTATGAATTCAGTAGTGAATTGTGCTGTGGGAAGAAAAAGGCTTCTTTAGACAAGCTCGAAATGTTCCATTTGGCACCGACTCCAGTAGTGACCTCTTGTTCTCTTCTTACAGCCAGATTTCTAAAGTGTGAATTCTGAGCAATTTTCCTTGCATCCTCTCAAGTATTCTGGAATCTTCTGACTGTTCTAAATCAGTACTGAAGACAGGAAAAGTAACCCCAAGAATGTAGGGCAAAGGAAGCCAAGTGCCCAAGACAGACTGGGAATAATTCCTGGCTCAGACAGCCCAGGCGGGATCTTCCCTTAACAACTAGACAATCCAGGAAAGAACACTACCAGGTAGCTTAGAAGGCCCCCTTTTGCAGGTGTGAGGGTGTGGGGCAGGGGGAGGGACACCAGTGAGGCTGCAGGAGGTTCTCCAGCAATATGGCACAACATAGAGACCACTCACTAGGACACTGTGCTTTTATCATAACCCATTATTGTTGGCTGAGCTTGCTTAAAAAACTGAGCAGACTTTAACAACTTGCAGACTTCACTTAAAGTCCAGATTCCCAGCTTCTCTTCTCTTTAAAAAAAAATTAATAGAACTGCAAATCAGCAGCCCTAGGACTATATTCCAATATGGTAACAACTGGCTGGATTTCAAAAGCCACTACCTCTCCTGGGTTTGCCACAATCCCCAGTACTCCCTGTTGTGTCCCCAGAGCTGAGGGTTGGCTGCCATTTATCATCATCTGTGTGCTGTCAGTTTTCTTACGGCATAGAAATCTCTCTCTGTACTCAAAAGAAAATCAGCAAAACAAAATAAAACAAAAGATAGAAAGGCCAAAATAAAACAAAACAAAATTTCAAGAAAATTAGGGAAAGGCCCACCACCTGTCGATGTTCCTTATTTGCATGAACCACCCCATAGTGAGGATCTCAGCATCTAGCATCTGAAGAGTCTGGGTTCAAATCCCAGCCTGGCAGTTTCTCGGGAGGGAGGCCTGGGGTAGGTATTTAACCTCTCCAAGCCTCAGAATTCTCATTATTAAAAGGAGAATAAAAATACCTATACCTCATAGGGTTAGGGGAAGGATTTAAGAAGATATCGCATGCAAAGGACTAGACACAAGGCCGGGACCTATCACGTGCTTAATAAATCTAGACACAAGGCCTGGGCCTATTACGTGCTTAATAAATGCCAGGGATTGTTGTTACCAATGTTGTCGTGAATAGTGGTAGTGGTGGTGAATAGTAGCTGGTGGGAATGGGGTGGCAGCTTCCCCTCTGGAGTGTCCCTTCTAGCATCAGGATTGAGCTTCGTCCCCTTCCCAACTTCTGAGGCCAGAGAAGCAAGTACCAGACAAAAGAGTCACAGCCACAACCAAAAGCTATCTTCACAGACCCCTCTAGAACCACTGAGTAAGTGCCCTAGTTTCTTTGCCTTGCAGCCACATACACCCTGCCAAGTCTCATCTCCATTTCCTGCACACACCTATTTATGGCTTCCTCTGGTCCTTCTGATTGGAACCCTTCCTACCTCTGCCCACCTGGAAGCCCTTATTCACATCTGAAGACTCATTAGACACCAGTACCACAAAACCTTTCCTGAATTCTCAGGCAGGATTCTTGAATCCATTCTATATTTGTTCATTTTCTCCACTAAACCATGAGCTCTTCAAAAGCAGGGCACAGTGAACTCTGTGACTCCAGCCTCCACCCCAGTGACCAGAATGTTACACACAGAGAACACCAGTTCAGCCATGGAGCCAGTTCACACTCACAGGTGATTCTGGGAAGATTAAATAATAATAATAATAATAATAATAATAATAATAATAATAATAATATAAAGAAAAGAGCATAGGCTTGGGGCCAGAGGTGTAGGTCTGTGCCCTGGCTCTGCCTTTAAAACTCAGGTGGGTGGACCGGGCGCGCTGGCTCACGCCTGTAATCCCAGCACTTTGGGAGGCCGAGACAGGCAGATCACGAGGTCAGCAGGTCGAGACCATCCTGACTAACACGGTGAAACCCCATCTCTACTAAAAATATAAAAATATTAGCCAGGCTTGGTGGCAGGCGCCTGTAGTACCAGCTACTTGGGAGGCTGAGGCAGGAGAATGGCGTGAACCTGGGAGGCGGATCGCGCCACTGCCCTCCAGCCTGGGCGACAGAGCAAAACTCCATTAAAAAAAAAAAAAAAAAAAAAAAAAAAAAAAAAACTCAGGTGGGTGATGTAGAGCTATTCACTCAACACTCAGAGCCTTGGTTTGCACAAATGGAAGACAGGGTTAATAAGAAATATTTCTGAAGAATTCTTGTGAAGAATAAACAAGATAACTATTAGAAAAACAACCCAATGCATTATTACCAGCACCCCTCACCCACCATCTGGCCCAACACCACAACCACCACCAACAACAACCTCATCCTCATCTCTACCCCCAACTTAACAGTTGATCCCTGTCCTTGAGCTGCCCTTGTCTCTCATTCTTCTTATTCCCAGTTCTGTCATGAGAGGTCAAAGGGACCCAGTTTGGGCATGGATACCAAATTAGCTCACCCTGATATAAATCAATCCATCAAAAAAAGAAAAGTCATAGAAGGGGCTAATTTTACATTCTTTCTGTACATGGTTGAATATTACCATCGAGAACATTGAGGATAGAAAAATACAGTCAAAATATAAGGTTAAAGCTTAAGCTGTAAACTGGATATACACTGTGGTTCTAACTGTACCTAAATAAAATATATATAGCAAAACAGAGCTAAAGAAACTTGACCAAAATATTAAGAGTGGGGAATGATTATGGGAGATTGTTGTGTGTGTGTTTTATTATTTATACTTTTAGTTTCCAATTTTCCTCTGGTATTCTTATTTTAATTTATGATTTAAAAAACAACAGAACACAACTGAATACCTAGCAATGTCTTATTTAGGGCAGTTAATCATTTTTAAAATTGTTGAAAACATATAAAAGTTATTGAAAATGCATAAAGCAGTTGGTCACCTGCCTATGGTAGTCACAACTTTTCACAATAACAAATGCAAAACATGGTCTTTTCATATATGCCTGGAATATTTACCGAAAAATTTTAACAAGTCCTAGTCCACTAGAAATACTCAATAAATACCAAAACCCAGAAATTAACCCCCTATTTAGTCTGTCCAGAAAACAATGAAAAGCAAAATCAACAGCTAAAAGATTACGCAAATTATTTATCTTAGCAAAAAAAAATTGCTAAAAGATAAAGTCTCAGACACCCCAATAACTAACTCTTGGCTAAGGAAGGTAATCCAAATTATCAGCTACCTACAAAATAAGGACAACAACTCCAACACATACCAAAACTTAAGAATTCAGCTGAAGCTGAGTTCAGGGGGAAAAATAGCCTTATATGAAAATTTTTTTAAAAAAATTTAAAAAAAAGCATACATGTGCATGTGCTATAAAGACACATGCACACATATGTTTATTGTGGCACTATTCACAATAGCAAAGACTTGGAACCAACCCAAATGTCCATCAATGATAGACTGGATTAAGAAAATGTGGCACATAGACACCATGGAATACTATGCAACCATTAAAAGGATGAGTTCATGTCCTTTGTAGGGACATGGATGAAGCTGGAAACCATCATTCTCAGCAAACTATCCCAAGGACAGAAAACCAAACACCACATGTTCTCACTCAGAGGTGGGAATTGAACAAAGAGAACACTTGGACAGAGGAAGGGGAACATCACACACCGGGGCCTGTTGTGGGGTGGGGGGATGGGGGAGGGACAACATTAGGATATATACCTAATGTAAATGACAAGTTAATGGGTGCAGCACACCAACATGGCACATGTATACATATGTAACAAACCTGCACATGTACCCTAGAACTTAAAATATAATAAAAATATATTTTAAAAAAAGTTAAAAAGAAGAAAAATATGTAAAGCACAAAGTACAAAAAGCAAAAAACACACCCACAAATATCATCTTGTTCCAAGTAGGATAAAATGATTAATTTTAAAAGCACAAAATAATTAACAGAAATAAAAAATAAAAACAGTAGACTGGATCCAAAAAAAAAAAAAATCAGTTCTTTAAAAGCACTGATTAAAAAACAAACCCAGAGAGAGAAATAAAAAACTTAAAAACATTATCTGTGAAAAAGAGGCTATAAACACAAAGAGATCTTAAAATATTATGTATTCTCCACAACAAATAAACTTGGCAAATACAGAAGAAATTAATGATTGCATTAAAACAACCCACCCAAAAATATATTATCAAAATTATTAGAGAGGAGGGAGAAAAATCTGACTAAGCTAATAATCAGAAATTAGAAAAAGTTGCCAAAGAACAACTATGAAGGGAGAGAGAGTACTATGTCCAAATGATTTTATTAATAAACTATTTCAGGCTGGGCGCAGTGGCTCACGCCCGTAATCCCAGCACTTTGGGAGGCCGAGGCAGGCGGATCACGAGCTCAGGAGATCGAGACCATCGTGGCTAAACAGTGAAACCCCGTCTCTACTAAAAAAATACAAAAAACTAGCCAGGCGTGGTGGCGGGGGCCTGCACTCCCAGCTACTGGGGAGGCTGAGGCAGGAGAATGGCGTGAACCCGGGAGGTGGAGCTTGCAGTGAGCCAAGATCGCACCACTGCACTCCAGCCTGGGCGACAGAGTGAGATTCCATCTTAAAAAAAAAAGTTACTTCAAACTTTCAAAAGATAATGTAAAAGCTGCTCAACTCATTTTACATTATAGAAAAATATAGGAATCTATCAATCTATTTTGTGGCTTGCCAAACTCTGATTCCAAAATCAACACAGATAATTCAGGAAAACAAAACCAAAAACTTTAGACCTCCACTTCCGGCCAAAACTGAGCAACTTTTAGGAAACCAATGTCCCTGCCAAGAGGAGGAGAAAAGCTGGTAAGTTACTTCATCTGTTCTAAGACATTCAAGAGCTGCCTTGGCAGCCAGAACTTGAAGTGCCAAAAATCCGGAGGAAGGACTTCATGGAGGTAACCTGACACTTAGCATTCTGGTCTTCTCCCTTGGGTTATTTGCCAGCTCTTGAGCAGTATAGGGGTAGATGCTGAAAAGCCTGGCAGAAACATAAACAGAAAGGCAAGCAGCACGTGGCAGCTAAGGAGAGCTTTCAACAGTTTTACAGAGCTGAGAAGACAAAAGTTGTAGCAAGAGCCTATCAAGGCAAACAAGACTTGAGGATGGAAAAGCTAGGACAGAAGAGAAACAGAGAACTAAGACACTATGCACGTGTTTTTCCTTCAAAGTGCTCAATGATTCTTAGTCAAAGAAGGATAATAGGCTCAAGTGTTGAGCAGAAAGAAGCAGGAGAGCTGAGCTTACTTTTCAGAAGGTTCAAAGTGCTGAGGAAATGAATTTTGGAACTCAGGACCTGCCCAGGCAAAAGTAAATACTCAAGTCTTTCACTTAGGAAGAGAGGGATAATCAGAGATAGCTGAACCTTACAAAGACTGAAAACCGGCTTCCGTCTCTGATTGAACTGAAAGTGATCTGCCTCTTCTTTGCCTACTGGAGGACAGGATAAATTTTCTCAGGAGATGGGCTGAGTGAATACTCTTTGTAGAAGGAAACAACCACCCATGGCCTGAAATTCAACCGTAAATTACCAGGCACACCAAGAAGCAGGACCAAGTGTCAAAATAAATCCACAGAAGATATAAATACTAGAATTGTCAAATATAACCTTTAAAATAACTGTGAAATAGATAACCATGTGGACAATTTTAGCAAAGCGAAATTAATCTAAAACCAAAAAAACATAGTAACTGGAATTAAGAACTCAATAGATAAGTTTAACAGCATATAAAACACAAATAGAATTAGTAAAATGAATGATAGGTTAGAAGACAACATCCAGACAGCAACAAGGAGAAAACCGCAGATAAATATGAAAAAGAACATAAGAGGCATGGAGACCTGGTGGGAAAGTCTGTGTCTGTCTGACTGGTGTCCTAGAAGAGGAATAAAGAAAGAACAGAGTAAAAGCACTCTGTGAAAAAAACAATTACCAAGAATTTCCTTAAAAGAACATCGAGTCACAAAATCCCAAGCAGAATAAATTAAATGGTACCTAGAAACACCATAATAAAACTTCATAAAAGCAAAGACAAAGATAAATTCTGAAAAGTACCCAGATAAGAAAAAAAGTCACATTATCTTTAGAAAAGGAAGCAGGAGGAACAACAATAAAACTGACAGCTGGGTCCTCAATAAAACCAACAGAAGAGCTAAAATACAACAAATGCCACTCAGAATTATTTGCCCTATGGAAATATCCTTATAAAATGAACACACAACAAGGGAGTGAATTTGTCACCAACCAGTGGTGTACTGATAAATGTTTAACAAAGCGGGAAAGCTCTGTCAGTGTTTGCTGATTTCTGTGGTGTAAATACTCCCGCTGTGGCTGATGTCAGCTGCCAGTGTGACATCACTGAATGTAGAGATGGAACAAGATGTGCACAATCAACTCTCAGAAGCTAGTGCAGCACACAAATGTGACAAAACCAGAGGGAATTCCTCAGGAAGAAGGAAATCTATCCCATATTGAAAGCTGAAATGCAAGAAAGGATGAGGGGCAACAGAAAGAATATGTGAGTTGATTTAAATGAACATTTGTTGTGCTAAATAATTAGTAATAATGACATGTGGCCTTCAAAATAAATTAAGAATTAAAATGCATGACAACATTAACACAAAAGGGAAAAAATGGTGTAATGCAGTCAAAGTTTCCTAAGGTCTGAGAAGTGGTAAAATTGTAATTTACACTTTTCTTTACCAAGTCAAAGAAACAGAAACACACATAAATGGTCAATAATTTATTAGAAAGAGGACAATGTAGTAAGGAAAGAATGGCCTTTCCGAGAAATGGTAAATTCCCAACTTAAAAAAAAAAAAAAATTTAATCTTGACTCCTACACCTCACACCATGTATTAAAAAAATCAATTCCAGGCCGGGCACGGTGGCTCACACCTGTAACCCCAGCATTTTGGTAGGGCGAGGTGGGCGGATCACCTGAAGTCGGGAGTTCGAGACCAGCCTGACCAACATGGAGAAACCCCATCTCTAATAAAAATACAAAATTAGCCAGGCGTGGTGGCGCATGCCTGTAATCCCAGCTACTCAGGAGGCTGAGGCAGGAGAATCACTTGAACTGGGGAGGTGAAGGTTGTGATGAGCCAAGATCGTGCCATTGTACTACAGCCTGGGCAATGAGAGCAAAACTCCATCTCAAAAAAAGAAAAAAAAATCAATTCCAGATCCATCACCTCTCTAAACACAATATACAAAACAATAAATCTTCCAGAAGGTAACATGGCAAAGTGCCTTCATGACCTTCAGATAGAAAATCTCTTCTTAAACCAGGACTCCAAAAAGTACTGAACATAAAGGAAAAGACAGATAAACTAGACTCCATTAAAATGACGAATGTCTGCTTATCGAAAGACACAATTAAAAGAATAAAAAAAGACACAGATTGTGAGAAGATATTTATGATACATATTTCTTACAAAGGATTTGTTTCCAAAATATATAATCCACTTTGTCAAAAGCCAGGGTAAAAAACCAGGTTTGTGGGAAGAACAGATGCAGGAAACACAGGAGAATGAGCTGCAAAATGATGGAAGCATGCCTTACTGTACATAAGGCCCTATGCTGAGAACATTCTATGCATCATCTTATTTAATCCTCACAATAATCCTTTGAAGGAAGTGTAAATTTTAATCCCTATTTTACAAGCTCAACACAATCCTACTTTGCAACGTGTGCCCAAGAGCCGCCACTGTGCACAGGGAAGGGGACTGAGATGCTTGGTTAGAGAGACAAACTAATCAATCCTTGCCAACCAGTGACACATCAGCAAAGGAGGTGAAAATATCATGGTTCACCTGGAAAGAGGAGCTACAACCAACAGGTGGACAGAGCCCAAGGAGAGATATCCAGAATATATGGCTTTCTGGGGGCTGGGTGGACAAGAATCTAGGATTTGGAACAAACAGAGATTAAGCCACAAGCAAAGGCCACCCTAACATCATAAATTAGGAGATGTTGCTATTACAAAACAGGAATTTCTGCAGAGGAACTTTCCGGAGTTTGGAAAATATACCAGAATCCGAGAACCGTCAGACCCATTATGCTCCATAAACTGTGGCCTCACGTGGTCAAGAGTAATACTGTAGATGAAGGCAGTCTAGCGTCCACCCTCCTGGCTCCACAGCTTCTCAGTGCTGTGACTCTGGACAAGTCACTTAGCTGTTGTAAGCCTTACTTCCCTTATCAGTAAAATGCAGATGGTACTAACTCCACATCAGGGAGGATTCCGTGAGGGAATACACATAGCACACCTGGCATAGAGCATGAGCTCAATAAGTTATTAGTTTGAGCTTTTAGAGTTGCAAAGGGAGTGTGATGGGGTTTGGCTCTCTTTCTTTCTAAAAAATTAATAAACTGGGAAATCAAAGGGCTCCCAGGGGAGCCTCCTGTATCAGGGAAGGGAGCAGGGTATCAGATGGGAAGGTAGACATTTGCTGTTTCAATGAGATGCCCCCATGATTTACGAGGGGAAATATCATTAGGATTTCACTTCTGGAACTTGGGCAGTCACCCACCAACAAAGCCTGCCCTTCAGCTGAAGGGAAAAAGCAGGTGCTTGGGAGCCAAATAGACTTGTGCTTAAATCCTCAACCAGCCGCTGACCTTGGACTTCAGCCCTCACCTCCCCTCTCACAGCCTTGGTTTCCTCATCCACATCCTATTTAATGCACACATATATTTTAAGATGACAAAGTATGTGACATGTCCATCCTGGTTACTCAGCAAATGTAAATTTCTCCTATGTGGCAGTAGGGACTCTAAGAGGCTGTGTTTGGAGAATGGAGGAAACCTGAATCTTAGCCTTTAATTACCAAGGAGTCTGGACATCTTGAATCCATGTAAGGTGAATTGGAAGGGCTTCCTTGCTCCCTCACCTAAGAGTCCCCCTCAGGAAAAACAGAAATCAGTGGAGAACCAGAGCCCATACTCGGCACTTCACAGTTTATCTGCAGAGAGACCTGACATCCTGTGGAAAACAACTCTGAATACCTACAGCCAAGAAATGGCATAGCTTCCCTAATGGTTCACAGGGCCAATAAAGAATCTGGCCAAATCTATCAAAAGCCTAGAAAACATCCTTACCCTTTGACCTGCTCATTTTGCTTCTAGAAACTTATCCCAAGCAAACATTTGAGATACTTATCCTCAGAAACTTATCCTAAGTACCTGAGATAGAGAAAAATACAAAATGCTCATCACAGAGTTACAAAG